>NC_000007.14:135006779-135631779 GCF_000001405.40 Homo sapiens
TATAGTTGCAAACAGTTTAAAGGCTTGAATATTACCAACTTGTGATGATGTATGTAACTGTCCTGATAATCTTGTGCTAGAAGACTAAGAGGATGTAATTATCAATTAGATGAGAACCAGATACAGAATAAAAAGGAATTAAATAACTAAGATGAAATGGACACATGACTGGCAAGATATGAAGTACGGAAACTGACTCAAGAGGAAATAGAACATCTAAATAGACATATAACAAGTAAAGAGATTTAATTAATAATAGAAAAACTACTACAGAGAGTCGCTTAAACCCAAATAGCTTCATTGCTGAATTCTTCCAAACATTTAATGTTTAGAACATTCTACCAAACAATTCCTAATTCTTCAAAAACTCTTCCAATAATAGAAGAGGAAGGAATGCTTCCCCATTCATCGCTATGAGGCCAGTATTACTCTGATAACAAAACCACAAAAGACATCACAAGAAAACTACAGGCTAATATATATTATGAATATAGATGTAAAATTCATCAGCAAAATACTAGCAAACTAAATCCAGCAACAAATAAAAAGAATATGTATCATGAACAAGTGGAATCTATCCAGATATGTTGTTTGTTCCCTGTACCCAAAAATCAATTAATGTGATAGAACATATCAGTAGAATTAAAAAGAAACAAGATAATTTCAATAAACATAGAAAAGACATTTTTAAGAAATCCTACACCCTTTCATGACAAAAACACTCACCAAATTAGGAAGAGAAAGGAAAGGCGTCTATGGAAATCCCACAGCTAATATCTACTTAATGGTGAAAAGACTAGATGCTTTCCCCATAAGGTCAAGAACAAGACAAAGATACCCACTTTTCCACTTTTATACGACATTGTAATGGAGGTTCTAGCCAGGGTAATTAGACAGAAAGAGAAGTTTAAAAAGTCCAGATTGGAAAGAAGGAAGTAAAACTATACTTGCCAATAAAATAATTTTGTACATAGAAAATCCTAAGCAATCCACTGAAAAAAACTTTTAGAACTAATATGAGTTCGGCAAGGTTGCAGAATACAAGAGTAATATATAAAAATCAATTGTATTTCTATGCACTTATAATAAACAACCCTAAAATGAACTTATGAAAACTATTCAATTTGCAAAAGAATAAAATATGAATACATTTAGGTAAAGAGTACAAGACATACTCTGACAACTACAAAACATTACTGAAAGAAAATAAAGATCTAGATAAATAGACATCCCATGTTTATGGATCAAAAGACTTACTATTATTACGATGACAGTCCTCTCCAAATGAATCTACAGATTGAATGCAATTTCCATTAGAATACCAGTGGGTTGCTTTGTAGAAATTGACAGACTGATACTAAAATTTATATAGAAACTCAAGGAACCCAGAATGGCCAAAAAAAAGAAAAAAAAACTTAAGAACATATTTGAGAGCTCACAATTTCTGATTTCAAAACTTACTACAAATAGTAATTTAGACAGTGTGGTACTGTCATGAGGATAGACTTATAGACCAGTGAATTACATTGGAAGTCCAGAAATAAGCCCATGTGTCTGTGGTGAACTGATTTTTGACAAGGATGGCAAGACTATTCAATAGGAAGAGCATTGTCTTTTCAACAAATGGCACCCAGACAACTGGATAGATAACCACATGCAAAATAAAGAAGTTTGTCCCTTACCTCACACCATATACAAAAATTGATTCAAAATGGATCAAGATCTAACTAACAGCCTGAACTATAAAACCCTTACAAGGAAACATAGAGGCAAATCTTCATGACTTTGGATTTGGCAATGGATTCTTAGGTATAATGCCAGAAGCACAAGCAACAACTGAAAAAAAAAAAAATAGATGAATTGAACTTTATCAAAATTGAAACTTCTGTGTTTCAACAGAAACTGTCAAGAAAATGAAAATAAAACCCACAGAACAAGAGAAAATATTTGAAAATTATTTATCTGACAAAGGACTTCTATCTAGACTATATAAAGAACTCTTACAACTCAATATTAAAAAGACAAATTTTAAAGTGTGCAAAGGATCTAAATAAACATTTCTCCAAAGTAGATGAACAAATGGTCAATAAACACATGAAAATATGTTCAACATCTTTAGTCATAGGGAACTGCAAATTAATACCACAATAAGATACCTCTTTACCCCCACTAGGATGACTAGAATCAAAAAGTCAGATAACAAGTGCTGACAAGCATGTGGAGAGATTGGAACCCTTATACACTGCTGTTGGGAATGTAAAATTGTGCAGCTACTTTGGAAACCTGGTGTTTCTTCAGAAAGTTAAACATTGAGTTACTATTTGACCCAGCAGTTCCACTTGTAGGTATGTACCCAAGAGAAATGAAAACATATATCCAAACAAAAACTTACATACAAACGTTAACGGCAGCATTTTTCTTAGTGCCACATGGTGGAAACAACCCAAATGTCCATCAATGGATGAATGGAAAAACAAAATATGGTATTTCCACACAATAGAATATTAATTAGCCATAAAAATGGAATGAGGTACTGATACATGGTACAACATGGATGAACTTTGAAAACATTATGCTGAGTGATAGAAGCCAGACACAAAAGAACAAATAATATGATTCTAATTATGTGAAATGACTAGAACAGGCAACTATATAGACAAAATAGCACATATGCCTACATCTCACTCAAGGTTAGTGTGGTAGTGTTGGGATTTTTTTTGATTGTTTTTTTCTCTTCCCTTTCCCCAGATGCAATGGTTTTCTACTAATGTCTTATTATAGATTAAGTATTTTGTTCCATAAAGGGAGATGCATAGATGGGTCTGGGTGGAGTTTGGCAGAGGCTGCTGTTCCCCTCCCCAACACAACACCACAAGAATAACTTTCCCAGGATTCTCTTTGATCTTCCTTGTGAGCACCTGGTGGGATTCCCAGAGGAAAAGTCTGAAAGTGGGTACTAACCCACTTATATCTGCAGCCCCAAGGGGCTTCACACTCACATTTGGCTTTTAAAAATTTATTTTAAAAGCTTTAGCTGTGCCTTTTTACCAGATTATATGAAGTTCAGCAGCATCTGCCTTCAGTGGGCAACTACTGAGGTCCAATTTCACCTTGCAGGTTTCTGTCTTTTCGCAGACTTTGGAGCATTTGGTTGCCCTGCAACCTCTTCTATGGTGGGTTGGCGAAAAGTCATTAATTTGCAGTTTGTTATTTTATTTTTTGTTGTAAGGGTGAGGATGACACTTTTTTTTTTTTTTTTAAGATGGAGTCTCATGCTGGAGTGAGTCTCACCAGGCTGGAGCGCAGTGGTGCGATCTCGGCTCACTGCAACCTCCACCTCCCAGGTTCAAGCGATTCGCCTGCTTCAGCCTCCTGAGTAGCAGAGACTACAGGCGCGTGCCACCACGCTCAGCTAATTTTGTATTTTTAGTAGAGACGGGGTTTCACCATGTTGGCCAGGATGGTCTCCGTCTCTTGACCTCGTGATCCGCCTGCCTCAGCTTCCCAAAGTGCTGGGTTTTTTTTTGTTGTTTTTTTTTTTTTAACATTCTGTATCTCTTAGCTGACATTGGAAATCTGACCTGTAATTTTCAAAAGTGTCAAAGTCATGAAATATAAGGAAAGACTGAAAAGCTGTTCTATATCGAAGAAAACTAAAATACACATTAAAGTTCAATGCAATGTGTGATTCTAAAGTGGATCCTTTTGCTATAGAGGACATTATTTATACAACTGTCAAAATTTTAAGTCTAAGGATTAAATATTAGAAATAAATCAGTATTAATGTCCTGATCTTGATGGTTGTATTATGGTTATTTATATAGGAGGATTTCCTTCACTGGAGGAAATATAAGTATTTGGAGAGGATGGGGTATTATGTTTGCAAATATTTCAGGGAAAAAAAGTTGTTTTTCCTGTTATTGCAACTTTTCTGTATGTTTTCAACTGTTTCAAATAAAATTAAAAACCACATGCCTAGGAATAAATCTGATAGACAAGATTTCTATGAAGAAGCAATAAAGCATTGAGAGAGATTTTTAAAAGACCTAAGTAAATAGAGGGAAATAGCATGTTCATAGATTGGGAGACTCATTATTTTAAAGATGTCAGTTATCTCCAAACTGATCTACATGTCCCATGCAATACCAGTCAAAATCCCAATTGTGATTTTTTTATAGAAATTGACAAGGTACTTTAAAAATGCATATGGAAATGCCAACGACCTCTTAAAAGGACAAAAAAATTGTAAGAGTTACTAGCTCTTAAACCTTAATAAAGTTATAGTAATATATGGCATTGCTGAAAGGAAACAGGAATGGAATAGAACAGAGAGCTTAGAAACAGACCTATGCATATATGGTCATTATGACAAAGGTGGAACTGCAAGAGAAAGTTAAAGATGGTCTTTTCAGTAAATAATACTGGAATAATTGGATTTCCATATGGAAAAAGTGAAATCTCACCCCAACCTTATGCACAAAAGTCCATTTTAAATGGGTTATGGATATAAAAATGAAAGGTAAAACAATAAGACTTCTAGAAAATAATACAAGAAAATATCTTCATAATATTAAAATCTGGAAAGGCTTAAACAGAACAGAAAATACCCTAAACCATAAAGAAAAAGACTGATAAATTTGACTACGATACAATTAAAAACCTCAGTTCATCAAAAAATAAAACGAGGCAAACAATAGTTTGGGAGAATATATTAATATTTGCAATACATAACTGACAAATAGATCATTTCTGGAATACATAAAGCATTTCTGAAAGTAATAAGAAAAGACAAACAACCCAGTAGGAAAATGGGCAAGAGACTTGAATGGGCACTTAATAAAAAATGATATTCACATGGCCAATAAACATATGAGATAATATCAACCTTATCATGAAGTCTTGTTGTGATTTTAATTTGCTATTCCCTGATTGTTAATGAGGCTGAGTTCTGTTTCACAGAAACCTTGCAAGGTTAAATTTAACTTATACTAAGGAATGGTGAGCATATGGAGCAAACAGAAACTTTGTGACCTGCTGGTGGGTGTGTAAATTGGTATAATCATTTTGGATGATAGCTTGGCGTTATTTACTGAAATTGATACATGCCCTGCAACCTAGAATTTTTACTCCCAGTTGTATACCTAAAACTGATGTGAGCACAGGTGCTCTAAGCAATATGTATAAAGCTGTTCATAGCACCATTTTTCTTAATAGCCCCAAACTGAAACAGCCCAAATGTCCATTATAAATAGAAATTGATAAATTGTAACATTTTGTACAATATTATATATCAATGAAATAAGCAAATTACAGCAGTATGCCACAATGTGGATTGATTTCATGAATATACGTGAAAAACAGCACAGAAGAATACCATACACTATGTGATTTTAATTTTATAAAGTTCAAATATAGGCAAAGCAAAGCAATAGTTTTATTTACACTTCTGTAGATAAAAACTGTATTATACACATGCATATATATGAATGCTTAGGTGGTAAAATTATAAAGGAGAGTAAAGAAATGACTGCATTATATTAAGACTAATGGCTACTTTTCAAAGGGAGGGAGAGGCTGGTGATGGGAAAGGGGCATGAGTGGAGTATGTAAGGTGCTTGCAATGTAATATTTCTTGGCCTATGTGGTGTTTGCTTTGTGATAAATCAGTAAGCTGTAGTTCTTTGTTTTTGCACTTTTCATAAGTATAATACCTAATAAACATTTAAATATTTGCTTTGTTTTTGGCCCTGTGAAATGTGGATAGAAGTATGTTTGGGTAGATTTTTTTAATGGGCACAATTGACAAAAAGATGAATACATCAGTGGAACAGAGTAAAATGTCCAGAAATAGACCAACGTGTTTATTACCAAATGACCTTTGACAAAGGCACCAAAGAAACCCAATGAGGGTAAGGAAAGTCTTTTCAGTAAGTGGTGTTGTAACAACTTAGCATACATGTAGAAAAAAAAATCCTTGACCTCTACCTCACTAGTAAACAAAAATTAATTCAAGACAGATCATAGACCTAAACGAAGCTATATATAACCTAACATTATAAAGCTCATAGAAGAAAACATGGAACGATATCTCTGTAGTTATAGATAAGGCAACAATTCCTTAGGAGCCAGAAAGAAAAAAGAAACAATGAAAAATTAATAAAGTTGACTTCATCAAAATTTAAAATTTCTCATTAAGAGACAGTTAAAAATGAAAAGGAAAGCCACAGTCTATAAAAAATATTCCCAACACATATATGACAAAAGACTTGTATGCAGAATATATGAAGAATTCCTACAAACCAATAATCAAAACCTAATTTTAAAATGGACAAAAGACTCGAACAGACATTTCTCAAAGAATTATAATAATCAATAATCATATGAAAACATTTTTCAACATGGGAAATGAAAATCTGAACCACAATGAGATACCACTTTACATCTACCAGGATGGCAAAAAATTTAAAAGACTGACAACCAAATATTAGAAAGTAGAGCAACTGGAACTCTAATACATTGTTGGTGGGAATGTAAAATTGCATAATCACTTTGTAAAAAGGTTTGACAGTTTTGTTTCTTAATAAAGGAAAATATACATGTATTCCCTGACCAGCAGTTTATCTCTTAGGTAAATAAAGACATAACTATTATGTCCACTAATGGTCAAATTGTGGCAATCCATATTAGAGAACAGTATACAGATGTTAAAAAATGATAAAGATCTATGTATATTAAACATCTCTAAGATGTTTAGTGAAGTGGGTGGGAAAAACAAATTGGTGATCAGTATATATAGAATGATGCCGTATACTTGAAGAAGACATTGTGGTTGACTCATTGTAGTTGATTCCACTGTATTTGATTAAGTCAGTTAGTACAAGACACTTCCGCTGACAGTCATGTTGTTTTACATTTTACAATGGTAAGCCTTAGGATGAGGATGACAAAGTGGAGAGACATAAAAAAGTGAGCTCTGGATGACCACTGAGTCACTGATTATACCATCCCTCGAATCCACTCTACTTCTGGGTTTCTAAATAAGTGAAATAATATATTTTCTTAGCATATGCCAAAAGCATCTGAACTGGATGGTTGAAAGCGAGAAAGCCTAAAAAGATAAAAACCAAAATGTTGGCCGGGCGCAGTGGCTCATGTCTGTAATCCTAGCACTTTGGGAGGCCAAGGCGGGTGGATTGCCTGAGCTCAGGAGTTCGAGACCAGCCTGGGCAACACGGTGGAACTCCATCTCTACTAAAATACAAAAAAATTAGCTGGGCATGGTGGCATGCGCCTGTAGTCCCAGCTACTTGGGAGGCTGAGGCAGGAGAATTGCTTGAACCTGGGAAGTGGAGGTTGCAGTGAGCTGAGATCATGCCACTGCACTCCAGCCTGGGAAACAGAGCGAGACTCTGTCTCTGAAAAAAAAAAAAAAAAAAAAAAAAAAAAAACCCGAAATGTTGATACCTATTTCTGCATAATGAGATTGTGGATTTTTTTCTTTTTGCTTAAGCTATACTTTTAACTTTTACACAATAAACAAGTCTGATAAAAATAATTACTTATAAAAAGCATTCCAAGTTAAACACCTTTAATTCAGAAGGTGTTTTCTGGGATTTTCTATGGCTCCTGGATATCCCTTTTATAAGATCATTTGCATATACCATATCTCAGTGATCAAAAAGTGGGATCACCCAAAGATAAATCTGAGAACAGATAACAAGAAGTCTCACAGTAGCCAAGTGAAAAAAGATACACAAAATGGAATATCCTTACCAACTACTTAGGCTTTTACATCTGCTATACTGATGGTTAGGACCTGAAGGAGTCTTCTTTTGCATAGAAGTTTATTTTTTTTTCTTTTTCCTTGGAAGAAAATGAAACATATGGTGAAGGGCTGAAGGCATGGTGTTGTCTCAGCCTGTCCTAAGGCCTATGGAGAAAGGAGCTGAAGGCCAAAGCAAAAACCTTCACAAGGTGATCCATGAGACATAATGGCACAAACAGCACTGATTTGGTGCTCACATGACATGGTAACTGCTAAGCACAGACTCCATTCTTCTGGGAACATGACTTTGACTAAAGGAGGACTCAAGAGAATGCAGTGTTTTTTCACAGCTCGAGTTTGCAGCTTTGAGAGAACTAGGAAACATATTTGCTATGCACAGACATCTGAGTTATCTTGGGACAATGATAGCCAACACTTTCAAATAGTTTTTTGAACAGCAGACATCAACAAGGATAGTAGGAGATTGTGATAATGGAAAGATGAATATAGAATTTTCCAGGCTACTTGACATAAAGATAGCTGCAAAATCTATCACTGAATAACAAGTCAAGAAGAAGTGCCTATATCAGGAATCCATGTTGATGTTTAAGTCCATTACAGATGAAATTGCTTACTATAGAATACTCAGAAAATCTTGAAATGCTTAATTTCAAGCCAAAATCTTCTACTTAAACAACGCTTGCTCGAGAGTAGCTTTTTTGCAATGACGATATTGCCAGACATAAAACGTTTATGCAGTAGACGTATATTACATTATTTACATTTAAGGAATATGTGGATAAAAACTTTGCATTGTTCAACCATCCATTCATTCATCTCTCCATATGTCCATTCATCTGTCTGTCCATTTAATCTATGGACATCTAACTGAATGCTCACCCTGTTTCAAATACAACGTAAAGAACAATTTTAGTGGAACAGTGGATATGGGTATCAGAAGTGGGTTACATCTGATTCTCAAAACATGGCTCTCAGTAAGGGTACTCTAATAAACTGCAAACTTGTCGCTTATATACAAGTTCTTTCTCCAGTTATAATGATAGGGTTTCATGGTTCTTTACTAGTTATTAATAAATAAAGAAGAGCATAAGCAGAAATTAATAAAATCTCTGTTTTCTTAACTGAGAAGTCTGGATTTCGTGCAACTTTTGAAGATCAGCATACACAGGCCGGGCATGGTGGCTCACGCCTGTAATCCCAGCACTTTGGGAGGCCGTGGCAGGTGGATCACGAGGTCAGGAAATCAAGACCATCCTGGCTAACACGGTGAAACCCCGTCTCTACTAAAAATACAAAAAAAAGAAAAAAAAAAAAAATTAGCCGGGCGTGGTGGCAGGCGTCTGTAGTCCCAGCTACTCGGGAGGCTGAGGCAGGAGAATGGCGTGAACCCGGGAGGCGGAGCTTGCAGTGAGCTGAGATCACGCCACTGCACTCCAGCCTGGGCGACAGAGCGACACTCCATCTCAAAAAAAAAAAAAAAAAAAAGAAAAGAAAAAAAAAATCAGCATACACCAAGGCAAATAGCTGAAATTCCTAATGTTTTCAGAATGGGAGCTATTTTATTAGTTCATTAATTTTGACTTAAGTTGGTTAAGACTTTCAACTAATGAGATTTTTAAATAAAACATTTAAATTTTTAATTATAATTTGCTTATCTTTATTATCAATTTATTTGGTCATGTGTGATTCATTTAACTCTACAATACAGTGATACACATTTGCATCAATATGGTAGACTGTGTTTCTTCTGTAGCTAGATTTGATCCCTATTGATAATGTCAAATACACTTCTGTTGTTAAAGCAGATGTACACATAATCTCCAAAATGTTTGTCCAGTAATACTTGTTTGTCATCAAATTCTTCGTTCATTAAAAAAAAAAATACAAATAACTAGGGTAGTTAGGCTGTGATGTCATTTTTCCCCCATCAAATAGGTCATGGTCAGAAAGACCTGAGAATAGTGCAGATGATGTTTAAGAAATTTGATCCTAAAAAGAAAGAAAGCTGATAGCTAAAGGAGAAGTGGCAGGGGTAGGGGGACATCTAAGACTATCTTTCCTTTTGGGAGATAAACCTGAACATGTTTATAAGATTTATCTTGACAGCCATTATCAAGCAAAGAAGCTGAAGGGAAAGGAAGAATAAAAGGTAGAGTAAGATTTCCCAGAGGTGAGACAGAATGGTATCAAGGGCTCAGGAGAAAGAGAATTGTGTTATAAAATAGGTATAAAATCAGTAACGAGCAAAAAGCAAGCATGAAACTACTCAATATAATAATTCAGAAGAAGATATGAATGAAATGTCATAAGTTGTATTACAGTGTGACAATATTCATTATTCCAATGAACCCTTAGTAAAATCTTACCCCACACAAAACACTACATTTTAGCCTAGATCTATCAATGAATAATTTGAAAATATGCAATAAAATTTTTCTGTTTTATTTTGAAGTCATCTTCAAATAATGTTTCACTTTTTTTTCCAGATTGGACTCCTTCTTGTCCTGAGCCAGTGTATATCCCAACGGGCTTAGAAACGGAACCCCTTTATCCAGACTCCAAGGAAGCTACTGTGGTTTATCTAGCTGAAGATGGTGAGCACATAATGACACATGTTGCTGTAAAATATAATTTGGTACTTAGGTTAATCTCTTAATTATATTTGTTTTGCTGTTTGTAGTGGAAATTTCAGATGACCAGTCCCTAAACATAAAGATGTTTGTTTATATATTGATCCAAGTGTTGATTTAGAGCCAGTTATATTTTTGAAGGTGTATTGCAGTTTATGCAAAGTTACTTTAAAATTAAACATCATGTTGGCCATTAGAATGAAGAGTTATATTTAGAATGAATTTTGCTTCATATCAATTTTGAAAGATAAACCCAGTGAAATGCTTTGCAATTATTGTTCCCTCTCCATGTATGGCTCACATTCATGCATTCGTTCAGATGTTTTTCTTTTAATTTCCTGACTCTGATGCATTTCTTGGCGTTATAATCTTTAAAAGAGAAACAACTGCCCCACTTTGCAAAAAATCAAACATAGAAGTCTCAGAGTATACTCTCAACTATACTGCTCCTGAAGCACCAGCATAAGGAAGTATAGACTCCACATAATTTCACCATCACAGTTTAATGTCTTAGAGTGTTTTCGTATATTAAAGATAACTTCCAGGGAGCATATGTATTTTATTTAAGGAACTAGCAAGACAAAGAGAAATTCACAGAGGCTGCTCCCTGTACAGTAAGCAATTCTAGAAATCATATACTCACAAACAACTCACAAAAATATACTCACAATATTTTTAAACAAATGGAGAGGAATACCTATGATTTTTCCAATTTGATTGTGAATATTTACATGGTGAACCTGCCTCAGAACTGCCATACATAACTGAAATGAGATCTGATTTAGAAAAAACTAAAATAATTGAGATGAATCAGTCAGGGTCTTCTCAGGAATTAGATAGCATACTCAGAGTAATTTAATAAAGTTTAATTAAATTTAATTTAATGAATTTTAAAAAGGGTAGACAGAGTTAATTGAGATTAACAAGGGATGGTGAAGCAACATAGGACTATCAACAGAGGAGAACCATGTCTGCTGGGCCTGAAAGGGTGAGAAGACAGAACTGGTCTCCAGACCTGTAGAATCCTTTAGGTATAGGAGAGGGCAGCCTCGAAACAACTGTAGCTTTTAGTAAAGAAATAGACAACTGCCAACCTGTGGCACCGAAGGGAAAATGCTAGGAGGATAAATAAACCAATTTCACTATCCTCCCAACTTCCCATGTTCTACAAGTGCCTCCCATTGTCCACAGCCAAAGGGCAAGGGAACCTCTGGGGCAGTCAATACAGATCAGCCTCTTTGGAAACGTATAATGTGGAGAAGAGTAGAGGATAGATCTGTAGGTAGAAACAGAATATCCATCTCAATCAACCCCACTTAATCTTATTTTTATGCCATACTTGGGAGTTGTGAAGATCTGCCTTTCCATGAGTTGAAAGGAAAGCTATAGAAACAAGGTTTGAGGATGAAAAAAAGTCTTGACTTACTTGATTTTCATTGAACGTGTGAAAGATTAATTGTAAATATTTACCTTTTTCCATTTTTACAAATGACAAAAAAGAAGAGTAGAAAAGACAAATTTCAGTAGGTAAGATGTAATTTAAATGTCAATGAAAATTAAAATGTTCATATAAAGTTAAAACCCTAGGACAGGGTACTGAAGAATGTGTCATACTGTGAGACATGGTTAGTTTTTATTTTGAATAAATTGAGGTAAAATGTAGACAGAATGAAATGTATAGATCATAAGTACACAATTTGGTGAGTTTTGAAAAATATATCATCTGTGTAACCAACACTCCTATCAAGATATGGAATACTTCCATCACCCCAGAAAGTTCCCATCTCTCCCCTTCTGGTCAGTCCGCAGCTCCAGCCCCAGGCAAACACTGGTCTGATTTCTGTCACCATAGATTAGTTTTGCCTGATTTTTAGCTTCATATAAATTCAGTCATACAGTAAGTACACTGTTATGTCTGAATTCTTTGACTTGGGATTATGTTTTCAGATTTATACATGTTAGCAGACTCTTTTATATTGCCAAATGGTACTCCATCATATAACTATACCACACTTTGTCTTTTTATGATATGTGTTCAAGATGTAAATGCTGTGTCATATATATATGATATAGTGAAATCTTCACTTTCATCTGTGGAAATCCTTTTCATTTTCATAACAATATCTTTTGATGAGTAGAACTTTTAAACTTCTATGAAGTCAATTACCAATTGTTTTTCTTTCAAATTTAGTGCATTTTGCATCCTGCCTACTTATAAACTTTGCTTTTCCCAAGATCACCTATTTTTTTCAAGAAACTTTATTCTTTTCACTTTTTTATCTTTGTCTTTGATTCATCTAGAATCATTTTTTTGTGAATGGTTTGTGATATGGGTCAAGGTTCATTTTTTCCCACCTTTTAACAAAATTGATTAATCACCAGCTATTGAAAAGACTATCCTCGCATTGCCAAGTCAATCTTAAGCAAAAAGAACAAAGCTGGAGGCATCACGCTACCTGACTTCAAACTATACTACAAGGCTACAGTAACCAAAACAGCACGGTACTGGTACCAAAACAGAGATATAGACCAATGGAACAGAACAGAGCCCTCAGAAATAATACCACACATCTACAACCATCTGATCTTTGACAAACCTGACAAAAACAAGAAATGGGGAAAGGATTCCCTATTTAACAAATGGTGCTGGGAAAACTGGCCATAAGTAGAAAGCTGAAACTGGATCCATTCCTTACACATTATACAAAAATTAATTTAAGATGGATTAAAGACTTAAATGTTAGACCTAAAACCATAAAAACCCTAGAAGAAAACCTAGGCAATACCATTCAGGACATAGGCATGGGCAAGGATTTCATGTCTAAAACACCAAAAGCAATGGCAACAAAAGCCAAAATTGACAAATGGGATCTAATTAAACTAAAGAGCTTCTGTACAGCAAAAGAAACCACCATCAGAGTGAACAGACAACCTACAGAATGGGAGAAAATTTTTGCAATCTACTCATCGGACAAACAGCTAATATCCAGAATCTACAAAGAACTCAAACAAATTTACAAGAAAAAAACAACCCCATCAACAAGTGGGTGAAGGATATGAACAGACACTTCTCAAAAGGAGACATTTATGCAGCCAACAGACACATGAAAAAGTGCTCATCATCACTGGCCATCAGAGAAATGCAAATCAAAACCACAATGAGATACCATCTCACACAAGTTAGAATGGCGATCATTAAAAAGTCAGGAAACAAAGGGTGCTGGAGAGGATGTGGAGAAATAGGAACACTTTTACACTGTTGGTGGGACTGTAAACTAGTTCAACCATTGTGGAAGACAGTGTGGTGATTCCTCAGGGATCTAGAACTAGAAATACCATTTGACCCAGCGATCCCGTTACTGGGTATATACCCAAAGGATTGTAAGTCATGCTGTTATAAAGATACATGCACACATATGTTTATTGCGGCACTATTCACAATAGCAAAGTCTTGGAACCAACCCAAATGTCCATCAATGATAGACTGGATTAAGAAACTGTGGCACATGTACACCACAGAATACTATGCGGCCATAAAAAATGATGAGTTCATGTCCCTTGTAGGGACATGGATTAAGCTGGAAACCATCATTCTGAGCAAAGTATCGCAAGGCCAAAAAACCAAACACCGCATGTTCTCACTCCTAGGTGGGAATTGAACAATGAGAACACTTGGACACAGGAAGGGGAACATCACACACTGGGGCCTGTTGTGGAGTGGGGGAGGGGGGAGGGATAGCATTAGGAGATATACCTAATGTAAATGACGAGTTAATGGGTGCAGCACACCAACATGGCACATGTATACATATGTAACAAACCTGCACGTTATGCACATGTACCCTAGAACTTAAATAATAAAAAAAAAAAAAGACTATCCTATGACCTATTGAATTGCCCAGCCACCTTTATTAAATGTCAGTTAACAATATATATGTAGGTCTATTTCTAGACACTTCATTCTGTTCCATTGATGTATTGATAGTTATGCCAGTACCACCATATTGATATTGTAGCTTTATCCATGGCAATCTACTTTGATATTCAATCTTGTTATTAGCATTTGTATAGTGCATATATATTTTTCCATCATTTTACTTTTTTTTTTTTTTTTGAGACAGAGTCTCGCTCTGTTACCCAGGCTGGAGTGCAGTGGCGCTATCTCGGCTCACTGCAAGCTCCACCTCCCAGGTTCATGCCATTCTCCTGCCTCAGCCTCCCGAGTAGCTGGGACTACAGGCGCCCACCACCACGCCTGGCTAATTTTTTTGTATTTTTAGTAGAGACGGGGTTTCACCGTGTTAGCCAGGATGGTCTCGATCTCCTGACCTTGTGATCCGCCCGCCTCAGCCTCCCAAAGTGCTGGGATTACAGGCGTGAGCCACCACGCCCGGCCCTACTTTTAACCTATGTTTTATTTTAATTTTTTTTAATTTTGGAAGATACACAGCATATCATTGGGATTTGCTTTTTTTTTTTTACCTTCTGGCATACATGTGCAGAATGTGCAGGTTTGTTACACAGGTATCTGTGTGCCATGGTAGTTTGCTGGACCTATCAACCTGTCACCTAGGTTTTAAGCTCCATGTACATTAGCTGTTTGTCCTGATGCTCTCCCTCCCCTTGCCTTTGCCCTGAGAGGCCCCGGTATGTGTTGTTCCTCTCCCTGTGTCCATGTATTCTCATTGTTCAGCTCCCACTTATGAGTGAAAACATGTGGCGTTTGGTTTTCTGTTCCTGTATTAGTCTGCTGAGGATGATGGCATCTAGCTTCATCCATGTCCCTGCAAAGGACATGATCTCATTCCTTTTTGTGGCTGCATAGTAGTCCATGGTGTATTTGTACCATATTTTATTTATCCAGTCTATCATTGATGGACATTTGGGTTGGTTCCATGTCTTTGCCATTGTGAATAGTGATGCAATCAACATACATGTGCACGTATCTTTACAATGGAATGATTTATATTCCTTTGGGTATATACCCAGTAATAGGATTGCTGGGTCAAATGGTATTTCTGGTTCTAGATCCTTGAGGAATCGCCACACTTTATTCCACAATGGTTGAACTAATTTACATTCCCACCAACAATGTAAACGTGTTTCTATTCTCCGCAGCCTCACCAGCATCTGTTGTTTCTTGACTTTTTAATAATCGCCATTCTGACTGGTGTGAGATGGTATCTCATTGTGGTTTTGATTTGTATTTCTCTAATGACCAGTGATGATGAGCTTTTCTTCATATGTTTGTTGGCCACATACGTCTTCTTTTGAGAAATGTCTGTTCATATCCTTTGCTCACTTTTGGATGGGTTTTTTTTTTCTCATAAATTTGTTTTACGTTCTTGTAAATTCTGGATATTAGACGTTTGTTAGATGGGTAAATAGCAAAAATTTTCTCCCATTCTGTAGGTTGCCTGTTTGCTCTTATGATAGTTTCCTTTGCTATGCAGATGCTCTTCAGTTTAATTAGATCCCATTTCTCAATTTTAGCTTTTGTTGCAATTGCTTTTGCTCATTTCATTATAAAATCTTTGCCCATGCCTATGTTCTTAATGGTATTGCCTAGGTTTTCTTCTAGAGTTTTTATGGTTGGATTTGCTTTTTATATAAACTGAAAATCTGTCTTTTAATTATTATGTTTAATATATAATTATTGTTGTTGGATTAATAGCTACCATCTTACTAGCTTTGCTTTATTCCATCTGTTATTTCTTTTTAATTCTTTGTCTGCCTTCATTGACATTAATTTGACTATATTTTATTATTCCATTTTATCTCCACTATTGGCTTATCATGTATATCTGTTTTTAAATTTTTGCCCTAGGTTTTTTTGTATGTATCTTTAATTTAGAAGACTATCTTCAAATAATGTTATACCACTTCACATATAGTGTGAGCACCTTACAAAAGTATATTCTCAATTCCTGCTTCCCTTTCTTTGTGTTATGGTTTTCAAATGTTTTACTTTTTCATGTGCTATAGAAACTCAATGAAGGAGGAGACAAGATGGCTGACTAGACAGTCAGGAAGCACCACTCCCACTGAGAGAGACCAAAATATCAAGTATATCAACATACTTTGAACAGATCCTCAGAGAGAAAACACTAAGGGTTGATAGAGAGGTGATGCAGACACCAAGGTTGAAGAGAAAGCTAGGAACCCTGCATGGGGTTGCTGAATGCCGGGGCTAGTTCCTACCCCTGAACAGTCCTAGGGAAGAGGCAAGTGAAGGGATGGTGGGACAGCCTACTTTTGCTGCAGATTACTGGGATCCTAGCTACAAGAGATTTCATGACCCCCACAGATATTTGAACTGTCAGGGGAATCTGCCTAGAGAGTAGGCAGAGACAGAGCTTTCGCCTGCATGGAGCCCAGGGGATTTTGCACATGGGGCAGCTGAAGCAGAACACAGCCATAGGTGCCCATCTTCTAATATAAGGCCCCCTATGTTCCTCTGAGTCACTGTAACCCCAGCTGACTACAGGGTCAAGAGAGAGCAGGGCTGACTATCCTATCCCATCCTGTGGGACTGGGGCATGTCTGTTCTTCAGGCCCTCCTGCCCGCTAGCCCTTCCCAAGGCCCCTGCCTAGCTGCTCCTGCAGGAGCATGTGCACAGCACAGCCTCCTCTGCCCAACCTGGGTGCTTTGCTGGTGGCCCCATCTGAATACTTCCCAGTGGCCTAGGAGCACTTCACATCCCCCAGCACACCCAGTGCTCAACCCCAAGGGGCCAGATGGAGGCACAGGCCAGTTACAATGTCCCAGGGCTTTGGCATGCAGCTTGTGAGTGCTGAGTGTAGATCTGTGACCAGCACTTGAGCGGGAGGAGCCCCCATTCTGAGAACATTGAGAGAGGTGAGACATGCAAGCTCATGGGCCAACAAAGGAACAGGGCACACCTCCCTCTACATGACCGTCTGGGAAGGGTGTGGTGTGCCTGGGAGCCCCACAACCTGGAACACCTAACAACAAAAAAACACAAGTGGCACCAGTGATTGGAGGGGACTCCTACAAGGCCCAGAGCGGGCCTGGTGATGGGGGTCATCTTTCCACCTGCCCACCATAGAGTGCTGCTGCAGGTGTGCTGCAATACAAAAGAGCCCTATGGCTAAGAGCTTCTCTGCTGGCCATTACTCTCAAGCACCATCTGTGGTTTGTAGCACAAATTACAATACCAAAAACATTCTGCCCAATATACATTCATTGCCTGTAAAACCCAGGGCAAGAATCTATCCACAAATAATACCCTGTACAGAGCTTTGGCCTTCTGAAAACACCCAGAAATGAAGCCAACTGACTATACTCAACTTAAACCACAATTAAAAGAACACCAGCCTTCTCAGATGAGAAAGAATCAGCACAAGAACTCAGATAATTCGAAAAGTCTGAGTGTCCCTTTACCTCCAAATGAGCACACTAGCTCTCCAGCAATGGTTCTTAACCAGATTGAAATGACTGAAATGAGAGACACAGGATTCAGAATCTGGATGGCAAGGAATCTTATCGAGATTCAGGAGAAAGTTGAAACCCAATCTAGGAATCCAGTAAAATGATCCAAGAGCTGAAAGATGTAATAGCCATTTTAAGAAAAAACCAAACTGAACTGCTGGAATTGAAAAATTCACTACAAGAATTACATAATACAGTTAGAATCATTAACAGCAGACTAGACCAAGCTGAAGAAAACCCTCAGAGCTTGAATAAACTCATACAAAAATACAGAAGAAATAATTTTTTTAATGAACAAAACCTTTGAGAAATATGAGATTATGTAAAGATTCCAAACCTATGACCCATTGGCATTCCTGAGAGGGAAGGAGAGAGAGTAAGCAACTTGGAAAATGTATTTTAGGATATAGTTCACAAAAATTTCCCCAATCTCACTAAGGAGGTTAACATGAAAATTCAAGAAATACAGAGAACCCCTGCAAGATATTATACAAGATGACCATCCTCATGGTACATAGTCAGCAGAATCATCAAAGTCAACATGAAAGAAAAAATCTTAAAGGCAGCGAGAGAGAAGGGTGAAGTCATGTACAAAGGGAACCCCATCCAGCTAGCCGTGAACCTTTCAGCAGAAACCTTACAAGCCAGAAGGGGGCCTATTTTCAGCATCCCTAAAGAAAGAATTCTAATCAAGAATTTCATATCCCATCAAACTAAGCTTCCACAAGTGAAGGAGAAATAAAATCCTTCTCAAACAAGTAAGTGCTAAGGGAAGTTGTTATCACTAGACCAGCCTTACAAGATGATATGGAAATAAAAGAATGATACCTGCTACCACAAAAACATGCTTAACCATATAGCCCACTGTAAAGCAGTTACACAGTCAAATCTACATAGCAACCAGCTAATAACATGATGACAGGATTAAAATCGCATATATTAATACCAACACTGAATGTAAATGGTCTGAACAGACCACTTAAAAGGCATAGAGTGGCAGACTACATAAAAAGACAAGACCCAACTGTTGGCTGTCTTCAACAGACCCGTCTCATATGTAGTAACATCCACAGGCTCAAAGTAAAGGGTTGGAGAAAGATCTACCAGGCAAACAGAAAACAAAAAAGGCCAGGAATCACGATTCTTATATCAGATGAAACAGACTTTCAATCAACAATAATCAAGAAAAAGAAGGGCATTACATAAACAGTTCAATTAAACAAGAAGTCTTAACTATCCTAAATATATATAAACCCAACAATGGCGCATCGTTTCATAAAAGTTCTTCTTGACCTATAAAAAGACTTAGCCACACAATAACAGTAGGAGACTTTAACACCCCACTGACAGTGTTAAGATGATTGAGACAGAAAGCTAACAAAGAAATTCTAGACTTAAACTGGACACTTGAGCAACTGGACCTAATAGAACACCCAGCAACCACAGAATATGTATTCTTCTCATTTGCACATGAAACATATTCTAAGATCAACCACATGCTTTGTCATAAAGCAAGACTCAATAAATTAAAAAAAATTGAAATCACCCCAAGCACATTCTCACATCACAGTGCAATAAAAATAGAAATGAATACCATTATTTTATTTTATTTTATTTTATTTTATTTTATTTTATTTTATTTTAGAGATGGAGGCTTGCTCTTTTGCCCGGGCTGGAGTGTAGTGGCACAATCTTGGCTCATTGCAACCTCCGCCTCTTAGGTTCAAGCGATTTTCCTGCCTCAGTTTCCCAAGAAGCTGGGATTACAGGCGTGCGCTACCACACCTGCCCAATTTTTGTATTTTTAGTAGAGACAGGGTTTCACCATGTTGGCCAGGGTGGTCTCGAACTCCTGACCTCAAGTGATCCACTTACCTCGACCTCCCAAAGTGCTGGGATTATGGGCGTAAGCCACCATGCCCGCCAGTGTCTTTTATAACTAGGAAATATTTCTTTTTATCTCTGGCATTACATCATGTCTTTATGTTGTTTGAGAGTAATATAGTCAATACCAGTTTTCTTATGTTTACTGTTTACTTAGAATAACTCCCCGTTTTATTTTCAATCTTTTTATGAAATTATATTTTAATTCTATCTCTTATAGATAGTATATAGTAGTACCTTACTTTAAAAAATCTAATCTGACAATCTCTGCCTTTTAATTAGAGTGGTTTGACAGTCTGCATTTCGTGTATTTGCATATATGTTTGGGTTTGGCTCTATCTTATTAATTGGCCCATCTCATTTTTATTCCTCAGTTACTCCTCTTTTTGGGAAGGTTAATCAAACACCTTTTAGTATTTCATTTTAATTAAAATATTTTCTTAGGTATACCTCACGTTTAGTTTGATTGGTTTAGAAATTACAATATACAATTTCTTAAAGTCTATTTTATTTTACTTTTTATTTGAATTTTTGGAGACAGAGCCTCGCTCTGTCACCCAGGCTGGAGTGCAGTGGCATGATCTCTGCTCACTGTAACCTCTACCTCCCAGGTTCAAGTGATTCTCCCACCTCAGCCTCCTGAGAAGCTGGGACTAGGGTGCGCACCACCATGTTCGGCTAATTTTTTGTATTTTAGTAGAGATGGGGTTTTACCATGTTACCAAGGCTGGTCTCAAACTTCTTAGCTCAGGCAGTCCACCCACCTTGGCCTTCCAAAGTGCTAGGATTACAGGCGTGAGCCTCTGGCCTTTTATGGTCTATTTGAAATTAATATTATACCTTTTTTTGTTTGTTTTAAATGGGTCAGTTGCCTTTAAAGAAATTAAGAGGAGAAAAAATTGTATTTATATTTATTTATGTATTTACCATTTCTTCTCCTCTTTATTCCTTCCTGTAGATCTGAATTTCCATCTGGCATCATTGTTTTTTTATCCCAAAGAACGTCTTTAGCATTTCTTTTCAGTTTTAAGTTGGCTGGCAGTGAATTATTTCAAATTTCATTTGTCTAATCCTGTATTTTTTCCACCACTTTTTGAAGGGCATTCTCAATGAATATAGAATTCTGAGTTGGCTTTTTTTTCTTTAAAGATATTTTTCCATTGTCTTGTAGCCTCTGTTGTCTTTAATAAGAAGACAGCCATAGAATGTAGTTAAACAAGAATATATTGTACTCAGGAGATGGACACCCTAAACACCTGGACTTGATCACTACACATTACCCATTACATACATATAACAAAATTTCACATGAACCCTATATATTTGTACAAATTTTTAAAAAGAATTCAGCCATAATTTATACAACCATGCCTCAGAGATGCAGGTTTAGTTCCAGACCACTGCAATAAAGTGAATCTCTCAATAAAGTAAGTCACACAAATTTTTTGGTGGTGTCCAAGTGGATATGAAAGTCCATTAGGTGTGAAATAGCATCATGTCTAAAAACAACAACATCTTTGCCCTAATTAGAAATACTTTATTGCTAAAAAATTAAAATTATCATCTAAGCCTTCAGCAATTCATATTCTTTTTGCTTGGTGGAGGATTTTGTCTCAGTGTTAATGGCTGCTGACTGATCAGGGTGGTGGTTGCTGAAGGTAGGGTGGCTCTGACAATTTCTTAAAATTAGACAGCAGTGAGTCAATTAGACATAATTGACTCTTCATGAAAGATTTCTCTGTAGCATGTGATGCTATTTGATAGCATTTTACCTACAGTAAAACTTCTTTCAAAATTGGAGTCAGTCCTATTAAATCCTTAGTTTATAACTAATATTATGGAATATACTAAATCCTTTGTTGTCATTTCAACAATCTTCACAGCATCTTTACCAGTAATAAATTTCATGTTAAGAAACCACTTTCTTTGCTCATCCTTAAGAAGCAACTCTTTATCCAATTCAAGTTTTATTATGGGATGGAAGCAATTCAGTCACATCTTTAGGCTCTACTTCTAATTCTAGTTCTCTTGCTATTTCCACCACATCTGCAGTTACTTCCTCCAGTGAAGTTGTGTAGCCCTCAAACTTATCCATAAGGAATGAAATCAACTTCTCCTAAACTTCTGTTAATATTGGCATTTTTGCCTCCTCCCATGAATTACTAGTGTTCTGAATGGCATCTAGAATGGAAAATGCTTTCCAGAAGGTTTTCAATTTACTTTGCCCAGATCCATCAGAGGAATAGTAATTCTCTAGGCCAGCTATAGCCTTACAAAATCTATTTCTTAAATAATAATACTTGAAAGTTGAAATTACTTCTTGATCCATGGGCTGCAGAATGGTTGTTTCGTTAACAGGCATGAAAACAATGTTAGTCTCCAGTGCATCTCCATCAGAACTCTTGGGTGACTAGATGCATTGTCAATAAGCAGTAATATTTTAAAAGGAATCTTTTTTCTGAGAGGTCAGTCTCAATAATGGGCTTAAAATATTTAGTAAAGCATGCTGTAAACAGATGTGGTGTCGTCTAGATTTTGTTGTTTTGTTTATAGAGCACAGGCAGAATAGATTTAGCATAATTCTTAAGGGCCCTAGGATTTTCAGAATGGTAAATGAGCATTGGCTTCCACTTAAAGTCACCAGCCACATTCACCCCTAAGAGGATAGTCAGTCTGTCTTTGAAGCTCTGAAGCAGGGCATTGACTTGACTTCTCTAGCTAGGAAAGTCCTAGATGTCATCTTCTTCCAATAGAAGGCTGATTGTCTACATTGAAAGCTGTTGCTTAGTGTAGCCACCTTCATCAATTATGTTAGCTAGAACTGGACAACTTGCTGAAGTTTCTGCATCATCACTTGCTGCTTAACCTTGTACTTTCATGTTATTAATATGGCTTCTTTACTTAAACCTCATGAAGCAACCTCTGCTAGCTTCAAACTTTTCTTCTGCAGCTTCCTTACCTGTCTCTGCCCTCAAAGAATTGAAGAGAATTAGGGCCTTCCTCTGGATTAGGCTTTGGCTTAAAGGAATGTTATGGCTGGTTTGACCCAGACCACCAAACTTTTTCCATGTCAGCAATAAGACTGTCTTATCATCTGTGTGTTCACTGGAGTAGCACTTTTAGTCTCCTTCAAGAATTTTTTTCTTTGCATTCACAACCTGGTTAACTGACACAAAAGGCCTAGCTTTTGGCCTATCTTAGCTTTTGACATGCCTTCCTCACTAAGCTTAATCATTTTTGGCTTTTGATTTAAAGAGAGAGATGTGTGACTCTCCACTTGAGCACATGGAGGCCATTGTAGGATTATTAATTGGCCTAATTTCAATATTGTTATGTCTCAGGGAATAGGGAGGCCCAAGGAAAGGGAGAAAGATGGGGGAATGGGTGGTGGTGGAATAGTCAGAACACACACAGCAATTAAGTTCACCATTTTATATGGGTGCAGTTTGTGGTGGCCCAAAACAATTACAACAGTAACATCAAAGATCACTCATAATAGATATCATAATAATGAAAAAGTTTTAAATGTTGTGAGAATTACCAAAATATGACACAGAAACACAAAGTGAGCACATGTTGGAAAAATGGTGCTGATAGACTTGCTCAACACAAACCTTTAATTTGTTAAAAAAAAAAAAAAAAAAGAAAGAAAAAAAACAGTATCTGTGAAGCACAATAAAGCAAAGCACAATTTCACAAGGTACGCCTTTATCATTGTTTCCTATACAGATATTCTTCAATTTACATTAGGGTTACCTCTCAATAAACCAATTTTAAGCTGAAAATATCATAAATCAAAGGTGCATTTTCAACTTGTGATATTTTCAGCTCATGATGGATTTATTGGGTATAACTTCATTGTAAGTCAAGGAGGGTATTGAATGTGTATCACTTTTACACCATTGTAAAGCTGGAAAATCATAAGTCAAACCATCATAAGTAGGAGACCATCTGTATGTAATGTGTCTTTTTCTCTTTGGCTGTCTTCAGCAATTCGACTATGGTGTGCCTAGATTTGGTTATCTTAATATTTATCCTGCTTGGAGTTTGCTGAACTTTTTGGATCCATAGGTTAGTAGGGGTTTTGCACCAAAATTTGAGAAAATTTCAGCCATTATTTCTTCACATATTTTTTTCCATACCACTCTTTCTTTCATGTTTTTTAGAATTACACATATGTTGGATTCTAGATACGTCCCCCCATGTCACTGGATATTTGTCCATTTTTTTCCCTGTCTTTCAGTTTGGACAATTTTTATTTGTTTCCAAGTTCACTGATTATTTCTTTTGCAAGCTTTAACTCTTCTTTTTAAAATTTTCAATTATAAATTGGCAAATTATAGTTGTATATGTTTATGGCATACAAAATGATGTTATGATTTATGAATATAGTGTGGAATAATTAAATCTTCAGCCCATTTGGTAAATCTTTCAGTTATTGTAGTTTTATTTCTAGAATTTTCATTTGGTTCAGTTTTGTTTTTTTTGTTTTTTGAGATTTCTTATCTGTTTTCTCATGATCTCTTATCTTTTCATTTTTTGTCTTTGAATATATATTCAAAGTCCTTCTCTGTTAATTCCAACATTTGCATTATCTTGGAGTCTGCTGAATTTTATATGTATTCATGGATCACATTTTCCTGCTTCTCTGAATGCTTTACGTTTTTATCATATGTAGAACATTGTAAAAGATATGTTTTAGGGAGTCTGTATTATATTCTTTTATTTATTTATTTATTTATTTTGAGATGAAGTCTCGCTCTGTCGCCTAGGCTGGAGTACAGTGGCACAATCTCAGCTCACTGCAACCTCCACCTCCTGGGTTCAAGCGATTCTCATGCCTCAGTCTCCTGAGTAGCTGGGACTACAGGCATGCACCACTACACCGGCTAATTTTTGTATTTTTAGTAGAGATGGGTTTTTACCATGTTGGCCAGGTTGGTCTCAAACTCTTGACCTCATGATCCACCTTCCTCAGCCTCCCAAAATGCTAAGATTACAGGCATGAACCACTGCATCCATCGTGTATTATGTTCTTTTAAACATTACGTTGAATTTTGTTCTAGCAGGCAATTAAATTGCTGGCAGATCATTTTGCTTCTTTCAGGCTTGCTTTGATTTTGTATAGAGGCAGGTCTGTTTTCATTTTATCCCCAATGCTAGGTCATGACCTTTACTCTTGAATGTGGTCCTTATGCCTAAGATGCAGCCTTTCTGGAGTCACAGTTGAAAGCCTAAGGTATTCCATAAAATCTTTCCACTCTGGATAAGTTGGAATTCTAATATATCCCAGAAGTGTATGTCCTCTGGCATCTCAGCCCGCAGTGGTGCTCTCTCCTGTCTTTCTTAGTCTCATCTTTTGACTGGGTAGCCAAACCCTCATCCAAGGACTAGGAAACCGCTATGTAGACTGTTGAGGTTCTCTCTCTATGTAGCTTTCTTTTCCCTGGTGTCCTGACCCACAAATTTCAGCAGCCCCAAGCAACAATCTTTCCTCTTCAGCTGAAGACTGTCATACTGTTCTAAAATGCCACCTCCCTAGGCTGTAGTCCAGCAAGTACCCCTATGCAGCAAGCCAGGGCTCAACATGGGCTCACTTCATGTATTGATCTTCTTTCAAAGATCCTACATAGTTGTTCTATTTGTTGTCCAAATGCGTGAAAACAGCTCATACCCTTTAGCCAGTTTTACAGTCATTTATGGTGAAAGGGCAAGTTCAGAACCAATTACTTCATCATGACCAGAAATGGAGTGAATTTTTTTGTTTTTTTGTTTTTTTGTTCTTTTTTTGAGACAGAGTCTCACTCTGTCGCCCAGGGTAAAGTGTAGTGACGCGATCTCCGCTCACTGCAACCTCTGCCTCCCAGGTTCAAGCGATTCTCCTGCCTCAGCCTCCTGGGTAGCTGGGACTACAGGCACGTGCCACCACACCTGGCTAATTTTTTTTTTTTTTTTTGTATTTTTAGTAGAGACAGGCTTTCACCATGTTGCCCAGGGTGGTCTCGAACTCCTCGAGCTCGGGCAATCTGCCTGCCTCGGCTTCCCAAAGTGTTAGGATTACAGACATGACCCACTGCGCCTGGCCAAATGAGTATTTTTAATGTAAGAAATATACAAATTTATTTTAGGCATTGTTTTTCTAGTCTAAATACTCTTAGATTCTCTTATTTCAACATGTCTATATAAATTAGTGTCCAGTTACTTTAAAATTTACAATCCTTACACTTGTACTATTGCTCCAAACTCTGTGCAGAATAACCTTCTTACTTTAGGTATACCTTGACATCTTTATGATCTTCTTCTCTCATCAGCTTACAAAGAGCCCTGTTTTGTGTATTCCCGAGTTGGGGGTAACCGAACACCTTTGAAGCAGCCTGTGGATTACCGTGACAATACTTTGATGTTTGAAGCAAGGTTTGAGAGTGGTAATCTACAGAAGGTAGTCAAAGTGTAGGTTCTAATTATTTTTATTTAAGGAGCTAGACCATCAACTATTATTTTCTGTATCAAGTACATTAAAGTTCTTAGTATCCATTATGAAACTGTAATTCCTTGAAGTATGGATACTATTAATAATTAGAAATTGTTGTGGAGGAGGGGAGTATAAAAGATTCTGAGTTCAAATAATTTTGAGAACTATGAGGTAAAGTTAAGAAGGCTTCTGTACTGTACATTTTCAGTATGGCAATATGAATTGTCACACACACAGTGCTTCTCAAACTTTGTATTGAAATAGTTCTTGGGATGAGTGTTCCATAGAATATCCCAAGGGCATTATTTTATTTAAAAATATTATGGAAATATTTAAACATACACTTAAGTACAGAGAATAGTACAATTCTGTGTCCATGGCCACATACCTATCACCTAGACTCAACAGCTATCAAGGTTTTGCAACATTTATTTTACCTGTTCCTAGGTGATTATTTACAACTGTACACATACACATTACATGCTAAGTGCAGAGTGCTTATAGAATAGAAAGTTACTTAGTAGAGAAAAATAGTCACAACTAACCAGATAATATTGTTATGTATATAAATAACATTCCAGTGAAATTATTATTTTTGCCTTTATTTAAGCATCTCCAAAGACTAAGTAAAGGGATGCAAATAGTTATCGAATGCAGTTCTTGTTCTCAAATAGATCAAATTATGTAATCTATGTGATCATATTAATTTATATGTGTTTAAATCTCTCAGTGATAGTTATTTTATATCCCTAGTATTAGACTGTAATAGATACATATGTCTGAAGTAAAAAAAGAAATGTTGGACTTTGCTTCAGTTTTGGTAACTCTTTAATCATTTCTTATATAGAAAACATAATTAGGTTGAAATATATAAACTTTTATCAAATACCTGTGTTTTTATGTGCTCTCTTGAATTACCAAGGAATACAAAGGATTTAGAATTAGCATAGAAGCAGTTTCTCATCCAATAAAAGGGAAAATTTCAAAACTTTTATCGTTTACATTGTTTCCTAACAAAGCTTTCTGTGAATGAGTAAAAATAAAATAATTTTCCTTATTTAACTCAAAATTTTACATTGGTTTTTTACAAAATGTCATTTTTACATTCTTACGTGCTTTTTTCCCTTTCTTTCTTGTGTATTAGGGCAGAATACGAATACCAATTGACTGTACGCCCTGACCTCTTCACAAATAAACACACCCAGTGGTACTATTTCCAAGTCACTAATATGCGAGCAGGAATAGTCTACAGATTCACTATTGTCAACTTCACCAAACCTGCTAGTCTTTACAGTCGGGGTATGCGCCCACTGTTCTATTCTGAAAAAGAGGCCAAGGCTCATCACATTGGCTGGCAGAGAATAGGAGACCAAATCAAGTATTATAGGAACAACCCAGGCCAAGATGGGCGCCATTATTTCTCTCTTACATGGACATTTCAATTTCCACACAACAAAGATACCTGCTACTTTGCTCATTGCTATCCATACACTTACACCAACCTGCAAGAATACCTTTCTGGCATCAATAATGATCCAGTACGGTCAAAGTTTTGTAAAATACGTGTTTTGTGCCACACGCTTGCTAGGAACATGGTGTATATTTTAACAATCACTACCCCCTTGAAGAACTCTGACTCAAGAAAGCGGAAGGCTGTGATTCTGACTGCAAGGGTCCATCCAGGGGAAACCAACAGCTCTTGGATCATGAAAGGCTTCCTAGATTATATTTTAGGAAACTCAAGTGATGCACAGTTGCTTCGGGACACTTTTGTCTTCAAGGTGGTACCCATGCTCAATCCAGATGGTGTGATTGTGGGAAATTATCGCTGTTCCTTAGCTGGACGGGATTTAAACCGTAATTATACATCTCTCCTGAAGGAATCTTTTCCTTCTGTATGGTATACCCGGAACATGGTTCATAGGTAAAATAAGCCTCAAATTACCTCTGTGCTTATTTAGTAAACTTGGTAGTAACAATTTTGCTCCCACAATCTCATTCATTTTACTGTAACTTCTCAAGATAGTCTAACTACTGTATAACTACTTTATTTTTTCCCCGTTATTCACAACTGTGATTCTATACCCTTCTGTCATTATGCCACTGGATTCACTAACCTCCCCTTAAATAACCTCCCCTTAAATAATGAAACAGATTCTAGAATGTTTTGATGACTTGATGAAACTAATAAGCTTGCATATCCCAAATTTGGCTTCTTGCTAAAGATAATGGTAGCACTGATGTTTAAAATAATTTTTTTATAAATATATATATTTTATATACATGAAACCGTTGGCTTCTCTCTCTAGAAACTCTTTTAAATGTCAGTTAGTCTCTGAATGTCTTGTAAGAAGTTTAAGGCAGGAGTCTATTCAGCAAGTTTCTAAAAGACTTCCAAGAAAGAGAAATATCTTAATCCGGTTAATCATACACAGGTAAGTAGGATAAGAAGTCAGTCACATGTGTGTGGAAAGGTGAGCAGCTGTAAGTATATATAAGATTAAGTATATTTAAAGCATATTAGAATAAGAGAGTAGATTTTTGTATAAAATACTTAGTATAACATAAGTAGAATATCTTTTTACCCATAAAGATACCTATGAGTAAAATCTTATACTAAGTATTTCTGTTTACCTATGGGTAAAAAGAAAATCCAAACTGTTTCTAAAGTTATTCAAATTAATCTAAGATGAGAGACCCTAATATCCTGTTTCACTTCAGAAGTAATACCATCTCTTTGGAAATTAATCTGTTAGAAGTAAAGTTCCTTTTGACTTGCTTATAAGAAACTGAAAGACTGAGAAATTTGTGGCTTAAAAATGTACAGCATGTTTCATATTTAAGAACTTAACTTGATATTCATGCCTTATAATCTAGTTAGTTTTCTAGAAACTTGTAACTATCATTTAGTGGCTTTATATCAATCTTATGTTATCAATGAGAATTTATTAGGCAGCAAATGAGAAAAGGGCAATAAATTAACACATAATAAATTTTAGTTTGTAATTTCACTGTAGTTTAAAGCAGTATGGTTTCTAATAGAAGCAAAATGCTTTGAATGTTTATATTTTAGGTTTTAGTATTTTTGTTACAAATGTAATATATTTCATAATATTATAAATACTATTGCTAACATTTTGGTGTTTATCTTTCCAGATATAGCAAATAGTATATGTAATTTTGATTAGTTAAGTAATAATCCTACCACCTTAACACCACGCTTTCTTACTTTTTAAAGCCTTTTCTATTAATATTAGTCATTTTATCAATCAGTTTGAGGGACTTATTTTTTGTTTTGTTATTTTTATATTGAGTGTTAAATTATATAGACCAAAGGTTGTGCTCTTCAGGAATGTGTAATTTTTTTTAGATATTTGTTAGAAATTTATCAGAAAAAGTCAATTCAAACTTTGGTACCATTTTTCTCAAAATAATAACTTAATCACCACACTAATCAAGGGTTAAATATTAATTGGCTTCAGCACCAAGTCATCAAGCACTCAATTTTTAACAAATATTTGGGTACTTATTATGTGCATAGCACTGTTCTAGATGATTTGAAGCATTCCCCATTCTTAATAAGCTTGAATATGAAAAATATAAAAACTTTCCTAGACAAGGGCCAAGCAAATGGTACCAATATCTTTAAGTGCTACCGAAGCTCAATAAGAGAAAGCTCTGTGGCCTTGACAAATTAGAAAGGAAGTGAGACATAAGGTCAGTATTGAAGGATGGCAGGTAGTATTTACATTTACAAAGATAGAGAAAGAAGATATTTCAGTCAGAAAGAAAATACGTGAAAGGTAATGGGCAAAGGCAAGAGTGAAAACATCAAAATAATAAAGCAGAGAGATCTTGTTGGAGAAAGTCTTGGGAGTAAGGTAAATTTTGTCCTTATAATGGAAGGCTACTGCATGCAGACTTTTTTTTTAGACGGAGTCTCACTCTGTTGCCCAGGCTGGAGTGCAGTAGTAATGCTGTCTTCGCTCACTGCAACCTCTGCCTCCTGGGTTCAAGCAATTCTCCTGCCTCAGCCTCCCAAGCAGCTGGGATTACAGGCATGTGCCGCCACACCCAGCTAATTTTTGTATTTTTAGTAGAGAGGTGGTTTCGCCACATTGGCCAGGCTGGTCTCGAACCCCTGACCTCAGGCAAGCCACCTGCCTCAGTCTCCCAAAGCATTAGGATTACAGGCATGAGCCACTGCGCTCGGCCTGCATTCAGATATTTATATAGTTAATAAATTATTGTAGATTTAAAAAATTGTATATTAATAATATGCAATATAGATAAGAGAAAGCTAGGATATAAGAAATTGTATTTATTTGGATATTACACTTATAAATCCATAGTTGTACCTATAGAAGAAAAATGCAGAGATAAAAGTTAGTAACTTATCTTTCTTCCTGGCAGACTGATGGAGAAACGAGAGGTTATTTTATACTGTGATCTTCATGGCCATAGTAGGAAAGAGAACATCTTCATGTATGGCTGTGATGGTAGTGACAGATCTAAGACATTATACTTACAGCAACGAATCTTCCCACTTATGCTAAGCAAAAATTGTCCAGATAAAGTAAGCACCTTTTAAGGTATTAACTTTTCCTTTATCAAATGTTGCCCATGTGAGATAGCAGAATGGCCCACGTGGATAATACTATTCCAAACTGCTTTTTTTTTAGTTAGTTTGACCAGTTTATACAATTGACAATAAGAAAGCAACTATATAGAACTACTTAGTGAGCAATAATTTGAAAATATGGGGAAAAAAGGCAAAAATGCCCCCAAACCTACCACCATAATACCACTGCTCTTTTACCTTTTGAAAGCTTCCTCTATTAGTCATTTTTATCAATCAATTTTAGGGGTTTTTTTATTGTTTAAATAGTCATTGAGTGCCTAAATTATACAGATTAATTTCTTAAGAAATGTATATTCTTAAGAAATGTGTAACAGTTTCTTCAAAGTATTTATTAGAATTTTGCCAGGAAAAAACTTAATCCAATAACCAATATTTTTAAAATATATAGAAATTAGAATGAGAAAAGAATAAAGTATATTATTATTTTCACAAACTATGGAAATATTGGAGCCTCATTTACCAAGATGTGAAAATTATATTTTAATCATTCTTTAGGGAAAAGATGTTAACATAGCAAAGAAAATTCCTGCAGACTTTCCTTTAAGTTCTCAACCAACAAATTCAATTATAAAGGACTTACTGGAGAAGAACTAATTGTCTTTTGGGGATAATTGGGGCCCAAAGACATAAAAAGGAAAGGATGATCTGATAAAAATAGCTATTTAAAGAAAGAACAGGTTTGTTCGCCAAAGAGGATTCATTTCCTCAGCAAGAAAGACGGGAAAACCCAAACCCATAGCTGAAGCTATTGCTATGTAAATTTATACTGTCAATACTCTTAGGTATAGTTTATTACTCCTATAAAATAATTCTGTGTTACTAAGATATTTTGATGTTTGTCTATTGACATGCTTCTTAGGGTTTTAGATCTCTAACCTGTTGTGCCTTAGATGAAATGGACCAATTTCTTAAATAACTCAAACCACCACTCTGCAGCTTAAACAGGCCTTCCACATCATCTAAAGGTTGCTTAAAACATAGAGGCTCCTATTTCTAGGTTTTCTGTTAAATGTTTCTTATAAAAATCTTTTTGGGCCAGACGTGGTGGCTCACGCCTGTAATCCTAGCACTTTGGGAGCCCGAGGCGGGTGGATCACGAGGTCAGGAGATCGAGACCATCCTGGCTAACACAGTGAAACCCCGTCTCTACTAAAAACAAAAAATTAGCTGGGCTTGGTGGCAGGTGCCTGTAGTCCCAGCTACTCAGGAGGCTGAGGCAGGAGAATGGTGTGAACCCAGGAGGCGGAGCTTGCAGTGAGCCGAGATGGCGCCACTGCACTCCAGCCTGGACGATAGAGCGAGACTTTGTCTCAAAAAAAAAAAAAAACTTTTTGTGAAAATCCACAATTATAGTTGGAGATTTTAAATACCTCTTACATTAATCTGGAACTGGTAGATAGACAGTAGGCAAGGATCAACCAACTGGATTTGACATTTATAGGACACTCTACTAAACAGCAGAATACACATTATATTCAAATGCACATGGAACACCACCAACATAAATCACATCCTGGTTTAAAACAAATACTAACAAATTTAAAATAATTAATATCACACAAGTATGTTTTTAAGCATAATGGAATTAAACTAAATCAATAAAAGAGGAAAATCTACAAACATGTAGATATTAAACCACATTTCTAAAAAATCCTTAGGCCCAAGAGGAACTCTTAAGGAACATTAGAATATAGTTTCACCTGAAAGAAAATGAAAATATGTAACATGAAATTTTATGAAATTCAGCTAAATAGTAGCACTTAGAAGAAAATGTATAGCAAGAAATGCTTATATTAGAAAAGAATAGGCTGGGTACAATGGCTCATGCCTATAATCCCAGCACTTTGAGAGGCCAAGGTGGGCAGATCACTTGAGGTCAGGAGTTCAAGACCAACTTGGCCAACATGGTGAAACCTCATCTCTACTAAAAATACAAAAATTAGCCAAGCATGGCAGTGTGTGCCTGTAATCCCAGCTATTTGGGAGGCTGAGGCAAGAGGACTGTTTGAGCCCAGGAAGCAGAGGTTGCAGGGAGCCAAGGTCGTACCACTGTACTCCAGCCTGGGCAACAGTGTGAGACTCCATCTCAAAAAAGAAAAGAACAAAGGTCTTGAATTAGTAATCTAAGTTTTCACATTAAGAATAGAAAAAGAAGAGTAAAATAAACCAAGCAGAAGGAAGCAGATAATAAAGAGAAGCAGGTCAATGAAATTGGAAAATGAGAGACAATGAAAAAAAATCAATTAAGCAACATTTGTGCTTGGAAAAGATTGGTAAAACTGACAAAACTTTACCAAGATTGATGAGAAAGTAGGAGGAAGAGAACGAGGAGGAGGGGGAGGCAATGATGGCACAACTTACCAATATCAAGAATGAAAGAGAGGTATCACTACAGACCCTGCAGGCATTAAAAGGACAATAAGGGGAAATTCAATTCTATGCACATAAATTTAACAACTTAGATGAAATGAACCAATTCCTTGAAAACTACAGACTACCAAAACTCACCCAAGGTGAAATAATCTGAATAGTCCTGAAAAGCATTTCAAAAAGAAACTCCAGAAAACAAATATCAAGATCCAGTTGGATTCACTGAGGCATTCTACCAAAAATTTAAAGGCAATCTTTCCCGGGATTACCATGATACCAACACAAGACAAACATAGTACAAGAAAAGAAAACTACAGACTAATATCCCTCATGGACATAGATGCAAAAATTCTCACCAAAATATTAGCATATTAAATCCAGCAATATATAAAAAGAGTAATAGACCATGACCAGATGGGGTTTATCCCAAAATATAAGGCTGGTTTCATATTTGAAAATTAATCATTGTAATCCACTATGTTAAGAGTTGAAAGAAGAAAAACTGTGTGATCTCGTCAATTGATATAGAAAAAGTTTTTAACACAATTCAGCATCTTGTTATGAAAAAAAAAAAACTTTCAGCAAATAATGAATAAAAGTGTACTTCCTTAACCTGATAAAGGACATCTACAAGAAACTCTACAGCTAACAACATAGTTGATGAAAGACTGAATGTTTTCTGCCCAAGGTCAGGAAGAAGACAAGAATGTCCACTCTTCCCCACTTCATGCAGCCTTGTACTGGAATTTCTAACCAGTTCAAAAAGGCAAAAGAAAGGTGAAGGCAGACAGATTGGAAAGAAGTAATGACAGTGGCACAATTATCTACACAGAAAATCCAAAGTGATCCATGCACACACACACACACACCACACACACACACACACACAAAACTAGAACAAGGGAATTTAAGCAAGGTCGTAGGATACAAGATCAACCCACAAAAAACAATTGCATTTCTGTATACTCACAATGAAAAAATTGGAAACCAAAGTTAAAAACAATACCATTTTTATCTTAGCTTCAAAATAAATACTTAGTTATAAATCTAACAAAATGTACAGATTCTATATGCTGAAGCCTTAAAAATGCTGATGAAATAAATCAAGGGCCCAAAGAAATGGAGACAACGTGCTGTATTATGGATTGGAAGACTAAACACAGTAAAATATCAACTCCCCAAGTTGATCTGTAGATTTAACAGAGTTTCAGACAAAATCACAGCATAATTGTTTATAGATATAAACAGGCTGATTCTAAGATGGATAAGGAAATGCAAAGGAACTAGAATAGGCAAAACAATTTTAAAAAATAAAGTTGAAGGAATCACTATCAAATTTTATGACAGTATAAAACTACAGTAATAAAGATAGTATGTTAATAGGAACTGTGTAAACACCAAAAGCAGTGGTACAGAATAGCAAGTCTAGTAATAGACCCATATACATATGGCCTTTTGACAAAGGTGCACAGGAAATTTAATGGAGAAAGAAACATTTAAATAAATAAGTGTCGGAACAATTGAACATCCATCTAAAAAACAAAAAACTTTCACCTAACCCTCAAACCTTAAATGTAAAACTGTAAAACTTTTAGAAGAAAATTTTTATGACATGGAATTAGACAAAAATTTCTTAGAAAATACCAAAAGCATTATCCATTGGATGGTAATGAATTGATAAATTGGACATCATCAGAATTAATCCTTTTGCTCTCTTAAAGATCCTGCTAAGCGAATACAAAGATAAGCTCCAGGTAGAAGAAATTATTTTCAATCACATATCTCACAAAGAACTTTTATCCAGAATAACTGAATAGTAATAAAACAACCCAATTAAAAATGGCAATAATCTTAAATACACACATTTCCAAAAAGGATATGTGAAGGCAAATAAGCACATGAAAAGATGTTTGACATCAGTAGCCCTCAGGGAACTGCAAAGTAAAACCATGAGGAGATACAATTATATACCTTTAGAATTGCTAAAATAAAAATACTGACAATCCCAAGTTCTAATAAGAATTTGGAGTAACTGGAACTCTCATACTATACATTTTTGTTGGGGATGCAAAATGGTATATCATTTTGAAAAGTAGTTTGTCAGTTTCTTGTAAATTGTACACTTATATGATCCAGCAATCTCATTCCTAGGTATTTACCCTTGAGAAATGAAAAGGTACATTCATATATAAACCTGTACACACAAACATTTATAACAACTCTATCATAATTGCCAAAAGCTGCAAACAACCCAAAATGTCCTTTAACTGGTAAATGGATATACATTTTAGTACACCCATACAATGGAATAGTACTTGCCAATAAAAAGGAATGAATATTCACACATGCAACAACTTGGATAAATCTCAAAAGTATTAGGTTAAGTGAAAGAAGCCAGTCTCAAAAGATTACATTCTATATGATTCCATTTATATAGCAGTCTTGAAAAAGCAAATCTATAGTGACAGAGAGCAAATCAATGGTTGCCAGGGGTTAGAGGTGGCAGGAGGGTGTGACTATAACTATCCTATTAGGATAATAGAACTGTTCTGTATCTTGAGTGTGATGGTGGTTACAGGAATCTATATGTGTGTTAAAATTCATAAAATGAGGCTGGGCACAGTGGCCCATACCTGTAATCCCAGCACTTCGGAAGACCAAGGCAGGAGGATGGCATGAGGCCAGGAATTTGAGACCAGCCTGAGCAACATAGCAAGACCCCATTTCTGTGAAAAAAATACAAAAATAGCTACGTATGGTGGTAAGTGCCTGTGGTCTCAGCTATTTGGGAGACTGAGGTAGGAAGATAGCTTTGAGCCCAGGAGTTTGAGACTGCAGTGAGCTATGATCGCACCACTGCACTCCAGCCTGGGTGACAGAGAGAGACCCTGTCTCAAAAACAAAAACAAAAAGATGCATAGAATGAAACACAAAAAGTCAATTTTATCGTATGTTACTGAAAAAATAAAATTGCACCTCAAAAAATTTCTTTGTAGACAATCTTTCAGGGCATAATTTCAAATGGTCTTTCATATGAAGATAAAGAATCTTTATTTTTGAACATCTCCAACACTAATCTTCATTCCTAACATGAAGATTGAATCCCTTCCTATAACTTTTTTAAAAGTATAAAATTTTATCCCAACAGCATCAAGAATTAATCAACTTTTGGAAGCAACCTAAGTGTACATTAGCAGATGAATGGATAAAGAAAATGTGGTACATATACAGAATGGGTACTATTCAGGCATAAAAAAGAATGAGATTCTGTCGTTTGCAACAACATGGATGGAACTGGAGATCATTGTGTTAAATGAAATAAGCTAGGGACAGAAAGACAAACTGTGCATGTTCTCACTTATTTGTGGGAGCTAAAAATTAAAACAACTGAACTTGTAGAGACAGAGAATAGAAGGATGGTTACTAGAAGCTAGGAAAGGTAGTGGAGGAGGGCAGAAGTGGAGATGGTTAATGGGTACAAAAAATAAGAACTAGTATTTGATGGCACAAGAGGGTGACTATAGTCAATAATAATTTAATTATACATTTTTAAAAAAGTAAAAGTATAATTGGGTTATTTGTAACACAAAGGATAAATGCTTGAGGTGATGGATACCCCATTTACTCTGATGTGATTATTACATACTGCATATCTCTATCAAAATATCTCATGTACACCCTGTATATATAAACTTACTATGTACCCACAAAAATTAAAAATTAAAAAAGAACTTATTTTGAATATATATGTTACATAAAGATATATACATATCTTTCTATAAAAATAGTAAATTTTATTGCAGGAATTAGAATCTATAGTTCTCAGAAATGTGAACATATCATCCTTAAAATGAGATATTTCCACAGGTCAGGAAATAAAAAGTAGCTCCTGAAGCTTTAGTGAGAATTATAGACTTTGCATAACCACTTTATCATTTTTAATACTACTTTCAAAAAAAGATATCGGTACCAGAACAACGAGTCTCATTTTTATTTGCTGCTTTTCAGTTTTCATTCTCAGCTTGCAAGTTTAATGTCCAGAAGAGCAAAGAAGGAACAGGAAGGGTGGTAATGTGGAAAATGGGAATCAGGAACAGCTTTACCATGGAGGCCACCTTCTGTGGATCTACTCTGGGTAAGACCAAGGGTTCTCATTCACAGCTCTCAAAGCTTTAAACCAAACATGTATAATTTAATGTAAATGTAACAGTACAGACAATAGTACTTTCTTCCTATTTAAATAATACTAATATTTAATCAATTCTATAAACAGGATGAATAAACTCTCAAAATATGGTATCTCTATTTCATAATTTTCCTTTGTTTAGAAAGGAAGATTTAAGCATATAAACAGAATACTCTAATTGGTTGTTTCATATGGTAATCTTTAAATGCTTGTTGTTTTTAAGGGGATATCTACAGATTTTTTAAAAATATTTTTTATTGGATTTGCTATTTGCAAGGCAAAATGGACTTTTGGGGGTCAATATATGTTTAAATGAAAGCACTTGGTTCCCTGAACAAAAATTAAAAGTGTGCTTTGTAGTCCCATTTAAGAAATCTTTTAGTTACAGCTAGCATATCCTAACATGGTTAGAATACTCCATATTAAAATAATTGTCACATTATCAGAAAAATGTATCAACTTAAAGTGCTAGAAATCCATATATGTACTTTTCAGCTTGTTTTTTTTATTGTATTTTATTATTATTATACTTTAAGTTTTAGGGTACATGTGCACAATGTGCAGGTTAGTTACATATGTATACATGTGCCTTGCTGGTGTGCTGCACCCACTAACTCGTCATCTAGCATTAGGTATATCTCCCAGTGCTATCCCTCCCCCCTCCCCCCACCCCACAACAGTCCCCAGAGTGTGATGTTCCCCTTACTGTGTCCATGTGTTCTCATTGTTCAATTCCCACATATGAGCGAGAATATGCGGTGTTTGGTTTTTTGTTCTTGCGATAGTTTACTGAGAATGATGATTTCCAATTTCATCCATGTCCCTACAAAGGACATGAACTCATCATTTTTTATGGCTGCATAGTATTCCATGGTGTATATGTGCCACATTTTCTTAATCAAAGCACTTTGATACTGATATAACATTTGTGATGATGAAAACCTTTTCTCATAAAATCTTTACATGAGTTTTTCTCAAAGTGATTATTACCACTGTTTCTAACTGGCAACCAAATATTCTATAACTGTCTTATTGAATTTTTTTATGCCTTTAAAACATGTACTAATGTATGTTAAATCAGCTTTGGTCCAGATGGTGGAAAAGGAACAAGGGAAAGCAATGAGATGTTAAATGACCTGTCCTGAAGAAAAAAATCTAAAGGATAGGATATGGAATCATATCAATGTTTTGTTTATAGTGTTTTGCAATGTACCTGCTAAGAAAAATTATTAACTTACCCTCAAGGGTGGATAAACTTATTGATGTTTTAGGTAACAAACGAGGCACTCATTTCAGCACGAAAGACCTGGAATCAATGGGATATCATTTTTGTGATTCTCTCTTGGATTATTGTGATCCCGACCGGACCAAGGTAAGCAAAGTCCATTTGGTAATGCATCAGACTCCAGCCTATCAGATAACATAAGCTGACTATGGGCCTATGCAGTGTTTGCCTTTTAATGTCCCAACAGTGTTGTTGGGGTTTTAGCACTTAATTTCCCAGTAACAATTGTTCCAGGTGTCTATAAATACTCAAATAGTTTAATCAGGAAATAAAGTTATTTCATAATGAGCTCATTTATTACTTTTGCCTAGTATTATCGGTGCCTGAAAGAATTAGAAGAAATGGAAAGACATATAACCCTGGAAAAAGTCTTTGAGGATTCAGACACACCTGTGATAGACATTACATTGGATGTAGAGTCTAGGTAACTCAAGGCTGCTGAAGTAATGCAATTTGTTGTGCTGTTTTACTATGTTCTTTATAATTATACCAGCATTTTATTGTCAGTTCTCAACTGAAAATCCCAACTGTAAGTGGTGGAAAATTTCTCCCATGCCCATTATTTTGGCCAGACTTCATTAAGACTTTATTATTTTATTCAAGTAACATGAACATTGCTATGTACAGTGTACTGTGAATAGTGTGTGAAAGACATATGAAATTGGTTTTTGTTTGGTTATTGTTTTCGTTTTTCTCTTTCTTTTTAATAGACTTTATTTTAGCTTTTTAGAGCAGTTTTAGATTCACAGCAAAATGGAAGGGGAAGTACGGAGAGTTCCTATATATCCCCTACCAGAGTGGTACTTATTTACAGTTAATGAGTCTGCAGTGACATGTCTTTATCATCCAAAGTCCATTGGATATATTAGGCTTCACTCTTGGTGTTAATTCTGCAGGTTTTGACAAATGTATAATATATGTATTCACTATTATAGTATCATAGAGTATTTTCACTGTAAGGATTCACCCTAAGAATCCACCTATTCAACCATCTCTCCCTACTAACCCCTGGAAACCACAGATATTTTAAACTGTCTCCATAGTTTTGCCTTTTCCAGAATGGCATATAGGTAGAATCACACAGTATGTGGCCTTTTCAGACTGGCTTCTTTCACTTAGTAATATGCATTTAATTTTCTTCCATGTCTTTTCGTGGCTTAAAAGCTCATTTATTTTTAGCACTCAGTAATATTCCATTGTCTGAATGTACCACAGTTTATATATCAGTTTACCTACTGAAGGACATCTTGGTTGCCTCCAAGTTTTGGCAATTATAAATAAAGCTGCTACATATATCCATGTGCAGGTTTTTGTGTAGACATAAGTCTTTGACTTCTTTGAGTAGATATCAAGGAGCATGGTTGCTAGACTGTATGGTAAGAATATGTTTCGTGGCTTTTCTTCTTCCAGCATTGGAGTCGATTGTTACTTCTTTATTTTTCATTTTATTGTGGTAAGAACACAGTATGAGATATACCCTCTTAAATTATTAACTGTACAATATTTTATTATTTTTGATACAATACTGTAGAGCAGATCTCTAGAGTTTATGCATCTTGCTTAACTGAAAGTCCCATTCCCCTACCACCCTCTAGAAACCACCATTTGACTTTTATTTTATGAATTTGACATTTTAGATACTTCATAAAAATGAAATCATGCAGTATTTGTCTTTCTGTGATTGGCTTATTTCACTTAGTGTAATGTCCTTGCTGTTTATCCATGTTGTTAACTTATTGCAGAATTTCCTTCTTTTTTAAAGCTGAATAGGTACGTCTTATTTTCTTTATCCATTCATTTGTCAAAAGATATTTAGGTTGTTTCTATATAATGGCTATTGTGAATAGTGCTACAATAAAAACAGGAATGCTAATGTCTAGATTTCGGTTCTTTTGGATAAATACCCAGAAGTAAGACTGCTGGATCATATGGCAGTTCTGTTTTTAGACTTTCTGAGGAACCTCTGTGCTGTTTTCAGTAGCAGCTGCACTGTTTTGTATTCCCACCATAGTGTACAAGGTTTTCAATTTCTCCACATTCTCCCTAACACTTGTCTTTTGGTTTTTTGATGACAGCCATCCTGACAGGCATGAGGTGATATCTCATTGTGTTTTAATTTGCATTTCCCTGATAAGCGATGTCAAGCACTTTTTCATATACCTGTTGGCCAGTGTGTCTTATTGTAGAAATATCTATTCAAGTACTTAGCCCATTTTATAACAAAATCAGGTTATAGGGGTTTTTGCTATTGAGGTGAAGGAATTCCTTATATATTTTGTAGACTACCCCTTATTAGATGTATAGTTTGCACATTTTTTTTCCATTCTATAGGCCACTTTTTCACTCTATTGTTTCCTTGGTTGTACAGAAGCGTTTTAGTTTGATGTAGTCCCATGTGTTTATTTTTGGGTTTGTTGCCTATGCTTTTGGTGTCGTATCTATGAAATCTTTGCAGAGATCAGCGCCATGGAGCTTTTCCCCTACATTTCTGGAAGTTTTATAGTTTCAGCTCTTATATTTAAGTGTTTAGCCCATTTTGAGTTGACTTTTTTATATAGTATCCAATTTTATTCTTTTGCATGTGGATAGCCAGTTTCCCACCATTATTTGTTGAAGATATTATTCTTTTCCCATTGTGTATCCTTGGCACCCGTATTGAAGATTATTTGGTCATATATGTGTGGTCTTATTTTGGGGCCCTGTATTCTATCCTGTAAGTATAGATGTCTCTGTCAGTGTCATACTCATTTGATTACTGTAGCTTTGTAATATTAATTTGAAATCAGAGAAAGTGATGACTCTCGCTTTGTTCTTTTTTCTCAGGATTGATTTGATGTGGCTATTCATGGTCTTTGGTGTTTCCATATGAATCACAGAACTCTTTTTCCTATTTTTGTAAAGGGTGCCATTGGGATTTTGATAGTGATTGTATTGAATGTGTAGATCACTTAGAGTAGTATAGGCATTTTAACAATATTAAGTCTTCTGATCCACCAACAGGGGATGTCTTTCCATTTATTTCAGTCTTCTTTAATTTCTTTTATCAATGTTTTATAGTTTTCATTATACAAGTCTTAGTTAGGTTTATTCCTATTTTATTCTTTCTGGTGCTATTGTAAATGGGATATTTTGTAAAATGGGATATTGTAAAAGGGATATCACCTTTTCAGGTAGTTCATTATTAGTATATAGAAACACAATGGATTTTTGTATGCAGATTTTGTAACCTGTAACTTTCTGAGTTTATTGATTAGTTCTCACAGTTGTTTTTTTTTTTTAATGGAGTCCATAGGGTTTTCTATATACATATATAAGATCATGTCCTCTGGAAACAGGGACAATTTTACTTCTTCATTTCCAGTTTACATGCCTTTTCATTCGTTCTCTTGCCTAATTGCTCTGGCTTGGACTTCCAGTATTATGTTGAATAGAAGTGGCAAGGTGAGCATCCTTGCCTTGTTCCTGATCTTAGAGTAAAAGCCTTCAGTTTTTTACCTTCAGTGGCCAGGTGAGCATCCTTGCCTTTTTCCTGATCTTAGAGTAAAAGCCTTCAGTTTTTTACCTTTAAGTATGCTGTTAGCTGTGGGCTTTTCATATACGGCCTATATTATATTGAAGTACTTTCCTTCTATTCTTAGTTTGTTGAGGAAAGGATGTTGAATTTTGTCAGGTGCTTTTTCTCTATTGAGAGGATCATGGATTTTTATCCTTTATTCTGTTTGTATGGTTTATCGAATTAATTGATTTGCATATATTGAACCATACTTGCATCCCAGGGATAAATCCCACTTAGTCATGGTGGGCAATCCTTTTAATGTGTTGTTACATTTAGTTTTCTAGTATTTTCTTGAGAATTTTTGTATCTATGTTCATGAAGGATATTAGCCTGTGGCTTCCTTTTCTTCTGGTATCTTTGTCTAGATCTTTCGTATCAGGTTAATGTGAGCGTCCTAAAATGAATTGAAAGTTCACTCTCCTTCTATTTGAGTTTAAGAAGGATTGGCATTAATTATTCTTTAAACATTTTATAGAATTCACCAATGAAGCCATCTAATCCTGGGCTTTCTTTGTTAAGAGATTTTCGATTACTGATTAAATCTCCATAATAGTTATAGGCCTGTTCAGACTTTCTATTTATCCAAAATTTAGTCTTGGTAATTTGTATGTTTCTAGGCATTTATCTTCTTCTTCCAGATTATTTAGATTGTTGTTATACCACTGTTCATAACAGTCTCTTATGATTCTTTTTATTTCTGTAGTATCAGCTATGAAGTTTCCTCTTTCATTTTTTATTTTATTTGAGTCTTCTCCATTTTTCATAATTAGTTTAGCTAAGAGTTTGTCAATTTTGGCTTTTCAAAAAACTAATTCTTAGTTTCACTGATTTTTTTCTATTGTTTTTCTATTTTCTATTTTGTTTCTGCTTTGATCTTTGTTTTTCCTTTCTTCTGCTAATTTTGGTCTTAGTTTGTTCTTTTCTATCTCCTCGAGGTATAAAATTAGGTCTTTTTTGAGATCTTTATTCTTTTTTAAATATATACATTTATCACAATAAATTTCCCTCTTAGTACTGCTTTTGCTATATCCCATTAATTCTGGTATGTTATGTTTTCATTTTTGTCTCAAATTGTTCTTAGTTTCCTTTTTTATTTCTACTTTGACCCAATGATTGTTCAAGATTCTGCGTTTAATTTCTTTACACTTGAGAATGTGAATATTCCAGTTTTCCTTCTGCTATTTATCTAGTTTCACCCCATTATGGTCAGTAATAATACTTGTTTGTTAAATTTGTTAAGGCTTGTTTTGTGGCCTAACATGTGATCTATCCTGGAGAAAGTTCCAGATGTGCTTGAGAAGACCATGTAGCCTGCTGCTGTTGGATACAATGTTCTGTATATGTCTGTTAGATCCATTTGGTCTATAATGTTGTTCAAGCCCTCTGTTTCCTTATTGATCATCTATGTTGATATTCTATTATTGAAATGAGGTATTGAAGTCTCCTGCTATTATTGTATTGCCGTTTCTCTCTTCGGTTCTATCAATGTTTGCTTTATGTATTTAGGTGCTCTGATGTTTGGCTGCATATATATTTGTGATTGTTGTATCTTCCTAGTGGATTGGCCCTTTTATTTGTTATATCTTCCTAGTGGATTGACCCTTTTATCATTACATAATATCTTTCTTTGTCTCTCATGACAGTTTTTTACTTAAAGTCTATTTTATCTGATATAAGTATAGCTATTCTTGCTCTCTTTTAGTTACCATTTTAGCATGGAATATTTTCCCATCCCTTAATTCAGTCTACGTATTTCCTTAAATCTACAGGGAGTATCTTGTAGATAGATTGTAGTTGGGTCCTCTTTTTTTAATCCATTCAGCCATTCTGTGTCCTTTGATTGAGTTTAGTCCATTTATACTTAAGGTCATTATTGATAGAAGATTTACTATTGCCATTTTGTTGTTTTCTATTAGTCTTACAGTTTTTTTCTCTTTTCTTCTCTTCAAATTATTTCTAATGCTGTCACTACCCACAGAGAACTGACATTTTTATTGAGATGACACAAAAGCAGTATAATAAAAGGTAATGAATAATAACTGGAAAATTCAATGCCACAGGAATATAGTTGGAAGAAAGAATGTACTAATTTTATAAGCTCCCACTTATAGGTGAGTACAGTACTTACAGGAAAGGTAAAACAAATGTATGATTCTTCCCTTATATTTACACATTTTTCAGTCTTGAGTTAGTGCCCCTGCAACCTTCCCTGGTGACTAATATGTTTGTTTCCAGATGCAGAGTATGATTTTGAGCTCGAGTTTGTTTATATAATATTGGATGTGCTCTAATCAATTTCAGTCATTATTACTTGAATGCTCAAATTTTCCCAAACCTCAACAATACAAGACCAATTAAATTGGCCTGTGTTTTTTGACATGACTCTCATAGTCTTCAGTAACTTTCAGCCATGATAAGATTTCCCAGGCTCATCTTGTACATTTCCTGCACCAGAACTGGAATCTGCCATTTCTCTCAGAAGTCCTGGTTCTTTTCAGTAAAAAGGGATATTTAGATAACATAGCCTAGATGATAGTTATTATTGCGTCTAGGTTTTTTTTTCCAGGGGATTGAGTTAGGAAATATGTGTTTTCATGAGAAAAAATCTTCAGTTCATAATTATATTTCCAGTTCAAATTTAAGATTATAGAACTTATTCTTCCTTATTTTTTATACTTGTATCTCCCTTCTCTTATACTGAAAAAATCTTCATTCCTAATTACTTTAGGGTAAATATTCACCTGCTTCTTCCTTTTCCTATCATATACCCATAATAATGCTACCAATAAAATGACTATTGAATGCAGTTTAACATTTCTTTGTAATTCTTTTTAAGCTTAGTATAAAGTATTTTTTAAAAGGAAAGAGATTATTTTTTCTATGTGGCTATGCTACCAGTCTGACAGTTAAGTGTCTTTGTTTTTGATTATATTAACTTTTAGAAATAACTTCCATTAATTTTTTGTTTTTAAATTATATAACACATTTACATAAGAACATCAAAACCATATAACAGGGAACATTCAAAAAAGTGTTGATTCTACCCCATCCCCCCTTCTGTACCCTGTTTCCTCCCTTGTTCCATGGGTAACCATTTTCATTAATTTTTTTTACTTATTCTTTGTTTTACTTCAAAAATATGAGTGAATAACTACATATTTTCATGTCCCTGTACCTTATACGAAAGGTAGCATACCATCAGCATTGTTCCATATCTAGCTATTTTCACTTACAATACTCTGGAAATCACTGTAGATTTTTCAGTACATAGGGGTTTTCCTTATTTCTGTGTAGTACTCCACAGGGTGGATATATCATAATTTACTCAGTCTGTCCTCTACTGATGGAACATTTGAAAATCGCCTACTTTTTCCAATTAGCACTTTTTTTCCATAGATTCGGGGGGCTATATGTGTGGGCTTGTTACACGTATTTATTGCATAATGCTGGGGTTTGGGCTTCCATTGAACCCATCACCCAAATTGTGAATATAGTGCCCAATAGGTAGTTTTTCAACCCCTCTCCCCCACCTTCCTCCCCCATCTTGGAGTCCCCAGTGCCTGTTGTTTCCATCTTTACATCCATGTGTACCCTTAGTTTAGCTCCCACTTGTAAGTGAGAACATGCGGTATTTGAAAATGATTTACTTTTAAATGTGGTTCTAAATGAGGATAAGAGACAGAAGTGAGATCAAATAAGATAATGTGTAAGTAAATCCTCTATAACTTTGTGCTATAAAATACTATATAAATAATATATATCATGTGTTATCTATCTAGAATACCTTTTAAGAAATTCAGGAATTTATGGTAAATTGGGACATAAACTTGATTTCCTAGCACCAATCAATATTCTACAGGAGTCTGGAGTCTGTTTTTTGAGGTTGCAGAATCATTCCATGTTGGTTATTTCGGAAACTTTGTAACATCTGATACACATTGAAGAAAGCTTCATCCTTACATGTGCAGAAATATTACAAATGTGCTACTTATGTATATTGCCCTTTTGAAAAAGGAACATAATAACCACTTTTTCCAGAGATATAAACCAATTTTAAATGAAAGCGTCCAAATATTTTAAGAACTTTGCATGCAGAAACATGTAGAAGGCATAGCTTCATTCTTTGCTTAAGAAAGCAAGGCCACACCAGAAGTGATGGGTGAAAAATGCGTGAAGCTGACTTTCAGGACAATAAAAGGAAGAACTCCCTAATAATGAGTGCTAATTCTGAGAAGGGTTAGTGGAAAGTAGTTAGTACCTTGTTATAGAAAGGATTCAGCCAGGCCGGGCAGGGTGGCTCATGCCTGTAATCCCAACACTTTGGGAGGCTGAGGTAGGCGTATCACCTGAGGTTGGGAGTTTGAGACCAGCCTGACCAACATGGATAAACCCCATCTCTACTAAAAATACAAAATTAGCCAGGCATGGTGGTACATGCCTGTAATCTCAGCTACTCGGGAGGCTGAGGCAGGAGAATCATTTGAACCCGGGAGGCGGAGGTTGCAGTGAGCTGAGATCGTGCCATTGCACTCCAGCCTGGGCAACAAGAGCAAAACTCCGTCTCAAAAAAACAAAACAAAACAAAACAAAACACACAAAGGATTCAGCCAAAGCTGGACGACCATCTGCTATGGGACTTAATAAAATAATTCCTGTATTGTGACAAAGATTTAGTTAAATTATTCCTGAGACCTAAAAAATGATAAGATTCTAATGGATACTGTCAATTTAACAATTCGTCTTAAGAAAATAAAAACATTTCTAATAAATAGGAAATGGACATTTAAAATATAGTCTGCCAGTCAATGTCTTCGATTTTAAGAAGAATAAGTATATATTAAATAGAAAATACTATTATAAAGCAATTTAAAACATAGACCTTTCAGTATAGATTCCTACTGTGTCAAAATCAAGGCTGATATGAACAACAGTTATGATATATTAATTATTTAAAAATTTGTTTACTTTTATTGTTTCATAAATTTGGTTACCTTCTATGATGGCATAAGTGAAACACATCAAGTCAGTACTGAGAGACCCTTAACTTTCTAACCATATGTGGCAGCCTTCTATATAATTTTAGGAGTTTCCATATTACAAATGAGGAGTTTAAGGCCTACAATGAATTAACCTCAGCCTGTCCTCTTGCCTTTGGCTGTCTTTAAGCTGGATCTAACACAGAAATAAAGATAAGTAAATTTACCTGGAAGGCCATTTTATAAGCACCTTGTAGCTGTATCTGAGAAGCAAAGTAAAATAAAATCCATTGGAACTTAAATTGTGAGTGCAGAGGAGAAATTTTCCAAATGAAACTTAAATTCCTTTTATAGCTGCTGCTGAAAAAGGAAGCATTGTGTTTCAAAATAAGGAAATGTAGAAGTTTCTTTGATTTAAGCATTGATACATTTTCTGATTTGCAATGGAAAATATTTGCTTATAGAGAATACAGTAGTACCACTAGGACAAACAATATTTTACAATTAATATAAAAAAGATAAAGCAACTTTAAAAGGTGTGTTGTTTAATGAAAAAATATTTTCTAATGCACATTGAATCAGATATTGTGGTAAATATAATAAACTACTTATGTAGTTTCTTAGCCAAAAAAGGAAAATATTTAATGGTAGATAATTAAAATATGCTTAAAAACATAAATATGTGTGTATACACATTACTGTAGTTATAAAAATATGCATGCACACATATATTTGTATGTTTCCTTATTTCCAAAATACAACCCAGAGAGTTTTCTTATTTATCAATCTGTATAGCTTCTTATTTGCTTCTCTTATTGTCTTACTCTGTTTAATGTTGCTACAACAGAATACCTAAAACTGGGTAATTTATAAAGAAAACAGGTTTATTTAGCTCATAGTTTTGCAGGTGAGGAAGTACAAGAAGCATGATGGTAGCACCTGCTCAGCTTCTGGTGAGGGCTTTTGATGCTACATCATAACATGGCAGAGAAGGTCAAAGGGGAAGTGGACACAGGCGAAGAGGCAAAAACCCAAGGGACATCTTTGCTTTATAATAACCCACTCTTGTGGGAACGAATCCATCACCACAACTAATCCAGTCTCACAAGAGTGAGAACCCGGTCATTCATAAGGGACCCACCCCCATGACCCAAACACCTCCCGCTAGGCCCTACCTCCCAACACTGGCACATTAGGAATCAAATTTCAACATGAGTTTGGGTGGGGACAAACCATAAGTGCTGAACCATATTATAGTACTTGTCTTACTGTATTAGCTAGAACTTCCAGTATGATACTGAGTAGAAGTGCTATGAGAAGACATCCTTATCCTGTCCTCAAAGCAGGAAAGCATCTAGTTTCTCACCATTATGTATGTTAGCTGTAAGGTTTCTGTAGATATCAAGTTGAACAAGATTCCCTCTACTTCGTTAGCTGAGAGTTTTTGTCATGAATATGTGTTGGATTTTGTCAAATGCTTTATGTCAAAAATATATTGATATAATTTTTTTTCTGCTTTAGCCTGTTAATGTGACAGATTACATCAACTGATTTTTGAATGTTGAAACAACCTGGCATACCTGGAATAAATCCTATTTGGTCATGGTGTATAATTCTTTTTATTCCTTGTTGTACTCAATTTGCTAATATTTTCTTAAAGATTTTTGCACCTGTGTTCATAAGACATATTGGTGTAGTTTTTCTTTCTTACAGTATCTTTGTCTGCTTTTGGTATTAGGATAATGCTAGCCTTTTAGAAAAAGTAAGTGTTCTCTCTGTTTCTATTTTCTGGAACAGATTTTAGAAAACTAGTATTTTTTTTCCTTAAATGTTTGGTAGAATCCACAATAAACCATCTGGGACTTGTGCTTTGTTTTGTAGGGTCACTAATTATCAATTCGATTTCTTTAATTGATATATAGATCTATATATCTATCTATTAGATCTATATCTCTCCCAGTGTGAGTTCTGGTACACTGTGTCTTTCAAGAAGCTGGTCTGTTTCATCTAAGCTATAAAATTTATGAGGACACAGTTGTTAGTATCCCTTCTTTATCTCTTTAATTTCCATAGCATCAGTAGCAATGACCCCTCTTTTATTTCTGATGTTAGCAAGTTGGGTTCTTTCTTTTTTCTTGGTTAACCTGGCCAGGGATTTATCTATTTTATTGATCTTTTCAAAGCAGCAGCATTGTGTTCATTGATTATTGATTCCCTGTTTTCAGTTTCTCTGATTTTTAAATTACTTCTTTTTTTCTGCTTGCATTACGTCTCTATTTCTCCTTTTTCTGATTTCCTAATGTGGACACTTGGATTGTTCATTTTAAAGCTTTCTTCTTTTCTGACATATGCATTCAATGCTATAAATTTCCCTCTAAGCACTGCTTGTGCACCATTCTACAAATATTGATAAGTTGTATTTTAAATTTAATTTAGTTAAAATATTTATCTTTGTTCACACTGGACATGGTTATCTATGTAGAAAATATCAAAGAATTTTTTAAAAACCTGAAACTAATAATTATAGAAGGATTTAAAGATAAAAGGTTAATATACAATTGCCTTTCAATATACCAGCCACGAACAACTGGAATTTAAAATTAAAAAAAAATACCATCTATGCTAGCACAAAAATTTAAAATACTTGGATTAAAGCTACCAAAATATGTGAAAGATGTATATGAGGAAAATTACAAACTCTGAGGAAAGAAATCAAAGAGGATCTAAATAAATGGAGAGAGAGTTTGTGTTCATAGACAGGAAGATGATATTGTTAAGATGTCAGTTCCTCCTGGCATGATTTTTGACTCAATGTAATTCCAATCAAAATCCCAGAAAGTTATTTTGTGGCTATAGACAAACTAATTCTAAAATTTGTGTGGGTATGTAAAAGACCTGAAATAGCTAACAAAATACTGAAGAAGGACAAAAATCCAAGGACCTACACTACTTGACTTTAAGACTTACTATAAAGCTACATAATTAAAACAGTGCAGTACTAGAGAAAGAACAGACAAATAGACCAATAAAACAAAATAGAGAACCCAGAAATATATCCAATATATTTGTCACCGCTGACAAATATAGTCAATGGTGTTTGAAAAAAGAGCAACAAAAATCCCTAGTTAAATGGAGAAATAAGGTCTTTTTGACAAATGTTACTGGAACAATTGGACATCCACAGGCAAAATGTGAACTAGAAGCAACTTTACACCTTTCACGAAAATTAACTCCAAATGAATTATAGACCTAGATGTAAAATACAAAACTATAAAACTCCTAGGGGATAACATAGGAGGAAAGCTAAATTCTCTTGAATTTGGTAATGACTTTTTAGATATGACAAAATCATGATCCATGAAAGAAAAAAATTAGTAGGTCTAAAGATGGTTGAAAACTGAAAAAAAATAAAAAGATGCTTGCCATCATTTTCATTAGGGAATTGCAGACTAAAACAACAGTGAAATATCATGACACACCTAATTATAATAGCTAAAATCCAAAGTAGTGACAATACTAAATGCCAGTGAGGATGAGGAGCAACAGGAACTCTCCTTCTTTGCTAGTGGGAATGCAAAATGGTACAGCTATTTTGGAAGCCAGTTTGGCAGTTTACAAAGCTAAGCATAGTCTCAACACTTGATCCAGCAATTGCATTCATATAGCAGCTTTATTCATGATTGACAAAACCTGGAAGCAACCAAAATGTCCTTCAATAGGTGAATGGATAAAGAAACATATGTTCAGACAATAAAATGTTATTCAGTGATTTTTTAAAATGAGCTATCAAACCATAAAAATATATGGCAGAACTTTAATTTATATTACTAAGTGGAAAATGTAAGTCTGAAAAGGCCACATACTATATGATCCCAGCTATATGACACTGGGTTGCCAGAAGTTCTGGGAAAACGAAGGATGAATAGATGGAACACAGAGGAATTTTAGGGCAGTTTAACTACTATTTATGATACTGTAATGATGGCTATATATCATTATAAAGTTGTCAAAACTCATAGAATGTATACCACAAGAGTAAACCCTAAGGTAAACTATAATTTTTAATAATGTATCAGTGTTGTTTAATCAATTGTAACAAATGTACCACATACTATCAGATATCTAATTTACAAATGTACCACATACTATAATTTAGGAAGTTATGCAGGGAATGGGGGCATGTGTATGGGAACTCTGTACTACCTGCTCAATTTTTCTGTAAACCTAGAACTTTTCTAAAAACATAAATTATATTAATTTTAAAATAATACATAAAAAATACAACCCAGAAATATTTTCTTTCTTGTATTGGCTCTCAAGCAAAAAAACGTGCCTACCACTGCATTAAATGATTACAATTAGAAACAGATTTGTTTGACCCTTTTTTCTTGAGGTACTATGTTTCATATGGTGCTGCATTGCTTTATGTAGAATGGATATAGTGATATAAAAATAAATGAATTTTAAGAGCTAATGATACCTATGACATCTAGGAAACTCCCCTGATATAGCATTTATTCATTAACATATTAACAAATCTTGAGTGCCTACTATATGCCAAGCACTATTTCCACTCTGGTGATACAGCAGTGAGCCAGACAGAAAAAAAAAAATCCTACTTTTCTGGAGCTTACATTCCATTAACACATTCCCAAACCTTTATATCTTTCCACACATTCAACAAAAACCCTCTAAGCTGTCTGGAACTACTAAACCTTTGTAAACATTCTTCCTCTTCTTCTTTTTTCCCCCCCAAGACAGAGTTTCACTCTTGTTGCCCAGGCTGGAGTGCAATGGCACGATCTCAGCTCACTGCAACCTCCGCCTCCTGGGCCCAGGAGATTCTCCTGCCTCAGCCTCCTGAGTAGCTGGGATTACAGGCAAGTGCCACCATGCCCAGCTAATTTTTGCATTTTTAGCAGAGACAGGGTTTCACCATGTTGGTCAGGCTGGTCTCAAACTCCTGACCTCAGGTGATCCACCTGCCCTGGCCTCCCAAAGTACTCGGATTACAGGCATGAGTCACTGCGCCCGGCCACTTCTTATAATTAGAACTTTTCAACCATTCAAATAAGATAAATAAAAGCAACAGTTGAAATTTTAAGATGCCACCAAAACACTGTATAAACCAAAATTATTTTTTTTGTAGTAGCCGAGGCTCTGACAGTTCAGAATCCATTGACTCTCTGACTTACCTTCTCAAGTTAACTTCTCAGGTATGACTGAACATTTTTGCTTATATGTGGATATGCTGTGTAGGTACTGTTCTTATTGTGACTAATAATCAGGCAAAAAAAATTGCAGATATGTAATTATTGTATCATCATTTATTTTCTAACTATGTAGATATTTTAAATCATAGAATTATTTAACTTTAGGGTTTCTTTTTCTAACATCCTTGTTTTATAGATGAGAATAGTTAAGATCCATAGAGATGAAATTATTTCTTAAAAGCCATACAACTTGTTAGTGACAGAGGTGGTAGCCTAACATACATCACCTGACTGCTTAATTTATACATTTATTATTCAACTATGTATTGAGCTACAACTATGTATCAGGCACTGGCTGAGTGATGGGGATAGAGCAGTCAACAAAATGAGACAACAGCTTTCCCTTTGTTATCTTACATTCTGGCTGGGGGAGATACAAAATAAAGAAGATAAGTAAAATACATGATGTGTTACATGGGATAAGTGCCTAAAGAGTAAATTAAAGCAGGAGCGGGAATAAAGAGTTTAGGTGGAGATTGCAGTTTGGGATAGAGGCTACCAAAGTGAAAGATAAATACTTAAGTAAGAACTCAAAGGAAATGAGGAACAAGCCAAGTAGATACTAGGTATATTAACTGCTTTTTGGTACATAACAACTTTAAAACCTCAGTGGCTTACAACAAACTTTTATTTTCTCACTCATGGGTCTGCCGGTTGGCTCTGTTAGACATGGGTAGGGTCAACTGGTCTTGGATTCAGGCTACAGGTTGAGTTCAGTTATGTTCCACATGTTTCTCATTTGCTTGGGCTAGAGAATACCCAGGCAAGATCCTATGTTGAAAACCCGGAGTACACAAGGTTAAACCAAGCAATATAATCCCTAACACACACTGTTAATAGTCTACCTCAAAACCTCTTTTTCCAGTGACCCAAGTCTATCCAGCAGATTTTTCTGTCTTTCAAACTATCACTTGAGACAGTTTTACTAAATGTATCACTTCTACATAATTTGTGTCATCATTCTTCAATTCATTTATTTTTAATAAGTAAAAATTATATATATTTATTGTATATGACACATTGTTTTGAAATATGTACACATTGTGGAATGGTGAAATTGAGCTAATTAATATATTCATTACCTCACATACTTATTTTTGTGGTGAGAACACTGAAAACACTTAAAATCTATTCTTAGCAATTTTCAGTATAATACATTGTTGTTAACTATAGTCACAATGATGCATAATAGATCTCTTGAACTTATTCCTCCTATCTAACTGGAATTTTGTATCCTTTGACTAACACCTGCTCAACCCATACCCCTTCACTCCTGCAGTCCCTGGTAACTACCATTCTACTCTCAACTTCTATGAATTCAGCATTTTTTTTTAATACTCCACACATAAGTGAGAACATGATCTTTCTGTGCCTGGCTTATCTCACTTAACGCAATGTCCTCCACGTTCATCTATATTACTCCAAGTGAAAAGATTTCCTTCTTTTTAAAGGCTGAATAGTATTTCATCGTGCTACATACCACATTTTCTTTATCCATTTATCTGTCGATGAACACTTAAGTTGATTCCATACACTGGCTATTGTGAATAGTGCTGCAATGACCATGGGAGTGCAATATCTCTTTGACATACTGACTTCCTTTCCTGTAAGATATAGACTCAGTAGTGGGATTGCTAGTTTAGATGATAGTTCTATTTTTAATTTTTTGAGGAACTTCCATACTGTTTTCCATAATGGCTGTACTAATTTATATTCCCACCAACAGTGTACAGGGGTTCCTTTTCTCCACATCTCCAACACTAATTATCTTTTTTTTTTTTATAACAGCCACTCTAACAGGCATGAGGTAATATCCATATGTGGTTTTAACATGCATTTCTCTGATGATTAGTGATGTAGGGCATTTTTAAATATACCTGTTGGCCATTTGTATTTGTTCTTTTGACAAGTATCTATTCAGAGCCTTTGCTCATTTTTTAATCAGGTTATTTGTTTTCTTACTATTGAGTTCCTGATATATTTTGGATATTAACCCCTTATCAGATGTATGGTTTGCAAATATTTTCTCCCATCCCATTAGATGTCTCATCATTCTGTTGATTGTTTCATTGGCTGTACAAAGGCTTTTTAGTTTGATGTAATCCCATGTATCTGCTGCTTTTGCTTTTGTTGCCTGTGTTTTCAAGTTCATATCCAAAAAAATGATTGCCCAGACCAATGTCATCGAGCCTTTCCCCTATACTTTTTTCAGTAGTTTTATAGTTTCAAGTCTTACATTTAAGTCTTTAATCCAATTTTAGTTGATTTTTGTACATAGTGTGAGATGAGTCTAATTTCATTATTTTGCATGTGGATATCTTATTGTCCTAACAGCATTTATTGAAGATACTGTCCTTTTCACATCGTGTGATCTTGGCACTTCTGTCAAAAGTCAATTGACTATAAATGCACAGATTTATTTTGGGGCTATTTCATTCTATTGGTTTATGTGTCTGTTTTTAAGCCAGTACCATACCATTTTGATTTCTTAGTTTTATAGTATATTTTAAAGTCAGACAGTGTGAGCTTCCAGGTTTGTTCATGTAGCTCAAGACTGTTTTGGCTAGTTCGGCTCCTTTGTGGTTCCATATGAATTATAGAATTTGTTTTCTATTTCTCTGAAAAATCCCATTGGAATTTTGATAGAGATTGTATTGAATCTGTAGATCACTTTGGGTAGTATGGACAATTTGACAATATTAATTATTCTGATCCATGAGCACAAGATATCTTTCCATTTCTTCATAGAAGACATTCCATGTCTTCTTCCATTTCTTTTATCAATGTTTTATAATTGTCAGTATACAGGTCTTTCACTTCCTTGGTTAAATTTATTCCTACATATTTTTTGTAGATATTATAAATGGAATTATGTTCTTGATTTCTTTTTTGATTTTTAGATAGTTTGTTATTAATCATACTTTGTATAGAATCACTACTGATTTTGTATGTTGATTTTTTATCCTTCAACTTTACTGAATTTTTAAATTCTGTTCTTTGATGGGAGTTTTCTATATATAAGATCATGTTGTCTCCAAACAAGGACAATTTAACTTCTTCCTTTTACTCTTGTCTAATTGCTCTGGCTAGGACTTCAGTACTATGTTGAATAGAAGTGGTAAAAGTGGGCATCATTGTCTTGTTCCTGATCTTAGAGGAAAAGCTTTCAAGTTTTCACCATGGGGTATGATGTTAGCTTTGGGTTTGTCATAGATGGCCTTTATTGTATTGAGGTACATGCATTTTATACCTTATTTTTGGAGCATTTTTTATCATGAAAGGATGTTGAATTCTATCAAATGCTTCCTTCTGCATATATTGAGATGATCATAGGGTTTTTGTCCTTCATTCTGCTAATATGATGTATCACATTTATCAATTTGCATATGTTGAACCATCCCTGTATTCCTGGGATGAATCTCACTTGATCATGATGAATAATCTTTTATTGTGCTGCTAGATTTGGTTTGTTAGTATTCTGTTGAAGATTTTTGCATCTATGCTTCTCAGGGATATTGGTCTGTTATCTTTTTCTTGTAGTTTACTTGTCTGGCTTTGGTATCAGATAAATGCTGGCTTCATTAAATGAATTTGGAAATATTCCCTCTTCTTCAATTTTTTGTAAGAGTTTAAGAAGGATTCATATTAGTTCCTCTTTAAATGTTTAGTAGAATTCAGCAGTCAAACCATCAGGTCTTTGGCTTTTCTTTGATGGGAAACTTTTTATTTCTAATTTAATCTCTTTACCCATTATTCATCTATTCAGATGTTCTGCTTCTTCATGATTCAGTCTTGGTAGGTTATATGTAGCAAGGAATTTATTTATTTCTTCTAGGTTATCTAATTTGTTGGCATATAATTGTTTATAATGGTAGTCTTTTATGATCCTATTTCTGTGGTGTCGGTTATAATGTCTCATCTTTTCTGACTTTATCTGAGTCTTCTCTCTCTCTCTTCTTAGTCTAGCTATAGATTTGTCCATTTTGTTTCTTTTTTTAAAAACAAAAAACCATTTCATTGGTCTTTCCTATTGTTTTTCTAGTCCCTATTTATTTTTGCTCTGATATTATTTTCTTCTTTCTGCTAACTCCATGCTTAGTTTGTTCTTCTTTTCCTAGTTCCTTGAAGTGTAACACTAGGTTGTGTATTTCAGAACTTGTTTTTCCTTTTTTTTCAGCCCCAGCTCAAAAGATCTTCTTTTTTGATGTAGGTGTTTATTGATATGAACTTCCCTCTTAGAACTGCTTTTGCTGCATCTGATAAGTTTTGATATGTTGTATTTCCATTTTTGTTTGTCTCAAGATATTTTTAAATTTCTGTTTTAATTTCTTTACTGACCCATTGGCTGTTCAGGAGTGTATTATTTAATTTCCATGTTCTTGTGAATATGTCACTATTTTTCTGTTATATTTTCCTAATTACCTACTATGCAGTCACAAAAGCAATGACTATGACATAGTTTAGGTTTTGTTAGGACAGCATCTTACTTCTGCATATCAATTTCTGTAGTTTTCAGATTTTAATGCATAACACCCTCAGACTATCAATGGCTTACAATAGCAAACATGTATTTTCTTGTTCATGAATCTGAAGGTCAGCAGTGGCTCTACTGAACTAATCAGAAATCAGCCAAACTTAGCTCCTAATTGTGGGTTGGGTTCAGGTTTATTTCACCTTTCTTTCTTCACCTAGACCAGCAGCCAGCTAGGGCATATTTTGCTCATGGCCAATCACAAGAGTTCAAGAGGGCAAGACAAACCATGCAAATCTATTTAAAGCCTCTGATTAACATTCCACTGGCCAAATTAAGACATATGTCCAAATTCAACATCAATGGGGTGGGGAAGGATAATTATATAATAGTGAACATTTAGGAACAATCCAGGGGTATCTTTTCCCAGGCCAGGAGTACTAAAAGTGCAGTGGCCCTGAGGAAGGAGCATATCTGTCATTTTCTAGGAAAACCAAGGAAGCTAATGTGGCTAGAGAAGAATTAACAAGAAGAACAATGGTAAAACATGAAATCAGATAGGCTTTGAAGGTTGCAGGAGCAGGTCATGTAAAGCCTGGTAGGCTTCGGACTTCAGTTTTTGCTCTGAGTTTGGAGATCTTTGATCAGAGGAATGACATGATCTGCCTCAAGTGGTTAGTAGGGTCACCTTGGCTGTTGTGTTAAGAGTACAATGATGACCCATAAGGGAGACCAATTAGGGGGCTCTTATAATAACCCAGGCAAGATAAAAGTGGTGGCTGCACCAAGGTGATACTAGTAGAGGGAATGAGAAGTGATTAGATTTTAGATATATTTTCAAGATAGTGTTAAGAGAATTTGCTGATGACATGTTTATAAGATTGAAAAATAGAAAGGAAAGAAGGTGGTCTCCAGAATTTGGGACCTGAGCATCTGGAGATTAGAGTTTCCATTCCATGAGGACAATGGTAAAATAGTTAACTTAATTTTGTTCTCTAGCTACTAAACCATATTTTGAAGATGTATTAGGACTCTCTCCATTGCAAGAGGCAAAAAATCCTTCCAAAATGGCTTAGTCAAAAGGGAAATTTGTTGGATTACTAAATAAAAAGTCTAGGGACAAGGCTGGCTTTTGTCATGGCTTAAATGAGGGGCTCAGATGATGTCATTAAGATCCTGGAGGGTTTTTTCTCCTGCTTTCATCTCATTTCTGCCTTTTCTTGGTTGGTTCCATTCTCAGACAGACTTTCTTCTCTTGGTGTTAAAATGACCATAGAAATCCAGCCTCACATCCTCACTATACTAAGTCTGGTTGAGACATCCTCCTATATAGTAGTTCTCTCAAAAATGCAGATATTGACATTTTTAACAAAGAGGTGAAAGATCTGTTCAGTGAAAACTGTAAAATGTTCATGAAATTGAAGACACAAATAAATGGAAAGTATTTTGTGTTCGTGAATCAGAAGAATTAATATTGTCAAAATGTCTATACTACCCAAAGCTCTCTACAAATTCAATGCAATACCTATTTCAATGACATTTTTCACAGAAATAGAACAAACAGTACTAAAATTTGTATAGAACCACAAAAGAGCCTGAATAGCTAAAGCAAACTTGAGCAAGAACAACAAAGCTGGAGGCATCACACTTCCTGATTTTAAAATATGTTACAAAGCTACAATAACCAAAAGTATATGATACTGGCATATGAACAGACACACAGCACAATGGAGCAAAATAGAAAGCCCAGAAGTAAAACCATGCATATACAGTCAGCTGATCTTTGACAAGGGTGCTAAGAATACACAATGAAGAAAAGATAGTCTCTTGAAAAAATAGTGTTGGTGGCTGAGTGTGGTGGCTCACACCTGTAATCCCAACACTTTCAGAGGCCAAGGCAGGAGAATCACTTGAGCTTAGGAGTTCGAGACCAGCCTAGGCAACAGAGTGAGACCCCACCTCTACAAAAAATAAGAAAATTATCCGGGCATGGTGGCTCACGCCTATAGTCCCAGCTTCTCAGGAGGCTGAGGTGGGAGGATCAATGAGCCTGGGAGGTCAAGGCTGCAGTAAGTCATGATTGGGCCACTGCACTCGAGCCTGAGCAACAGAATGAGACCCTGTATCAAAGAAACAAAAATGGTGTTGGGAAACTGGATATATACATAAAACAGAATGAAATTGGACCTTTATACTACACACAAAAAGTCAACTGAAGATGGGCTAAACACTTAAACGTAAGACCTGAAACCATAAAACTCCTAGAAGAAACATAGGGGAAAGCACCATGACATTGATCTTGACAATAATTTCACGGCTATAACACCAAAAGCATAGACAACAAAAACAAACTTAAACAAGTGGGACTATAACAAACTAAAAAGCTTCTGTACAACCAAGAAAATATTTAATAGCAGGAAAAGGCCACCTATGGAATAGAAGAAAATACTTGCAAATCATATATCTGAACAGGGGGTAATCTCCAAAATTTTTAAGGAACTCCTACAACTTAATAGCAAAAGAACCCACTAAGCTGATTTTAAAATGGGCTAAGTACTTGAATAGACATTTCTCCAAGGAAGACATATAAATGGCCAACAATTATATGAAAAGTTGTTCAACATCACTAATCATCAGAGAAATTCAAATCAAAACCACAATGAGATATCATCTCACACCTGCTTGGTCAAAAAATTAAAAAATTGTGTTTGCAAGGATGTGGAGAAAATGAAGCCTTTATACATTGTCAGTGAGAATGTAAATTGGTACAGCAATTATGGAAAACAATATGGAGTTTCCTCAAAAAAATTTAAAAGTGAATTACCATATGATACAGTAATCACCCTTCTGGTATTTATCCAAAAGAATGGAAATCCAGATGCTAAAGAGATATTAGCATTCCCATGTTTATTGCAGTACTATTCACAATAGCCAAGATGCAGAAACAAGTGTCTATCAATGGATGAATGGATAAAAAAGATGAGGGGGGATTTTAGAGCCAAGATGGCCGAACAGGAACAGCTCCAGTCTACAGTTCCCAGTGTGAGCGACGCAGAAGACAGGTGATTTCAGCATTTCCAACTGAGGTACAGGGTTCATCTCAATGGGGATGTCGGACAGTGGGTGCAGGACAGTGGGTGCAGTGCACCGAGCATGAGCCGAAGCAGGGCGAGGCATTGCCTCACCCAAGAAGTACAAGGGGTCAGGGAATTCCCTTTCCTAGTCAAAGAAAGGGGTGACAGATGGCACCTGGAAAATCAGGTCACTCCCACCCTAATACTGCGCTCTTCCAACGGTCTTAGCAAACAGCACACCAGGAGATTATATCCTGCGCCTGGCTCAGAGGGTCCTACACCCATGGAGCCTCGCTCATTGCTAGCACAGCAGTCTGAGATCAAACTGCAAGGCGACAGCAAGGCTGGGGGACGGGCACCCACCATTGCCGAGGCTTGAGTAGGTAAACAAAGCGGCCAGGAAGCTCGAACTGGGTTGAGCCCACCGCAGCTCAAGGAGGCCTGCCTACCTCTGTAGACTATTCCACCTCTGGGGGCAGGGCATAGCCAAACGAAAGGCAGCAGAAACCTCTGCAGACTTAAATGTCCCTGCCTGACAGCTTTGAAGAGAGTAGTGGTTCTCACAGCACGCAACTGGAGATCTGAGAACGAGCAGACTGCCTCCTCAAGTGGGTCCCTGACCCCCGAGTAGCCTAATTGGGAGGCACCCCCCAGTAGGGGCAGACTGACACCTCACACGGCCCGGTACTCCTCTGAGACAAAACTTCCAGAGGAACAATCAGGCAGCAGCATTTGCTGTTCACCAATATCCGCTGTTCTGCAGCCTCCGCTGCTGATACCCAGGCAAACAGGGTCTGGAGTGGACCTCCAGCAAACTCCAACAATCCTGCAGCTGAGGGTCCTGACTGTTAGAAGGAAAACTAACAAACAGAAAGGACATCCACACCAAAACCCCATCTGTTCATCACCATCATCAAAGACCAAAGGTAGATAAAACCACAAAGATGGGGAAAAAACAGAGCAGAAAAACTGGAAACTCTAAAAATCAGAGCGCCTCTCCTCCTCCAAAGGAACGCAGCTCCTCACCAGCAACGGAACAAAGCTGGATGGAAAATGACTGACGAGTTGAGAGAAGAAGGCTTCAGACAATCAAACTACTCCAAGCTAAAGGAGGAAGTTCGAACCCATGGCAAAGAAGTTAAAAACCTTGAAAAAAATTAGACGAATGGCTAACTAGAATAACCAATGCAGAGAAGTCCTTAAAGGACCTGATGGAGCTGAAAACCATGGCACAAGAACTACGTGATGAATGCACAAGCCTCAGTAGCCGATTCGATCAACTGGAAGAAAGGGTATCAGTGATGGAAGATCAAATGAATGTAATGAAGTGAGAAGAGAAGTTTAGAGAAAAAATAATAAAAAGAAACCAACAAACCTCCAAGAAATATGGGACTATGTGAAAAGACCAAATCTACGTCTGCTTGGTGTACCTGAAAGTGACGGGGAGAATGGAACCAAGTTGGAAAACACTCTGCAGGATATTATCCAGGAGAACTTCCCCAATCTAGCAAGGCGGGCCAACATTCAAATTCAGGAAATACAGAGAACACCACAAAGATACTCCTCGAGAAGAGCATCTCCAAGACACATAATTGTCAGATTCACCAAAGTTGAAAAGAAGGAAAAAATGTTAAGGGCAGCCAGAGAGAAAGGTCGGGTTACCCACAAAGGGAAGCCCATCAGACTAACAGCTGATCTCTCGGCAGAAACTCTACAAGCCAGAAGAGAGTGGGGGCCAATATTCAACATCCTTAAAGAAAAGAATTTTCAACCCAGAATTCCATATCCAGCCAAACTAAACTTCATAAGTGAAGGAGAAATAAAATACCTTACAGACAAGTAAATGTTGAGAGATTTTTGTCACCAGCAGGCCTTCCCTAAGAGAGCTCCTGAAGGAAGCACTAAACATGGAAAGGAACAACCAGTACCAGCCACTGCAAAAACATGCCAAATTGTAAAGACCATCGATGCTAGGAAGAAACTGCATCAACTAACGAGCAAAATAACCAGCTAACATCACGACAGGATCAAATTCACACATAACAATATTAACCTTAAATGTAAATGGGCTAAATGCTCCAATTAAGACAGACTGGCAAATTGGATAAAGGGTCAAGACCCATCAGTGTGCTGTATTCAGGAAACCCATCTCATGTGGAGACACAAATAGGCTCAAAATAAAGGGATGGAGGAAGATCTGTCAAGCAAATGAAAACAAAAAAAGGCAGGGGTTGCAATCCTAGTCTCTGATAAAACAGACTTTAAACCAACAAAGATCAAAGGCGACAAAGAAGGCCATTACATAATGGTAAAGGGATCAATTCAACAAGAAGAGCTAACTATCCTAAATATATATGCACCCAATACAGGAGCACCCAGATTCATAAAGCAAGTCCTTAGAGACCTACAGAGACTTAGACTCCCACACAATAATAATGGGAGACTTTAACACCCCACTGTCAACATTAGACAGATCAACAAGACAGAAAGTTAACAAGGATATCCAGGAACTGAACTCAGCTCTGCACCAAGCAGACCTAACAGACATCTACAGAACTCTCCACCCCAAATCAACAGAATATACATTCTTTTCAGCACCACACCACACCTATTCCAAAATTGACCACATAGTTGGAAGTAAAGCACTCCTCAGCAAATGTAAAAGAACAGAAATGATAACAAACTGTCTCTCAGACCACAGTGCAATCAAACTAAAACTCAGGATTAAGAAACTCATTCAGAACTGCTCAACTGCATGGAAACTGAGCAACCTGCTCCTGAATGACTACTGGGTACATAAGAAATGAAGGCAGAAATAAAGATGTTCTTTGAAACCAACGAGAACAAAGACAAAACATACAGAATCTCTGGGACATATTCAAAGCAGTGTGTAGAGGGAAATTTATAGCACTAAATGCCCACAAGAGAAAGCAGGAAATATCTAAAATTGACACCCTAACATCACAATTAAAAGAACTAGAGAAGCAAGAGCAAACACATTCAAAAGCTAGCAGAAGGCAAGAAATAACTAAGATCAGAGCAGAACTGAAGGAAATAGAGGCACAAAAAAACCCTTCAAAAAATCAATGAATCCAGGAGCTGGTTTTTTGAAAACATCAACAAAATTGATAGACTGCTAGCAAGATTAATAAAGAAGAAAAGAGAGAAGAATCAAATAGACACAATAAAAAATGACAAAGGGGATATCACCACCAATGCCACAGAAATACAAACTACCATCAGAGAATACTATAAACACCTCTATGCAAATAAACTAGAAAATCTAGAAGAAATGGATAAATTCCTCGACACATACACCCTCCCAAGACTAAACCAAGAAGAAGTTGAATCTCTGGATAGACCAATAACAGGCTCTGAAATGGAGGCAATAATTAATAGCTTACCAACCAGAAAAAGTCCAGGACCAGATGGATTCACAGCCGAATTCTACCAGATGTACAAGGAGGAGCTGGTACCATTCCTTCTGAAACTATTCCAATCACTAGAAAAAGAGGGAATCCTCCCTAACTCATTTTATGAGGCCAGCATCATCCTGATACCAAAGCTTGGCAGAGATACCACAAAAAAAGAGAATTTTAGACCAATATCCTTGATGAACATTGATACAAAAATCCTCAATAAAATACTGGCAAACCGAATCCAACAGCACATCAAAAAGCTTATCCACCATAATCAAGTGGGCTTCATCCCTGGGATGCAAGGCTGGTTCAACATATGCAAATCAATAAACGTAATCCAGCATATAAACAGAACCAACGACAAAAACCATATGATTATCTCAATAGATGCAGAAAAGGCCTTTGACAAAATTCGACAATGCTTCATGCTAAAAACTCTCAATAAATTAGGTATTGATGGGACGTATCTCAAAATAATAAGAGCTATCTATGACAAACCCACAGCCAATATCATACTGAATGGGCAAAAACTGGAAGCATTCCCTTTGAAAACTGGCACAAGACAGGGATGCCCTCTGTCACCACTCCTATTCAACATAGTGTTGGAAGTTCTGGCCAGGGCAATCAGGCAGGAGAAAGAAATAAAGGGTATTCAATTAGGAAAAGAGGAAGTCAAATTGTCCCTGTTTGCAGATGACATGATTGTATATCTAGAAAACCCCATTGTCTCAGCCCAAAATCTCCTTAAGCTGATAGGCAACTTCAGCAAAGTCTCAGGATACAAAATCAATGTGAAAAATTCACAAGCATTCTTATACAGCGATAACAGACAGAGAGCCAAATCATCAGTGAACTCCCATTCACAACTGCTTCAAAGAGAATAAAATACCTAGGAATCCAACTTACAAGGGACGTGAAGGACCTCTTCAAGGAGAACTACAAACCACTGCTCAATGAAATAAAAGAGGATACAAACAATGGAAGAACATTCCATGCTCATGGGTGGGAAGAATCAATATCGTGAAAATGGTAAATTTTCACCATTTTCATCGTGAAAATGGCAGAAATTACCATACTGCCCAAGGTAATTTGTAGATTCAATGCCATCCCCATCAAGTTACCAATGACTTTCTTCACAGAATTGGAAAAAACTACTTTAAAGTTCATATGGAACCAAAAAAGAGCCCGCATTGCCAAGTCAATCCTAAGCCAAAAGAACAAAGCTGGACGCATCACACTACCTGACTTCAAACTATACTACAAGGCTACATTAACCAAAACAGCATGGTACTGGTACCAAAACAGAGATATAGACCAATGGAACAGAACAGAGCCCTCAGAAATAGTGCAGCATAACTACAACTATCTGATCTTTGACAAACCTGACAAAAACAAGAAATGGGGAAAGGATTCCCTATTTAATAAATGGTGCTGGGAAAATTGGCTAGCCATATGTAGAAAGCTGAAACTGAATCTCTTCCTTACACCTTATACAAAAATTAATTCAAGATGGATTAAAGACTTAAATGTTAGACCTAAAACCATAAAAACCCTAGAAGAAAACCTAGGCAATACCATTCAGGACGTAGGCATGGGCAAGGACTTCATGTCTAAAACACCAAAAGCAATGGCAACAAAAGCCAAAATTGACAAATGGGATCTAATTAAACTAAAGAGCTTCTGCACAGCAAAAGAAACTACCATCAGAGTGAACAGGCAACCTATAGAATGGGAGAAAATTTTTGCAATCTAGTCATCTGACAAAGGGCTCATATCCAAAATCTACAATGAACTCAAACAAATTTACAAGAAAAAAACAAACAACCCCATCAAAAAGTGGGCGAAGGATATGAACAGACACTTCTCAAAAGAAGACATTTATGTAGCCAAAAGACACATGAAAAAAATGCTCATCATCACTGGCCATCAGAGAAAGGCAAATCAAAACCGCAATGAGATACCATCTCACACCAGTTAGAATGGCAATCATTAAAAAGTCAGGAAACAACAGGTGCTGGAGAGGATGTGGAGAAATAGGAACACTTTCACACTGTTGGTGGGAGTGTAAACTAGTTCAACCATTGTGGAAGTCAGTGTGGCAATTCCTCAGGGATCCAGAACTAGAAATACCATTTGACCCAGCCTTCCCATTACTGGGTATATACCCAGAGGATTATAAAACATGCTGCTATAAAGACACATGCACATGTATGTTTATTGCGGCACTATTCACAACAGCAAAGTCTTGGAACCAACCCAAATGTCCAACAATGATAGACTGGATTGAGAAAATGTGGCACATATACACCATAGAGTACTATGCAGCCATAAAAAATGATAAGTTCATGTCCTTTGTAGGGACATGGATGAAGCTGGAAACCATCATTCTCAGCAAACTATCACAAGGACAAAAAACCAAACACCGCATGTTCTCACTCATAGGTGGGAATTGAACAATGAGAACACATGGACACAGGAAGGGGAACATCACACACCGGGGCTTGTTGTGGAGTGGGGGAGGGGGGAGGGATAGCATTAGGAGATATACCTAATGTTAAATGACAAGTGAACAGGTGCAGCACACCAACATGGCACATGTATACATATGTAGCAAACCTTCACGTTGTGCATATGTACCCTAAAACTTAAAGTATAATAAAAATAAAAAATAAAAATAAAATTAAAAAAAATTTCAAAACAAAAAAGATGAGGGGTGTGTGTATGTGTATGTGTGTGTACATACTGGAATATCATTTAGTCTTTGAACCTGGAGGACATTATGCCCCGTAAAATAAGCCAAACACAGAAAGACAAATATTACATGATCTCACTTTTATGTGAAATCTAAAAAAGTGGACCTAATAGAGAATAGAAGGGTCATTACCAGGGGTCGGGGAGATGTTAGTCAAGGGTATAAACTTGCAGTTGTAGCCGGGCATGGTGGCTCATGCCTGTAATCCCAGCACTATGGGAGGCCGATGCAGGTGGATCACGAGGTCAGAAGTTCAAGACCAGCCTGGCCAACATAGTGAAACCCCGTCTCTACTAAAAATACAAAAAAAAATTAGCTGGGTGTGGTGGTGGGTGCCCGTAATCCCAGCTACGTGGGAGGCTGAGGCAAGGAAAATCACTTGAACTTGGGAAGTGCAGGTTGCAGTGAGTTGAGACTGTGCCACTGCACTCCAGCCCACGTGACAGTGCAAGACTCCGTCTCAAAATAAATAAATAAATAAATAAATAAATAAATAAATAAATAAACCTTGCAGTTTTAAGAGTGTAGTAGGAAGAGCCGCAGACAAAACCCCTCAGACACCAAGTTAAAGAAGGAAGGGGTTTATTCAGCTGGGAGCATTGGCAAGACTCCTGTCTCAAGAGCCGAGCTCCCCGAGTGAGCAATTCCTGTCCCTTTTAAGGGCTCACATCTCTAAGGGGGTCTGCATGATAGGGTCATGACCGATTGAGCAAGCAGGGGGTACGTGACTGGGGGCTACATACACCGGTAATTAGAAAGAAACTGAACAGGACAGGGATCTTCACAGTGCCTTTTTTATGCAAATAAGCGATTAGGTCAGGGGTCGATCTTTAACTACCAGGCCCAGGGTGCGGCGCCAGGCTGTTTGCTTGTGGATTTCATTTCTGCCTTTTAGTTTTTACTTCTTTCTTTGGAGGCAGAAATTGGGCATAAGACAATATGAGGGGTGGTCTCCTCCCTTAAGATGAATACATTTTGAAGACCTAATGTACAATGTGGTGACTATAGTTAATAATATTGTATTGTATACTTGAAATTTGCTGAGAATGGGTCTTAAGTATTCTCATCACGAAAAGCAAAATAAGTGGTAACTATGTGAGGTGATACGTGTGTTAATTAGCTTGATTGTGGTAATAATTTCAAAATGTATACTTAAAACATCATGTACACCTTAAATATATACAATTTTTATTTGTCAGTTTAGACCTCAATAAAGCTAGAGGGAAAAAAGCAAAGATGATTCTTATCAGGCTGGTTTAGACATGTGTCAACCCATAAATCACTCACTGTGACTAACAGGATAGACTGTGCTGATTGGCATCAGCCTGGGTTATTTGACAAACCCTCATAGCATTCACCCAGACTTCAAGAACTGAGAGTGGGTAGGATTAAATTCTCTAACAAAATTTAAGACAGTTGCCAGAAGAAGAGGGAATGGGTTCTGGGGACATGAACAACAAATTTGGACAAAGTCCAAATTCAAAAAAATTTTAAACAATCACATAGCACAAGAACAAGTGTTTTACCTCCTCCCATATTCTCTGCTGTGCCATCACATTCTCCCTTTCCCTCCATTTGCCAATCTTTCCCTCTCTCCTCTCTCCACTCTCAATACTTTAAAGGATTATACTCAAATATTCCTGTGGGTTTGTTAAAATACCATGCAAGTCTTTATTTCACAAACACCTCCTCTTTCCAAGTTATGTATATCAGGACACTCATGGATAAATATTCATACCCATGCCCACAATTCAGGCAGTTATGCATACACACACACCCTCTGGAGTAAAAAATAACAGTAAAAAGAACAAGTTTGTATTCTGTGTGGTCATTTTCAAAAACTAAATGAATCCCTACAATGGTCAGATATTGATTATGTGCCGTATTTTGAGTATAGGCATCTTTATCAAGATATTTTTCTAGCATTATAAAAATGTTAACTTTTAAAGAATAAACAGATGAAACATAATACCAATTAAATTCTAACTTTTAAAAATTAAACTTTTAATTTTGATTAACTTGCTGTTGTAAGAAATAATTCAGAGAGATGCCAGGGACCCTGTTTTCTGTTTCCCCTAATGGTAACATCTTACAAAATTACAGTGCCATGTTACAATAAGGCTATTTATATTCATGCAGTCAAAATGCTGACCATTTCCATGATCATAAGGATCCCTCATATTGCCCTCTTAAAGCCATACCCACTCCCTCCTGTCCTTACCTTGCAGTTATCCCCTGGCAACCACAAATCTGTTCCGCATTTCTGTAAATGTATCATTCACAAATGTTTTTTCACATCCCTGTGAAATCACACAATATGTAACGTGCTGGGATTGGCTTTTATCAGTTGGCATACTTCTTGGAATACTTATCCCCCACCCCCAAGTTGATGCATACATCCATAGTTTCTTCCTTTTTATTTCTGTGCAGTATTCCGTGATATGGATTTACCACAGCCTATTTAACCATTCACCTGTTGAAGAACATGTGGGTTGTTTTCAGTTTGGGGCCATTATGAACATAACATTAGTGTACAGGTTTATGTGAAATAAGTCTTCATTTCCCTGAGATAAAAACCCAGGAGTTCAATTGGTAGGTGGTATGGTAGTTATGGTACATACATGTTTAATTCTTTAATTGACTGCCAAACTGTTTTCCAAAATGGATGTACAATTTTCCCTTCCCAAGAACAGTTTATGAGTAATCCGTTTTCTGTGCATCCTCACCAAAATTTGGTATTGTCACTATTTTCTATTTTAGCCATTCTGACAAGTGCGTTATCTCATTGTGGTTTTAATTTGCATTTCCATAACAGTTAAACGATGTTGAATATCTTTTCACATGCTTATTTGCCTGGCCCCCTGCTTAGCCTTCACTGACACTACCTTGAAAAAGGGGTTGGGGCGCTCCCACTGGGCTTGTGTTGGCATGGGTGGGTGTGGGAATCACAGTCATTTCTGTGGTGTTAGGCTGGAGTAGAACAGTTAACTATCTAAAAGGTTTTGGTCTCTTTAGGCTGTCCTTCTCCTGGTCCTTGGGCTAGAAGGAACAGGCTTATGTAGGGATTTTTTTAAATTGCATTCACTGGCATTTCTGGGTTGCTGGCCTCTCCAGCTTTAAAGCGAGAATATATGAAGCAAAAAGAAAACCCAGTGAACTCATCATCATGCCACTCTTCTGGCCTTGAACTCCCTAGCTAGTCTGTCTTCTCCTTTCCATCTTTTAGAGCTTCTTATATGATACCCAGAATTTTTGGTTGTACTTAGTGGGAGGAATAAAGTACTTCTCATCTTCTTAGAAGTGGGAATCTCGAAACAATTTCATGTCTGCATATGTACTCTTTGATATGTTGATTAAATATTGATTTTAAGTATGATTCTTTTACTAGAAAAAACATTTGAAAACAAAGAAGGAAAGGAATTCTACCATAGCAAGCCACCAAAATGCCAGAGGACAAGAGGTAAATCTTCATTAATCTAGTTATTAAGGTTTTTTTAAATGAATGAAAGAGAATGGCAAGTTATTTTCTCTTATACTTCTTATACCCGAATTTTCCCCCAGGAGAAGTTAAAATTTTGTTCATATTATCTACTGTTTATAAAAACACAAAAGATCTTTGACAGATGAGAGGTGGGCCTTATTAAGATGCCATATTTAAATTTCATTTATACTTTTACCTTACTCTAAAAAGTATTTGAGGAAGCTTACAAAGATGCATCCAGGGTAGCAAGAATAAAGAAATTAAAACTAAGAAAAATTAACTGGGAATATAAGGGTATAAAAATAAAAACAGTGGTACTGAAACATCAGCTTCTACCATGACAACAGGAAGAGCTCTGCAAACCCATTCACCAGCAAAACTAGTGAAATTATCCACAACAACAACAACAAACAACAACAGATATTTAAAGTCTCTGAAATGGTCTTAAGGTTATACAGCAAATGAAACAAAAATTTATTCAAGAAAGTCTACTAAAATTCATTAAAAACTGTGAGAGCCTGTGGTATTTCAATCAAGACTGCCTCTTCCTCTACCCCCACCCGACTCTGCAGCTCGGTAAGACAGAAACTCCACACTAGTGTAGACAAGAAATTAGGGCTCCCTCTCCCCAGAGCTACCAAAGGGCTATCCCAGGAGGGGGAGGATATCAGTATGTCTTATTCTTCCCCCTGCTGTCTGTTGCTAACTCAGGTGAGTGCGGACAAGAGATGGGGGCTCCCTTCCTCTCCCAGTCCCCGTACATGAGACAGAGGCTCTACTTCAGGTGCTCCACCACTGAGCATTCTTGGGCTCTGCTTGCCCTTATCTTGGTTTGTAAAATGATGGTTCCACACTGGGAGAGGCAAATGGAGGAAACCTAAGTCTACTGCCTCCCCTCCACCTACAGTTCATCTCCTAAAGCAGGGTATCACTTGGAGGGAAGAGTGCCATTTCCTCCATCCCCAGCTCATAAGCCATAGCTTATAAATTTTGCCCTGATGAAAAACTAGGTCACAAAACAGATAGCTCCTAATCTTTTCCAGAAAAAGAGAAGTTAAGCTTAAGGACAGTCTCAAAAGCAGTGCAATTATGGCTTAAAAAAAAATTCTGGAGGACAAATATATTACTGGTGGAAGTTATCTTACCAGCAGCAAATCCGTACAGGTCTGCAGCAACATCAATTCTTGCCTTCCACTCCTGCCCTAAAACTTGCCTCAGTCTCTTTTTCTGCCTTTATGCCCCTGAGTCAAATCTTAAAACGTTCACATACCAGTTAAACTCGGCCATTTTGTTTCTTAATGCGCATGCTCGAGCTCACTCCTGAGATCTCATCAGGAAGCGGCTGATCACCAGTCTCAGGTGTTTCCTATCTGTAGAAAGACTGCCTTTCCCTGCTGCTGGCTGCAACCAATTATTATTTTAGAGAGACAGTTAACAACCGCCTGACCATCACCTGATGCCTGACATTCCTGGTGGGGTTTTGGTGGAGCCCTCTCCTGCCCACTGATGCCTGATTAGCTACCTACTGCAACAACACTGGTAGATTCATTGGAGCTACAAGCTAAACTGAATACTGACTAGTTTTCCAGAGAGAACTGGAGAAAGAGACAGCTAGGAGGAGCCTTACTGGAGTCAGAAAAAATCTTAAACACTGACCTCTGCAACTATCCTTTTGAAGAAGTTTGACTGGATTAGTCTGAAGAGCAGAGCTGAATGTGGTCAGGGAAAGAGACAGAGAGCCCTGCCTTAGCACTGTCATCCCAAGTGAATGTGGATATACCTAAGTCTGTACCCCTGAGGACCAACATCAGAGGCTTAGTACTGCAGGGAGCAGAGATGGCTATAAAGGAGTAATGCTCCTTTTCCTCTGCTCTCTCTTCTAGAATTACATTATTTCAGGAATGTAATATGAATAGGAATTAAAATTTTATTTATGGTAAACAAATCCTCTAATTGTTACCCCTGTGTTAAGTCATTTGCAGGACCCAATAACCAAAATAGGTTTTTGTTAGGGGATTTTTTTTTAATGTATATATTGCAAGACACATATTTATTTAGTTCTCATAAATATATCCACAGAGTGGTTTTCCTCACGTATCCAAGCTACATTTAATGTAAAATATTATAAATCCCTTTATATTAAATGCTCATGTATTTGCGTCTTTCTTGATTGGAGCTTTTAAAATTGTATGAAATCATTATATTTAATGTTAGATACTTCCAAATGGAAAATAATCTTCATTTGGTCAAATGCTTTGAGAAAGTTGCATACATTCTAAGTGTGCCCATAAGCTAATAGCAGATTGTGGTCACTTACCTTGAAATTCCTACTCCTCTTTCACAAAAAGAGTGAACAATCTCACTTTCACTCAGGTAAATGGCTGAGGGCAACTTAAATTCATGCTCTCGAACTGACTATTTCTTACTTGGTTTGCTTATAAGAAGACATCAATACATCCCTAAAATAATATTGGCAAATTATTTTAAAAATATTTCAGTTAACTTTGTTTCCCACCAAGACACTCTTACTTGTTGATTCTGAAGAATTTCAGCACAAACAATTATATATTACTGTGGTCAGAAATTGTAGCTCATGTACATAAGATCACTGACCTGGTGATATTTTTCTGTAGGATTGAATGTAACAGTTTATTATGGTTCACAGAATCATTTCACTTAAGAGATGGGAGCTAAAAATGACAAGAGTTTATCAAATCAAGTCTTACTAATTTTCTTCAGCCTGATTTCACTCCTTGTCTTGCTAGTGATTGCATAATATCACTACTTTTAAATTTGTGTAATTTTTTCTAGAATGTTTCTTCCTTTCTTCAATAATCAAATTTTGATTTTTACAGTTTTCTCCCATTTTCATACTGATTTTGCCCATTTTTTTGCTGCCAATCAATTATATATATGAAGAGGTGGGTTTGAGCTTTTAACTCCATTTCATAGTCTACTTTTATTGTGGGTTGTTTTTGTTTTTGTTTTGTTTTTGAGACGGAGTCTAGCTCTGTCGCCCAGGCTGGAGTGCAGTGGCGCCATGTCAGCTCACTGCAACCTCTGCCTCCCGGGTTTAAGCAATTCTCCTGCCTCAGCCTTCCAAGTAGCTGGGATTACAGGTGACTGCCACCACTCCCCACTAATTTTTTTTTTTTTTCGGTAGAGGCGGGGTTTCACCATGTTGGCCAGGCTTGTCTCGAACTCCTGACCTCAAGTGATCTGCCCGCCTTGGCCTCCCTAAGTACTGGGATTACAGATGTGTACCGTGCCCAGCCTCATCTTTTTATACATAAGCACAGTTTTGCAATCTGTTTATATATTTTACATAATTTTATATCTTTTCACCCATTTCACACTTTTATCTTCCCATGTTTGTTGTTCTAATTTAAATAAGTGAGATTATAAGAATACCATTTTTTTGTCTCTTTCTCATTATAAATACATTCTATGTGATGTGGAAAATTTTTAAGCCCCCTTTACTGCCAAAATATAGTATCAATATTTTCTTCTACTCATTGATGCAGGAGAAAAGTAGCGTAGGGAAAAATATTAGAAGACTCTGATTTATAAGATAATTTTGGTCATTCTAAACCTGTAAGGATGAAATGAGAAATATTTGTTAAAAATGCACAATACCATAAATCATATAGGAAATATACCCCATTTCATGTTGATAAAATAGCATTGTTTTCTTTGATTCTACATTCCATTAGGTTTATGATAGAGGGCATTTGCTGCAAAGACACACACAATCAAATTCTGATGTGAAAGGTAATATTCTGCTTCTACCTTCTCATAAACAATTAATTCATTTACTCAACTAAGAATTTTTGGTGCCACAACTTTGAGGTTGCCACTGTGCTTGGTGCTAGGGATATTAAATGTATATGATACCATTTCTTCCCTGCAGGACCTCATCCTTTAATCAGGAAAGAAACAACAACAATCCAAGCGCAGTGTCATAGACACAATGCCAGTAGTCTGTTCAGGGTTCCCAGGGAGCAGAGAGAAAGGAGTGGTCAATTACATTGGAGAATAGAGAGGTCCACGTATTTCAGGGCTATCCCTAAGGTTTTGAAAGGCTTGCCCCCAAAGGGAAAGGCATTTATGTTTTAAAACCCATCTTTTCCCTCTCATTTTGTAATTTAGTAGAAGATAAGCCCAGGAGAGAAATTAATTCATAGACTGTTCATTGGCTTCTACTGCAACCTGCTAAGTCTGATGTGAATCTTTAACTGACTCTCTAGCATCTCTGTTTTTTTTTTTTTTTCTTAATTCTGTCATTTTATCTTTAGTTGAGGTCCTTTGGCAGGGGGAATCATATAATTTAAGCAATATTTTGATTTTATCTAAAATACCTAATTTTTTATGTGTGTGTGTATATATATATATATTAATTTATTGTACATTTTTATCTACCTATTTCCCAAAAGGATTTGAGGTAACCTAATTACACACACACACACACACTCATATATCCATTTAGTTTATGATGTAGCAAAATAATTAAAAATATAAGTGGAGATAAGAACCTAAGAACCATGCCTAGGAAAGGGAAGAATACTATTATAATTAAAATAGTCAATTCACTTAAACTTTATTTTTTCTGATAATGGTCAGCTAGGCATATTCAGCGGCTTTTTATAAGTAACTTTTATGTATTCTTTTGTTAACATTTTAATGTCAAAAATTAAAAATAAAGATAAGCAAAAGAAAGTAAACATTACATTTTAGAATATTTATTTTAAACGCGTTCCTATATTTATCCACATACACACCATGTTAATGAATCACATAATCATCGCATTATTTTGCAACCTACTTTTTAATTTTAAATTACAGTATATTATAAACCTCTTTATATGTAAATAAATGGTGGCAAAGTATTCCATTCTATTAAGCCACCCCCAGTGTTAAACTTACATTTTGTTTCCAAATTTTTTCCTATTGTAAACAACAATGAAAACTTTATAACTGTCTATTTGTGTGTTTTCTTATTTCTTTATAACAAATTCCTAGAAAAGGAATTGCTGGCCCAAAAGGTATGAACATTTTTAAATGCAACAAAAATTTGTAACATTTGAAGACTGCTTATTTTAATTTCATTGAACTAAACTACTGTCTACAAGTTATTTACTAGCATTTTCCACTTTGAAAAAAGATGAAAAATATGAAATGTAAATGGGCGAGTTATTTTCATGCTACTATGATCTTTATCATCTTCTCTAGATACAAGGCCAAATGAACCAGATGATTATATGGTTGATTATTTCAGAAGACAATTACCTAATCAAGGTTTGGGTGAGTAAAATAGGAACACAGACAGTAATGAGTGGTCCCCTATGATCTGAATGTTATTTTTCTCTCTAGCTCTAGAAATACACAGGGGAAACAGTAGAAATTTACTGTATGTCAATTTGCTTTTAATTTTACCCAGTCAAAACCAAAACAAAAGAATATTCATCTCATTGTCTAATCTTTTCATTCCCATCTCACCAAATCTTAGAGCAGAGAGAAACCTTGAGAATGCTCTAGTTTCACCTTCTGCCCATGACAGGCCCCAGGCTCATCCAACCTCTGGTTGACTACACTTGGTGACAAGTACTTTACTAAATTGCAATATAATTCATTCCATTGCTAAAGAGCTGTAGCATTGAAAAAGTTTACTTTCAATAAACTTTAACAGTAAAAAGTTTAAAATATGTGTCCTTGTAAATTTCATCCACTTCTTTTAATCTGTCCTCTCTAATAACACAAAATAGTGAAGAAACCTTAAAGGTAAATAATTCCAACTGACTCATTTTCCCCAATTCTCCTTGAAATAATGCAATTGTAATACCTTCTCTATTTTTTAAAAAGCTGTCATTTATTTCCCTGAAATTTTCCGTTTCTTTCAACCATCCATAAAACACCGTGATTCAAGTCCCTTTACCATTTTATTTTACTCTTTTTTATTGCTATTCAAGCTTAAATGAAACTGAACACAGTATTGCAGATGTTGTCTAATGAGTGCAAAATATATCTTTATTTTTATTTGCTCCTTTATAGATACTAGTTTTCCATTAATGCAGTTTAAGATTATATTTCTTCTTTTGAAAATTATTCTAAAATCTTGACATATTGGATTTCACATATTCAAACCTTTAACGTTTTATTTTCATAGTGCTACCGCTAAGTTGTATCTCCTCCATTCTCTACTTCTTCACTTATTATTTGGTTCATTGTGCTTGACCTTAAATTTATTCCTGTTAAATTTAAATTTAACCTTCTTAGGTTCGGCCTTTCATGAACTATTATGTCATATTGTTATACTATATATATATGCATGTGTGAATACATATATGTATGTGTATATATACATATACATAGATACATGTATTTGACCTCTTGTCAAAGCTTCAGACCCTGTAGGTAACTATCTGCTATACATCTCCACACAGATGTCCCACATATCCAAATTCAAATTCATCTAATTCCACACTAAATGCTCTTCCTCACATATTCTCAATAACATTGATGGCAGTACTATCTCCATAACCACTCCAGCTACAAATCTGATTGGTATCCTTTTTTCTCGCTTTCACTTCTGTCCCTCATATCCAGTCAGCCACTGAATATGTATGATTTTACCTCAGAATCTCTTTTTCTCTATCTTAACTACCATCATTACCATCATTCTTTTCAGATTCTTATCATCATCCACTTACCAGGAGTTCTGTAGTTTTCTAGTCAGTCTCCCTGCCACCAATATTGTCATTCTAATTACACCCTTCATACTACCATCAAAGTGATTTACCAGAAACACAAATCTGACTATACAACCTCACCACCTAAAAAAGCCTTTTAGTGATTCCCAGTCATCTAACAGGGGTTGGACTGACACTGCCCTAAGACTGGCACTGCCTTTTCTTTAGGCTTTCTCTTTCTCATTTTAATTTCTTTTTACATTTAATTTTAAAATAATTTCAAGAATAGTAAAAAAAACTTTCTCTCTCTCTCTATTAATCAATCTATCTTTTTTCCCATTATCCATTCTCTAAGAAAAAGAACATTCTCTTACATTAAAATCAGGAAATTCAACTTGATACAACACTATTTTGTATCGTATATAATTCAGTTTTGCCAAATATCCCAATAGTGTTCTTTAGAGCAAACTTACTATCTAATTCAAGGTGTAATACGGGATCATGAATTGCATTGAATTATCATATTTCTTTATTCTCTTAATTTGGAACATTGGCTCAGCCTTTCTTTGTCATTCACAACACTGTCATTTTTAAAGATTACTGGCAAGTTGTCTTATAGAATATCTGGTTTTAAAATTTTAGTGAACAAAAGAATTACCAAAAGAGTTTATGTAAATCTCAGCTTCTGACCGAGTAGGTCTTTGATGTCACCCCATAATTTGTATTGTTTATATGGGATTTCAGATAATTCTGGCATTGATGACTTGCAGACCACACTTTGCAAGTTACCACTATGGGGGCCACAGTGAAAATCGGTTGGAGGCCAAGCAGTTGGGGCCCAGCCCATCCAACCTTTTTCATCTTGAATAGCTTTCTTATGTAATTTTCTTTCAATAATGGTCTATTACTCAAAATTTTTTCCTTTATTATTTTTAATTGACATAATAATTGTACCAAACCTGTTTCATCCTGAATAGTTTTCTTATGCAATGTTTCTTTCAATAATGGTCTATAACTCGAAATTTTTTCCTTTTATTATTATTTTTAGTTGATGTAATAATTGTACATATGGGGTACAGTGTGATATTTTGATACATGTATACAATGTATAATGATCAAATTGAGGTAATTAGCATCACCTCAAACAGTTATCATTTCTTTGTGTTTGGTACATTCAAAATCTGCTCTCCTAGCTATTTGAAAATACACAATAAATTGTTAATTATACTCACCCTATAGTTCTATGGAACACTAGTCCCTATTCCTCCTATGTAGCTGTAATTAGTATCTGTTAAGCAACCTTTGACTATCCTTTCCACCCCTCTATCCTTCTCTGCTTCTATTAACCACTATTCTATACTCTCTACTTCTATGAGATCAACATTTTAAGCTTCTACATATGAATGAGAACATGCAGTATTTATCTTCCTGTGGCTGGCTTATTTCACTTAACATAATGTCCTCCAAGCTCATCAATGTTGCCACAGATGACAGAATTTTGTTCTTTTTTATGGTTAAATACTATTCCATTGTGTATATATACCATATTTTCTTTATCATTTCATCTGTTGATGGACACTTAGGTTGATTCCATATCTTGGTTGTTGTGAATAGTGCTGCAATGACCATGAGAGTGCAGATATCTCTTTGACATACTGATTTCCTTCCTTTTGGATATATACCCAGTAGTGGGATTGCTGTATCATATGGTAGTTCTGTTTTTAGTTTTCTGGGTAACCTCCATATTATTCTCCATAATGACTGCACAAATTTGCATTCCCACCAAAAGTGTGCAGGGATTCCCTTTTCTCTACATCCTCTCCAATACTTGTTATCTTTTATCTTTTTGATAATAGCTATTCTAACAGATATGAGACCATATCTCCTTGTGGTTTTAATTTGCATATCTCTGATGATTAGTGCTGTTGAGCATTGTTCCATATACCTGTTGGCCATTTGTATGTCTTCTTTTTCAGAGATATCTATTCAGCTCATTTGCCCATTTTTAAAGTAGGTTATTTTTGTTTGTTTATTTTTGCTATTGAGGTAATTCCCTTATATATTCTGGATATTAATCCCTTGTCAGATAGTTTGCAAATGTTTTCTCCCATTCTGCAGGTTATCTCTTGATTATCTGTTGATTGGTTCCTTTGCTGTGCAAAAGATTTTCAGTTTGATAGAATTCCATTTGCCTATATTTGCTTTAGTTGCCTGGGCTTTTGAGGTCTTCTCCATAAAATCTTTCATCAGACCAATGTCCTGAAGCATTTCCTTTGTGTTTTCTTCTGGTAGTTTCATAGTTTGGGGTCTTACATTTAAGTTCTTAGTCCATTTTGAATTGACCTTTTTTATGGTGAGAGATAGGAGTCCAGTTTCATTTTTCTGTGTATTGATATCTAGCTCTCCTGGCACAGTTTATTGAAGAGATTATCATTCCCCTATGAATGTTCTTGGCACCTTTGTCAAATATCAGTTGTCTGTAAATAAGTAGATTTATTTTGGGGTTCTCTGTTCTGTCTCATTGGTCTACATATCTGTTTTTATGTTTTTAACCATTCTGGTTTGATTACTATTGCCTTCATTTTGAAGTCTGGTAGTGTGATGCCTCCAGCTTTATTCCTTTTGCTCAGGATTTGCTTTTGCTATTTGGGGTCTTCCATGGTTCTGCACAAATTTTAGGATTGTTTTTTCCATTTCTGTGAAGAATGTTATTGGTATTTTGATAGGGAGTGCATTGAATGAACAGATAACTTTGGATAGTATGGACATTTTCACAATATTAAGTCTTCCAATCCATGAACATGAGATGTCTATTTGTATCCTCCTCAATTTTTTTCATCAGTGTTGTATAGTTTTCCTTGTAGAGATATTTCACCTCTTTGGCTAAATTTATTCCTACATATTATTTTTTGTAGCTATTGTAAATGGGATTGTTTTTCTTGATTTCTTGTTTTGATGGTTTATTCTTGGGGTATAGAAATACCACTGATCTTTGTATGCTGGTTTTGTATCCAACTTTACTAAATTTATCAGTTCTAGGAGTATTTGATAGAGCCTTTAGGGTTTTCTGTATATAAGATCATGTCATCTGCAAACAGGGACAATTTGACTTCCTTCTTTCCAATTTGGATGCCCTTTATTTCTTTCTCTTGCCTGTTTGCTTTGGCCAGAACTTTCATTACTATGTTGAACAAAAGTAAGCATCATTATCTTGTCCCACATCTTAGGGGAAAAGCTTTCAACTTTTCCTCATTCAGCATGATATTGGGTGCGGGTTTGTCTTGTATGGCCTTTACTGTGTTGAGGTACATTCCTTCCATACCTTATTTGGTGAGAGTTTTTGTCACAAAAAGATGTTGAATTTTATCAAATGCTTTTTCTGCATATATTGAGATGATCATAGGGTTTTTGTCCTCCATCCTGTTGATGTGATGTATCACATTTATTAATGTATCACATTTATTAATATGTGTATATTGATTCATCCTTGCATCCCTCGGATGAATCCCACTTGATCATGGTGAATAATTTTTTTCAATGTGCTGCTGGGTTTAGGAGATTTGGTTTGTTAGTATTTTTTTGAGGACTTTTACGTCTTTATTTATCAAGAACATAGGCCAATAGGTTTCTTTTGTTGTTGTTGTTGCGTCCTTGTCTGGTTGATACCAGGGTAATATTGGTCACACAGAATAAGTTTGGAAGAATTTCCTCATCTTCAATTTTCTAAAAGAGTTTGAGAAGAACTGGTATTTGTTCTTCTTTAAATGTTTGGTAGAATTCTACAGTGATGTAATCAAGTCCTGGGGTTTTCTTCAATGGAAGACTTTTTATTACAGATTCAATCATTACTCATAATTGGTCTGTTTGGGTTTTCTATTTCTTCTTTGCTTAATCTTAGTAGATTGTATGTGTCTAGAAATTTATTCATTTCTGCTAAGTTTTCTAATTTGTTGGAGTACAGTTGTTTGTAATGGTCTCCAATGATCCTTGTATTTCCGTGTTATCAGTTGTAACGTCTTTTTCATTCTGATTTTATTTGGGTCTTTTCTTTTTTTCTCTTGGTTATTCTAGCTAATGTTTTGTTGATTTTATCTTTCAAAAAAAACCAACTTTTCATTTCATTGATCTTTTATAATTTTTAATCTCAATTTCATATACTCTGTTCTGATCTTTATTATTTCTTTCCTTCTACTAATTTTTGGTTTGGTTTGTTCCTGCTTTTCTAGTTCCTTGTGTTACATAATTAGGTTGTTTATTTGAAATCTTTCTACTTTTTGGATATAGGCATTTATTGCTATAAACTTTCCTCTTAGTGCTGCTGTTGCTATATCCTATAGGTTTTGGTATGTTGTGTTTCTATTTACATTGGTTTCAATACATTTTTTAATTTCCTTTTTACTGTCTTCAGTAGTTATTCAGAAGTATGTTGTCTAATTTCCATGTAACTATACAATTTTGAAAGTTCTTCTTGTTATTGACTTCTAGTTTCATTCCTTTGTGGTCAGAAAAGATACTTGATATTATTTCAGTTATTTTAAATTTCTTGAAAATTATTTCGTTCCCTAACGTAAGTCTTAGAGGATATTCCATGTGCTGATGGAAGGAATGTGTATTCTGCACCTGTTGGATGAAATGTTCTTAAATGTTTATTAGGTTCATTTGTTCTAAAGTGCAGTTTAAGTTCAATGTTTCTTTTTTATTTTCTGACTAGATGATCTGTCCAGTGATGACAGTGATGTGTTAAAGTCCTCTTTGATATTATTATATCAAATTCTATCTCTCCCTTTAGATCTAATAATATTTGCTTTATGTTTCTGGGTGCTCCAGTGTGGGGTGCATATGTATTCACAATCATTATATCTTCTTATTGAGTTGATCCTTTATCCTTATAACCTTCTTTGTCTCTTGTTTACAGTTTTTGACTTAAAGTCTGTTTTATCTGATATAAGTATAGATACTTCTGCTCACTTTTGGTTTCTGTTTGTGTGGAATATTTTTTCCATCCCTTCAGTTCAGCCTAAATGTGTCTTTATGGTGAAATAAGTTTCCCGTAGGCAGCATATAGTTGGTTTTTAAAATCCATTCAGTCTATATCTTTTAAGTGGGGAATTTAATTCACTTACATTTAAGGTTTTTATTAATAGGTGAGGACATACTCCTATATTTTGTTGTTTTCTGGTTGTTTTGTACATCCATTGATCCTTTCCTTCTCTCTTATTGTTTATCATTGTCATTTAATGGTTTTCTATACTGATAAGGTTTAATTCTTTTCTCTCTTTTGTGTATCTGTTCTGCCAGTGAGTTTTATACTTTTATATGTTTTAATGATAGTGATTATTATCTTTTTCCTTCCAAATGTAGTATTCCCTAGATTATTTCTTGTAAGACCAGTCTAGTGGTGATAAATTACTTCAGTTTTTGCTTGTCTATGACAGACTTTATTTATCTGAAGGATAGCTTTGCTGGGTCTCATATTCTTGACTGGCAATTTTTTTTCATTCTGCACTTTGAATTTATCATCCCATTCTCTTCTAGCCTGTAAAGTTTCTGCAAAGAAATCTGCTGTTAGTCTAATGATGATTCCCTTGTGTGTGACTTGATGCTTTTCTCTTGCTGTTTGTAGAATTCTTTGTTCTTGACTTTTGACAATATGACTGTAATGTGCCTTGGTGAGGACCTTTTTCCAGTTAAGTCTATTTGGGAAACTTTGAGTTTCCTGGATCTGGATCTCATATGTCTCCCCGGACTTGGGAAGTTTTCAGCTATTATTTCAAGAAATTGGTTTTCTATACCTTTCCCTTCTCTTCTCCTTCTCTAACTCCCATGATATGAATATTTGTTTGCTTAATGGTGTCCCATATGTCTTGCAGGTTTTCTTCACTGTTTTTCATTCTTTTTTTTTTTCCTCTTACTGAGTATTTCAGACTACCTGTCTTTAAGTTCAGAGATTCTTTCTTCTGCTTAAATCTGCCATCAAAGCTCTTTATTGTAATTTTTATTTCATTCATTGAATGTTTCAGCTGTGATATTTCTTTTTTATTATATCTATTTATGTTGAATTTCTTATTCACATTATGAACTGTTTTCCTAATTTCACTGAATTATCTGTCTGTATTTTCTTGTATCTCATTGAGTTTCCTCAATTTCTCATTGAATTCTTTTTCCAGCAATTTGTTGATTTCCTTTTCATGGGAGTCTGTTATTAGAAAGCTATTATGGCTCTTTAGTGGTGTCATATTTCCTTGCTTTTTAGTGTTGCTTGTGTCCCTGCATTGATGCCTGTGCATCTGGTGGAATGACTGTCCCTTCCAAACTTTCCACAGTGGCTCTTGTAGGGAGACTTTCACCTACAGTTGGGTTTCTGTGTGCCATTTGGGAAGGATGTGCTGACTTGTTTCTGGATAGGTGCAGTGGTATAGTCTCCATGAAGTTTTGTCTGTATTCAACATAAGCAATAACTGTGGTTGCCTCAGTGGTATAGGCTGCAGAGGTTTGTGGCAGCAGCAGCAAAGGTTGTTCATCTCTTCACTGTTAAGGGCTTTTGAGGTCTTCCTATTTTTGTTTTCCCCATAGTGGGAAGACTTAGCTGAAGAGATCCCTCTTGTTGTCAAGACTGACACAACCTACAAGCAGCTGCAGTGGTGTGGGGTTCCAGGTGCAGGTGCTTGGAGTGGTTGTGGGACCAGGGTCTTAGACTCAAGGACTCATGAAACTATTGTGGTACCTGGGTCTTCCAGTGCATGTTCACTCTCTATGGCAGAGTTGGATGTAGGTTCCTCCACAGAGCCAGGATCTGTGAATCTGAGGCATCCCATGGGGCCAGGTTGTAGCTGTAATTCTACTTCTAAGCTGGACTCAGCACTGGCCTGACTCTGGGGAGGAAGGAGCGCTCTGGAAGTTTGGGCCCAGCAGGCAGGATATGGCTGCAATTCAGGAACCTGAGGCAATAAGACTCAGTGATAACCCAGATTCCAGTGGATGAAGCACTGTGTAGTAGTGACTTTAGACCCTGGAATAGTGAGGGTCAGTATATCACAGACTCTGTGAGGCCAGGTGCATTGGCAGCAAGTACCCCAGTGTGGTGAACTACAGCTGTCATCTGGGCCCTAGAGGGCCCAGCAGAGCAATGACTCCATTTTCCAGGGAGGGGGTATCTCAGCAGCTCAGACTCTAAGGGGCTAGTTCAACTCTAGGGAAACAGAATACTCTAGTTGTTTGGCCTGTAGGGTGGGGCATCTCAGCTCAGCCATTGCTATTTCCTTGGGACACAGGGTACTACGTCAGCTCAGTCCTGGGATGCACAGCTGCTCAGCTCAGCCAGGGCACCGATCCTCCAAGGGGAAATGTACTGCTACAGCTCAGGGCTGGGGGCTGTGACTATTCTGGGTGGCCCAGGCACCATTTCCCTGGGATACAGGGCACGACTCCAGCTTAGGTACTGGGGTACGTGACCACTCTGAGTGACCAAGGCACCATTTCCTGGGATACAGAGTACTGCTTTAAGTTAGGCACTGGGGAGGCATGACTACACTGAGCAGCCAAGGTACTGTTTTCCCAGGAGGTAGGGTACCACCTAAGCTCCACCCTAAGGGTGAAAGGGGAGGGAGAGTGTAACAGCTTCAGTTGAGTTTCAGAGAGCTCAGTTTGAGGATGTTGGACCACCAGCCCTGGGGTGTTTCCATAGCAGCCTAGTCTCAGGGATGAAGGGGAGCTATAGCTACTCACCCCTGGTGCAAGACATACTTCTGCTGTAGTTCCAGTTCCAAGATGACAGCTCCTTCTCTGGGGGGAGCACAGCTAGTGGAGTCCAGGCAGCTCCTTCAGCTGTGAGGAAGGACTGTGCCTGTAAGGAATGCAGGGACCTCAGTGGTGAAGTCAGTAGGTGTCTAATGTGTTGATGGAGGTTACTGGGATCCTCTTGCTTTCTCTTCCTTGCTGTAGGAAGAAGTTCCTCCTGATTCCCAGCTGACCGTGGTTGGAGGATGGGGTGGTGGAGTCCTGGTGTTTCCTTCCATTTTCCATATGGCCTTCCCTAGTTTCTGCACTCACCAGGGTTTCTGTTACTCCTCTCATGCACTCTGGTGCTCTCCCTTAGTTATTTTCATTAAAACATATAGTTGCCCCTCAGTATATGTGGGGGATTTGTTCCAGGACCCCCATGTATACCAAAATCTACACATACTCAAGTCCCACAGTCAGCCCTGTACCCACATTTTCAAAAAATTGACGCTTGATGTACATGGGTTTCACATCCTTTGAATACAGTATTTTTTATCATGTTTGGTTGAAAAATATCTGTGTATAAGTGGATCCACACAGTTCAAACCTGTGTTGTTCACAGGTCAAGTGTAATTGTTTATTCATTGTTCTTTTTGAGGGCTGTGAACTAGGGTCTTCTAGTTAGCCATCTTGCTGACATTACTCTGAGAAATAAAAAATTTTTTGACAATTTCTAGCTGCAGCATAGAAACCAAGTTCTCTAACATGACATGAAAGACTTCCAGTGATCCTCTGACCCTGACATTTACAAAGATGATCCTGTTGCCTCAGCAAATATCAGTCTTCTCACCTCCTTGCTTCTGCTCATACTGACTTCACTGCCTGAAATATACTTCTCCCTCTCTTAAACTAGACTAGCTACTCATCATTTAAGGCATAAGCACCAAGGTTTAATAAGATTCAAACAGTTCCTTAAAATAAGAGTGAGATGGATTGAGTCACAGTTACGCACAAGTTGGTCTGCTGGCTCAGAGAAGGGAATCTAATCCACCTGGAAATCTGCAAGAATGATTTCTTAAAGAATTTAATCTTTAAATCATGATGTAGTCTTAACTGAGAAGTTAGGCATTTAGGGTGGAGAGGAAAATCACTTCCTTGACTTCTTAAAAGACTATTGTCAATGGTTCTGTGACCTTATATGTAAATGCTTTCCTTACTTGTAATATATCTGGGATGGAGAGAACTCATTCAGAGCCTTATGATTTCTCTCATCTCTTCCAATATTTATTCTCCTTTTCCAGTTAGAGGAAAACTCTGTTTAATAGAAAGAGAAAAGTAACTTATGAGCTGAGGAACTCTGCTCTTTGTCATCCATAAATATTACAAAATAATTCCAGAAGTATAAATCTGAACATTCATTGGTATATTTTTATTCTGAATATAGCTACATAAAATTTTGTTGTCAACATTTTTTTCAAATCTTGGTTTATTTGAGGTTTAATCATCCTGAAACTATTCTATGGTTTATCCACTCTCTTATATTCAACCTTTGTTACATAATCTTTCCATTGTTGTTCATGTTCTTTTAAAAATCTGATGTTTCTCTGCTTCCCAGAAGTCCCAACTTGTAATAGTAAGTGGTTGTGCCAGACACTTGGGTACAATGGTAAATAAAATATAGCAGAGTGGGTGACAAGTAAATAGACATAGTAATATGAAACAAATGCTACTTATTGTGTTATGGGGTTACATCGGAGTTGTTTGTGGGTAGGAGCAAATCAGAAAAGGTTTCTCAGAAAAGGTAATTGTTAAGATTTCAGGGGCCAAATAAATTGAACTTTTTTTTTAACCAACTTCTATATCTATTAAGAATTAGAATGAAAAAGTAAGAGAAAATACTAGCAAACCAAAAGGGATTATACACAATGACCAAATAGGATTTATCCCAGAAATGCAAGGTTAGTTTAGCATACGAAATTATGAAAATTAAACAATATAATATACCATGTTAATAGAATATAAAGAAAAAGGCACATGGTCATCTCAATAGATGCAGAAAAAGTATCTGGCAAAATCCAACATTCTTTCATGATTAAAAAAGAGACACTCAACAAATTAGGAAAGATAGAATCTTCCTCTACTAAAAAAAAAAAAGCCATCTTCAAAAATCCTGCAGCTAATGTCATAGTTGGTAGTGCAAGACTAAATGCTTTTCTCCCTGAGACCTGGAACAAGACAGGGATATTCACTCTCAACACTTCTATTCAACATTATAATGAAGGCTTCAGCCGGGCAATAAGGCAAGAAAAAAAAAAAGGCATCCAAATTAGAAAGAAAAAAGCGAAGCCATTTCTATTTGTAGGATATATGTTCTTGTATATAGAAAATCCGAAGGAACACACACACACACATACACACGCCACACTATTAGCACTAATAAATGAGTTCAACAAGGTTGCAGGATAAAAGATCAATAGGCAAAAATCAGTTGTAATGAATGAACTGTATGGTATGTGAATTACATCTCAAAAACCTGTTATAAAAATCAATTGTATCTCTATACACTAGCAATGAACATTTAAAAAATGAAATTAAGAAAACAATTCCATTTACATTAGCATCAAAAAGAACAAAATACTTAGGAATAAATTTTACAAAAGAAGTACAAGACTTATAAACTGAAAACTACAAAAAACACAGTTGAACTGTATTAAAGAAGCTTTAAATAAATGGCAAGATAACTCTGGTCATGGATCAGAAGATTTAATATTGCTAGATGGCAATACTCCTCAAATTGATAGATTCAGTGCAATCCCTATCAAAATGTCAGCTACCTTTTGTGCAGAAACTAACAAACCAAATCTGAAATTTATATGGAAATACAAGGGACCCAGAATAACCAAAGCAATTTTGATAAAGAACAATGTTTAAGGATTCCTGATTTCAAAACTGACTACCAAGCTATAGTAATTGAGACTGTGTGGTACTGGCCTAAGGGTAAACATATAGATAAATGAAATAGGATTGAAAATATGTAAATAAACCTTTATATATATTTCAATTGATTTTTCAACAAAGATGCCAGGACAATTGGATGGGGAAAAAAAATAGTCTTTTCAGCAAATGGTACTGGGACAACTGGATATCCACATGCAAAAGAATGAAGTTGGCCGTGTTCCTTATACCATACACTAAAAATAATAAAAAATGGATCACAGAAACAAATGTAGGAGTTAAAACTACTCTTAGAAGAAAATATAGACTTACTATTTAAACAGATAATAAGGGGCCTTCTCGTTTTAGCTGCAACATGAATAATGCTTGAAAGTCAACATTCCTGTCCTTACAACAACAAAAAAGCTGAACAAACTAAAAATCAGCAACTTATTGGATCCATCAGAGAACTGAGGCTGACAAGTAAACTACTACCCTGAAATCTGAAGAGACAGACGAATCCAGGGAGTCACTGCTGAGATCTGCTTGTCTGAGGCAGAAGCTGCTAGAATCATAAACTGGTAGGAACACTTAAACAGTGATTTTAACAAATTGCCAGAGGCTGAGTGCGCACTAGCTTGAAAGTGAGAAACTCCTGGTGGCCATAGTCTTGTCTGGAGCTTCATTTTTGTGGACTTTATCTTCAGGAATCCCACCAGGTTCTCATAGAGCCAAGAAAGACCTCTTAGTTGCTCTGGAAAGGGGAGAAGAAGAGTAAACATTGTGAAATACACCCAGAGCATTCTCCGTAACAAGGGCCTACTCTCTTAGGGTGTTAACTCTAAAAGGAGAAAATCAATAGGTTAGAGACAAATGAAGCATTTATTCAGAATAGGAATTGCAACCTGGGTAGTAGTCAGAGACCATACCACCCAAGAGGAGCAAGAGGCCTTACATTTATAGGAATTTATTCAGATTACATAAGTTGTTTGTCAGATTTTTCATTGGTTTACCAAACAAAGAAGGCTTTAATCATTAGTAGAATGGTGCATTTGCAACAGCTGGCAAGGAAAAATTATATACAGAATCCCTTAAAGACTGGGATCAGTTTCCTTGTATTGTTGAGAGCACAGATGTTTGCAAAGGAACTTGGTTTTCATAGTTCCCTTGTTGGTCTCACAGTTCATCAGCAGTTCAACATGGAGTAAGTAGCCCAAGATAGAGTCACTCATGTTAAGCCTGGAACTCTGCTAAGTTCACAAGGTGAACAGTCTTTACCAGAACCTTATCCTATTTTCGGGGAGGGATATTTCTGCAACTCCAGCCTCCTCTAGTCTTCCTGTCTCACTGGAGGGTTGGAGGAAGAAAAGCTAAGAAACACTTATTAAGGTCATAGCCCAGGAACACAGGCCCACTTAGACTGAGATTTAAAAATAAGTTTATAGGATACTTCCTCTCCCCCATACCTTACCACCACACCAACATGACTCCAGTATAATAACAGTGGTTTACAGCTGATAAAGCAGCAAGAAAGACAGATTCTATCTGATAAGTCGTTCTTTGGAAATCCTAAAGACAACAGGAGAGACAAAAACAAATATCCTAGAGGAATTCCAAGCCTTTGATACTAGTGGCTACAGCAAACATTAAACAGTCCAATTCCTTGTCAGATTAATATAAAACCCCATAGTAAAGGCCTATTAACTTCAGTTTTTGTTACCCACTGTCCTGTGACCAACAAAAGATTTTAAAGCATTTTAAAAGGCAAGAAAATACAAAAGCCATATGTTATCTTTGCTTTCAGTTCCCCAAAATAGAAAATGGAAGCAACACTGTTTTTTGTGCTAATTGGATACATCATAGATTACCCACCATTCAAAGTCACTGTCACTTTTTTTCCCCTTGACTGCTGATGTTGGCAACCATGATTTTTGCTGCTCACAATAATGGATCATCCAGGGGAGCATCACTCTGAGTGGACGGGGGTACTGAAGTGCAACTTAAGTGTGTTGCAATCTGGAGTGCTAACAATTCATCTTTGGGCAGGACACAGTGGCTCACGCCTGTAATCCCAGCACTTTGGGAGGCTGAGGCAGGCAGATCACCTGAGGTCAGGAGTTCAAGATCAGCCTGGCCAACATGGTGAAACCCTGTCTCTACTAAAACTACAAAAATCAGCTGGGTGTAGTTCCACATACCTGTAGTCCCACCTACTTGGGAAACTGAGGCAGGAGAATTGCTTGAACCTGGGAGGCGGAGGTTGCAGTGAGCTGAGATCATGCCACTGCACTCCAGGCTGGGTGACAGAGACAGACTCTCTCTCAAAAAAAAAAAATTAATCTTTGACTTTACCTGTGAGTTAACTGTTTTGCTTACATTGAGATAGCACTAACTTAATTTCAGTGTTGTGTATATTGGGATCATGTTTCCTAAGAGTTCAGACAATGAAAAGAGAATGAGTATAATACCAATGCCAGCATGGCCCAAATGTCACCAAAAAAGAAAAAGAGGAAAGAAAGAAAGAAAGAGAGAGACAGACAGACAGACAGACAGAGAAGGAAGGAAGGGAGGGAGGGAGGAAGGAAGGAAAGAAAGAAAGAAAGAGATATATATGGCTATTCTTTTAATGACTCGTGGAAGAACATATACAACTAGGAAGATACCCAAAATAGAACATCACCAAAAAAGAAAAAGAGAAAAAAACAAAAAGAAAAAGAAAGAAAGAAAGAAAGATAGATAGATAGATAGATAGATACATAGATAGATAGATAGATAGATAGATAGATAGATAGATAGGGCTATTCTTTTAATGACTGGTGGAAGAACTTATACAACTAGGAAGATACCCAAAATAGAACATCACCAAAAAAGAAAAAGAGGGAAGAAAGAAAGAGAAGAAAGAAAGAGAAAGAATGAAAGAAAGAAAGAAAGAAAGAAAGAAAGAAAGAAAGAAAGAAAGAAAGAAAAAGGGAAGAAGGAAGGACATACATGGCTATTCTTTTAATGACTGGCGGAAGAACATATACAACTAGGAAGATACGCAAAATAGAGCATATGACAAAATATGCAGAAAAGAATTTGGGATTGTGCATTATAAAGGAAAGGATGTGAAAGCACATATGAAGACTGAATCTCAGGAGTCCTGGAAGAGACAAGCAAGTACTTCTAAATCAATTGAAAGTGTTTTTATGACCCAAGAAGATACCAATGCTCAGTTGAACATAATAACTGGTGAATTTGCTTGGGCATACCACCCAAATGAATGCTTATCACATCAACAAATGAATGCTTATCACATCATTCATTCCCTTGATTGCTTGATGAAACAAAGTAAAATTACATTTCCTGGTTCAAAGGTTACGACTAAAATATCCCGTCGGTCAACAAAGGGAAAATTTTGTAAAAGATGTGTTGGCCTCTTAAAGGGTAGAGCTCATTTTGTCAGATCTTACCAACAATAATGTTTTCTACAGTGTATCAAGTGATACACTGAATCATGGCAACAAAAGAAAAAATCCCCATGGCTTTTAGGTACTTTGATTTGAAAAGTGAGGTTTCAAATAATCTTGATTTCTATGAATATTTTAATGAAACCAAAGAAAACATAAAACCAAATATTGCTAGCTAATATTTTGTCCAAAAACTAACTAGACTTTGCTCATCAATCTGCATTATTGGCAATGAAAATGTAAATTTTGGCATGTTTCATTCAGTCTGTGAACTTCTTATCAAAGAAAATGAAAAGATCTTACCCACTAAATGTCTTCCATATGTTGTACTGTGAAGGGTATGATTTGCTAGCCTGTGACATTGAGGCTTTTATAATAAAAGTTTGGGGTCACTTTTTAATTTCCTGAAAACATACAGAAGCACTGAATGAGACTTCTGACTTTATGGAAATGGAAGAAGATATCCTCCTTAGACATGTACCTGAGTTATTTGATATTATATGTAGGTTGTGACAAAGACGTGTATGGTAAAAAATGACATTTGGGAAGAAATAAGACTGACTCAGAACTCAAAAATATGTCACCAGAAAGGAGCATACAAGTTAAACAGTACTAAAATTATAATTTATTTGTAATCTATGCTCAGTTTAAGTTCAGATTACCTCAGTGCTTTAAAAACATTTTCCCTGAGAAAGAGAAGTTTAACTTATAATGACATTCAATGTGCTTTAGATAATCTATCTATAAACAGGATATTTTAGATATGGAGACCCTACATGATGAATTTATAGATGCAAAGGGCCTAAATGACAAACAGTTAGTCTACCAAAATAGGTCTACAGATACAAAGTGAGTGGACAGTTTTGAAAAGCTGGAAACCAATTCCTACAAGTCTAAATACCTGCCGTTGCTAATAAGTAAAGTCTAAATACAGTCATCCCTTTGTATCATGGAGGATTGTTTCCAGGATCTCCTACAGATACCAAAATCTGCATATGCTCAAGTCCTGTTGTAAAATGGCATAGTGTTTGCATATAACCTATGCATATCCTCCAGTATGCTTTAAGTCATCTCTAGATTACTTATAATACCTGATACAATGTGAATGCTATGTAAAAAGTTGTAAGACTATATTGTTTAGGGAATGATGACAAGGAAAAAAGTCTGCACGTGTTTGGTACAGATGCATTTTTTTCCTAAATATTTTCCATCCTCAGTTGGTTAAATCCACGGATGTGGAGCCCACACAAACAATGCCAACTGTATTCCATGCTGAAAACATTTTTGTTGACAGGATATCTAACTTGATGTCATTGCATTGGAATGATACCAGGAGCAGTGTAATGTGGGCTTGATAAGAGCAGATCTGAAAGTCAAAGGGAATTTCGCATTTAAGTGAGAATACACTGTTTAATCACTACATCAAAGAAAGATATCTCAAAGGCTGCAGGCAGTTCAGAGAAGTATTATTGGAAAAAGAAACAGGAAGAGCAAAAATATCCTACTTTATCATGGGACACTAAGAAATATGTCATTGTTAGTTTTTAATAAATATTTACATTGATCTTTTAAAAGGTCTTATCTATAACCTAAGAATATACAATAATAATATGACATATAAAACTTAAATATCCACTAAAGAGCTAAAATGTGTATCAGAGGAGAGAAACATTATAAAAAAATTACTTTTCTCACACATACTATTAATCTGTTCTACTATTACTACTAATTGCCACTGTTAACTAGTCCTGTTGTTGTTTTGCCTAATCACCTGTATGTAACAGCAAAGTAAATAATATAGAATAATAAAAATGTTAAACACTTTTCATATTTCATTTTAAAATAATATGTGTATGTAATTATTATATGTTAGACTATTTTTTGGTCTGGTATATCTGTGTCCTAGATTGGCTCTAAAAATGTTGGTTACCTTAGTGTACCTGTCACTGTCTTTCATAGATCCTAACATAGATAAATTCAGTTCTGGAATGTTTAACATTTATTAGATAGATTAGGTATTTATATTGTTTGCTGTTCTCTTGAAACAGTTTAATTTAAAGGCTTCCAGGGGAAATATGTATGCATATATTTTGTGTGTCTGAATGAAACAATGGTAGGTTAATTGAAGATAAGCTCAATTAAACTAGCCATTAAATATATGAAGTAATTGTCAAGAAAGTTAAAAATTAAGTTTTATTGATTTTTAAGACCTAACTTCAGATATTTTATGGTATATTCTCTTTTTTAGTGAAAATACCTGAACGAGCCCCTTCTTGGCTTCTAAAAAAATATTTGAGGTAGGAGAACTGTACTTGATTTCTTCTACCTGACTACCTTACACCTTTTCCTCTGTCTTATAAGATTTTGATTTTGAATTAAAGCAACAGGTAAAAGTGACTTTTTGGATAACCATTGCTAATCAGATGTCTCCTCATATTCTACATAGTATCTGTGACTAGGTCAGTTTTATACACAGTGCCCCACAAGATGTGTTTTAGCAGGTTCTGGGAAGATTTCGCTATCCCCAGACTACCCCAATAGATGCTTTAAAATCTAGTTAGATATTTATTTCTGTGCATTTAGCATTGTATTGTCTGAGTTTCTCTTTTTTTTTTTTTTTTTTTTTTTGAGATGGAGTCTCGGTCTGTCGCCCAGGCTGGAGTGCAGTGGCATGATCTCAGCTCACTGCAAGCTCCGCCTCCCAGGTTCACGCCATTCTCCTGCCTCAGCCTCCCGAGTAGCTGGAACTACAGGCACCCGCCACCATACCTGGCTAATTTTTGTATTTTTAGTAGAGATGGGGTTTCACCGTGTTAACCAGGATGGTCTCGATCTCCCGACCTCGTGATCTGCCTACCTCAACCTCCCAAAATGCTGGGATTACAGGCGTGAGCCACTGCACCCGAGTTTCTCTTTAAAAAAAAAAAAAACACTGGTGGCATAAGATAATTATCTAGCACTTTAGAATGAATGACAATCAAATGCTTTACTATCCATTGCAGCAACTGGAGCACTGGTCATGGGGGGATAAAACTAATACTAAAAACTGGAGAAAGAAGAGAATGGGAAGTCAAATATAACAGACAAACTTTATAGTTTTGTCTAAACCAGTAATTATTATATCTCTATCACCCTTGGCAAGTTTCCCCTTACTTAGGAATAATATAAACAACTGTCTGGATGGTGGAATAGGTAACCATAGGTAAGTATTTGAGAACCAACTAGATTTGTACAACAGAGAGACCATGGTATATCCTCTCTTCCTTCCTGGCTTCTCTTCTAAGAACTCAGTTTCTGTTAAATAAAATGGGTTCTGATGAAAGATGTAGACTCTCTTGCCCCAGAAATATAGAAATTTAGGTAAGAGACCAACATGTAAAGCATCTTTGGGCCTACTTTCACTTGGATCTAGAATTGGTTATTTTAAACTGACTTAATTTTTTAAAATGTATTATTTATCATGTCTTATGGAAAGAAATAAAATGATATATCAAGACAAAAGAAGGTAATAGAAAAAGTACTGCAGTTAGAAGATGTGAATGCTACACCCACCTCTGCCCCTTACTAGTTATGTGATCTTGAGCAAATAGCTTAACCTCTCTGATTCCCCTTATGTAACATGGGAATAACATTGGCCATCCTGCCTACATCATGAGACTGATCAGAGCACCAAGTATGATAGTGTATTAAAAGACTTTGCATACCCTGAGGTGTAATATGCAAATATAACATGGCTATTACATTACTCTTACATGAGTAGCTTACTGTTGACAATGAAATCAGAGGACCCAATTTTTTTCATCTCCCAAAGTATGACTCAGAGTCATAGCAAAGACCAACACAAACATTTTTTAGAAATCAGTGAGAGGCCAATCTAGGAAAAAAATTCCCCTCAAGGGAACTGATTTGTATGGAAACTGTTTCAAAGTGACATCCCTGCAGTCTCCTATGGGCAAACAAACTTCTACTTGGACTGAGAAGACAAGGATACCAACAGAAGGTTGTTACTTGTTTTTATTGTTTAAGATTTTCATGCATACAAAGATGGTTTTCACTATATCATCATTAACATATCCTATGAAACTTGGATTATGGGAACTACTTTTGTAAAAGGATGAGATTGATAGCTATTTTAGTCCTGTCTGTGAAAAATACTTGCTTTATTTAATTTGTATATGAGTTGAATATAGAAGGAAATTATTTCAGTTTAATATAGCCTTAAAAAAAAAACTTAATTGCTGTATTCCTAATACCTTCCTGTTACTTGATGCCTTTCATCCTCACCACCACCCGCCAAGAAAATAAAAAGACATTCTGGTCACTTCTGCTTCCTAGACATGGGGTTTTCAGTTGAAAACCATCTTTTACTTCATCACTCTTTAGAGTGGCCCTTAACTAATTGAAGACTAATATAGTTCATAGTTTCTGTCTTGGGATATTTCTATACTGAAGTGCCCAACAGAAGGGCAGAAAAGATTGGCCCAGCCTTGATTCCATCATGGTTGATATGGTTTGCCTGTGTCCCCACCCAAATCTCATCTTCAATTATAGCTCCCATAATTCCCACATGTTGTGGGAGGGATTCCATGAGAGATAATTGAATCATGGAGGCGGCGTCCCCCATGCTGTCCTCATGATAGTAAATAAGTCTCACGAGATCCGTTGGTTTTATAAGGGGTTTCCGCTTTCGCTTTGCTCTCATTCTCTCTTGCCTGCTTCCATGTAAGACGTGCCTTTTGCCTTCCACCATGATCGTGAGGCCTCCCTAGCCACATAGAATCGTGATTCCATTAAACCTCTTTTCCTTTATAAATTACCCAGTCTGGAGAATGTCTTTATCAGCAGCATAAAAACAGACTAATACAATGGTAATTCATGTTAGTTTAAATTATAGTAAGTAAGGCTAAAGTCAAATTCACCGCTCCAAATCTGTGATTACTTAAATATTATCTGCTGAGCTTCAATGGAACATAAAGTTTCTTCATTAGGTCTAAAAATTGGACTACCATGGAAATTATACTTATATTTTCTTCTGTTTCTGGAATGAATTGACATTTTTAGTTTACCTTCCCTAAAGTGTTTTATAAAAAACAGTCATTCTATTCATTAATTCTTAAAAAATGTTAATAATATCAAAGATAATAATATGGAATAATTGGCCAATAAAATTTTATACTCCATTGACATAATCCAAAGCATTGAAACAATGCATCTCAAAATATGCACCACACTTACTCATGTTCTCAGTATTATGTGGCTATGACAAGCCAGTAGACCATTTCATGAAGGCTTAAATTTTCACCAAGAGTACTTTCAGTATGAGAGAACTTTGGTCCTTTCTCTTGTGGTTTTTTTTTTTTCATTGCTCTAATGCTTGGAAGGTTTTACCCCATCTCCCATCTCCAGATCATAAAATGATCATCTATTTGGCTCTTAAATATTCATATAAAAATTAACCCTAACCCTTGTCTTACACCATAGCAAAAAAAAATTAACTCAAAATGGATCATAGATCTAAATATCTAAGCTAAAATCATAAAAACTTATAGGAAAAAGCATGGGAGAGAATCTTTATGGTCTTGGAATAAGAAAAGACTCCTCAAATAGTACTCATAAACACCAATTATAAAAGAAAAACTTGGTAAATGAACTTCATCAAAATCATTCTCTTTAAAAGACACTGTTAAGAAAATTAAAATGCATGGGACATATTGGAAAAAAATTACCAAATGTACAACCAATAAAGGCCTTGTTTTATACCTATGTCATTTCTTCTTTGAACTTGGTAAACACAAACACAATACTCCGGCAGAATCCACTCTTCTACTTAGCCAGACCATCCGCACCTGGAAATAAGTCATGGCATTCCAGGAATCATTTCTCTTTCTTTGGAACGTGCTTCACCTGCCTAGATTTTCTGCTTATGTTAGCTGTCTATAATCATTTCTTCTAATGCTCTTGGTGGATTCTAAATATTAATCACTGCAGCAAAAAGAAATCAAATTATTGAAGCTGAGTGATAGGTTTAAGAGGGAGTTCCTTATACTAGTCTCTCTATATTCGGGAATATAGAAAATGTTTTAAGTGAAGTCCAAAAATATACTCTCACAACTATCAATAATCTGTTCTTGAATCAAACTCTCACCCATATGAGTTAGAGTATAGAATATTTCCAGTGTTTCTTTATTTTCTTAATATGCATGCTTTTTTCTTAGGAAAGATTTTTAAAAATCAGCCTACAGGAGTTTTATCTGATCCGTCTGCACTGTATTTAACAGAAAGGCCTTCAAGTTTCTGACATATGGAAACCCATAATCCCTACTGTTTTCTTATGGTAGTCAGTTTCCTCTTTTTCACATTCTATCTCAGTAGGAGACTGAGAGGGGAATAATAGATATCTGTAGTCACATCATATCTCACTGAAAGTTGGAATCTGGACAGGTATAAATAAGCAGAGTCAGGCAGATTGAGAATCTACATTAGCTCAATTCCAAATTTAAGGAATATAGGTTACATTTCAGCTCTTGCAACCTCATCCACGTCTCTATCACATTTTCTCCATTCCTTGTGTTGTAATTTTCTTCAACTGCTTCAACTGCTTTATTTTTTTTTAATGTAAGGATGTTCATCATGGTATTATTTTATTTTTAAACTTTGAAGTTTGGGGTACATGTGCAGGTACCCCATATAGGTAAACTTATATAGGTAAACTTATGTCATGGGGTTTGTACAGATTATTTCATCACCCCAGTACCCAATAGATACTTTTTCTGATCCTCTCCCTCCTCCCACCCTTCACCCTCAAGTAGGCCCCAGTGTCTGTTGTTCCCCTCTTTGTGTCCCTATGTTCTCATAATTTGGCTCCCACTTATAAGTGACAACATGTGATATTTGGTTTTCTGTTCCTGTGCTAGTTTGCTAAGGTTAATGGCCTCCACCTCCATCCATGTTCCTGCATAGGACATGATCTCATTATTTTCATGGCTACATAGTATTCCATGGTGTATGTGTACCACATTTTCTTTATTCAGTCCACCATTGATAGGCATCTAGGTTGATTCCATGTCTTTGCTATTATTCACAATAGCAATGAATAGCGTTGCAGTGAACATACATATGCATGTATTTTTATGATAAAATGATTTATATTGCTTTGGATATATACCCAGTAATAGAATTACCAGGTTGAGTGGTAATTCTGTTTTTAGCTCCTTAAGGAATCACCATACTGCTTTCTATAATGGTTGAACTAATCTACACTCCCACCAACAGTGTATAAGATTCCCTTTTTTCTGCAACCTTGCCGGCATTTGTTATTTTTTGACTTTTTAATAATAGTCATTCTGACTGCTGTGAGATGGTATCTCATTGTGGTTTTGATTTGCATTTCTTTAATGATCAGTGATATTGAGCTTTATTTCATATGCCTTTTGGCCACATGTATGTCTTCTTTTGAAAAGTGTTCATGTCCTTTGCCCACTTTTTAATGGGGCTGTTTGGTTTTTTTTTTTCTTGTACATTTGTTTAAGTTCTTTATAGATGCTGGATATTTAGACCTTTGTCAGATGCAAATATTTTCTCCCCACTCTGTAGGTTGCCTGTTTACTCTGTTGATAGTTTCTTTTGCTGTGCAGAAGCTCTTAAGTTTAATTAGATCTCATTTGTCAATTTTTGCTTTTGTTGTGATTGCTTTTGGTGTCCTTGTCATGAAATTTTTGCCAGTTCCTATGTGCAGAATAGTATTGCCTAGGTTGTCTTCCAGGGTTTTTATAGTTTTGGGTTTTACATTCAAGTTTTTTTTTTTTTTTTTGAGATGGAGTCTTGCTCTTTCACCCAGGCTGGAGTGCAGTGGTGTAATCTTGGCTCACTGCAACCTCCACCTCCCAGATTCAAGAGATTCTCTTGCCTCAGCCTCCCCAGTCGCTGGGATTACAGGTGCCCACCACCACGTCTGGCTAATTTTTGCATTTTTAGTAGGGATGGGGTTTCACCATGTTGGCCAGGCTGGTCTTGAACTCCTGACCTCAGGTGATCCGCCTGCCTCGGTCTCCCAAAGTGCTGGGATTACAGGCATAGGCCACTGCGCCCAACCTACATTCAAGTTTTTAATCCATCTTGAGTTGATTTTTGTATATGGTGTAAGGTAGGGGTGCAGTTTCAATCTTCTGCATATGGCTAGCCAGTTATCCCAGCACCTGTTATTGAATAGGGAATCTTTCCCCATTGCTTGTTTTTGTCAGATTTGTAGAAGATCAGATGGTTGTAGATGTGCAGCCTTATTTCTGGGCTCTCTATTTGGTTCCATTGGTCTATGTGTCTGTTTTTGTACAGTACCATGCTGTTTTGGTTACTATAGCCCTATAATATAGTTTGAAGTCAGGTAACGTGATGCCTCCAGCTTTGTTCTTTTTGCTTAGGATTGCCTTTGCTATTTGGGCTTTTGTTTGTTTGTTTGTTTCCATATGATTTTTACAATAATTTTTTCTGGTTCTGTGAAGAATGTCATTGGTAGTTTGATAGGAATAGCATTGAATCTGTAAATTGCTTTGGACAATATGACCATTTTAATGACATTGATTCTTCTGACCCATGAGCATGGAATGTTCCATTTGTTTATGTCACTTCTGATTTCTTTGAGCAGTGTTTTGTAATTTTCATTGTAGAGATCTTTCACCTCCCTAGTTACCAATATTCCTAGGCATTTTATTCTTCTTGTGGCTATTATGAATGGGATTGTGTTCCTGATTTGGCTCTCGGTTAGGCTGTTGTTGGTATATAGGAATGCCAGTGATTTTTGTACATTGATTTTGTATCCTGAAACTTCCTGAAGTTGTTTGTCAGCTGAAGGAGCTTTTGGGCCAAGACTGAGGTTTTCTAGAATCATGTTGTCTGCAAACAGGCATAGTCTGAATTCCGCTCTTCCTATTTGGATGCTCTTTATTTCTTTATCTTGGCTGATTGCTCTGGCCAGGTCTTCCAATATTATGTTGAATAGAAAGGTGAGAGAGGGCATCCTTGTCTTGTGCCAGTATTTAAGGGGAATGCTTCCAGCTTTTGCCCACAGTACGATGTTGGCTGTGGGCATGTCATAGATATTTTTAGGTATGTTCCTTCAATACTAGTTTATTGAGAGTTTTTAACATGGAGGAATGTTGAATTTTATCAAAAGCCTTTTCTGCATCTATTGAGAAAATCACGTGGTTTTGTCTTTAGTTCTGTTTATGTGATGAATCACATTTCTTGATTTGCATATGTTGAACCAAACTTGCATCCCAGGAATAAAGCCTACTTGATCATGGTGGATTAGCTTTTTGATGTGCTGCTGGATTTGGTTTGCAAGTATTTTGTTGAGGATTTTTGCATCAATGTTCACCAAGGATATTGGCCTGAAGTTTTCTTTTATTGTTGTGGCTCTGCCAGGTTTTGGTATCAGGATAATGCTGGCTTCATAGAATGAGTTGGGGAGGAGTCCCTCCTCCTCAGCTTTTTGAAATAGTTTCAGTAGGAATGGTACCAGCTCGTCTTTGTACATCTGATTGAATTCAGCTGTGAATCTGTTTTGTCCTGGGATTTTTTTGGATGATAAGCTATTTATTACTGATTCTATTTCAGAGGTCACTATTGAACTGTTCAGGGAATCGATTTCTTCCTGGTTCAGTCTTGGGAGGGTGTATATATCCAGGAATTTATCCATCTCTTCTAGGTTTTCTAGTTTGTGTGCATAGACATGTTCATAGTAGTCTCTGATTATTGTTTTACTGTGGGGTTAGTGGTAACATCCCCTTTGTCATTCCTTATTGTGATTCTTTGGATCTTCTCTCTTTTCTTCTTTATTAGTCTAGCTACCAACCTATCTATATTATTGATTTTTTTTTCAAAAAGCCAACTCCTGGATTAATCGATATTTTCAATGGCTTTTTCATGTCTCAGTCTCCTCCACTTCAGCTCTGACTTGGGTTGTTTCATGTCTTCTGCCAGCTTTGAAGGAGGTTTGCTCCTGCTTCTCTAGTTATTTTAGTTGTGAGGTTAGGTTGTTAATTTGAGATCTTCCTAACTTTCTGATATGGGCATTTAGTGATATAAATTTCTCTCTTAACACTGCCTTAGCTATGTCCCAGAGATTCTGGTATGTTATATCTTTGTTCTCATTAATTAAAAAGAGCTTCTTGATTTCTGCCTTAACTTCATTATTTACCCGAAAGTCATTCAGGAGCATGTTGTTTAGTTTCCCTGTAATTGCATGGTTTTGAGCAAATTTTTTAAATCTTGATTTCTATTTTTATTGTGCTGTGATCTAGGAGTGTGTTGGTTATGATTTCAGTTCTTTTGCATTTCCTGAGAATTGTTTTATGTCTGATTGTGTAGTCAATTTTAGAGTATGTACCATATGGCAATGAGAAGAATGTATATTCTGTTGATTTAGGATGGAGAGTTCTGTAGATGTCTATCAGATCTATTTGGTCCAATGTTGGATTCACATCCTGAATATCTTTGTGAATTTTCTGCCTTGGTGATCTAATACTGTTAGTGGAGTATTGAAGTCTCCCACTATTTTGTGTGGGAATCTAAGTCTTTTTGTAGGTCTCTAGGAACTTGCTTTATGAATCTGGGTGCTCCTGTGTTGGGTACATATATATTTAGAATACTTAGGTCTTCTTGTTGAATTGAGCCCTGATTACCATTATGTAATGTCTTTATCTTTTTTTTTTATCTTTGTTGATTTAAAGTCTTGGTGGTCTGAAATTAGGATTGCAACCCCTGCTTTTTTCTGATTTCCATTTACTTGGTAGATTCTTCTCCATCCCTTTATTTTGAGCCTATGGGTGTCACTGCATGTGAGATGGGTCTCTAGAAGATAGCATACCATTAGATTTTGCTGTTTTTTTCCAGCTTGCCACTCTGTACCTTTTAAATGGGGGCATTTAGCCCATTTACATTCAAGGTTAGTATTGATATGTGTGGATTTGATCCTGTCATTGTGTTGTTAGCTGTTTATTATGCTGGCTGGCTTGTGTGATTGCTTTATAGTGTCACTGGTCTACGTACTTAAGTGTTTTGGCTGGTATTGGTCTTTCCTTTCCATATTTAGTGCTCCTTTCAAGATCTCTTATAAGGTGGGTCTGGTGGTAATGAACTCCCTCAGCATTGGCTTATCTAAAATGGATCTTATTTCTCCTTCACTGAGGAAGCTTAGTTTGACTGGATGTGGAATTCTGGGTTCAAAATTTTTTTCTTTAAGAATATTGAATATAGGCCCCCAATCTCTTCTGGCTTGTAGGGTTTCTGCTGAGAAGTCAGCTGATGGGGTTCCCTTTGTAGGTGACCTGCCCTTTCTCTCTACCTGCCTTTAATAGTCTTTCATTTCTACCTTGGAAAATCTGATGTTTATGTGTCTTGGGAATGATCTTCTTGTATAGAATCTTGCAGGGGTTTCCTGTATTTTCTGGATTTGACTGATGGCCTCTCTAGCAAAGTTGGGGAAGTTTTCATGGACAATATCCTGAAATGTTTTGCTTTTTCCCTGTCCCTTTCAGGGATGCAAATGATTCATAAATTTGGCCTCTTTACATAATCCATGTTTCTCAGAGGTTTTGTTCATTCCTTTTTATTCTTAGTTCTCTTTATTTTTATCTGGCTGTCTTAATTCAGAGAACCAGTCTTCAAGCTCCAAGATTCTTTCCTCAGCTTGGTCTATTCTGCTGTTAATACTTAGGGTTGTGTTGTGAAATTCTTGTAGTGTGTTTTATAGCTCTATAAGATCAGTTAGGTTCTTTTTTATACTGCCTATTTTGTTTGTCAGCTCCTGTATCCATTTTATTGTGATTCTTAGTTTCCTTGGATTGGGTTTTGCCATTCTCCTGAATTTTGATGATCTTTCCTATCCATATTCTGAATTCTATTTCTGTCATTTCAACCAACTCAGGTTAAGAACCCTGGTTGGAGAACTGATGCAGTCATTTGAAGGACATAAGACACTTGGGCCATCGAACTGCCAGAATTCTCTCTAGGGCCTGGAGGCAGCACGGGTGAGGGCTGCAAGAGAGCAAAGATGACAACCCACCTCTCCCACTGAGAGCTCTGTCCCAGGCAGTTGTAGAGCTGCTATTGGCTCGATAGCCCCAGCAAGGAGTGGCTGAAGACTCAGACTGGGAGGACATGCCTAGTGAAGAGATACAGGATGGGGGCCCACATAACAAACAGTCTGCCCGCTTTCTGTATGGCTGCTGCAGTATGCTGGGGGTCTGCTCCAGTCCCTTGTCACCTCGGATTTTTCAGCACCTGAAGGTACCAACAATGAAGGTCGTGAAACAGCAAAGATGGTGGCCCACCCCTCCCTCTGGGAGCTCTGTCCCAGGGAAGTTTGAAACTGTTGCTGACAGAAAACACTAGCAGGGGTATCTGTAGACCTTGGTCAGGAAATTCCTCCCAGTGAAGAGAAATGGGATCCAGTGCCTGTGTGAAAAAGCAGTCTGACCACTTTTATGGAGAGCTGCTGTGCTGCGCCAGGGGACCACTCCAATCCCTAATCACCTCAGACTGTCTAGAGCCTGAAGGCAAACATGGCTAAGGCTGTGAAATAGCAAAGACGGTGGCCCATCCTTTCTCGTGGAAGCTCTATACCAGGGAGGCTCTGAACCACTGCCAGCTGGAAAACACCAGTAAGGGTGACTGGTGACCCTGGTTGAGAAGTTCTGCCCATTGAGGAGAAGCAGCATCAAAGACCCATGTGAAAAAGTAGTCTAGCTTCTTTTCTGTAGGGTGGCTGCACCAAAGGCAACAATGGCTAGGGCTGCAAAACAGCAAAGATAGTGGTTCACCCTCCCTCTGGGAGCTCTGTCTCAGGGAGGTGTAACACTGCTACTAGTGGCTGGCTGGAGTTCCAAGCCAGTCCCTCTGGGAGCTCTGTCTCAGGGAGGTACAACACTGCTACCACTGGCTGGCTGGAGTTCCAAGCCAGTGGGTCTTATCCTGAGATGTGCTGTGGCAGCAGGATCTGCAGACGGTCACTGCTCAGCCCCCTGGATTCAGCCCCTTTCCTAGGGGTATGTACAGAGGTCTAACTTCCCACTTTGCTGGAGTTGCAGCCACTTTTGCTGGGAAACCCGAGTATCTAAAGCTCCTGGGGCTCTGTATATGCCTGAGTAGCTGCTCTGCCAAGACTCCATGTATCAATAACCCTATGTGTCAGACTGCAGGAATTGGTGGAGTGGGTTCATGAGAAGACCTCCTGACCTGGGAGCTGCAAAGATCTGTGGGAGAAGCGTGGGTCCCCATCATCACTCACTGACTCACCCCTTCCTTGGGCAGGGGAGGCTCTCCTGGCTCTGTGTCGCTCCTGGGTGGGCAGCTGTCTGCCTTGCTTTTCTCTGTTCTCCATGGGTCAAGTTGTTTTCTTTATGAATCCAATGTGTGTACCTGGATATTTCAGTTGAAGGTGTTGTGTTCACTCACTCCTTCAGTTTCTCTCCATGAGAGCGACAAATGCAAGCTCCATCTAGCCAGCCTCCCAACCACTTTCTTAACAATGTCCTTAAAACTCGTTTTGCCTCCTTATCCTTTGACTAAGCCAATGCTGAACAACTGCAATTCTGGATGAATCTAACTATCCATCTCTGCCCCTATCTTAGATTACAGAGCCCTGCTGGAGAAAAATTACATTACCAAATGGCATTATACATTCTTGTTTGCATAATTTATATATACATATACTTGATCAGCTACCTCTTCCATTCTCCAAAGTAACTATTCTAAACTTTTTCCTCTCTCTCTCCTACCTAACATCTCCCCTTTACCCTCAGTAGATGACCTAACTTCTTACTTCACATATAAAACAGAAACAAAAACCAGAGAGGCCATCAATAAATTAACTCATCTCAAACATCCTTCCTTCTTGTTTCAAAGAAATAAATATCCCTCTGTTTAAGGTTAATTCATTCAGCAGTGCTCTAGATCCCATGTCCATCAATTTCCTTAGTGACATAACTCTAATTACTGCCGTCTTACTCACCTTCCTCAAAATATAGCCAACATTCATTACCTTCACTTCCTCACTTGTATACTTCTCAACCTACTGCTTGAGAATGTTTCTACTGTTGCCATACCATGAAATGGTTATTTACAAAGCCATACTAACTTCTCTACTGGTGATTATTTTCAGGGCCTTTAAACTATTTCCCTTGATTCATTGAGCTATTTCACAATAGCTATTGTGCATCCCATGTCTCAGTCAGTGTACTGCCATCATCCAGTTATCTAAGTAATAAACCCAAGACTTATCCTAATGTTGTACACGTCTGTTTTTTGGTCTTTAATAACATTTCACAATAGCTATTGTGAAATAGCTCAATGAATATCTGAGTGTCATATCTGTGACACTACTCTCTCCTGGTTTTACTCCTGTTTCTCTAGCCATTCATGAAACGTGTTGAAATATGTGAAGAGGAGCCCATGTAGGACATCACCTCTGCCTAAATTTTAAGTGGGCTGTTTTACAGTAGTCCATCCTTTGGTCTTTCTCACCACATACTTTATTTCTGAGCACTCTCATCTCTACCTGCAGCTTCAACCAGCAACTGACAACCATCATATTTTTTAATCTTCAGTCTAAGCCTCTCCTGAATTTCATATTCCTCTGCCTACTGGATATCGCCATCTGTTTTTCCGCACAGGCACTTCTATTCAATGTGTCCACTTCCGATCTCTTTCTCCTGCATCCCATGTCTCAGTCAGTGTACTGCCATCATCCAGTTATCTAAGTAATAAACCCAAGACTTATCCTAATGTTGTACACTTCTGTTTTTTGGTCTTTAATAACATGAAGCTCTATCCATTCTACCTCTAAAGATTCTCTTGAATCTGCTCTCTTCATCCTAATGCTACCGCTAATTCAGACCCTCATTTTGCCTCCCTTGAATAACTGCATTAGCCTCCTAATTTGTCTCCCTGCCTTGTGTTTCACTTTTCTTCAACCTTTTGTTTTCCTGGGTCCCAGTGTGATCTTTCAAAAATGCAAACCTGATTTTCTTGCGTAAAATCTTCAATGTCCCCCTGTTTCATTCAAAACACATTTATTTAGCATCTGTCAGTCATGAATTATTCCCATCTCAGAGGATCTCAAAAGTGTTATTGCAAACAAGTCCTCTAGTTTTGAACCATGTCTTCATACCTACCTGATATCCCAATTATTCTACACCACACTTGTGATTTCCTGAATGTGCCATGTTAGTCCCACATCCTAGATGACTGTCCTTTTTTACTTGGCTGACTTGTGTTCATTCATTTACCCCATACCCTTTGCCCCCATCTATAAGTATGGCTATAAGTATATGTATGTAGTGAGTGCCCTGGTTTATCTCTATAGGAGTATATTCTAATAGATACTTTACTTTTTGCTCTCTAGTCCTGATTCTTAACATATTGAAGGCAGGGACTGTGTTTTTCACATCTATTTACCAAACAAAAATAGTGCCAGATACATAATAAGCATTCACTGAATGTTTATTTTTATTTTTTTGAGATGGAGTATTGATTGCTCTGTCACACAGGCTGGAGTGCAGTGATGCGATCTTGGCTCACTGCAACCTCCGCCTCCTGGGTTCAAGCAATTCCTCTGCCTCAGCCTCCTGAGTAGCTGGGATTACAGAACTCGCCACCATGCCGACTTAATTTTTGTATTTTTAGTAGAGACAGGGTTTCACCCTGTTGGCCAGGCTAGTCTCGAATTCCTAACCTCAAGTGATCCATCTGCCTCAGCCTCCTAAAGTGCTGAGATTACAAGCATGAGCTACCACACCCGGCCTACATTCAGTGAATGTTTATTGAGTGGCCTAAGAATGGCTTATCAAGAAACTGTAAATAAGTTCATTTCATTTGCCAATATTGCCAGATATTGTAATCATACATTATCTTTCAGATCTAGCTTAAAGCAATGTGTGCTTTATTTATCTTTTTATTTTCCTTTTAAGAATAGATAATTTCTTTACAAAAAAACTTATTGTAGAAATTTTCAAACATAAACAAAAGTAGAAATAGAATAATGAGTCCACTGATACCCATCACCCATCCTCATCAGCATCCTGCTACTCTTGTTTCATCTGTTTTCCCACTACTTTTTTCCTAGAATATTTTAAAATAAATTCTATAAATTATATTATTTTGCCTATAAACAGTTTAGTGTATATCACTAGATAAACAGTTATTAACAAAGCACAGTGTATTTCTTGCTTTTATTCTAAATGTATTCTACTTTCTCTTATGCTGTCTACGGACCAATTTAAGCATGACAATTATAAATTATAGGACATTTTTTTAAATGTCTGACTACTAGTCTTCCTTCAGGCTTTACTCAGGGTTCCACCCACTTCCCAAGTATGTAGACTCTAAATTGTGATAAAATACACATAACAAAATTTACCATCAACTAATTTTAAGTGTACAATTCAGTAGTGTTAAGTACAGTCGCATTGTGGTGCAATCTCCAGAACTCCTTTTTCTCTTTTAAAATTGAAACTTTATGCCTATTCCTCTGCAATTCTCCCTCCCCCCAGCACCTGGAAACCATCCTTCTACTTTTGTGTCTATGAATTTGACTGCTCTAGTCAAATAGAATTCTAGTCAATGGAATATTCTAGTCAAATTAGGAAGTGGAGTCAAATATTTGGATGACAAATGTGATATTTGTCTTTTTGTGTCTGGCTTATTTTATTTTGTATAATGGTCTCAAGGTTTATCAGTATTGTAGCATTTGTCAGTATTTCCTTCCTTTTTAAGACTAAATAATATTCCATTGTATGAATATACCTCATTTTGTTAATCCATTCATCAATGAACACGTGTGTTGCTTACACTGTTGGCTATTATGAATAATGCTACTATAAATATGAATGTATCTATGTCTCTTTGGGACCCTGCTTTCAATGCTTTTGGGCATATAACCAGAAGTGGAATTGCTGGGTCATATGGTAATCCTATTTTTAATTATTGAGGAACCATCATATTGTTTTCCACAATGTTGTACCATTTTACATTCTTATTAATAATGTGTGAAGGTTCCAATTTTTCTAAATCCTTGCCAGCACTTGTTATTTTCTGGAGGTTTTTTTTGATAGCAGCCATCCTAATATGGGGTGAGATAAACATTTTTTAAAATGTTATTATATTCCAGTGTCTCCATTAACAAAACAATAATTCCTTTGTATCATCTAATAAAGAAGGGATTTCTAACATGCTCTTCCCAGTCTCCCCCATGTCCTTATACTGCCATTTCCTCAAACTAGAAGCTTTGGAGCCACCACTGATTCCTCTCTTATTCTCTCATCTCACATCCAATTCTTTAGAAAATCCACATATGTACCCAGAATACTCCCACCCCACTTCTCACCCTTCTAGCCATTTCCACCACCCTGGTCCAAGCTACCGCCATCTCTCCTGGATTGTTTCTGAAGCCTTCCAAGAGATCTCCCTGTTTGTTCACTCTTGCCTCTCTTCAATCTGTTCTCAACTTGACAACCAGCACAATCTTGTCCAAACAAATCTCAGACTGACACTCCTCTGCTCAATGCCTTCCAGTGATTTTCCATCTCACACTCAGTAAAAATCAAAGTCCTTCTACTGGCTTTGAGGCCCAACATGAGCTGAGTCCATGTTACCTACCTAAATTTACCCCTTATAACTTTCCCTTTTGTTCATTCTACTCCACCCACTGATGCATTCTTGGTGTTCTTGAACACACTACTATTCTCCTACCTCAGTAAGGGCCTTTGTCTCGAATTATCTTTCCCCTGAAACCTGCTCGATTTACTTCCTAACTTCCATGAGATGTCAGCTTCATAAGGAGGCTTTTTCTTAACACCTTTTTAAAAATGGAAATCAACCCCTCAAGAATTCTCTACTCCCCTCCGCAGCTTTACTTTATCCCGTAAACTTTATCATTATCTAACATAATATATATTTTATTTGTTTATTTTCTGCCCACTGTCATTAAAGTACAAGCTTCAGATGGGCAAGGAATTTTAGATAAAATCCTTGGCATATAATAATGCCCAATAAGTAATTGTGAATAGAGTTCATATCTCTGTACATATTTTTGTGGTTGCTCCCCAGATCTGCACCACAACTTAAAAAGCAAAATAAAAGAATGCATATCTTTCCAAAGCAAGAAGACTGGCATAAATTGGACAGATGATGAAAAAAGAAGCTACAAGGATAAAGGAATAGTTCAAACTCAAGAAATATTGCAGTATTTGCTCCCCATCGTGCATAGCACTAAAAACATGCAAACCACTCAGATAAAACAGCTATTCAATCCAAGAACCAACTTCCAAATCCAACATCAGTAAGTCAATACAATTTTATCACTCTTATCTATTTAACACATCTTTTTTAAAAAAGCAGGGCTTATTAATTTATTATCCTACGAAAAAAAAATCTGCTCTTGAAAATGATGTCAGCTCCATCACATTTGGCAAAGAACAAAGACCCAAAGCTGTCAGAAAACACTGGATAAATGAAGGAGTAAGTTATCAGGCCTTATTTAATTGATTATTTGCATGAAACTACTCATTAATTTAGATCTATTAATAAAGTAGGCATAAATAAAGTATGATTATAGCCTGATTTGAAAATTATCAGCTGTTTTAAGCCTTATAATCCTATGGGGTAACCAGAATTAAAAATAATTAACCTGAGCTACTTCAGTTTATTGATACTGAGATGAAAGCAGAAAGAGCGAGACCAGTTTTCTTCTAAAGATAAAAAACAGAACTACCTCTAAGGCCAAAAGGAAACATGTGTAAATAAAAGTAAAGACAGTAATAAGCTGAAAATAATAAATACAATACTAATATTATCAACAGATTTTTATAATGTACTTCCTATGTGCTACACACCGTTCTAAGTTATATATGTATACACTTTACATTTTACACATGAGAAAACTGAGGTGCAAAGAGGTTAAATAATTTGTCCAAAGCCTCACAAGCCAATATGTAGTGGAATCTGGAGTCAAATCCACCTAGACATTCTGACTACAGAGTCCTCCTGAACTTCATCATTATGCTTTGCCATTTCTCTTTATAAGTGAAAAACATGACCAATATACTTAATATACAAAGAGTGCTTACATATCAACTGGAAACTTATGAATACTTTCATAAGAAAATGGGTGAAGGCTATGAACCATTGCTACTGTGCAGTAGTAAAAACCCTGACTCTTCACTAGGCCTCCTCTGACACCAGCCCAATGGGGAGAGAAAGAGGTACTTCATTTCTGTCCATTGAGTATGGAAATCTCGGCTCCCCATTTGGTTTCCAATGACACCCTGGGGGAGGAGAGAGACTCTTTATAGGCCAGTGGGAGGGTCAAAGTTCTGGCTTCTATTTGTTCTTCTTTGACTCCACCCTAGCAGAGGTTTGAGATCCCCCATTATACCTCATAAGAGTGGAAGTGTAAGCCCCTCTGCCTCTGCTTACATGGGTGGGAGTGAGGGCACTGTTTATCTGTGGTGCTTGGCTGGAGTACAGTGGTTATTGCCTAACATTTTCTATATCAGTAGGCTGTCCCTTTCCTGGTCCTTTTCTACACAGTACAGGCTATTGTTGAGAGCTTTTTGTGCATGTGTCTGGGCACATTTGTGTTTTCAGATTGCTGGCTTCTTCAGCTCCAAGTCTTGGATATATGAGGCAAAAAGAAAACCCAGGAGACACCATTGTGTTGTTCCTTTGTTCTTGAAGTCCTTAGCTAGCCTGCCTGCTTTCTACCTTTCGGAGTTGCCTTTTGTTCATTTTATATGTAATGTCCAGGATTTGTAGTTATTTTTAGTGCAAAGAATAGGGAAAATGCATCTGCTTCATCTTCATGGAAGTGAAAAATATCTCCAATTATATTTTGATTTGCATAATCTTTCTCAAGAATTTTCATCATTACCAAATGGAATGCCAAGCATGAGATTTATTCCTCCATATTGAAATCTGACCTATGTTTGACCAGAGAGAAATTTAAGGTATGTAAATCATCTTGTTAACATGCAATTCACCTATTAATCCACCTAGACCCTATTCATTTTGGCTTAAGAACAGAACAGACAATGTAGGTTTCAGCCCTATGATTACATTCAGATGTAACGTCATGTTCAACATGATAATTCTGCAAACTCTTACAGCACATTAACTAGTTTCTCCTTAATCCTAAATTAGACCAATGTCTAAAATGGTTTAGCAAAGTGTGATCTTCTCATTCTTTGCTTATTCTCACTTTACCCTGAAATCACTTACTATAGGTAATAGCATGTAAGAGTGTTGAGACAGTCAAACAAATGATATATAAAACAGAGAAGGTAGCCATAAAGAACTAAGTTGTAAGAAAAACAACAACAACAAAAATCAACCTGACAATGTTTAAGTTTGCAGTGAGATCATCTGTTAAGAAAGGATTTGCTTGCTGCTTTCCTACTTTTTAATATTTCCATATACACCTATATCAGATACTTTTGGGGGTGTCTACCTCAGGCACAATTTGCCCTTCTCTGGGGACTGCCTCTTGATCCACAAGGGTAGCACTTCCAAAAGCTGCATTTGTAATTATGTGACCTCTACCCACTGGCATGGTTGCCAATCAGATTATCTTTCTCTATACTTTGGAATTGGAATGAGAGATAGTGGATCAGTCTTGCACATGAAACTGCTGTAGGATGCAAATTTGAGCTAAGGGAAGTAAAAACTTTCCTGTGGAGAGAGAAAAGCAGAGACTGCAGATGAATAAAAACCCTTGGATGTTTTCCATTTTCTAGTTCTAGTCCTTTCCTGAAGCCTGGCTGAATTCCCTCTCCCTCTGTTTCCATGAGTAGCTTTGTACTTTCTTATAATTCTTCCCCTACCCTACCTTATGCTTTTTTTAATTAAGCTAGCTTGAATTGGTTTCTGTTACTTGTAACCAAAGAGGTCTTAGTTAATACCTCACTATTTGTCTGTACCTTCATGCTCAGGCCAATCCTCATTGAGTGCATTTCTAGATTCAAAGTATTAATATATAAGGAACCTCTTATGAAAGTAATGACTAAAAATCACGCCATGTCCTAATTGTCACCTAGACCCCACCCCAATCTCAATGGAGGCTACATATGGAGATGAACCTCCACATCTGTCCAATAATAATTAGAAGCCTCCTATCTCTGGTGTCAATGGGGTCCAGATGGGGAACCTGGACTTCCACTTCCATCTTGCAGTAATGAGGTCTTATCTCCCCACTCCCTGAGCTGGAGCAAACTAACAAAAAGCCAAAACAGAGGGTTTACATAAGATCCAGAGTCTCATAACATAATATGAAAGTGTCTATGTTTTAATCAGAAATAAATTCTTGTACCAAGAACCAGGAAGATCTAAAACTGAAAAAAGACAATTAGTAGACACAAACACTGAGATGTTAATGATGTTAGAATTTTTTGACAAAGATTTTTAAAGTAATCATAATTAAAATGCTTCAAAAAACACTTATAAACACACTTGGAAGAAATAAAAAAATAGCCTCAGCAGAGAGAGAGAGAAAAAAATATTAAGAACCAAATAGAAATTTTTGAATTGAAAAATACCACTGAAATTTTAAAAGCTTAATGGCTGAGCAGAACAGTATAATTGTACAAATAGAGGAAAGAGTCAGTGAATTGAGAGAGATAGAAAAATAGAAATTACCCAACTGAACATAAGAGAAAAAATAGGCTTAAAATAAAATGAATAGAGCTGCAGGCACCTGTAGGACTATAAGACAAAATCTAATAATATTCACATATCGTAGTTTCAGAAGGACAGGAGAATGAATATAGGGCTGAAAAAGAAATCAAAGAAATAATGGCTGAAAGGTTCCCAAATTTGACAGGAGACATAAACCTATAGATCAAAAAGCTGAGCAGACCATTAATAGGATACACCCAAAGAAATTCATGCCAAGATACCCCAAAATTTAAATTTTTTTTTTTTTGAGACAAAGTCTTGCTCAGTTACCCAGGCTGGAGTCCAGTGGAACAATCTTAGCTCACTGAAACCTCCGCCTCCTGGGTTCAAGTGATTCTCGTGCCTCAGCCTTCCGAGTAGCTGGGGTTATAGGCACCCACCACCATGCCTGGCCCAATTTTTGTATTTTTAGTAGAGACGAGGTTTTGCTGTGTTGGCCATGCTGGTCTCGAACTCCTGACCTCAAGTGATCTGACTCCCTCAGCTCCCAAAGTGCTGGGATTACAGGCATGAGCCACCATGCCCATTCCCCAAAATTTAACTTCTGAAAATGAGACCAAAAAAAAAAGAAAAAACTATCGAAAGGAGTCAGAGAGGCTGGGCACAGTGGCTCATGCCTGTAATCCCAGCACTTTGGGAGGCCGAGGTGGGCAGATCACGAGTTCAGGAGATCAAGACCAACCTGGCTAACACGGTGAAACCCCGTCTCTACTAAAAATACAAAAAATTAGCTGGGCGTGGCAGCGGGTGCCTGTAGTTCCAGCTACTCTGGAGGCTGAGGCAGGAGAATGGCATGAACCTGGGAGGCAGAGCTTGCAGTGAGCCAAGATCGTGCCACTGCACTCCAGCCTGGGTGACAGAGCGAGACTCCGTCTCAAAAAATAAAAAAAGAAAAAGAAAGGAGTCAGAGAAAAATGACACCTTTCCTACAGAGGAAAAACAATTTGAATGACAGTGGATTTCTCATCAAAACCCACAAAGCACAATAATTTTAATTATTGGAAGAAATTGTCAACTTAGAATCCTATACCCAGTGAAAATAAGGGAGAAGTCAAGAAAGGTTCAGATAAAAGAAAATGAAGAGAATTTTTCACCAGAAGACTTACTCTAAAAGAATGACTAAAGGAATTTTTCTAAACAGATAGAAAATGACAAAAGAAGGAATATCAGGAAAGAAAGAATACGGTAAGCAAAAATACAGGTAGATATAAAATACACGTAAATATAAATTTTTCTAAATCATATTTGATGGTTGAAGCAAAAATTATAATATTGATGTGGTTCCAAATATACATAAAAGACATATTTAAGACCACTATAAATGTGAGAAGGTAAAAGGACATAAAAGGAGGTAAGGTTTGTACTTCACTCAAATTACTAAGTTAACACAACCAATAAATTGTGATAAGTTATGCATATGTAGTATAATACAGCAACCACTGAAAAAGCTGTTCAAAGAGATATACTAAAAAACACTAAATAAATCAAAATGGAATTCTTGAAAAATGTTCACATTACCCACAGGAAGGCAGGAAAGAGAAAACAAAAAACAAAAGATAAACTTTTTTTAAATGGCAGATTTAAGTCCTAAGACATCAACTATTACATTAAATGTAAATGACCTAAATACAACAGTTAAGGACAGATTAACAGAATGAATTTTAAAACATTACCCAACAATATGCAGTCACAAGAAACTCATTTCAAATATGACAATGGAGGCAGGCTGAAAGTAAAAGGATGGAAGAAGATACATCATGCAAACATTAATAGATGAAAGCAGAAGTGGCTATGTTAATATTAGGTAAAGTAGATTTTAGAGGAAAGAAAATTATCAAAGAGGGGCATTATATATAATGTTTAAAAGGTCAATCCACTAGAAACACAGCAATCTTAGATGTGTGTATAAAATCACAGAACTGGCTGGGTGCAGTGGCTTACACCTGTAATCCCAGCACCTTGGGAGGCCGAGGCAGGTGGATTACCTGAGGTCGGGAGTTTGAGACCAGCCTGACCAACACAGAGAAACCCTGTCTCCACTAAAAATACAAAAAATTAGCCGGGTGTGGTGTCTCATACCTGTAATCCCAGCTACTCGGGAGGCTGAGGCAGGAGAATCACTTGAACCCGGGAGGTGGAGGTTGCGGTGAGCCAAGATGGTGCCATTGCACTCCAGCCTGGGCAACAAAAACAAAACTCCGTCTCAAAAAACAAAACAAAACAACACAGAACTGCAAAATATGTGAAGCAAAAACTGATAAAACAGAAAGGAGAAATAGACAAATTCACAATTGTTTCAATAATTAGAAAATAAGCAAGGATATAAAATAATTCAACAAGAATATAAATATCTAACTGACATTTAAGGAGCACTTCATCCAACAACAGCACAGTACACATTATTTTCAAGTGTACGTGGATCATATACCAAGATAGAACATATCCTAGCTATGAAATAAACCTCAACATATTTAAAAGAATTTAAATCATAGAAAGTGTATATCTGACCACAATGGAATCCAACTAGAAATCAATAGCCAAAGGGTAATAGGAAAAAAAAAAAAAAACCTAAACATTTGGAAACTAAATAACACACTTCTGAATAAATCGTGAGTCAAAAATATTCTCTGGGATGGGGCCAAGATGGCTGACTAGAAACAGCGGCATTCGGAGGCTCCCATTGAAAAGAACTATAATAAGCAAGGTATCCAGGTTCTCTCATCAGAACTGACTAGGAGGCTGGTGTGATCCACAGAGAGGAAGAACAGTGTAGTGCAGTGGCCCACCTGAGAGCCACACAGGGCAGGAGAGCACCCCCCTATATCCCCAGCCAAGGGAGGTGGTGAGTGAGTGTGCTACCCAGCCGGGGAAACCGTGCTTTTTCCACAGAACTGTGAAACCTATAGATTGGAAGATCCCACTCACGACCCACGCCACCAGGGCCTAGCGTCCCAACCCCAGAGCCGTGAAGTTTCTCAATAGCCTCTTAGCTGGAATCTGCTTAAGCCTACAGAGCTCCCCAGGGGAGGCATGACCAGCACCACAGCTGTGTCTGCCTGCTGTCTAAGCCGTTTGAGTTCCTTGGGGGAGGGGCAGCAGCCAGCACTGGGACTCACAACTGCCTAACACACTAAGCTCCCTGGGTGGTGGAAGGGCATCATCCATCTCTATAGCTCCAGGCTGTGCTTTTCCTCTGCTGGAGTCAGGGAGGCTGAACAGCTTGGTTCCAAGACATGTTCCCCAAAGCCCAACACACTGACTGTGGCTGACTGTGGCCAGAGTGCCTCTTCAGGCCTGACCCTGACCCATCCTTCCTCATTGGGTGGGGCTTTCCTGCAGGAACTTCAATAACTCCAGCCAGAGGCTCAGGGACAGAACCCAGATCTCCCTGGGCCTGAGCCCCTAGCGGGAGGGGTGACCACAGTCTTTGCAGACCAGCAGACTTAGCCTTTCCTCCTGGTAGTTCTGAGGAATCTGGGCAGCCCAGACAAGTGGGTTTCCCCCCAGCGAAGCACACCCCCCCAACCAAGGGACAAAGTGCTTCGTTAAATGGGTCCTGTTCCCCCTGCCACCCAACTGGGTAAGACCCTCCAACAGGGGTTGTCAGATACCCTATACGTGAGCAATACTGCTGGCATCAGGCTGGTACCCCTTGAGGTCAGAGATCCCAGAAGAAGGAGCAGGCACCCTTCTTTGCTATTCTCCAGCCTCCTTGAGTGACATCTCCAGGCCCAGGAGTGAACCAGATGACGAGGGCCTGAAGTGAAACCCCAGCAAACAGCAGCAGCCCTATAGAAAAGGGACCTGACCAATGAAAGAAAAACAAATAGAAAGCAACAACAACAGTATCAACAACAACAAACAAGCCCCCAGAAAAACCCCATCCAAGGATCAGCGCCTCAAAGATCAAAACTAGACAAACTCATGAAGATGGGAAAGAATTAATGAAAAAACACTGAAAACCCAAAAGGCCAGAGTGCCTCCTCTCCTCCAAATGATCGCAATGTATCTCCAGCAATGGCACAGAATTGGTTGGAGGATGAGACAGACAAATTGACAGAAGTAGGCTTCAGAAGATGAGTAATAAAAAACGGCTCTGAGCTAAAGGAGCATGTTCTAACCTAATGCAAAGAAGCTAAGAACGTTGATAAAAGGTTAGAGTAGCTGCTAACTAGAATAACCAGTTTAGAGAGGAACATAAATGACCTGGTGGAGCTGAAAAACAGCACAAGAACCTTGTGAAGCATACACAAGTATCAATAGCCGAATCGACCACGCAGAAGAAAGGATATCAGAGTTTGAAGACAACCTTGCTGAAATAAGGCATGCAGACAAGACTAGAGAAAAAAGAATAAAAAGGAATCAACAAAGCCTCCAAGAAATGTGGGACTTCATAAAAAGACTAAACCTACGATTGATCAGAGTACCTGAGGGAGACGGAGAATGGAAACAAGTTGGAAAACACGCTTTATGATATTATCCAGGAGAACTTCTCCAACCTCGCAAGACAGGCCAATATGCAAATTCAGGAAATACAGAGAACATCACTAAGATATTCCATGAGAAGATCAACCCCAAGACACATAATCTTCAGATTCTCTAAGGTCAAAATGAAGGAAAAAATGTTAAGGGCAGCCAGAGAGAAAGGCCAGGTCATCTACAAAGGGAAGCCCATCAGACTAACAGCGGCCCTCTCAGCAGAAACTCTACAAGCCAGAAAAGATTGGGAGTCAATATTCAACATTCTTAGAGAAAAAAAATTTCAACCCAGAATTTCATATGTGGCCAAACTAATCTTCATAAGCAAAGGATAAATCAAATCCTTTCCAGACAAGCAAATACTGAGGGGTTTCATTACCACCATGGCTGCCTTGCAAGAGCTCCTGAAAGAAGCACTAAATATGAAAAACAAAAACCAGTACCAGCCACTGCAAAACCACACCAAAATATAAAGACCAATGACACTATGAAGAAACTGCATCAATTAGTGCACAAAATAACCAAATAGCATCATGATGACAGGATCAAATTGACACATTACAATACTAACCTTAAATGTAAATGGGCTAAATGCCCCAGTTAAAAGACACAGACTGGCAAATTGGATAAAGAGTCAAGTCCCATTGGTGTGCTGCATCCAGGAGACCTGTCTTATGTGCAAAGACACACATAGGCTCAAAATAAAGGGATGGAGAAAAATTTACCAAGCAAATGGAAAGCAAAAAAAAAAAAAGTAGGGGTTGCAATCCTAGTCTCTGACAAAATAGACTTTAAACCAACAAAATCAAAAAAGACAAAGAAGGGTATTACATAATGGTAAAGGGAACAATTCAACAAGAAGAGCTAACTGTTCTAAATATATATGCACCCAATACAGGAGCACCCAGATTCATAAAACAAGTTCTTAGAGACCCAAAAAGAGACAGACTCCCACACAATAATAGTGGAAGACTTTAACACCCCACTGTCAATATTAGACAGATCAACAAGACAGAAAATTAACAAGGATATTCAGGACTTGAACTCTCAGCTCTGGATCAAGTGGATCTAATAGACATCTACAGAAATCTCCACCCCAAATCAACAGAATATACGTTCTTCTCTGTGCCACATGGCACTTATTCTAAAACTGACCACATAATTGGAAGTAAAACAGTCCTCAACAAATGCAAAAGAACTGAAATCATAGCAAACAGTCTCTCAGACCACAGTGCAATCAAATTACAACTCAGGATTAAAAAACTCACTCAAAACCACACGATTACATGGAAATTGAACAATCTGCTCCTGAATGACTCCTCGGTAAATAATGAAATTAAAGCAGAAATCAAGAAGTTCTTTGAAACCAATGAGAACAAAGAGACAATGTACCACAATCTCTGGGACACAGCTAAAGCATTGTGTTAAGGGGGAAATTTATGGCACTAAACACCCACATCAGAAAGCGAGAAAGATCTCAAATCCACACCCAAATATCACAATTAAAAGAGCTAGAGAGGCAAGAGCAAACTAATCCAAAAGCTAGCAGAAGACAAGAAATAACTAAGATTAGAGCAGAATTGAAGGAGATAGAGACACAAAAAACTCCCCCAAAAATCACTGACTCCAGCAGCTGTTTTTTTAAAAAAATTAACAAAATAGACCACTGGCTAGACAAATAAAGAAGAAAAGAGAGAAAAATCAAATAGACACAATAAAAATGATAAGGGGATATCACCACTGATCCCACAGAAATATAAACTACCATCAGAGAATACTATCAACACCTTGATGCAAATAAACTAGAAAATCTAGAAGAAATGGAGAAATTCCTGGACACACACACCCTCCCAAGACTAAACCAAGAAGTCGGATCCCTGAATAGACCAATAGCAAGTTCTGAAATTGAGGCAATAATTAATAGCCTACCAAGCAAAAAAAAGCTCAGAACCAGACGGATTCACGGCTGAATTTTACCAGAAGTACAAAGAAGAGCTGGTACCATTCCTTCTGAAACTACTCCAAACAATTGAAAAGGAGGGACTCCTCCCTAACTCAATTTATGAAGCCACCATCATCCTGATACCAAAACCAGGAAGAGACACAACAAAAAAAAGAAAACTTCAGACCAATATTCCTGATGAACATCAATACGAAAATCCTCAATAAAATACTGGCAAACCGAATCCAGCAGCATATCAAAAAACGTATCCACCATGATGAAGTTGGCTTCATCCCTGGGATGCAAGGCTGGTTCAACATATGCAAATCAATAAACATAATCCATCACATAAACAGAACCAAAGACAAAAACCACATAATTATCTCAATAGATGCAAAAAAGAGTTTTGATAAAATTCAACATCCCTTCATGTTAAAAACTCTCAATAAACTAGGTATTGATGGAACATATCTCAAAATAATGAGAGCTATTTATGACAATATATAGCCAATATCATATTGAATAGGCAAAAGCTGGACACATTCCCTTTGAAAACCAGTACAAGACAAGGATGCCCTCTCTCACCACCCCTGTTCAACATAGTATTGGAAGCTCTGGCCAGGGCAATCAGGCAAGAGAAAGAAGTAAAGGGAATTCAAACAGGAAGAGAGGAAGTCAAATGGTCTCTGTTTGCAGATGACATGATTTTATATTTAGAAAACCCCAACATCTCAGCCCCAAAACTCCTTAACTGATAAGCAACTTCAGCAAAGTCTCAGAATACAGAATCAATGTGCAAAAATCACAAGCATTCCTTTACACCAACATAGATAAGCAGAGAGCCAAATCATAAATGAACTCCCATTCACGATTGCTACAAAGAGAATAAAACACCTAGGAATACAGCTAACAAGGGATGTGAAGGACCTCTTCAAGGAGAACTACAGACCACCAAGGAAACAAGAGAGGATACAAACAAGCGGAAAAACATTCCATCCTCGTGGATAGGAAGAATCAATATCATGAAAATGGCAGTACTGCCCAAAGTAATTTATAGATTCAACACTTTTCCCATCAAACTACCACTGACATTCTTCACAGATTTAGAAAAAACTACTTTAAATTTCATATGGAATCAAAGAAAACCCCGAATAGCCAAGACAATCCTAAGCAGAAGGAACAAAGCTGGAGAGGTATCACACTACCTAACTTCAAACTGTACTACGAGGCTACAGTAACCAAAACAGATATATAGACCAATGCAACAGAACGGAGACCTCAGAAATAATACCACACATCTACAACTATTTGATCTTTGACAAACCTGACAAAAACAAGCAATGGGGAAAGGATTCCCTGTTCAATAAGTGATGCTGGGAAAACTGGCTAGCCATGTGCAGAAAACTGAAACTGGACCCCTTCCTTACACCTTATACAAAAATTAACTGAAGATGGATTAAAGACTTAAATGTAAAACCCAAAACCAGAAAAACTCCAGAAGAAAACCTAGGCAATACCATTCAGGACATAGGCATGGGTAAAGACTTCATGACAAAACACCAAAAGCAATTGCAACAGAAGCCAAAATTGACAAATGGGATCTAATTATACTAAAGAGCTTCTGCATAGCAAAAGAAACCAGCATCAGAGTGAACAGGCAACCTACAGAATGGGAGAAAATGTTTGCAATCTACCCATCTGACAAAGGTCTAATATCCAGAATTTACATGGAACTTAAACATATTTACAAGAAAAAAACAGACAACCCCATCAAAAAGTGGGCAAAGGATATGAAGACGCTTCTCAAAAGAAGACATTCATGCAGCCAACAAGCATATGTAAAAAAGCTCAATGGTTGGGTGTGGTGGCTCACGCCTATAATCCCAGCACTTTGGGAGGCCAGGGTGGGTGGATCACGAGGTCAGAATATCGAGACCATCCTGGCCAACATGAAACCCCATCTCTACTAAAATACAAAAAATTAGCCGGGGTGTGGTGGCGCACGCCTGTAGTCCCAGCTACTCGGGAGGCTGAGGCAGGGGAGTTGCTTGAACCCGGGAGGCGGAGGTTGCAGTGAGCCAAGATTGCACCACTGCACTCCAGCCTGGCAACAGAGCAAGTCTCCGTCTAAAAAAAAAAAAAAAACTCAACATCACTGATCACACTGATCATCAGAGAAACGTAAATCAAAACCACAATGAGATACCATCTCACATCAGTCAGAATGGCAATTACTAATAAGTCAAGAAACAATAGATGGCTGGGTAGGCTGCAGAGAAATAAGAATGCTTTTACTCTGCTGGTGGGAGTGTAAATTAGTTCAACCATTGTGGAAGACAGTATGGCGATTCCTCAAGGATCTAGAACCAGAACTACCATTTGACCCAGCAATCCCATTACTGGGTATATACCCAAAGGAATATAAATCATTCTACTATAAAGACACATGCACACATATGTTTATTGCAGCACTGTTTACAATAGCAAAGACATGGAACCAACCCAAATACCCATCAGTGATAGACTGGATAAAGAAAATGTGGCCATATACACCATGGAATACTATGCAGCCATAAAAAGGAATGGGATCTGCCAGGCACGGTGGCTCACGCCTATAATCCCAGCTCTTTGGGAGGCCAAGGTGGGTGGATCACAAGGTCAGGAGTTTGAGACCAGCCTGGCCAATATGGTGAAACCCCGTCTCTACTAAAAATACAAAAATTAGCCAGGTGTGGTGGTGAGTGCCTGTAGTCCCAGCTACTCGGGAGGCTGCGACAGGAGAATTGCTTGAACCCAGGAGGCAGAGGTTGCAGTGAGCCGAGATGGCACCACTGCACTCCAGCCTGGGCAACAGAGTGAGACTCCATCTCAAAAAAAAAAAAAAAAAAAAAAAAAAAACGAAAAAAAAAAACAAAACAACAAGGCATTTGTAAACTGTCATGGCCCTGGTGGGAGTGTAGCAGTGAGGATGATCAGAGATCACTCTCATGGTCATCTTGGTTTTGTTCCTCAGAAAATTAAATGTCAGAAGACCAAGAAGCTCAAGAGGATGAATTGCTGGCCCCAGTGAGTATTTACGATGGAGATGAATTTAGAAAAGCAGTCTGTCCAAGGTGGAGAAACCAGGATCTATTTGGATTTGCCATAGAATTTCAAGATGTTTGTGAGCGCTATCTGCTCTATGGGAAGAACACCCTGGCAGCGTGATCCCGTTTGCCTGGATGCAATTTCTTAAGGAAGAGACCCTAGTATACCTGAATATTGTCTCTCCTTTTGAGCTCAAGATTGATTCTCAGAAAAAAAGTGCAGAGAAGGACAGCTCAAGCCTCTCCCAACACAGAGCTAGATTTTGGAGGAACTTCTGGATCTGATACAGACCAAGAGGAAACTGTGGATGAGACAGCTGTGTGCAGGATGTGGAATCATTGTTAAATATGATCCAGGAAATCTTGGACTTTGATCAAGCTCAGCAGATAAAATGCTTTAATAGTAATTTGTTCCTGTGCAATATCTGTTTCTGTAAGAAGCTGGGTAGTGAATGCATGTACTTCTTGGAGTGCAGGCATGTGTACTGCAAAGACTGTCTGAAGGACTACTTTGAAATCCAGATCAGAGATGGCCAGGTTCAATGCCTCAACTGCCCAGAACCAAAGTGCCCTTCAGTGGCCACTACTGGTCAGGTCAAAGAGCTAGTGGAAGCAGAGTTATTTGCCTATTATGACTGCCTTCTCCTCCAGTCCACCTTGGACCTGATGGCAGATGTGGTGTACTGCCCCCACGCATGCTGCCAGCTGCCTGTGATGCAGGAGCCTGGCTACATCATGGGTATCTGCTCCAGCTGCAATTTTGCCTTCTGTACCTTGTGCAGGTTGACCTACCATGGGGTCTCTCCATGTAAGGTGACTGCAGAGAAATTAATAGACTTACTAAATGAATACCTGCAAGCAGATAAGGCCAATAAAAGACTTTTGGAACAAAGGTATGATAAGAGGGTGATTCAGAAGGCACTGGAAGAGATGGAAAGTAAGGAGTGGCTAGAGAAAAACTTCAAGAACTGACCATGTTGTGGAACTCCCATAGAGAAATTAGATGGATATAACAAGATGACATGTACTGGCTGTATGCAATATTTCTGTTGGATTTGCATGAGTTCTCTCTCTAGAGCAAACCCTTACAAACATTTCACTGATCCTGCTTCAACATGTCTTAAACAGCTGTTTTATGCTGTGGATGTTGATGAAGATATTTGGGAAGATGAGATTGAAGACTAGTTAACTACTGCTCAAGATATGGAAGTGGATTGGTTTTCCCTAATCTTTTGTCAAGTACACAAAGTAACCCTGCAGGATATTTAGGGTACTACTCATTCAGTCTTCCTGTGTAGAAGATATGGAAGAACAAGATTTATATTTTCATGTGGTACTACTGAAGAGGGTGCATTCATACATTTTTTAATGCAAGTTGAGAAAAATTATAAGCCAAGGGTTCAGAAAATGAAACTACAGAATATTAAATATTATAATGTGTCCAAAGCTCTGAATAGTTAAAAATTAAATATTTATTGCCTTCCCCAAGCTTTACATAAGGAGAAGAGGGGTCAAGAGTTAAACTTACAGACCCTTTGTCTCTGAGAAGCTTCCCTCTAAGACATTCTGTTGGAGTTCCCTCAGTACTACTCCTTACAACTGGGGTAGGTAGAAGCCTTATGAAAATTATACTGAGAATCTGATCTCATTTACTCCATGTTAATCACATTCTTACCAACCTAAATTTCTGCCAAGTCAGTTCTCTCTGGAGGAAGCCCTTTACTCTGTAACTGACTGGATGGTCCAGTGTCATTTTGACCTGCTTTTCAGAATGGAAATTTATAATAATTTAAAAATATGTTTTAATACCACAAACGCTATGGGGCACTTGATATTTATTAATGGTGTATATGCTCCACTGGTTTCAGGGCAAATCTAGAATTTAGTGATACTGGCTCAGAAGAATTTAAGTTCTATTCAACTTTCCTGGGTGTTAGAGCCTAGATTCAAAATGACTTGTCTTCGCTACTTTTGTTCCACATTCTCTCTCTTTACCTTTGCCCTACCTTCTGTTTGTAAGGACAGTCTTAATATTAATTCCAGCAACACATGTTTTTATTTCCTCTGCTGGAATAGGAGAAAGCTTAATAATATATTAATTTAATATAATATAATCATATTATTCATATATTCATCCCAAGCTGAATGTTCTTGAATTATCTGCATTTACCACTGTATATGCATATAGTGACAGTATAACCTGTCTATACCACTGTAGTTCCAGTCCTAATTTTCTGAATTATTTTTAAAGGTCTTCTCTAACAAGCTATGGGAATTTGGCTTCATACTCTTTTTTTGCAACAGCAGTGTTTTGGGTGATAATTTTGAATTGATAACTGTTCCTTTTTCTGGGTTTTGTTGGCCTTTTGAAAAATTGTCTTTCGTTATCGTTGGTGGGTGGCTTAGAAGCAAAGTAAAATTTTTTGGAAAAGAGAACAGAAAATTGAACTGCAGCTTGAGAACATATTGTTTTTTTCCTACTTTGTCATTGAAAATTGAAGAATTGCTTTTAACTGTTTTAGGTGTGTGTGTCCAGAGTGAGCAAGGACTATGTTTTTGGATTGTCAAAGAGGATGCTTAATCTTAAAAATAAAAATAAATTTAAAAATCATCTTGTAATTAGAAAAAAAAGGAATGAGATCATGTCTTTTCCAGGGACGTGGATGAAGCTGGAAGCCATCATCTTCAGCAAACTTAATACAGGAACAGAAAACCAAACACCACATGTTTTCACTCATAAGTGGGAGTTGAACAGTGAGAACACATGGACACATAGAGGGGAAAATCACACACCAGGGCCTGTTGCGGGGTGAGGGGTGAGGGGAGGGAACATAGAGGATGTGTCAATAGGTGCAGCAAACCACCATAGCACACATATACCTATGTAACAAACCTGCACGTTCTGCACATGTATCCTGGCTTTTTTTAGAAGAAATAAAGGAAACAAAAATTAAAAAAAAAATTCTCAAAGGAAGTAAAAATATGTATTTAAATTAATGGAAATGAAACTATAATATATTAAAATAAGTGAGATATAGCTAAAGCAGTACTGATACAGAAATTTATAGAACTAACTGCATATGCTAAAAAATGAGAAAACATCTGAAATCAATAATCTAAGCTCCCACCTCAGGGACCTATAAAAAGAAAAGCAAATAAACTCAAAGCAAGCAGAAAGAAGATAATAAAGATAAGAGCAGAAATTAATAAAATTAAAAACAGAAAAATGACACAGAAAATCAGTGAAACAACTGGTTGTTTGAACAGATCAATAAAATTGACAAACTTCTATTAATACTGACAAATAAAGAAAAAAAGACATAAATTACTAACATGAGGAATGAAACAGGATATCACTAAAAATCCTGCATACATCAAAGAGTTAATAGAAAACACTACACACAAATTTGACAACTTACAGAAAATGGATTATTTCCTCAATAAAATATGAACTACCCCAACTCATTCAATATGAAATAGAATATTTGAATACCCCTGTAACTAATAAGGAAATTGATTTCATAATTTTAAAACCCTAAAAAAGAAATCACCTGGCCTAGGTGGTTTTAGAAGAGAATTTTACTAATAAAGGAAGAATTAATACCAATTCTATACAATTTCTTCCAGAAAATAGGAGTTCTCAGTTCATTTTATGAAGCCACTGTTAGTGTGATATCAAAACCAGACAAGGGCAAAACAAAAAAGGAAATGACAGAATAAGATTTTGCATAAATATAGATTTAACAAGCTAAATCTAACAAAATATTAGCAAATAGAATTCAGCTCTAAATAAAAAGAATTATACACCATGACCAAGTGAAGTCTATTTCAGGAATTCAAGGTTAGTTTAATATTCAAAAAGTAATTGATGAAATCCTTCATATTAGCAAGCTTAAGAAGAAAAATCACAAGATCCTATTAATTGGCACAGAAATTGGTATTCGACAGAATTCAGTACCCATCCATGATAAAAAGTCTCAGAAAAACATAGGAATAAAGGGGATCTTACTCAATAAAGTCCATTCTTACCACTTGATATAGTTTGGCTGTGTCCCCACCCAAATCTCACCTTTAATTGTAATAATCCCCACGTGTCAAGGCAGGGTCAGGTGGAGATAATTGAATCACGGGAACAGTTTCCCCATACTCTTCTCGTGGTACTGAACAAGTCTCAGGAGATCCGATGGTTTTATAAATAGGAGTTCCCCTGCATAAGCTGTCTTGCGTGCCACCATGTAAGACATGACTTTGCTCCTCCTTTGCCTTCCGCCAAGATTGCGAGGCCTCCCCAGCCATGTGGAACTGTGAGTCAATTAAACCTTTTTCCTTTATAAATTACCCAGCATTGGGTATGTTTTTATTAGCAGCGTGAGAATAGAATAATACACCACTCTATTGAACATTGTGCTAGAAGTTCTAGCCACTGCAATAAGGCAATAAAAAAATAAAAAGCATACAAATCAGAAAGGAAAAAATAAAATGATCCCTACTGTGAAAGATGTTATTCTCTATGTAGAAAATCCTAATAAATTTACCAAAACACACACGCACGCATGCGTGCACACACACACACACACACACACACACACACAACCTTTAGAATTAATAAGTTATGCTAGGCCTCAGAATACAAGATAAATGTACAAAATTAATTGCTCTTCTATAAATAAGCAATGAACATGTGAACACCAAAATTACAAAATATCTCAAAAAAAATACTTGGTTTTACAGGGTTTCTATGCTGAAAAGTATACAACATGAATAAGAGAAATTTTAAAATATCTAAATGAGTGGAAAGATGTAGCATGTTCATAAATTGAAAGCCTCAATAAAGATGTCAGTTCTTCCCAGCTTAATATACAAGTTTAACACGATGCCTATCAAAATCCCAGCAAGATCTTTTGTATATATAGACAAGATTATTCCAGAATTTATCTGCCGATGCATTAAAATAGCAAAAACAATTTTGACAAACAAGGATAAAATGGGAGAGATCAGTCTATCTGATTTCAAGAACTTTTATATAGCTAGAGTAATCAAGACAGTAGTATTAGAGGAGAAATAAACATACACATCAGTGGAACTGAGGCAAAAACCAAGAAATAGACCACATAAATTTGCTCCACTGATTTTGATAGGGAATTCAAAAGCAATTCAATGGAGAAAAAAGAGACTTTTCAACAAATGGTGCTGGAACAATTGGATATCCATAGGCTAAAAAAATGAACTTTAAACTTACATCTTATACAAAAATTAACTCACAAAAAAACCTGTGTGTATAACTATTTATAAGAGCCATAAACTGGAAATAATCTATATGTCATTGAATGGATGAATTATTAAACCAACTATGGTACATTCATGTCACAGACTCAGCAATTATAATAAGGAATGAACTGCTGATGCACAAAACAACATAGATGAATCTCCAGACAATTACTCTGAGAAAAAAAAAAGCTGATCCTAGAAGGTTACATACAGTATGATTCCTTTATGCAACATTCTTAAAATAACAAAATAATATAACTTGATAATAGATTAATAATGGTTGCCAGGAATTAAGGAGGGGATGGGAAAGGAGGGAAGCAGGTACTACAAGAGGGCAACATGGGGGCAGTGTTCTCTATCTTGACTACATCAATGTCAATATCCTGATTGTGATATTGTTCTATGGTTTTGCAAGCTATTTTGGGGAAATTGGGTGAAGAGTTCATGGGATCTCTCTGTATTACTTCTCTCAAATGCAGTTAAGTCTACAGTTATCTCAAAATTTAAAAGTTTAATTGAAAGTATAGCTGAAATTCTATGGTTAAAAAATGGAATGCTAAAAAAACAGAGATTTTAAGTGGCTGCAATTATTAGTTTACAAAAGCTCCCCCGAGGAAAACTTCCCTCTCTTAGACTCACGTTGATTTTTTTACTGGTTATAGAAAAAAATCTCATAGCATATATACTGAATCCATTCTAATAGAATAAACAGAATAGATTTTTAGAGCAAACAACTACTTTACTTTTTAGTGACCATCTACTTTAACTAGATATATAGGTAAGGAGCTGGGGCCCAGAGTGGCTATTATATTAGGAAGGCTGAGGTTAGAGTAGGTATCCAAATAAACATATCCTCTAGGCATTTAGAAATACAGGATTGGAATAGTGCTAAAAAAAAAATCATGATCAGAGATGAAGACTTCTAAATGATGGTAAAATTCTTAAACTTTAAGAAGTTATGAACTTACTAAAAGGAAAAATATTATTTATACTATGACAACATACCTAGGACTACAAAGTAGGTCCATGATGGACAAAAATTCACGTATTTCATTTCTTTTCTAGACTAAATCCGGCTACTTGCAGAAATATAAAGAAATACAGCACATCTTGGACAGCACCCAGAAATCACCCTTTTGTAATCCAAGGGGATGTTATGGCAAACTCTTCAGAATGGGTCCAGTCTAAGCCCCACAGGTCATTGGAAAGTTTATCACCTCTCAAAGGCCCCAAGAAGAATAAACATTCTCAAATCTGGGCCATAAAGAATGAAGACATAAAACCTCTCAGCAGCAAGTGGGAGACTGCTTCTTCAAGCTTTGGAATGGATGCAAATGTTCTAAAATATAAGAGTCTTCAAGCTGAAGAAACTAACCAGCAAAGCTCTAAGCATACAGCCCTCCATCTAACTAAAAATAAGGATGAGCAGGCCAATAAGAATGATGGACAACCCACCTTATATCTGAAGTTCCAAAGGGAGAGTTAATCTAGCTTTATACTGCTCTGAGAACTGTGAATGAAGGATAACATATGCTTATGTAGTAAAAAGAAAAAAAGGAAAGCCCTCCCCTTCCCCTTTCCCTATCTCTCCCCTTACACATGCATATGCATAAACTAAAAATTTTAGATATCCCATCTTCTGTAGTGGGAACATCTTTCAGAGATTTAAAAAGAAATCCAGAGAAAATATGGAAAAATATTAAAGCAGATATTTATATTTAGTTTTTATCAGCATGGAAAAAAATCTCTGAAGTTTTGATTTCTTCCAAAACTACTTACACATTCGACACCAAAAAAACTTAAGAACTCAAAGTAGGAATGACATATAATATGTCACTGATTTTAACCTCCCTACTAGACACTTTAATCAATTAGTCAACAAACATCATTTCCTGATTTTCTGTTATATCATTAGTGTGCTAGGAACCATTTCTCTCTACTAGGAGATTACCACATAATTGTACAGATAAAACATACCTGAATAAAATGATTACAGAATAAGATAAAGTGTTAAGTTGTGCACTTCCAATGATTAGAAAAAATACTGTATATTAAAAGTTGCCAGTTGCACAAAGCAAAAGTGTGGCACAACATGGCACTGAAATGCATAGACTGTGGTTTAAAATAATCATTTTATTTCTCAAAATGTAGCAAAGGTGTAAAGATGTACAGTTTCCTTTACAGCGAATTGGTTTACATCTCCAGCCATTTATTCATGTGAACACTGGAATAAGTCCAGCACCTCAGTTTGTCATTCATAAGGCAGTGAGCACTGGGAGGGATTTGTGAAGGACACACAGAGGAGCAAGTATGTCAGGCAGAAGAGTCAAGATGCATGTAGTAAGTCAGAAAACAGAATCAAGCAGCCTTGAGTCATAGGTCAACAATGGCATCCATTAGAGGATGAGGCTAAGCATAAGAAGGGTCAGGTAGGAGAGGTACATTAAAAATACAGGCCACAGCCTAATTACAGCTGGGTGGAACTATGAAGATCTGGGGTTGAGTGGTCTACTCTCAACAGTATTTCTAGTAGCTAAAGAGTTTCCAAGGAGAGCCCACTGCACTGTTAAAAGAGTAACTATTATGTTTTAAAGGACCATGACCATAGATTTCCTCAGGAATCTTTAATGTCTGGTGGGAAATAGCTATCTTCTAAATACATTAGATGGTGCTTTGAAGGCAAGTATCCTGGTTCTCAAAGAGTACCCCAACTTTTGGTATAAAATTCTCATCCTTAGTGATTATCTTGGGCAAGAGCAGAAGTCTACTTGCTTTTGGGATGCCCTCTGCCAGGTAGGTGCTCGGGCTTGGGAAAGCCAGAGGTTAATGTTCCGGATCATAGCATTTATTGTAGCTGACTTCAGGATGGAGTAAGAGTTCTCAAAATTCCATTGGCCCTTCTCCACAAAGATCAGGACAAAAGCCTAAACTCTGGGAAAATATTTTTAATTCAGTGAAATGTCATTTGAATCTTCGACTGCCTAAGAGTTTGAAATTGTAAACTCTGGAATGTATTGTCTTTGTGGATGACCAAAAAAGGTGATAAACCAGTTTCCTGGAAGATTTAGGGATGCACAGATATTACCTAAACAATTTTACCTTGGTCCATAATTGCACTCCTTGTATTTGATACAAATATAAGATGCTTTACCCAAAGTAAGAGGATTGGCAGTCCACTTCCTCACTATGCTACAATACTTTCAGTTTTCTGAGCATGCCACTCTCTCATAAAAGCTATTTATTCTCTCAGCCCAGCATCTCCTCCACCTGGCAGCCCCTACTTCTTTAAGATTCAACTCAACTGCTGCCTTCTCTGGCAAACCTTCCATATATTTCCATAGAAATTTAAAACAACTACGATGAATATGCTGACAGTTCTAATGGGAAAATTGGACAATGCAAGAACAGATGGGTAATATAAGCAGAGAGATGGGAACTAAGAAACAAAAAAAAAATGCTAGAAATCAAAAACACTGTAACAGAATGAATGATGATGGACTACCCAACAGGTAAGACACAACTGAGGAAAGAGTCAGTATGCTTAAAACAATGTCAATAGAAACTAGCAAAACTTAAATGCAGAGCAAAAAAGAATGAAAAATTCAGAATATCCAAAAACTGCAGGACAATTTTAAAAGGTATGTAACGTGTAATGGGACTACTGGAAGTAAAGGAAAAAAAGGAACACAAGAAATATTGAAGCAGTAATGACGGAGAATTTCTCAAAATGAACGACACCAAACCACAGATCCAGAAAGCTCACAGAATACCAGGAATGATAAATACCAAAAAAATCAAAGACCAAGAAAAAATCTTGAAAAAAACACCTTATGTATAGATAAGCAGGGATAAGAATTACATCAGACATCTCTTCAGAAACCATGCAAGAAAGAAGAGAGTGGAGTGAAACATTTAAAGGGTTTAAAGAACCACTGTCTCAGCTCAGGCTGCTGTAACAAAATACCATAAACTAGGCTGCTTAATGAAACAATAGAAATTTATCTCAGTTCTGAGGCTGGGAAGTCCAAGATCAAGATGTCAACAGATCCAGTGTCCAGTGAGGGCAGTCATCTTGGTTTGCAGGTGGCCTTCTTGTTGTATCCTCGCATGGTAGGGAGAGATCATCCCACGTCTCTTCTTATGATCACTAATCTCATTCATGAGGGCTTCACCCTCATGACCTAATTACCACCCAAAGGTCCTGTCTTCTAATACGATCACACTAGGGGTTAGGATTGCAACATATGAAATTTGGGGGATGCAACATCAGACCATAACAACCGCTGACTACAGTTCTGTATCCAGTGAAATTGTCCTCCAAAAGTGAAAGAGAAATGGACTTTTTCAGACAAACAAAAATTGTGGGAATTTGTCATCTCTAGAGCTGCTCTTTTTTTTAATGTTAAAAGAAATTCTTTAGAAAGGATGAAAATTATACAGGTCAGAAATTCTGGCCTACGTAAACAAAGGGAAAGCAATAGAAAAGGAATAAATGAAGGTAAAATAAAATCTTTTATTTTTCTTAATTACCTAACAGATAATAGTTTGTTCAAAACAATAACAGTGTATTCAGAAATTATAGCTTATTGATAAGTGAAATGAATAGCAGCAATGTTGTAAGGAATCGGAGGGAGGAATTGGGAATACCCTGTTACAAAATACTTGTACTACCAAAGAAGCAAGTGGTATAGGGTTATTTGAGAAAGGATTGGATTCATTGTAAATGTATCCTGTAAATTCAAGGGTAAAAAAGAGGTAGAATTGATATACTAAAATAGGAAAAAAATCAAATCATACAAAATATTCAATTAAAATAGAAGGAGGTAGAAAACAAGTGGAAGACAAAATAATAAAGGTTTGTTACATGGGTAAATTGCATGTTGTGGGCATTTGGTGTACAGATTATTTCATCATTCATGTAATAAGCATAATACACAATAGGTAGATTTTCGATCCTCACCCTCCTCCCACCCTTCACCCTCAAGTAGGCCCTAGTGTCTATTGTTCCCTTCATTGTGTCCATGTGTACCTAATGTTTAGTTCCCACTTATAAGTGAGAACTTGTGGCATTTGGTTTTCTGTTCCTGCATTAATTTGCTTAGGATAATGACCTCCAGCTTCACCCATGTTGCTGTAAAGGACACTATTTCATTCTTTTATATGGCTGCATAGTATTCTATGGTATATGTGTACCACATTTTCTTTATTCAGTCCACCATTGATGGTCATCTAGGTTAATTCTATGTCTTTGCTACTGTGAATAGTGCTACAGTGAACATACACATGCATGTGTCTTTATGGTAGAACAATTTATATTCCTTTGGATATATACTGCATAATGGGATTGCTGGGTCAGATGATAGTTGTGTTTTAAGTTCTTTGATAAATCCCCAAACCACTTTCCAAAGTGACTGAACTAATGTACATTCCTGCCAACAGTGTGTAAGCATTCCCTTTCCTCTGCAACCTCACTAGTTTTTTTTTACTTTAACAATAGCCATTCTGACTGTTGTGAGATGGTATCTCATTGTGATTTTGATTTGCATTTATCTAATCATTAGTGATGTTGAGAATTTTTTCATATGCTTGTTGGCCATGTGTATGTCTTCTCTTGAGAAGTGTCTATTCGTGTCCTTTGCCCTTTTTTTTTTAATGAGGTTGTTTTTTGCTTGTTACGTTTTTTATAGATTCTTAATATTTGACCTTTCTTAGATGCATAGTTTACAAATATTTTCTCCCCTTCTATAGGCTGTTTACTGTGCTCAAAGTTTCTTCTGCTGTGCAGAAGCTCTTTAGTTTAATTAGGTCCCACTTGTAATTTTTGTTTTTGTTGCAATTGCTTTTGTAGTCTTTAACGTGAAATATTTGCCAGGGCCTATGTCCAAAATGGTATTTTCCAGGTTTTCTTCTATGCTTTTTATAGTTTTAGGTTTTACATTTAAGTCTTTAATCCATCTTGAGTTGATTTTTGTATATGGTGAAAGGAAGGGGTCCAATTTCAATTTTCTGCATATGACTAGCCAGTTATTCCAGCACCATTTATTGAATAGGGTGCTCTTTCCCCATTGCTTGTTATTGTTGACTTTGTCAAAGATCAGATGGTTGTAGGGTACAACATTATATATGGGTTCTTTAACCTGTTTCATTAGTCTGTTTTTGTACCAGTACCATGTTGTTTTGGTTACATAGCCTTGTAGTATAGTTTGAAGTCAAGCAGTGTGATGCTTCCAGCTTTGTTCTTTTTGCTTAGGATTGCTTTGGCAATTCAGGCTCTTTTTTGGATCCACATGAATTTTAGAATAGTTTTTTTTTTCTAATTCTGTAAAAAATATTGTAGTTTGATAAAGAATACATTGAATCTGTACATTGTTTTGGGCAGTAAGTCCATTTTAACAATATCGATTCTTCCTATCCATGAGCATGGAATGTTTTTCCATTTATTTGTGTCATTTCTTATTTTTTTCAGCAGTGCTTTGTAATTCTCATTGTAGACATCTTTCACGTCCCTGGTTAGTTGTATTCGTAGGTATTTTTATCTACTTGTGGTTATTATGAATGGGATTGCATTCCTGATTTGGTTCTCAGCTTGGACATTATTGGTGTATAAGAATGCTATTGATTTTTGTACATTGATTTTGTATCCTGAAACTTTGCTGAAGTTGCTTAGCAGATCTAGGAGCCTTTGGGCAGAGACTATGGGGTTTTCTAGGTATAGAGTCATATAATCTGCAGAGAGATAGTTTGACTTCATCTCTTTTTATTTGGACGCCTTTTATTTCTTTCTCTTGCCTAGTTGCTCTGGCTAGGACTCCCAATACTATGTTGAGTAGCAGTGGTGCAAGTGGACATCCTTGTTTTGTGCCCATTTTCAAAGGGAATGCTTCCAGCTTTTGCCCATTTAGTATGCTGTTGGCTGTAGGTTTATCATAGGTGGCTCTTATTATTTTGAGGTATGTTGCCTTGATCCCTAGTTTGTTGAGAGTTTTTAACATGAAGGGATGCTGAATTTTATCAAAAGCCTTTTCTGCATCTATTAAGATGATCAATAGATGCAGGAAAGATTGTTTATAGTTCTGTTTATGTGATGAATCACATTTATTGATTTGCATATGTTGAACCAACCTTCCATCCACCTTGAACATGGTGGATTAGCTTTTTGATGTGCTGCCGGATTCGGTTTGCTAGTATTTTGTTGAGGATTTTTTCCTCTATGTTCATCAAGGATATTGACCTGAAGTTTTCTTTTTTTCATTGTGCCTCTGCCAGGTTTTGGTATCAGGCTGATGCTGACCTTATAGACTGAGTTAGAGAGGAGTCCCCACTCCTTGATTTTTTGGGATAGTTTCAGTAGGTTTGCTACCTGTTTTTCTTTGTATGTCTGGTAGAATTCAGCCATGAATCTGTATGGTCCAGGGCCTTTTCTGGTTGGTAGGTTTTTATTACTGATTCAATTTCAGAACTTGTTATAGTATGTTCAGGATTTCAATTTCTTCCTGGTTCAATCTTGGGAGGTGGTATGTTTCTAGGAATTTATCCATTTCTTCTAGGTTTTCTAGTTTGTATGCATACAGTCATTCATAATTGTCTCTGAGGGTTTCTTATACTTTTGTGGGGTCAGTGGTAATGTCCCCTTTGTTATTTCTGATTGTGTTTATTTGGATCTTCTCTGTTTCTTCATTAGTCTAGCTAGTGGTCTATCAATTCTATTTATTCTTTCAAAAAACCAACTTTTGGTTTTGTTGATCTTTCGTATGTTTTTTTGTGTCTCAGTTTCATTCAGTTCAGCTCTGATTGTGCTTATTTATTTTCTTCTTCTAGCTTTGGGGTCGGTTCACTCCTGTTTTTCTAGTTCTTCTAGGTGTGGTGTTAGATTGTAAATGTGAGATCTTTCTTTTGGATGTTGGCATTTAGTGCTACAAACTTTACCCTCAATCCTGCTTTAGCTGTGTCCCAGACATTCTCATATGTTGTATATTTGTTTTCATTAGTTTCAAAGAATTTCTTGATTTCTGCCTTAATTTCATTGTTTACCCATAAGTAATTCAGGAGCAAATTGTTTAATTTCTATGTAATTGTATGGTTTAGAGAAATCTTGGTGTTGATTTCTACTTTTATTGTGCTTTATTCTGAAAGAGTGGTTGGTATGATTTCATTTTTTCTTTAATTTCTGAGAATTGCTTTATGGCCAAGCATGCGGTTGATCTTAGAGTATGTGCCATATGCAAATGAGAAGAATGTATATTCTGTTGTTGTTGGGTGGGGTGTTCTGTAGATGTCTGTTAGGTCCATTTGGTCAAGTGTCAAGTTTAGTTCCAGAATATCTTTGTTAGTTTTCTGCCTCAGTGATATGTCTAATACTGTAATGTGTCATGACAGTAAAAGAAAAAGTTGAATTGCTTGATATGCACCATAGATTGAGATCTGCAGCTGCATTTGCCCACTATTTCAGACAATTTATTTCATAAACAGATAATGTAAACTTAATGGTATCAATAAATACATCAAGTACATGGGAGATACATTTCTTTCCATATATTTGCCCTTCCTTATGATTTTCTTAATAGTTTCTTTAGTTACTTTATTGTAATACAGTACGTAATACATATACAAAATATGTGTTATCAGCTGTTTGTTTTCAGTAAGGCTTCTGATCAACAATAGGCTATTAAGTGTTGGGGTTGCAAAAGTTATACATCAGTTTTCTTCTGTATGAGGGGGTTGGTGCCTCTAATTCCTGTGTAGCTCAAGGGTCAACTGTATTTGTTCACAGATATCATGACTGTCTTTGTAGAAAATGCAAGGAAATCAATAACAACAACAAAAACTGGGAGTAATAAGTGATAATAGCAAGACTGCAAGACACTAGGTTAATATACAAAAGTCAATTGCCTCCTTATATGCCAGCAATGAACAATTGGAGTTTGAAATTAAAAACACATTACCATTGACATTAGCACCAAAAAATAAAAACGAAATACTTAAGTATGTGTCAAGAGCTATATGAGGAAAACTATAAAACTCTGATGAAAAAAAAACTACTAAAGAATAACTAAATAAATGGAAAGACAGTCTGTGTTCATAGACAGGAAAACTCAATATTGTCAAGATGTCAGTTCTTTCCAACTTGATCTATAGATCCCAATTAAAATCCCAGCCAGTTATTTTGTAGATATCAACAAACTGTTTCTAAAGTTCATATGGAGAGGCAAAAGACCCAGAATAGCCAACACAGTATTGAAGAAGAACAAAGTCAGAAGACTGACACTACATGCCTTTAAGACTTACTATAGACTGAGTGCGGTGGCTCATGCCTGTAATCCCAGCACTTTGGGAGGCCAAGGTGGGATGTTCACTTGAAGCCAGGAACTTAAAACCAGCCTGGGCAACATAGCAAGACCCTGTTTCTACAAAAATAAATAAAAAGAAAATTCTAAAAACGGACTTACTATAGAGGTACAATAATCAATACAGTATGTTATTGGCAAAATAACAGACAGATCAATGAACAGAATAGAGAGACAAGAAAAAGATCCACATAAATATAGTCAACTCATCTTTAACAAAGGAGCAAAGGCAATACAATGAAACAAAGATAGTCCTTTCAACAAATGGTGCTGGAACAACTGGACATCCACATACTGCAAAAACAAACAAACAAATCCAGATGCAGACCTTATTGCCTTCACAAAAATTAACTGAAAATGGATCACAGACCTAAATGTAAAATGCAATACTATAAATCTGGAAGATAACACAGGAAAAAAAACTAGACGGCTGAGGGTATGTGTAGGAATTACATGAGATATCTCTGTACCTTCCTCTCAATTTTCCTGTGAACCTAAAACCAATCTAAGAAATGAAGTGTTTAATATTGAATTTAAAAAAAAAATGGGCAGAGATCCAGCTCTAAAACAGCACCCTGAGAAGCTTCTCACCCACTCCCCAGTGGTGGGCAGGGAGGGGAACCTGGTAGAAATATTTTTTAGAAAAACCCATTTAAAGTTTTAAAAACCATTAGGAAAATTGTCCTAAGGACATACATCAAATAAAGACATATTTATTCAGAAAATTTACTAAATTCCTGTAAGAAAAGTGAGGGTCTCTGGTACTTAGCCATGGCCCACTCCTTCCCTTCCCCCATGTTCAGCAGAAGGGAAACTCCACTGTGGGAGGATATGGCCAAGAACACTGGGATCACAGTCACTCCAGCTCCCAGTCAAGGGCTATGGTATCTCCCCTAGGAGGAGAAGGCTGCCAGCGTTTCTCATCTCCCTACCGCTGTGAAGCAGAAACAACATTTGAGGCTAATGAGGCCAAGAGGTCAGGGACTCCCTTCCTCCACTCAACCATAAGGCAAAGGTTCAGTGGGCTGGGAATACTGGATTCCTGGTCACCTTTTCTCCAGCTACTTCATAGTGTGGAGTTTCCATGCCAGGAGAGTCAAGCTGAAGTTGAAAAGACCAGAGGCTACTACGCCACTCAGGACCATGCTCAAAAAGTAGATGGGTCACTCTAGAAGATGCAAGCCACTGTCACCAACCCCAGGTCCAGAGCAGTGGCTCAGATATGTTGCCCAGAGGAGAGGCATGCCTTAAGAACAGAGAGCTCTGAAGCTGTCCTCAAGTAAACTGACTTGTTTGGAACAGAGTGTGGGGAAGTTCAAGGTTAAGAGTACTGCCAAAAACAATGGAGATTTTGACAGTAAGCAATTAAGAGGAAATGAGTAGCTTGATAAAAGCAACAAGCTCAACCATAGGCCAGCTAGGTTGCCAGAGAACCAGTGAAAGAGACAGTAAGAAATAACCCTCTTGGAGTAAAAACAAAAAAAAGAAAAAGGGAAGATAAAGAATAAGAAAGAGGCCAGGCACAGTGGCTCATGCCTGTAATCCCAGCATTCTGGGAGGCCAAGGCAGGTGAATCCCTTGAGCCCAGGAGTGTTAGACCAGCCTGGGCAACATGGCAAAACCCTATCTGTACCAAAAAATTAATAATAATAATAATATAAAAATTAGCCAGGCATAGTGGCACGCACCTGTAGTCCTAGCTACTTAGGAGGCTGAGGTGGGAGGATCACCTGAGCACAAGAGGTCAAGGCTGCAATAAGCTGTGATCGTGCCACTGCACTCCAGCCTAGGTGACAGAGAGACCCTGTCTCAAAAGAGTAAAAAAAAAAAAAAAAAAAAAAAAAAAAAAAGAAGAGGAACAAAGAAATATTTTAGACCTCCAGTTAAAAATGGCAAACTGGATACACATTCAATTTTGCTCCCTCTCAAAACCACCAAAATAATTTATTTTTTAAGGCATAAAGCTGAAAGGATGACAAGAGGAGACCATTTTGGAAGCCAGGAAGCAGAACAAATTTAAACTTCTCAACAAAACAAGAAAGCCAGACATAATGGGACAAAGCCTTCAAAATTATAAATGAAAATTATTTTTAACCTAAAATTTTATATTCAGTCTAAATTTGATCACATTTGAATAGATCAAGTTAGAATGAAGATATTTTCAGTTTTGTAAGTTCTCAAAAAATTCTCTTCAGTGTACCCATTTCTCAGGAAGTTACTGGAGATTTACTCTCCCAGAACTGAATAAATGGAGAAAGAGAAATGCCTTTGATGCAGGAAGCAGGAGATCCAACCTAGGACAGAAGTAAAGGGAATCCCCAGCATGGTGGTGATGTGAGAAGCCAGGACAACAGCTGTGTGTGGTGTCAAGCCCCAGACTGGGGCAGGTTGGAAGGGTCTGAAAAGCCTTTCTCAGGAAGATATAGAATACTTGATGCATAGAAATTTATTCATAGAAGATTTGATAAAGATTTGAGGGTTGGATTAGTGTTAAGCAATAGAAAACCAAGCAAGCAAACAAACTTTTTAAAAAAAGCAATTATCTTCAGAGAAGATCAAAAGTTATGCAGGATAGGAAAAGTAATCTTAATTTTCTACATGGCTCAGCTGCTGTAAATGGTATTTACAGGCACACCTCGGAGATATGTTGCAGGTTCTGTTCCTGACCACTGCAATAAAGCAAGTATTACAGTAAAGCAAATCACACGAATTTCTGGTTTCCCAGTGCATATAAAAGTCATGTTTATACTATAAGGTAGCCTATTTAGTGTGTGATACTGTTATGTCTAAAAAAACCTAACGGACATACCTTAATTTAGAAATACTTTGTTGCTAAATAATGCTAACAATCATCTGAACCTTTGCCTTCACAACATAAGGCCTAACATTTGGCTTATCTTTGCTTTCACAATGCCTTCCTCACTAAGCTTAATCATTTCTAGTTTCCAATTTTAAATGAAAGACATGTGACACTTCCTTTCACTTAAACACTTACAGGCCATTGTAGGGACATTAATTGGCCTAATTTCAGTATTATTGTGTCTCAGGAATAGGGAGACCTAACGTGAGAGAGAAATGGAGGAACGTCCAGTTGGTGGAGTGGTCAGAACACACGGTCAGAACACCAACACAGAGTTGGTGGAGCGGTCAGAACTGAATTATCAATTAAGTTCACCGTCATATGGGTGCGGTTCATGGCACCCCAAAACAATCACAATAGTAACATCAAAGATCACCATAACCAACATAATAATAATGAAAAAGCTTGAAATGTTGCAAAAGTTACCAAAATGTGACACAGAGACATGAAGTGAGCAAAGGCTATTGAAAAAATGGTGCCAATAGACTTGCTCGATGCAAAAATGCCACAAATCCTCAATTTGTAAAAGATGCAGGATCCACAAAGAGAGATGCACAATAAAATAAAGTATACCTGTGCATATTCCAATATTGTAAACACTGAATATTGATTTAAACAAAACTATAACCAATTTGGATAGAGGAGGAAGAGAGGAAGCATACTTCTGGAACATGCAGTGGGGAAGAAGAAAGCTAAATCTTCACCTTTTATGGTTGGGAGTCAGTAGATTATGCCTGAAACTGAAAAATCAAGAAGTACCAATCCAAGCATGTTATTTAGAGAACTGAGGTAAATGCCTAAAGAATGAGCACAGGTGAAAGTGCTTGCCTCTGAAGAGGAAGAAAGGGAGAGTGTGGGACTGCCGATTTTCGTAAGTTTTGAAAAACTGACTCTTTGAAAACTAGGTACATGATAACCTTGAATAAATTTCATAAATATAAATATGTTTCTATCTCTTCTATATCACTTCACTCACCAGTATTGAGTTTTCAGAGTAACTACTGTATATTAGTATCTAAAAGTTAATTTTCTGTCTTAAAGGCATTAATATGGATGCTAGACTAAATATACAGAAATTCCACTTTTCATAATAATAGCTACCATTACTATGGTCCCAGTATTGTACTAAGCACTTATATTATCTCCAGTCCCCAGAGCAACCATGCAAAGTAGGTACTGTTTCCATTTTACAGATAAGAAATTGATGCTCAAAGAGATTAAATAATTTGCTAGTATGTAGCAGAACTCTCTGATCTCAAAGCCTCTGTTCTTCCTTCCTCCTGGATCCCATCACCTCTTTCTAGAGTTTGCGTTTAAAAGAACTAGGGGCAGGGGGAGGGCAATGTAGCAGTTCAAATAACTCCTCCTTTGGAGGAAGGGCAAGGAAGCAGAAGAGAACCGCTGAAGGATTCAGCAATAGCACTAGGTAGCAGTCTCATGTAACCAAGTTTAACCCACAGTTGAAATTTCCAGTTGGTCATGTGAGCAACGGAAGCAATTTTTAAACTCTGGCCAGGAGCCCCAATGCTTACAAAAATAAAAGCTTTGTTCGGCTCTTATTTTGAAATAAAATAGATGTTCCAGCTGCTCCAACATGGGCCTAAACACTGCAGTGAGAATGCTCAGGACACAAAGTTTTGTGTCCAGAGAAGCCCAGTCATCATTACAAAATTGATCTCTAAAAGGGGTTGGGGGACAGACGGCATAGCTGCTTCCCAAGGAAATGAGTAGGAGGTGACCTGGGTCCTGACTGCCACACTGGCTGGGAGCTTGGACCAGATGATCCTGATGGGTTTCTTCTGAATAAAATTCCGGGTTGTGTTTATCTTGCAGTTTAAATCACTGGGAGCTTCGAGAGTTCTTTGGCTCCTTCCCTTTCTGGAATTATTGTGTGATATAATCAAGACATTTACCTGGCTCTTTAAATCAGTTGGTTTGCCGGCTACAGTGTAGGTAAAGAGTATGTCATAATGGACAATAAAAAGTTGTTTACATACCTCATTTCTGAAAAGTCATGGGCCACTGGCAAGTTAGGAAACGAAAGTGAAATCAGCTGATAGTGACATCAGTCAGAACAAATGTACCAAAGTTCAGAGAGCTGTTTACTAGGCACGACTGCGAAGGCAAGGGGGCACCAGCTCAGGACTGCATCTGCCTGCCATTTCCCTTCCACTCCTCCTTTCTGGAGTCTGACATTAGAAAGCCAGCGAGAAGGAAGATTCAAACAACCAACCCTGATTTCCTGCTTCTCCTTTTCATGAGTGTTCCTGTGGTCTCTGCACCTCCTTTCTGTAAGTACCGATCCTGCAAGCATCACAGCTTACCCAGACGTCTACTACCTTGTAAGACAATTTTGTTTTCTTCTCAGATATTTCATGTTCTGGCAATCCACATAGGGGAACTCACTGGTTGTTCAGTATCTGTGACCCTCCCTCGCTCATGTCTGTATAATCTACATAATCTACCCCCTTTACTCTCTGCTCTCCTTCCTTCCACTCTTCGGCATCAACATGTGTAGCTCTGGCCTCAAAGATGATGAAAGTAAGGCCAGTATAACTGGTTAGAAACGATGCAGGGCTGACTGCACACAGCAGAGTCTTGCACGCAGTGTGTACAAGGACATGGCTGTGGCTTGTGCAATACACTGTTCATCAGAAATAGGTAAACAAAAGCAGGTCACCGACCAACACTAACTAAACCACTATTCAATGGTAGTTACGAACACATCATAAAACTTTAAAATACACACTGAAGATTAATATCAACAGAAAAACTTGTGTTCTTGCCTCAAAGAATGGGACCTAAGAGATGTTTAGATCTTATGTTAGTCATTAGACCAGATTGCTCCTCATGCCCCAGTGGAAATCCATGGTGGTATTTTAGTTCTCTTGATGCATATTTTAAGAGATTTTTTTTAATGTGGGCTTAGTTTCACTAATAACTTCCACTATGCTTCTTCGCCTATAAAATCAAAGGCTCCTTTGAAAGAGGGAAAAGACACATATTTCCTTCTTCCCTCATGATAACTGAAGAGCATTTTTCAGTATCCACTTACCATACCCCATTCCCCAAAATCTCAGGTCTGAGACTCAGTCCATGAGATATTTTTTCAATCTTGCACATATTCCCCTTTCTCAACTTTCTTTCCAGCTTAGTCCCTGCTTTATCTAATTACTAAGGCTGTTTTGAATGCCTGTTTTATAAATTTCTTTTTTTTTCATAAATGTAGCACATAATTCTAAAAATATTTTACTGCAAATAGAGAACAATTGCCTGTAATGTCACCACCCAGAGCTACCACAGCTAACATTAACATTTTCAAATACTTCTTTAGTCTCTTTCTCCTATGCCTCTTTATATGGATGTAGTCACACTATGTAGAGTGATTTTATACCTGCTTTTTCTAAAAGATGCATAGTATTTTATCCTTGATACATCATAGTTTACTTCTGATATTGGACTTTCAAGCTGCTTCCCATTTTGTGCCAAAAGTAATGCTGTGCTGAACATTCCTATGTATAAATTATTGACTGGATTTCTGATTGCTGTCTTAGGATAGATTTATAAAAGTGGGCCAAAGAGATATGACTATTTTTAGGGTTTTTAATGTTTATTGCCAATCTGCCTCCCTGAAAGTTTGTACAAATGTTCACATCCACCATCATTGTGTGAGAATGCCAGTTTAACCATATTTTTGGTATCATCAAGTGTTTTTACCTACAGTGTTGATAGGGAAACTCTGGTTTTTTACTTGGCGTATCTTTAATTACATTAGAAAAGTTACAGAATTTTTTTTCATGTTAGTTAACTACTTTGCATTCTTTGTGAATTATCTCTTCATATTTGTCCATTTTTAATGAGGTGTAATGTTTTTTGACAGTTTGCGTAAACATTTTAAACATTAAGTACATTAATCATTTCATAGTTGTGGTAGATATTTTCCATGCTCATTGACTTTTAATTATATTTATGTTGTTTTTGGTGAATAGAAATCTTTATTTTAGAATAGTTAAACCTGTGCAATTCTTTATTTGTAGTTTCCATTTGCTCTTAAGTTCCAAATTTTATTTTTCACTCATAAATCAAATATATCCTTTTTTCCAGATCATTGATTTTTTTATCTGGTTTTACCTTTCACTCTTGGATCCATGTGAAATTTATTTGGGTATGTGGAGTGAGATGAGGACCTAAAATAGTTTTGTTTCTCTTTTCTAGTTAGCTGATCAATTGCTTCAGTATTAGTTAATGAAGAACCCTTTCAGGACTCAAAACAAATATCTCTTCTGAAGAGAGGCTTTCCCTGACCCTATAATCTAGTCATCACTTCCTCCTGCCAGTTTCTCTCTCTCACTCACCCTGTTTATTTCTTTCCCAAACCTTTTCAAAAATTATAATTACCTTTTAAAAAATACATTTGGTGTTTGCCTTCCCAACTAGAGTACAAGCTCAATGAGAGCAGGCACCTGGTTTGTCCTGTGTGGCACTGATTCCCCAGGGCCTCTGATTCAGGGAGTCATCCAAAATGTGTCACTAACAGAGTTACAAGATGAAATGCTGACCCCACGAGTCGAAGTGGGTGGCAAATTGCCTTTGTAATTGCGGAAGAGAGGGCTGGTGCGGGAAAACTAACCATTGACAGCCAAAGGCAGTCACCAGTTTCTGGTACTACTGATTCTCAAACTCTGAATCTTGTGAATCTTGGCCGCCCACAAACTGGACCGTGGAGTCCTGCCAACAGAAACCAAATGAGATTAGCTGGACGTGGTGGCAGGAGGCTGAGGCAGGTGAATTTCTTGAACCCGGGAGGCAGAGATTGCAGTGAGCCAAGATGGTGCCACTGCATTCCACCCTGGGTGACAGAGCAAGACTGTCTCAAACAAACAAACAAATTAAGATGGCTCATTTGTAGACATTTTCTCATTTTTAAGGATTTTCTTCTCCCTCTAAACTTTTTGTAATCTTTGTTCCCACTTGGATTATCTGCTAGTGAGAGCTAATAGTCAACAAAACAATTGCACAAATAGCAAGTTAATATTAATGGAACCATTTAAACAGCTATCTCAATGGCTTGTCATCTGGGTGCCTGGACTCATGCTTCTGACTTTATGTTATAATCTCATGGTATAGTCCTATTTTGTCTGATAAAGCTGTTTTATTTACATGGAATAATTAAGTAAATCAAAACATCACAGCATTCATTAAAAACTTGGTGGTTGGGATGGCTGTCCACAGAAAACACTGGTGAAATCCAGGAGCTGCCACCACCTACACACTGTTGAAAAACACTGCAGTAGCCCTGTTTTGAAAAGAATTAGAACCTGGACTCATGTTTCTACCAAAGGAAATATGACACATTTCCCTTTCTTCTTCCCTTTTTATTTTTGTGACAGCCACACCTAAACCATGAGCACACTGATCTTCAATGTGTTCCACCAGAAATATTTTAGCCAGGACTGGTGGCCTCTGACAAGTAAACCTGCGCCCTTGTTCTATGCCCTGGCAAGCTCTGTTGCCCCGGCTTTATTCTGCTAACATTTTCTTCCCAGTTCTCCTCTCTCCATTCAGGCGACACACCCAACCATGTCTACCTGACTCTCCGTCAATTCCCGTTTCTCCCACTGAGCTATTGCTTCAGCATCATGACCAGAGCAGACACATTGACCCAGTTTGTGTCAGGCCCCAAGCCCTCTATATGTGAGTGAACTTCCTTCAGTCTCACAACAGCCCATGAGGAACGTGACAACTGATGCATTACAGATGAGGATGTGAGGCTCAGGCTGGCTATGTAACTTGCCCAAGGTCATATGACTAGTGAGTGACAGAACGACGACATGCTCCCAGGTCATCTGGCTCTAAAACCCATGCTCCTTACCACCACACTGTGCTACCTCTCAACAGGCAGCTGCATCCTGGAGTCATCACAACCAAACATAAATGAGACCAGCTTCCTAGAGTTCATCTCTGGGAATGAACCCTGGCACTATTTGTCTTCCTAGAATCTCACCACTGTCAGGCTGGTAGCCTGGGCTTAACTTCTCTGAGCCTCAGTTTTCTCTCTATCGTAGTAATAATTTAAATAATACTTACCAGGTCATGTTCTAAATGCCATGCACAAATTACTTCATTTAATTTCCATAACATCTACAAAATAAGTTATATAATTAAAGCCATTTTACAGATGAAAAATCTAGGCAGAAGGATGTTAAGTAACTAAGGTCACACAGCTGGTGAATGGAAGAGCAGAGTCTTGAACCCAGAAGCCATAGCTTCAAGGTCCATGCTCAGAACCAGTATTCCACACTGTCTTCACTACGTCAAATGGGAACAGTGATAATAACATCCACACAAGGGTGTTGTGAAGATTAAATGAGTTAATGCACGTAAAGGGCCAGGCCCCCAGTTAGAGGTAGATCCTCATGGTGATTAACAATGCAGCCTGACAGGCTCCATCATTCACTGGCTGTGTGAACTTGGGCAAGTTACTGACCCTTACTAGGCCTGTCTTCTTCTCTGGAAAATGAAGATGAAAACAGTAACTCTACCCTACATGGTTGTAAGAAATTAATAAGACAATACCTGTTAAGTGCTTAGCACAGGGCCTGGCATATAGTAAATTCTCAAGAGATTTTGAGGTCTGTTTTTAATTATTAATAAGTTCTCACTAAAGTTAGATTCCTTCTCAGACACCTTCCACTGATCAAAGAGTCTCATCAAAGCAAGTTCTTCCCTCCCTGGTCCCCTTTGGCTTTCTGAAATCATTAATTAAAAGAAAGGCCCTAGGAACCTAATGGCTTACCTGTTTTTTCTTTTAATATTCTACTCCGCAAAATTTGCAAAGTGTGTAATGTTTAACAGCAGCAAAATTAAAACATGTAAGTTCCATGCGGCAGTCCTCAAGGCCATGATAGCAACTGCTGCTGGTGGTGCCCGATGGGGAAGGGGCTGCCAAACTATGCATCTGACCAAGGACTAATATCCAGAATCTACAAGAACACAAACAACTCAACAAGAAAAAACAATCCCATTAAAAAGTGGGTAAAGGACATAAACAGACATTTTCCAAAGGAAGACATACAAGTGGCCAAGAAACATATGAAAAATGCTCAACATCACTAATCACCAGATAAATGCAAATTAAAACCACAATGAGATACTATCTTACACCAGTCAGAATGACCATTATTAAAAAGTCTAGGCAGGGCATGGTGGCTCATGCCTGTAATCTCAGCACCTTCAGAGGCCAAGGTGGGCAGATCACGAGATCAGGAGATCGAGACCATCCTGGCCAACATGGTGAAACCCTGTCTCTACTAAAAATACAAAAATTAGCTGGGCATGGTGTCACGCACCTGTAGTCCTAGCTACTCGGGAGGCTGAGGCAGAAGAATTGCTTGAACCTGGGAGGCAGAGGTTGCAGTGAGCTGAGATCATGCCACTGCACTCCAGCCTGGGCAACACAGCAAGACTCCATCTCCACAAAAAAAAAAAAAAAAAAAAGTCTAAAAACTCTAAAAACAGCAGATGTCGTCAAGGATGTGGAGAAAAGGGAATGCTTATACATTGTTGGTGGGAATGTAAATTAATACAACTTTTAGGGAAAACAGTATGGAGATTTCTCAAAGAACTGAAAAACCACGCAATCCAGCAACCTGGGGTATCATATTTATTGATTTGCATATGTTGAACCATCCTTGCATCCCTGCAATAAATCCCATCTGATCATAGTGTATTATCTTTTTGATGTGCCATTGGATTTGATTTACTAGTATTTTGTTGAGGATTTTTGCATCTACGTTCACAGGGATATTGGTCTGTGTTTTCATTTTCTGCTGTGTCCTTGTCTGGTTTTTAGTATCAGGGTGACCCTGGCCTCGGAGAATCAGTTAGGGAGAATTCCTTTCTCCTTGATTTTTTAATAGTTTCAGGATTATTGGTATTAGTTTTTCTTTGTATGTTTGGTAGAATTTGGCTGTGAATACATCTAGTCTTAAGCTTTCTTGGGAGTTTTTTATTATTGATTCAATCTCACTACTCATTATTGGTCTGTTTAGAAGTTCTATTTCTTCCTGGTTCAATCTTGGGGGATTTTGTGTTTCCAGGGATGTATCTATTTCCTCTAGTTTTTCTAGTTTGTGAGCATGCAGTTGTTCATAATAGTCCTTGATGATCTTTTGCATTTCTATGGTATCAGTTGTAATGTCTTTTTCATTTCTGATTGTGTTTATTTGGATCTTCTTTCTTCTTGGTTAATCTAGCTAGTGGTTTATCAATTTTGTCTATCTTTTCAAATAATCAGCTTTTACTTTCATTGATCCCAAGAACTAATATATGAACTTTTAGTTTCATTGATCCTTTGTAAATTTTTTGTCCCTGTTTCATTTAGTTCTGCTCTGATCTTTATTTTTTCTTTTCTGCTAACTTTGGATTTGGTTTGTTCCTTTTCTAATTCCTTGAGGTGCAATGTTAGGTTGTTAATTTGTGATCTTTCTACTTTTTTGATGTAGGCATTTAATGCTATAAACTTCCCTCTTAGCACTTCTTTTGCTGTAACCTGCAGGATTTAGTACAATGTGTTTTTGCATTCATTTCAAAGATGTTTTTAATTTGTCTTAATTTCTTCATTGACCCAGTAGTTGTTCAGGAGCATGCTGTTTAATTTCCATTATCTGTATAGTTTCCAAAGTTCCTCTTGGTATTGATTTCTAGTTTTATTCCACTGTGGTCTGAGAAGATACTTGATATAATTTCAATTTTTAAAAAGTTTGTTAAAACTTCTTTTGTGGCCTTACATGTGATCTATCTTGGAGAATGTTCCATGTGCTGACAAAAATAATGTATATTCTGTAGTTGTTGGGTAGAATGTTTTATAAGTCCATTTGGTCTAAAGTTCAATTTAAGTACAATGTTTCTTTGTTAATTTTCTGTCCCAATGATCTGTCTAGTGTTGTGAGTGGAGTGTTAAAAGTCCCCTACAGTTATTGTATTGCTGTCTACCTCTTTCTTTAGTGATATTTGTTTTGTTAATCTGGGTGCTTCAATGTTGGGTACATATATATTTAGGACTATTATATCGTCTTGCTGAATTTATCCCTACATCATTATACAATGACCTTATCTTTTTTCTTACTATTTTTAATTTAAAGTCATCTGTTTTATCAGATATAAGTATAGCTATGCCTGCTTGCTTTTGGTTTATAATTACATGGAATATCTTTTTCCACCCCTTTGTTTTCAGTCTATATGTCTTTATGGGTAAGGTTAGTTTCTTGTAAGCAGCATGGATCATGTTTTTTCATCCACTCTGCCAATCTGTATCTTTTAAGTGGAGCATTTAATCCATTTACATTCAAGGTTAATATGGATCTGTGAGACTTTGTTTCTGTTATATTGTTTATTGTTTTCAGGTTGTTTTATAGACTCTTTGTCTTTGCCTTTTTGACTTTGTGTTTTGATGAAACTCTGTCATGTTGCCATTTGATTCCTTTCTCTTCCTTTGTATGATTGTTTTATACAAACTATGAGTTTTATACTTCTGTATGTTTTTGTGATGGTGAATATCAACCTTTTGGCTGGGCATCGTGGCTCATGCCTTTAATCCCAGTGCTTTGGGATGCTAGGCAGGGGGATTAATTGATGCCAGGCAGGGGCATTAATTGATGGAAGGTGGTCAAGACCAACCGGGGCAAAATAGCAAGATCTTGTCTCTACAAAAAAATTAAAAATTAACCGGGCATGGTGGCACATGTCTGTATTTCTAGCTACTCAAAAGGCTGAGGCAGGAAGATTGCTTGAGCCCACGAGGTCAAGGCTGCAATGAACTGTGATTGCACTACTGTATTCCAGGTTGAGTGACAAAGCAAGACCCTCTATCAAAAATAATTAATTAAAAACACCATTCATTTCAGTGTTTAAGATCCTTTTGAGCATTTCCTGTAGTACCAGTCTAGTGGTGACAAATTCCCTCAGCATTTGCTTGTATGGGAAGGACTTTATTTCTCCTTTTATAAAGCTTATTCTGGCAGGATACAAAATTCTTGGCTGACAGACACACTGTTTTTTTTTTTCCCTTTAGCACTTTGAAAATGCCATCCCATTGTTTTCTGGCATGTAAGAATTCTGCTGAAAAGTCCTCAATTGGTCTGATGAGATTTGGGATTTCCTTTATAGGTGACTAGTCACTTTTGCTAATTTTAAAATTCTTTCTTTCACTTGACTTCAGACATTTTGAATATGCCATGGTGAGGTCCTTTTGCAATGTATTTTCCTGGGGATCACTGGGCCTCCTGTATCTGGATGTCTATTTCTTTAAATATGTTTTCTAAACTTTCTAATCTCTCTTCCCCCTCAGAAATACCAATAATTCATAAGTTCAGTTGCTTCTTGCAGTCCCAGACATCTCAAAGGCTTTATTCATTCTTTTTTATCCTTTTTTCCTCATTTTTGTCTGACTGGATTATTTCAAAAGTCCTGTCTTCGAGTTCTGAGATTCTTTCTTCTGCTTGGTGTAGTCTACTGTTGAAGTTTTTGAGCATATGGTGTATTTCCTTCAATGAATTTTTTAGTTCCAGAATTTCTGCTTGTTTTTATTTAAGATGTCTATCTCCTTGATAAATTTCTCATTTATATCCTGGATTAATTTTCTGATTTCTTTGTATTAGTTTTCAGATTTCTCTTGCACTTCATTGAGCTTCTTTAAAATCAATATTTTGAATTCTTTATCTAGCATTTTGAAGAATTCTCTTTGATTGGGATCTGCTGCTGCTGGACAGCTGTTGTGGTTCTTTGATGATTGTTACGGTTTGACTGTGTCCCCACCCAAATCTCAACTTGAATTGTAGCTCCCATAATTCCCACATGTTGTGAGAGGGGACGCCAGGGGAGGTAACTGAATCATGGGGGCTGGTCTTTCCCATGCTATTCTCGTGATAGTGAATAAGTCTCATGAGAACCGATGGGTTCATCAGGGTTTCTGCTTTTGCTTCCTCCTCATTTTCTCTTGCCACCACCATATAAGAAGTGTGTTTCACCTCCTGCCAGGATTCTGAGGCCTCCCTAGCCATGTGGAACTGTAAGTCCAATTAAACCTCTTTTTCTTCCCAGTCTCAGGTATGTCTTTATCAGCAGTGTGAAAATGGACTAATACAATGGTGTCATGTTTCTCTGCTTTTACATGTTTCCTGTATCCTTCCATTGATTTCTTTGCGTCTGGTGTAGCAGTTGCTTGTTCCAATTTTTTGAAATTGCTTTTATAAGGGAGAATTTTTTCCTGAGGATATATGCATGTTGTTAAGATGCTTTGACTTTGATTTTGGATGCCTGCAGTCGTGTGATCTTTCTATGACTTCTTCGGCATAGGGTCAGTGTTCTCTGTGATTTCCTCAGTGGGATAGAGTATGGTAATTAGCTGAGACTAAGTCCCCAGAAGTTTAGCTGGGACTTGGATGCCAACTGAGCAGCCTTTGGACCCCAGTGGTGGCAACAGTGGGGTAAGTGTGCCCTTTTTAGGCCCCACAGCAGCTTACGCTGCTCTGGTGGTTAGTGGGTCTTGGAGGGCTGATTCTTGGGCCTCCACATGGCTTGCTTAGAAGCTAGTAGTGGGAGTGGTGAGCCCAGTGTGTGGGCATGATCTCTAGCCCCTGAGCAGGTGGTGTCATGTGAGTGATGGCAGTAGCACTGTTGAAGCAGCCAACTGGGATCCAAGCAGTCCATGTTGGTGTTGCTGGAAGCTGTGATGGGTTGGGTGAGCTACTCCCCAGTCTCACAGCCACCTGTAGCAGGGTGGTGGGCACTGTTCTAAGTGTGCTTAGGAGAGCTTGGTCTTCCCTGTCCCTTTCCTACCAGGGTGGCAGCTGCAGCCACATTGCCTGATTGTTAATTCAGACTGGTTATGAATCAGCATTAAACTCTCAAAATGGTGCCAGCTGTGGGCTTGTGAACAGAGAAGGTGGGGCCCCTATCAGGTGAGCAGCATGGTCAAGAAGCTGTAGGGAGGGTGGTCTACTTGAGTCTCGGTCTCACAGCAACCCGTAGCAGGCACTGGGTATTGTCCTAGGTATGTGCGGGAGAGCATAGATTCCTTGTTTCTCCTTGACTGGGCAGCAGCTTCAGCCACATCAAGTTGAACTCAGCAAGAAGGTGGGGCACAGCCCAGCATTAAACTCTCAAAATGGCACCTTGGGCCTGTGACCAGGAGGGCAGGGGTCCCTCCAGGCAGGCAGCATGGGCAAGAAGCTGTAGGGAAGGCAGTCTGCTCACATTTCAGTCTCAACAGCAGCATGTTGCAGAGCAGTGGGTATTGACCTAGATGTGCATAGGACAGCCTGATTTCCCTGTTAATCCTTGGCTGGGTGGCAGCTACAGCTGCACCAGCCCAATCTCAGTTCCAGGGAGGGGTGCTGCCCAACATTAAACTCTCAAAATAGCACCTGGAGCCTGAGACCAGAGAGGGAGGAGCACCTCACAAGTAAGCAGCATTGGCAACAAGCTGTGGAACACACAGGATGGCCACATCTCGGTCTCACAGCAGCCCATGGCAGGGCAGGGGGTCTTGTCCTAGATATGTGTAGGATGGCCTGATTTCCCTATCCTTCCTTAGCCAAGAGGCAGCTACAGCCTCATCAGCCCAAACTCAGGCTGGGAGGGGAATGCAGCCCAGCATTAAACTCTCAAAATGCTACCTTGGGCCTGGGATCAGAGAGTGTCCCTCCCAGACAAGCAGTGTGGAAAAGAAGCTGTGGGGAGGGGTGTCTACTCACATCTGTCTCAATAGCAGCCCACAGCAGGGCAGCAGACCCTCCCAGGGGTGCATGGGAGCACCTGCTCTCCCGTCTCCCTCCTTGAAGCAGCTCGGCAGCAAGAGCCATGTCTGTAGAGTCCCAGTATCTAGGCTCTCAAAATGGCACCCTGCTGAGGCTGCTCCAGGTTCAGATGCATGTGAGATTTTGTATTGGTTTCCTTTCTGGAGCAATGCCTCTGTGCAATGTTTAGGCAGCTCCGAATGTCAGGCCCAGGCCCTGGCCCAGTGGGTCGAGGTTTCCTTCCGTGGCCAAGATTATAAAAGTTTGTTTTGGAGCCCTAGGGGGTTCTCTCTTACTGTTTCCCCACATCAGGAGCCTCTCCCGACTCTCAGTCGGTTCCCAGCTGGGCAAGCTGCCTCGAATCCTCTCCTTACTTCTCATGTTTCCCATATCTTTTCTGGTTTATCCTAGCATTCTCTCCTAGACAATCTGTTCAAAATGGATCCACTTACTATTCTGGTTTCTCACCATGGTGGAGGCACATACTACCTGTGTTTAGATAGCCATCTTGATCCTTTCGAAAATTTACTCTTTCAATAAGAACCTGACAAATACATAATTTAGAATTAAATGATACAATATTTGTGTCTCTTTCAGCCGCCATCCCATTCTCCCTTATTAGTATGAAAATGTTAGAGGTGCTTAAACCAACAAAAAAGCTGCCTTAAATTAATCTCCTGAGAATACTTTCCTTCTATTTCCCTAACTAGGAATTTGTATCGCCTTTAAGCAGAAATCATCTCCCTCCTAAGGCCCTGCTCAGGCTGTAACTCTTGAGTGACAGTGGTCAAGTTACATGCTGACCTGGAATCTAAATCTGCATCTTGTTCCAGAGGACCTAGTGCAGCAAAGCATTATACTTTACTGTCACAACTAAGATGGCAAAAGGCTAACAGCCTTTATTTTTAAAGGGTTCATACAGACCAACAAACAAAAACTGAAACTCAAAATTATTTTTAAAATAGCAAAAGAACTGACAGCACTTCACAAAAGAAGAAATACAGATGGTCAACAAACACTTGAAAATGTTAAACTTTACTTATTATGAAGAAAAACTATCAATGATTCATCATTTGTCATTATCAAAGAATAAAAGACTCAAGAATATGCAATACTGGGGAGGATGGGATGAGACAGGCACTCTCTGAAACTGCTGGTGGAAACATAAGTTGATTCACAAAAATATTCACCATAGCATTCATAGCATTATAAAATAATGTTACAAAGCATCTATGTATAAACTATAAACTATGATACAGCTATATGCAGCCCTTAATGTTTAGGAACCATTTCTAGTTCACATAGAATGATGTTCACAAAGTGGGATACAAACATATATATTTATGTAATCCCAACAGTGTAAAACAATAGTGTAAAAAGAAGTGTGCTGTTCAGAGTGGTTATTTCTACGACCTGAAGTATAGATGACTTTTAGTCTTTTCTCTGCACTTTCATGTATTTTCTAGTTTCCTACAATCAGCATGTGTTATTATAAACAGGAAAAGGTTTATCTAAAAATGGCCACAGTGACTCAGCAGTCTCCCCTTTGCCCTCTGAAGGAAACACTGGCTTATCATTAAAGGACATTTAAAAGCTCATTGTGGTGGAAGTGTCATTACCAGGATTGTTTAAGAAAAGAAAAACAAAAACCAGGGAAGGCCCATGGGGAAGTAGAGAAGAGTGTCATGGGGTTTCCAACCAAAGATCCATATGCTGTCACTGCAAAATGTTTAGGGAAAGAAGCGAGGACTGACTTCCACCCTCTCCATACACAAGTTCCTGAATTCTGTCCATAGTTCAACAGAAAGCATGGATGGGCCATGCCAGCACTGTGCTGAGCATGCATACGACATTAAACACAACCCTCCCTCAGGCAGCTCTGCTGTCCTAAGATGTGTAACCAGGATTCGTACATGAAAGAACTCAGGGAGCCTATGTAGCATTTTCATTCGCTCATTTAAAAAAAAAAAACAAAAAAAAGAGCCCCTACTGTGTATCAAAATAACAAAACTGAAGACTGTTCCTCAGAGACATGACACTAGAGTGGAGAATAAATCCTAATTTATAGCTAAACCAGAGTGTGGGCTGAAGGAGCCCAGGAATGCTCTTGCTGCATGGATCAGATTTAGAGAAGCAGAAAGTAGAGTAGGACTCTAGGAGCTGGGGGGTGGCTGAGGATGGGCAGATGGGAATGTATTCATACACAGCCTGAGCAGCTGAGCAGGTGCTGGACTGCACAAGGCAAGAGGGGAAGCTGGGCCTCACCAGAGAATTCCAAGTTCAAGTTCCAAGTCGCACCAGATGATGGCGAGCCTCATAAGAGCTGGGACTGAATATAAAAAGGTGAGAGGCCACCACCTTCTCCACATGCCTGGTCCTGGGCTTCTTGGCTCGTTTTGTTTTGCTCTACATTAAAAGGTCAGTTGAGAGAAAATGAGGAAGTCAAAACAAAGGCTCCTGGCGTCTGGCAGGAGCTGCCGCAAGGTGGCTGATGCAATCTCCCCGAGGAGCCACATTAATTTTTAAAAAGGCAGCTGTTTTCAAAGCAAAACGTTTAATAATTTTTTTTGGAACCCCAGTGTAACAGAATTCAAATGGGAAAAGTGAGAGGGAGTGTTTAAACAAAGGCATCCCCAAGTCCCTTCCCAGTTGGTCCTGAACAATGGAGGAGGTCAAACCTTCTTTTCCACAGCATGATGGTATAAATCAGGGAAGTCCTGGAAATCTATTCCACACCCTAAAATACCCAAACCCATTAAAAGCACAGATATAGGCTTTTACAAACATTTACTAAATAAGCAAAACCATACAAAATATGTTCCCGTCGGCAATTTTTCCCATACCATGGACTCAAATGGTTAAAACTCCTTATCATCCCAGACTAATGCCACCTTTTCAATTCCCAATAATTCCTTCCGTAACAAGCATCATTGCTCCAAGAATCTCTCAACTACATTCAAACCCGAGTCTTCAGACCCTTGGCCCTCTGGGACCTCCAGAGCCTTTGACAGTGCCACCCAAGGCAGCAGCCAGGGCTTCTGCTGGGACAGCCCCTCACTCCTCCACTCTGACTGTCCCCACTGGGCTTCTCTGGAGCAGAAGCCACGGGCAGAACTGGGCAGACTGCCCAGTGCTGCTGAGTCCAGAGAAGCGGCATCTGAGGGGAGGCGGTGGCAGTGTGGACCCCACCCTTACTGTATTCACAGGCCCCAGCTCTCCATCAGCCAGCCTGCCCAGGTCTCTGCCAAAGAAGTCGCTGGTCAATCTTCATTCTCATTTTTGGCATACACCTAGGTCCTTTGAATGGAGCTGCCCTCTCTCTCAGCCTGTTCCATGTTCTTTATTTTCCCCACTTGGTCCCTTTCTGTAACAAATGCAGTGTGTAGAATGAGACAGACCTTCCAGTCAGCTCTGGGAAAGAGGAGGGAGCTGTTCCCCCAGAGGGGTCCCCTCAGAAACTGATCATCAGGGCTGTGTAGCCTTCAGGTCCCTTCCCAGGGCCACGACTCATTTTGCTGCTGAACACCACCTGGGACTCCCTGCTGGGGCTTCCAGGAGGCCATTTGGTATCATGGCCCCAGTACCTTGTGCCTCACAAAGCTTGAAGCTCTGTGTTCCTAGTCACTTCCTGGTGAATGCTGTTGTATTAGTCCATTTTCATACTGCTATGAAGAGATACCCAGTAATTTGAAAAGAAAAAGAGGTTTAATGGACTCATAGTTCCACATGGTTAGGGAGGCCTCACAATCATGGTGAAAGGCAAAGGAAGAGCAAAAGCACATCTTACATGGCAGCAGGCAAGAGAACATGTGCAGGGGAAATGCCCTTTATAAAACCATCAGATATCATGAGACTCACTACCATGAGTACAGTATGGGGGAAACCCACCCCCATGATCCAATTACCTCCCACTGGGTCCCTCCCACAATGTGGGGATTATGGGAGCTATAATTCAAGATGAGATTTGGGTAGGGACACAGCCAAACCATATCAGCCGAAACTTATCCCATACTGGAAAATACACATATGTAAAATACAGTGTGCAGACCACTGTTTCAGAGACCAACTGGACAAAGCCCTTCTGATTTAAAACGGAGTGAAAAGAATTTTTTAAAAGAGTATAACAAAGTGGGCACTTTTATATACAATTAGAGGGACTATGATTAGCAAATTTTCTGTAGGCCAGTTAGGCAGTATTTAGCAAGATCACTAAAAGATATTTCTACCCTTGATCCAATGATTGCACTTATAGGTAGATCACCTGAGAAAAATCAGATTCCAAACACGATTCACACAGCGTCTTCACTTATAATGGTGAAAAGTGGAAACAATTTGTCTAGTAATAGTGTAATGGATGATCCCACATGAACTATTGCACAGCCATTGATCATGTTTTTGAAGAATATTTAACAGCTTTGAAAAATGTTTACTAAATCTAGTGAAAAAACATTACATTCAACATCATGATTATGTAAAAATACATCAGTACAGGAAGAAAATATTGGTAGAATATTAACAGTGGTTTTATGTGTATGATGGGATAAAAGGTTATCTTTTTTATTATTATTTTTAAAATATCTTCTGGCCAGGCATGGTGGCTCATGCCTGTAATCCCAGCACTTTGGGAGGCCAAGGTGGGTGGATCATTTGAGGTCAGGAGTTCAATCAAGACCAGCCTGGCCAACATGGTGAAACCCATCTCTACCAAAAATACAAAAATTAGCCAGGCATGGTGGCGGGTGCCTGTAGTCCCAGCTACTCGGGAGGCTGAGGCAGGAGACTTGCTTGACCCCGGGAGGCAGAGATTGCAGTGAGCCAAGATCGCACCACTGCACTCCAGCCTGGGTGACAGAGTGAGGCTCCATCTCAAAAACAAACAAACAAACAAAAACGTCTAAGTTTTCTATAATTCATACTACCATTGTCAGGAAAAAATATGTATTAGTTTTTAAAGTAATGAGTATATGATGGGATTTCATCACCAGGTGACATCTTGTCTTGACCCAGTAATGAGTTCCCAGAGCACTGCAGGTAAAATCAGAGTGGGTGTGTCAGTGGTCCTTGACCCAGGCTCACCTTCGAATGAGCTTCAGAGCTTCAGAAACACACCAGTGCCCAGCCCGAAGCACATAAGTTGAGCTCTGATTGATCTGTGGCCCAGCAATGGGTAGTTCTTACAGCTCCCCAGGTGGTTGTCTTGGCAGCTGTGGTGAAAACCAATAGCTTCCTCCACCTTCAGGTCTCCATTAAGGGTGGGCCTTGCCCTTCACCTCAGTCAAAACCCACCTTCAAAAAAGATCTGAGAAATCCCCTCACTAATGTTTCCAATGGCTTGTTGTATTTGGACTGGAGCAAAGCCTTTGGCTAAAGAGCACTTCACTCAGTTTAAGATGTTTCACACTTTCAAAGCTGCTTGGGAGAGACTTTTCCTCCTGACCTCAAATCAGAGGGCAGCTAATGACTTATTTGCAAATAGGTCCTGGCAGGAGGTTACCTCAGACTTCTGGTCCTTGGTGGAGGGCAGGGTAGGAGGGAAACTTGCCATGAGTTTGTAAGAAATGCCAAAGGGAGAACATGAGCTTGTCTGGACACAGGGAACAAGCAAGGGAGAGATGGACTGACTGCTGTGACTTCCCCGCAGGTCCCCCGGCAGAGGGCAGTAGAGATGGCCGGCCCAAGGCCTCGGTGGCGCGACCAGCTGCTGTTCATGAGCATCATAGTCCTCGTGATTGTGGTCATCTGCCTGATGTTTTACGCTCTTCTCTGGGAGGCTGGCAACCTCACTGACCTGCCCAACCTGAGAATCGGCTTCTATAACTTCTGCCTGTGGAATGAGGACACCAGCACCCTACAGTGTCACCAGTTCCCTGAGCTGGAAGCCCTGGGGGTGCCTCGGGTTGGCCTGGGCCTGGCCAGGCTTGGCGTGTACGGGTCCCTGGTCCTCACCCTCTTTGCCCCCCAGCCTCTCCTCCTAGCCCAGTGCAACAGTGATGAGAGAGCGTGGCGGCTGGCAGTGGGCTTCCTGGCTGTGTCCTCTGTGCTGCTGGCAGGCGGCCTGGGCCTCTTCCTCTCCTATGTGTGGAAGTGGGTCAGGCTCTCCCTCCCGGGGCCTGGGTTTCTAGCTCTGGGCAGCGCCCAGGCCTTACTCATCCTCTTGCTTATAGCCATGGCTGTGTTCCCTCTGAGGGCTGAGAGGGCTGAGAGCAAGCTTGAGAGCTGCTAAAGGCTTACGTGATTGCAAGGGTTCAGTTCCAACCATGGTCAGAGGTGGCACATCTGCTCAGCCATCTCATTTTACAGCTAACGCTGATCTCCAGCTCCAGCGATGGAACCCACTACAGAGGAGGTGGGGCCCCTGTGTCAAAGAGGCCGAGGGGCAGCAAGGGCAGCCAGGGCACCTGTGACTTCTTAGTACAAGATTGTCTGTCCTTCAGGACTTCCAAGGCTCCCAAAGACTCCCTAAACCATGCAGCTCATTGTCACACCAATTCCTGCTTTAATTAATGGATCTGAGCAAATCTTCCTCTAGCTTCAGGAGGGTGGGGAGGGAGTGATTGCTGTCATGGGGCCAGACTTCCAGGCTGATTTGCCAAATGCCAAAATGAAACCTAGCAAAGAACTTACGGCAACAAACGAGGACATTAAAAGAGCGAGCACCTCAGTGTCTCTGGGGACATGGTTAAGGAGCTTCCACTCAGCCCACCATAGTGAGTGGGCCGCCATAAGCCATCACTGGAACTCCAACCCCAGAGGTCCAGGAGTGATCTCTGAGTGACTCAACAAAGACAGGACACATGGGGTACAAAGACAAGGCTTGACTGCTTCAAAGCTTCCCTGGACCTGAAGCCAGACAGGGCAGAGGCGTCCGCTGACAAATCACTCCCATGATGAGACCCTGGAGGACTCCAAATCCTCGCTGTGAACAGGACTGGACGGCTGCACACAAACAAACGCTGCCACCCTCCACTTCCCAACCCAGAACTTGGAAAGACATTAGCACAACTTACGCATTGGGGAATTGTGTGTATTTTCTAGCACTTGTGTATTGGAAAACCTGTATGGCAGTGATTTATTCATATATTCCTGTCCAAAGCCACACTGAAAACAGAGGCAGAGACATGTACTCTGGTGTGATCTCTTGTCCTCAGTGTCTCTTCTGGGCTCCTGTCCCTCTTGCTTTATAGCTAGCTGCCCGGGGACCAAGGTACAGGTGAAAGCAAGGTAGCAGCTTGCGGGAGGAGGCCTGTCTGGCTTACCAGTCTATACACTGTGGCCTCAACCTCCCAGACAGGGCAGAGAACTGTGGGCAGCTCGTTTGCTTTCTAGGCTGGCTGGAGAGGTGGGAGCTCATTGATAGACTCATGATGGAAACTATTTTTGAAACAGGCTTCCTCCTTCAGGAGAGATCATGCGGACTAAACTGTAGCAATTCCAGTGCACCTGGCAGTGATCCTTTTCTTTGCAAAGTACTGTCTCTTTGGTTCCAGTAAGTTGGACCACCACATGACATCATTTTCCCTGGAACCTGGTCACTGACTAACACAGACAATTGGGACTCCAGAGCCTCAAGAGCCAGGAGAGGGCACAGTACATACAGAGGGAGTCAAATGGGATCTCATTTTGAGTCCTGCCTTCCGCACACTCAGAACGGCAGCCCCAAGGCCCGGAGTGTCCAGGGGCTTCTGGCCTGAGGTGAATCTGCCAGGCCCAAGAAGGCACAAAGGTAGGAGCACAGAGAGCCCCATTCCCACAGGCGGGCGGCCCAGCAGCACCAGTGGAAGCTCAGCTGTCCTCCAGCTGCTCTCGGCAGACAGTTCAGTGCACAGTTTATGCCCTAGCTGAAAAAGATCTCCCGGACGTATTTCAGCACATCCTCTTCCTCCTCCTCCTCAGGGCTCCTGCTACAGGCAGAGCTGGAACCCCCCGGCCTCTGGGAAGGGCTGAGGCCTGGAGCCAGTGCCTGTTTCCCACTGTCCTCTTCCTCACTGCTGCTCCCAGAACTTGTGTGAGGCGACACGGAGCAGGGAGGGGAGTGCTCTGGGTTATCAGCCCCCGCCAGGGCCGGCTGCTCGCAGGCCTTTTCCTGTTTGCGGCTCTGTGGAGTACGGGAAAACGCAGGCTCAACATACGTGTTTTATTTCCCTAACATGCTGATCTGTCAGTAACACAGGATGTATCTAGAAGCAACTACAAAGCCAATGTGACCAGGCCAGGCAATGTACCCATATCCTGAGCACCCACCCTCTCTTCACCCCACTCCTTCCCCTGACCCCCTCTTCACAGCTCTTGAAGAAACCAGAACCCACTCGGGAGAGAAGCAAGCAAAGGCATGAGGATTAGCTGAGGGGAAAGGAAAAAGAAATGGAAGAAACATGTCTAGAAAGGCCGGTGACAGAACCCAGGATACAAAACCTGGGTGTGGGCCCATGCCTTAGCACTAGGAAAAGTCCCACACCACAGGGTTATTGCAAGGCTAAAATGACATAACGCATGCTTTCAAGGCACCTGGTAAACTGTAGAATGCTGTGCAACTCTGAGGCACTGCAATTATTACTGCAGGAAGCTAGGAAGCTCAGCATCCTCTGCTCAGGAGAGGGGCAATGGCTAAGAAGTCATCTACCCAACTGGGAACCTTTCCAAGAACACAAACAGGTAAACGCTTCATGTCCCATCCACATACACACCAGTGCACAGTCACGCTCTCCCTAACACACACACGCCCTCCCTAACACACGCATGCCCTCCCAGGCTTCTAGCCTCAAAGACACCCCACGAGCGCACACCCACATGGGGAGAGGCCTGGGCAGCATGGCCGAGATAAGAGCAAGGGAAGTGGCAGGAGGAAGAAGAGGTAGCCTACGGCAGAGGGCGTCTCTCTTACTGACGGTGACCAAGGGTCTAGCCTCTGCCCATGCAGAGTTTCTGGTCATGAGTAAGAGGCTTGTCTGACTTTACCTCAATCAGGATTCCCAGAGCAACATCAACTATCTCAGCCTCATTCATGCAGTACACAGTCCTTGTCGCAGGGAGTCTGAAAAAAAGACATGCAAGGCACAGATGACACAGACTCTCAAGTCTCATAAGGGCAAAGAGAACAGGAGAAGCAGGGCCTCTTCCCCCTGCCTTCCTACCACGCAGGAGGTACCAGCACCTCTGAGCTGAGGAGCTTTCTGACACGGACACAATTTCCTCAGCCTTGCAGCCCAGTGACTGGCACAGGGCTTCATGGAGGCAACACCGGGGTGCCTCCCACCCTCCACCAACTGCCCTACAAGGATCTGGAAGTAGGGAAGGATGGCCGCCTCTGAAACACACACATGGATGCAAGAGGAAGGGAACCTCGGGCTGAGGCTGTACTGAGAGGAACCTGAAAGCAGGACCAGACTTAGGGAAAGACGGCAGCAGTCACAAGGGAAGGCTGTCAGTCAGGAAACCTTAGAGGAGGAGGAGCCAGAGAGGGAAACACCGAGTGCTGGGGCCCCGCCCACTTCACAGTGCAGCCTGGAGACTCACCACCCCCCCCCCGCCCCCCCCCGGCAATTACCGTCATTCAACTAACTCACTCCCCAGCTCCTTAGCTCTTGCTGGCCCTGCAGCTGCTGCTCATCTGTCCATCCCTAAAGGTCTGTCCACAGGGGCAGGCACCACTCAGAACAGACCCTTCCACTGATCTTGCCCATCTGATGTTACCATGTTTGTTGTAAAGGAAGAGACTGGCATTCTGGACAACTGGCATCAGAGACTGGCTGACATGGAGAACCCACTCTGTGTGTGCTGAGGGCAGGGCACTCACCAGTGCAGAGGCAGAAGTGGGTGCCTGTCCTCGAGGGTTAACCCGCTTTGCCTCCCGCCCACAGCCCCTCCACCTTCTAAAAGCTCAAGAGATGATCAGACTGAAACACCCGCCCATCTTGCTGTTCTGCCTAGGCTGGAAGACCTGGCCCAGGTCATGGAGGCCCCTGCTCCACTTGCCAGATTCGCAGGAGTCTTCTGACCAGAGCTGTCGCACCTTGCTGCTGCCACTGGCACTGCTGCCATTCTCATCCTCTTGGGGGCCTTCATTGGTGCCACATTCTTTGTAGCCACCTGGGCTGTCAGCCATGAGGGAAGGACCCTCGTTTTAGTCTCGGATTGTAAGGTTTCCATCTCTGTACCTTCTCACAAAGAAGAGTCAGGGCCCAAGCTTAATGACCTGTTTTTTAATTCAGGAAGGTAAATCTCGTTCTCTCGTCACACCCGGAATTACAGGTCCATTTGTCCTCAGTGGGAGTTGATCTTTGATTCCTACAAAGAACAATAAAGTCCGGTGAATTCCCATACCTCCAGTCATCAGGCACAGTTACTGGTCGGTGCAGGGCAGGCCAGAAGTGACCAAGGCCCAAGAGACTCAGACGGCCATTCACAGGCATCAGGCAGGTGTGATTGTGGGCAGGACAGCAGCTCAGGAGAGAGCCCTCTGACCTCCCCAAAGCTGGTGCCCCCTACAGGCAGCCAAAGCCAACCAGAGATACCTCCTGCAGCCTCTGTGCTGACTGACTCAGCACAGGAGGAACGGAAGGAGGCGGAGGCCCCTAATGTTCCTTCTCATTACCACCCCAAATGCCACTGTCCTCTGGGTGCCCAGCCCATTCAATCCCTAAAATACCTCTTAATGGCCTCTCCCTCATCTGGCCAACTCGATTTCTCTACTCTTCTATGGTGGCTCAGTTAAATGAAACTGAGGGCATTTTATTTCACAATAAAGTCTCATTGGCCAACACGCCGCCCTTAAGCTAAAGATACTTCTGATTGGTCAAACTTGAAGCAGCAATAGGGGCCCGGAGGCATTAACTGTGCCAGTCTGTAGATTCTGAAGCCCACGCCAGCCTCTGATCTAGTTTGGCCTCTCTTTTCCCTATCCCAATTGTTCTGCCTCCACTCAGCAGTCCTGGAGCTCAGTCCTCACCCAGAGAGATGGAGTTGTGACTCAGAGGGCCTAGGTCTCTACCTTCCACTTAGGAATCAAGCCAGAAGCTCCTGAAGCGGAGGTTTGCCCAAAAAAAAGAGTAGTCAGCGATAGTCCTCTCTGAATCATAATTTGATAATGCATTGCTCATCCAGATGGCTGTTTACAATTTAAGAAAAAATATTACCAGGCCCTCCTCCTAACCTGCCCGGCCATGGGGCACACCTTTGCCAATGCACCTTCATTTCTGTCAAAACTCAGTGATATTAGTGACTCCTACCCCCTAAGGCGCCTCCCAAGCGCAATGCTGCAGTCTGTGCGGACAAATTTAGTTCACCCTGGGGTGCCTATTAAGTACATTTCGCAAACGAGGAACTGAGACTTAGTTAACTTGCAGAAGATCACAGAAAAGTTTGAAATCAGCTGGTTGGATTCGCAGCCAGGTCCTGCAGACTCCAGACCCCGCGCCTCCCCGCCCTACTTCTGGGCCCCAAGAGCAGGCCGCGGCAACTTCCAGAAGCCGGGTCTCTGGGGCACCGCGCTCGCGGACCGACCTCAGTCCCATCCCAGCCGCTCCCTGCCTGGGCAGAATGGGGGCCCCGCGGGAACGCGATGTGCTGCCAGTTCACAGCCCGCCCTCCCTCTGCGGGCCGGTACCCGCCGCTGGCGGCGCCGACCTGTGGGAGGCCCAGAGGGCGGGTGAGTGCGGAGCGGAAGGCGCGGGCGAAGCACCGCAGGGGCCTCGCTGACCCCGCCACACGCCGGGCAGGGCTGCAACGGCTCCTTCCGACTGGAGCGGCCGCGCGCTCCTCCGGCCGGCTACTGGCTTCCCTGCTCTCAGGTTCCCGTCTCCGGCTCTCGTGCCCCTTCTTAGCTTCCAGAGCGGAGCCGGGAGGCAAATTCCAAGCGGTTGTGGGACCCACGCCTCACCCGGAACTTTAAGCCCTGCCGTCTCGCCTGGCGCCCAAACTCTGCGGACCTCCACTGGCCGCCCGCCTCTTCCGGCCCCGCGCGCTCCGGGGTCCCGCGGGCTCCCGGCCTCGGGACACTTCCGGTCTTGGGGAACTCCCGGCCCCCTCGCAGTCCCGGCGCCCGGGACACTTCCGGCTCCCGGCAGCTGCCTCAGTCGGAGGTCCGCGGGCGCCCCATGCTGGCAGTGGTAATGCCGCCGGCTGGCATCCGGTTGGCTGCGCGCTGGGAACGCCAGCGAGGCAGCGCCACCGGCTTGAGGAGGGTGAAAGTTCAATTCTTGGCCCCTGAAGTTAGCGGAAGGGAACGGGCATGTTTTGGAAAGGCCCGCCGGGAATTCCCTCAGAAACCAGGCGAAGCTCCCTGCTGGGCCAGGCCCCCCTCGTGTGCTTGAGGAGGATGGGAGCCCGGCCTCGGTTTGTTATCCTAATTAAGTGGAAAATTAAGAAAATAATAGAATAGCGTAAGTACTAATAGTAAAATTATAGTAAGAGAAATAACAATAGCTAGAATGGAATGAATTGCTGTATTAACCAAGGCTAGAAAGAATTTCAGCCCTCCGAAAGTTAAAGCGAGGGAAGAGAGAGACCCTCTCATATTGTTTTATACTCAGTACCTGTTTTTTTTTTTTTTTTTAAAAAAAAAAGGAAGTGAAATCAAAGACAGGCAGCCCAGCGCCAGGCCCAAAACTGGACCTGGGCCTGCCTGGCCTAAACCTAGTAGTTAAAAATCAACTCATGACTTAGAAACCGATGTTATTCATAGATTCCAGACATTCTATAGAAGAACATTGTGAAACTCCCTGCCCTGTTCTGTTTCTCCCTGACCATCGGTGCATGCAGCCCCTGTCACGTACCCCTTGCTTGCTCAAATCAATCACGACCCTTTCATGTGAAATTTTAGTGTTGTGAGCTCTTAAAAGCGACAGAAATTGTGCACTCGGGGAGCTCGGATTTTAAGGCAGTAGCTTGCCAATGCTCCCAGCTGAATAAAGCCCTTTCTTCTACAGCTCCGTGTCTGAGAGGTTTTGTCTGTGGCTTGTCCTGCTACAGTCCTTGGTTCCCTGACCAGGAAGCGAGGTGACTGACAAGCCCTGTGGAGCGTCCCTGCAGAGGACTCCGGCCAGCCTGACTGACGCAATCCAAAGAGCGCTCCCGGGTAGGAAATGGCCCCGGTGGAATGCCTTGCCAGAGCAGCGCATAGCAGGCTCCCGAGAAGGATTAACACTGGCTGAACACCGGGAAGGAACTGGCACTTGAAGTCCAGACATCTGAAGCTTGTCAAGACTAGTTTTTGGAACTTGCCCCACTCCATGTGAGTGGAAGCATGGCCTGATCACCCACGGTGTGCCTGTATTGACATCTTTGTTCTGGTTTTGACTTGGCTTGACTTGGTAAGACTAGTCTTTGGAACTTGCCCCACTCCACGTGAGTGGAAGCGTGGCCTGATCACCCACGGTGTGCCTGTATTGGCACTTTTGTTCTGGTTTTGACTTGGCTTGACTTGGTAAGACTAGTCTTTGGAACTTGCCCCACTCCATCTGAGTGGAAACGTGGCCTGATCACCCACAGCATGCCTGCATGGGCACTCTTGTTCTGGTTTTGACTTGACTTGAATTGCTGGATACTTTGGTTTTGGTTTTGACTTGGCTTGAATTTTTTGGTACTCGGATTTTGAATTTCGTGATTTTGGTTTGGTATAAACGGTAAAAGTGTGTGTGCCCTCTTTACCTGTTCTTTGTCTTGTGGTATGTGTGGTGTGAGCGTGGTATTTTGTCTGGAAAAAAAAAAAAAAAAACATGGGTCAGGTGCAAAGTAAGCCCACCCCACTGGGACCTATGTTAAAAAAATTTTTTTTCAAGAGAGAATTTAAAGGAGATTACGGTGTTAGTATGACACCAGGAAAACTTAGAACTTTGTGTGAAATAGACTGGCTAGCATTAGAGGTAGGTTGGCCACCAGAAGGAAGCCTGGACAGGTCCCTTGTTTCAAAGGTATGGCACAAGGTAACCTGTAAGCCAAAGCACCCAGACCGGTTTCTGTACATAGACAGTTACAGCTGGTTTTAGACCCCCTTTCCCCCACCACAGTAGTTAAGAGAACAGCAGCATAAGCGGCTGGCAGAGCCAAGGAACGACCAGAAAAGAGAAAAAGAGGCCATCTGTACCAATTCTAAGAGTTTAGACTAAACAAGTTCTTATTAATAGCAAAGGATAATTGAAATCTCAAACTTACAAGGTTTTCAACAAAAGTGAAGTTTGCTAAAAGTTAACAGTGTAACATGTATTTTGGTAACTTCTAATCTTGTGGCCTTAGACAGTCTAGTCCAAAGACATAAAGAAAGTTCGCTTTTTTAAAAAGGAAAGAAAAGGGGGGAGGCAGAATTTATATTAAAAAAAAGTTATATGGTAAATTCTTGTCCTGAAATAAATTAACTGGTTGTTTAAAGAAAAAAAAGTTTGTTAATCAGTCAAAAAATTGAGACATGTTAAAAAATTGTCTGGGAAAGTCGTGAGAAAAAAATTATAAAAAAAAATTTTTATGCAAAAAATATTGTATAATTTAAAAGTAATGAGGCCTCCTGAGTACTATTTAAAAAAAAAAAACCAGTTCATGTGCAAGATGTATAAGAAAAGTAAAATATACCTTTGGTAAAAAAAAAAATTATAAAGGGGCATAAACGTGGATTTTTACCTACATTAAAAGGTTAAAAAAATTATTGTTTTAAAAGTTTAAGCAAGCTTTAAAACGTTAATTATAAAAAAAATTCTGTGTGTAAACATATTAGCTAAGGTTAAAAAGGTATCATCCAGTTTTTCTGTGAACTGGACATTAAAGTAAAAATGCAAGAGGTTTTTCTTAAAGCATCAACCTGCTCTTTAACAAAAATTATAAAAGGTTAAAAAGAGTCTATAAAATCTTACCTTATGGTCAAACATAAAAAATTGGATAAATATGTCTACAAGGTTTTATTAAAATTAAGTTTAACATTAATAACACACTAATATAAAGGTAAAATTTAGCTTATCTGGTATAAAAGTCATACAGGAAGCATTAGTAAATATAAAATAGTGTTTAGCTTTCTTTTGTCTAAAAACTAATAAAAATTGGTGCTAAAGGAAGCATTCATTTTACTAGAGGATCATAAAAGTTAAAGACTTAAAACAAACTTTGGCAATTAAGACAGCATACCAAGATGCAAATGCCTGGTTGAAATGGATCAAATATTCCATCTGCAGGTTAAACAAAAGCAATTAGCATGCTTGTGCACATGGCAGGCCAGAGGCCCTGATTGTCCCCCTTCCACTAAGGTGGTCCTCCAGTCGGCCAGGCATGGGCTGCATGGTAGCTCTTTTCCAGGATTCTATAGCCTGGAGTAATAAGTCATGCCAAGCTCTCTCTGCTATATCCCAAAGTCCCTGCAGGTCAGCCCCCGAGGGCCATCCAGCTTCCATCTCCCAACACTAAGTTCACTACGTGTCTCTCATGGCAGGGAGGAGACTTAGCATTCCTTGGAGACCTGAAGGGATGCAGTGAGCTTAAGAATTTTCAAGAGCTTATCAATCAGTCAGCCCTTGTTCATCCCAAAGCGGATGTGTGGTGGTATTGTGGTAGACCTTTATTGGGGACTCTGCCGAGTAACTAGAGTGGCACTTGTGCTTTAGTCCATTTGGCTATCCCTTTCACCCTGACATTTCATCAACAAGAGGAAAAAATAATAATAAGAAGAAGACATCATAAAGCGAGAAAAGCTCCTTATAGGTCTTTCAACTCTCACATCTATTTAGATGCAATTGAAGCCCCGCAAGGAGTCCCAGATCAATTTAAAGCTTGAAATCAAATAGTTACAGGATTTAAGTCAATATTTTGGTAGATGACAGTCAATAAAAATGTAGATTAGATAAACTACATCTATTACAACCAACAGCAACGAGCTTTTCATGAGTTAAAAAGAAAAACTCATGTCGGCCCCAGCCCTGAGGCTACCTGACCTGACAAAACTCTTTACGCTCTATGTGTCAGAAACAAAAAAAATGGCAGTTAGAGTTTTAACCCAGACTGTAGGGCCCTGGCCAAGGCCAGTGGCCTATCTCTCAAAACAACTAGATGGGGTTTCCAAAGGCTGGCCCCCATGTCCAAGGGCCCTGGTAGCAACGGCCCTGTCACAAGAAGCAGATAAGCTAACTCTTACACAAAACCTAAACATAAACTCCCCCCATGCTGTGGTGATTTTAATAAATACCAAAGGACACCATGCTAGATGAATGCTAGACTAACTAGATGCCAAAGCTAGCTCTGTGAAAATCCCCACATAACCATTGACGTTTGCACACCCTAAACCCTGCCACCTTCCTCCTGGTATCAGAGAGCCCAGTTAACCATATCTGGACTCAGTTTATTCTAGTAGGCCCAACCACCGAGACCACCCTTAAACATCAGTAGGCTGGGAGCTGTACATGGATGGGAGCAGCTTCGCCAACCCCTGCAAAGTGACTCTGAAGAAGACGACAAGCCCTGCTCCAGTCACACCTGGAAGCTGACTGGTCCACGCACGGCTGAAACATGAGGAAACTCATCACAGACTCATTTTCCTTAAAATTTGGACTTGAACGGTAAGGACTTCAACTGACCTTCCTCAGACTGAGAACTGTTTCCAGTATATACATCAAGTCACTAAGGTAGGACAAAAGATTGCTACAGTCCTATTATTTTATGGTTATTATAAGTGTACCAGGACTCTAAAAGAAACTTGTTTGTATAATGCTATTCTATCCAAGGTATGTAGCCCAGGAAATAACCAACCTGATGCGCGTTATGACCCATTTTAAGCCTCCCATGATCACAGTTTTTAAAATAAAATTAAGGACTGGTCCTTTTCTAGGTGACACAAGTAAGGTAATAGCTAGAACAGAAGAAAGAGGGGTCCCCAAAAATGTAACCTTAAAATTTGATGCTTGTGCCGCTATTAATAGTAAACAGCATGGGATAGAATGCGGTTCTCTAGATTGAGAAAAAAGTTACACAGCAGAAAATAAGTACATCTGTCAAAAATCATATTTATGTGAGATGTGTCAGTACTGGTCTTGTGTCATTTAGGCTACTTGGAAAGAAGATAAAAAAAATATCCTGTTTGGCTCCAAAAAGGAAAGGCAGCCCCTCCTGCACGAGTGGGAGCTGTGATCCTTTAGAATTGATAATCACAAACCCCTCAGACTCAAAGTGGAATAAAGGAAAATATGTAACATTAGGCATTGACAGAAGAAGACTGACCTCCTAAACTGGAAACAGCTTACACCCTCCTACACGGAGAAGCCCCAGGCCCTCATAGACTTCAGGCAGTCCATCTTTCTGACTCATAACCCTACCTGGCCTGATTGTCAGTAGCTACTTTTAATATTGTTCAATACAGAAAAGCGCAGGAGAATTACTCAGGCAGCCTTACAGTGGTTAGAAAGCAATGCGCCTGAAGGCACAAATGATGTTAAGCGGTAGGCACAGAAGAGGTTCCCAGAAGCAGATCCAAATTGGGATCCAAACCAGGCAGGAGAATTGCAAAACCTGCATAGGTATCGGGAGGCACCCCTTAATGGAATAAAGGCCAGAAGGAAAAAGGCAGCGAATTTGGGAGAGGTCTCAGAGGTATGCCAAAAGGTTGATTAGAGTCCCAGTGAATTTTATGAAACACTCTGTGAAGCATACCGGCTTTATACATCGTTTGATCTGGAGGATGTAGGGAATCAATGCATGGTTAACGTGGCATTTATGGGCCAGGCACAAGGTGACATTAGACAGAAGCTTCAGAAGTTGGAAGGTTTTGAGGCTATGTATATTACCCAGCTCATTCAAGTAGCTACTAAGGTGTTTGTTAATCCAGAGGAGGAAGCCAAGAAAGAGGCAAAGCACAAAGCCAAGGAAAAGGCTGATTTGTTGGCTGCTGCTCTGGTTGAGAGACTGGTTTTGTGAGAGGACGCGGACTTGGTCGTGGTCACAGTAGAGGACAAGCTAGGCCAGGGTTTGAAGGCCAGCCTAGGCTTGAGAGGGATCAGTGTGCAAGAATGCAAACAGAAAGGGCATTGGAAGGTTGAATGTCCAGAAAGAGAAAAGGAAGAAAGTAGCAGCCAGGGACCTGATGCCCGCCCAAGGCCTGCAGCCACTAGCCGTTGTTCTAAAGCTGGATGCCGATCTGGTCAGCTTAGCAGGAGTTGAGGAATATAAGGACTGAGACAGACTGGGCTCCATCTCTCTAGGCCTCCAGGAGCCCCTGGTCTCTATGAAAGTGGGAGGCCAAAAGATGGACTTTATTGTGCCCCTGTTAGGGAGAGACTTGCTTCAGAAACTACAAGCACAAATTTCTTTCAGGCCAGAAGGAAACATGACTCTGGATCTAAGCTGACCAAAAGCTATGATGTTAACTCTTACCCTCCACGAGACTGAGGAATGGAGGCTATATGTAAAAGAGGTGTACAGGCTGTCTGAATTTATGGACAGAATATTTGACAAACTAGTCACTGAAATACCTGAGGTGTGGGCAGAAGACAGTCCTCCAGGATTGGTCATAAACCGGGCACCAGTGGTAGTCAAGTTAGTTCCAGGTGCAACTCCAGTGCGTATTCCCCAGTACCAGGTGTCTACAGAGGCAGTGCGAGGAATGACCAAGCACATAAATCGGCTATTAGAACATGGGATCATAAAGAAATGCAAGTCACCCTGGAATACTCTACTCTTAACCAGTGCAAAAACCGTCTGGTGGGTTCAGGCCTGTGCAAGACCTATGGGACATAAATAAAGTTACTGTTACCTTACATGCGGTGTTGCCAAACCCGTATACAATGACGAGCCACATTCCTGCTCATGCTGCCTGGTTTTCCTGTTTGGACTTAAAAGGTGCCTTTTTCTGCCTCAGGCTAGCTCCAATGAGTCAGCCTATTTTTGCATTCCAATGGGGAGGAACACAATTCACCTGGACCAGGCTCCCACAAGGGTTCAAAAACTCCCCCACTATCTTTGAAGAGGCACTAGCATCAGACCTCAAGGCTTTTGTCCCACCAAATGACAAGTGTGTATTGTTACAATACATTGGTGATCTTTTGTTTGCGGCACCTACCGAGGAAGATTGCTTCCAGGGCACCAAAGATCTCCTTTGCCTTCTATGGAAGGCAGGTTACAAGATGTCTAAGGAAAAAGCTCAGGTCTGTGCAAAAAGAGTAAGATATCTAGGTTTCCTAGTAGCCCAAGGGCAGCGTGAACTCGGCAGTGGGCAGAAGGAAGCCATATGTGCGCTCCCCACTCCTGTCACCCGGCGACAAGTAAGGGAGTTTTTAGGGGCAGCAGGCTTTTGCTGTACTTCAATGCCAAACCTTTCACTCACGGCAAAGCCATTGTATGAAGCCACAAAGTGGGGGAGAAAAAGAGCCCCTCCTCTGGGGTAATGAGCAGAAGAAGGCCTTTAATGAGATCAAAAAGGCCTTAAGCCAAGCTCGAGCCCTGGGATTGCCAGACCTGACTAAGCCTTTCTTTTTCTATGTCCATGAAAGAAAAGGAATGACTACAGGAGTTTCAGTTCAAACAGTAGGATCATGGTATTGACCAGTAGCCTATTTATCAAAGCGGTTAGACCTTGTGGCCCTGGGGTGGCCCCCCTGCTTAAAAGCATTAGCTGCCACTGCCATGCTGGCAGAAAATGCTGGAAGCTGACACCAGGACAAAAGCTAATAATACGGGTGCCACACACAGTGATCACCTTAATGGAGCAAAGAGGATATATCACTGGCTATCTAATCCAAGAATGTTAAGATATCAGGGGCTCTTATGTGGAAATCCATACGTAACTTTAAAAACCGCGAATACCCTCAACCCGGCTACCCTGTTGCCTGTAGAAATGTCGAAGTTGCAAGACCAGTTTCCCCAACGCTATTGCGTAGACGTAGTAGATGAGGTGTTCTCAAGCCGGAAAGACTTAAGAGACCAACCCTTTAAGGACCCAGACGCTGAATATTTCACAGAGGGAAGCAGGTTTGTATCAGAAGGGGTCTGCAGAGCCGGGTACGCAGGGTGACTCTAAATTCAGTAGCCAAGGCACAGGCCCTCCCTACCAGGACCTCAGCACAAAAAGCAGAATAGCTCTAAATAGAGCACTACTAGTAGCCAAAGGAAGGACAGTTAATATCTATACTGATTCAAAGTATGCTTTTGCTACATTACATGCCCATGGAGCCATTTACAAAGAAAGGGGACTCTTAACTGCTGGAGGGAAAGAAATTAAAGAAGAAATCTTACAACTCTTAGAAGCTGTGTGGGCCCCAGACAAGGTGGCCGTTATTCACTGTAAAGGACATCAGACAAGAGGCGGCATAGAAGCAAAAGGAAATAGGAAGGCAGACAGAGAAGCCAGACAAGCAGCTATGTCCAACTCAAGTACTAAAAAGAAAACCCCAACCCTGCTGCTTCTACTAGAACCTTCCTTACCTGAAACCCCAAGCTACTCTCCCAATGAAAAAGCTTGGTTTGAACAAGAGAGCGGAAGTTACATACAAGGAGGCAGGTGGAAGTTCTCAGATGGGAGGCTAGCTATTCCGGAAGCAATAGCCCCCCAATTTATGAAGCAGTTTCATCAGGGAACACACATGGGAAAGACTGCATTAGAAACTCTTGTAGGATGGCATTTCTATGTGCCATGCCTTACTGCCATCACTCGAGCCGTTTGTGAGCAATGTTTAACCTGCGCCCAGAACAATCCATGGCAAGTGCCAACTCAGCCCCCAGGGATTCAAGAGACCGGAGCTACACCCTGTGAAAACTTGCTTGTGGACTTTACCGAACTGCCCCGAGCACGGGGTTATCAGTACATGCTAGTGTTTGTTTGCACTTTCTCAGGGTGGGTCAAGGCATTCCCTACCAGGATAGAGAAAGCCCAAGAAGTAACCAGAGTGTTGCTAAAAGACATTATTCCTAGGTTTGGACTGCCTCTAACTTTAGGATCAGATAATGGCCCAGCATTCATGGCTGAAGTAGTTCAGCAGCTGTCGCAGCTGCTAAAGATAAAGTGGAAATTGCACATAGTCTACCACCCACAGAGCTCAGGAAAGGTAGAATGGATGAACCAGACACTAAAACATCTGCTGAAGTTTTGTCAAGAACCTCATCTTAGGTGGGATCAGGTCTTGCCCATGGCCTTTCTCCAAGTCAGGTGTACCCTTACCAAATTGACTGGGCTTTCACCCTGTGAAATTGTGTTCGGCCGACCACCCCCGATTATAAATCAGGTAAAAGGTGATCTGTGGGAACTAGGGGAACTAACTTTAAAAAGGCAAATGCAAGCTTTAGGATTAGCTATGCAAAAGATTCATGGCTGGGTACGAGAAAAATTGCCTATAAGCCTAACAGACCCAGTTCACCCCTTTACACCTGGGGACTTGGTTTGGGTTAAGAAATGGAACCCAACCACACTAGGGCCCATATGGGATGGGCCCACACTGTAATCTTGTCTACTCCCACTGCTGTTAAAGTTGCAGGTATCACACCTTGGATTCATCACAGTCGACTGAAGCTGGCTGCGCAGGACCAGTGAACCAGTCAACAAGACTCAGACCATCCAACATGACTAATCCTGTGGCAAAACCACGACACCACTGAGAAAGTCAACCACCCTGCTGTGATCACTCTGGAGGCTGGTCAGTCTACGCACAACTGAAGCTTGAGAAGTCAAACCCTGCTGTAGTCACACACTGGAAGCTGACTAGTCTACGCATGGCCAAAGCTTGAGGAGTCTTCACTAGATAAGTAAATGTGGATAGAACTTATAAGCCTAGTAGTGATCTTAGTAATACTGATTATCTTATTATTATGTTACTGTTTTTGTTCAGGAAAAGGCCTATATTGGATCTGTGGAGCACAGGCATATCAGCAACTGCCAGCTAAATGGACAAGAGCATGTGTATTAGGAACAATCAAGCCATCCTTCTTTCTAATTCCTCTAAAGCAAGGGGAACTCTTAGGATATCCAGTCTATAATGAGAATAAAAGAACTAAAAGGAGCATGATCTCAAAAATAAATATAAATATCAAAAAAGACATAGACATAGGAGACTAGAAAAATAATCAATGGCCTCCTGAAAAAATCATTAAATACTATGGGCCAGCTACCTAGGCACAAAATAGGTAATGGGGATACCACACCCCAATTTATATGCTCAACTGTATCATAAGGTTACAGGCTGTTCTTGAAATAATAACCTATGAAACATCAAGAGCTTTTTGATGAACCTATGAACATCAAGATTTACTAGCTGTACAAGCTACACAGATAAGGAATGCCATATATCAAAACAGGCTGGCACTAGATTACCTCCTAGCCTCAGAAGGAGGAGTATGTGGGAAGTTTAATCTAACAAACTGCTGTTTAGACATAGACAATAGGCGAGCTGTCATGGGAATTACTGCCAGGATGTGGAAGTTAGCCCAAGTTCCAGTTCAAACCTGGTCAGGTTGGTCTCCAGATTCTCTCTTTGAAGGATGGTTTTCAACCTTTAGTGGGTTCAAAACCTTAATAGGTGGGTTCCTGCTTATCACAGGTGCCTGCCTAATTCTCCCTTGTCTCCTACCTCTTCTCATCAGAAGTGTTCAGTCAACTATAGAGGCAGTTGTGGCCAAATACACTACTACTCAAATAATGGCATTGACTAAGTATTGCCCCAAGAATAATATGTACCGACTCAAGAAAAAATAAACAACTGTGGTGCTATTAACCAACATTTATATAGAGCACCAAAGGGGGGAATGAAGTGGAAAATTAAAATAGGATAATAGCATAAGTAATAATAGTAAAATTATAGTAACAGAAATAATAGCTCATAGAATGAATTGCTGTACCAACCAAGGCTAAAAAGAATTTAAGTAGCCCCCCTGAAGTTAGAGTTAAAGAAGGATATTAACTGCCAGTCCCAAGAAACATTAACCATATCTGCCCTTCAGGTATTTTGTAGGCTCTGTAAGCTTGTGTTTTCTTCCCTCCTTGTACAGCTGCAAGGTCACAAGACAGATAAGCATAAGCTGCATACTAAGTTTTCCCAGAGATGTAAGACATGTTGCAAAAGTGTCACAAGATAATTAATGGACTTTGTTCTTGCTTCTGTAAGCCTGCTTCCTGCTTCACGTAATTCCTGCCTCAAAATGCTTAAAAGACATTCGTTTTCTTTGATCTATGCTTAGATTTTCTGGATGCAATTCCACTGAGCCAATGTACACCTAAAAATAAAAACTTTCCTGCATCCAATTCTTCGGTCTCTCTTGTCCCTTAATTTTCGCAACATTTCAAGACAGGAGGCCTTGCTAATGCTTAATATTCTGGTGGCGGCCCCAGGGGTCCCCTCTGCCCACATGTCCTGCTGGATGCTGGGCTCCGCCGCGGTCACGTGGCGTCAGCGCCGAGTTTTAGTTGAAAACCACACTCCTGGCTTCACACAGCCCACAGGACGCCAGAGCCCAGACTGGAAATGCCTGCGCAAGCAGTGGCCAGTGAGGCTTTCCCCAGCAGCGTTTTCAGGTTGAAAGGATGATCTGACAAGATCTGGCCCTAAAATGGGAACTCAGGACAGTGATCTGAAACGTGGTTCGCAAAAAATCAGCAGCTAGAATGGGTGCTACCCACACCCGGGCGCAGCGAGCTCGGACACCACGCTCCCTCCCTGTGCGGCGCCTGTGGCTCCTCCACAGCAGCGACACCCACGCAGCTGGATCTCTGCCCTCAGCCCCTGGCTGCGTGGGACAGTGTCCAGACAGCAAGGCTGAAGGGGCGGCCCCAGTGCCTTCAGGTCACAAACCGAACTGCCACACTGGGGTCCATGTAGCTCTTCAGGAGGGCAGTCTCAGGCAGGACTTGCTTCCCCGCCACCGTCACCTTGAGGGGTTAGGGTCACTGACCTCCAGGGTCCCCGCTCTCACCGGCTGTGAGCCAGGACAAGCCCAGGTCTCATGGGCTGGGGTGGAAAAGCATCTTTTCCTTGTGAATAAAGGAACAGAAAATACTTGGCTATTCTGCCTTGCCACTTATGGAAACAAAAAAAAAATCCTTGGCAATTGGAACTGACAAAGAGGCTTTACTAGTCCAAGCTTCGGTCAGGCTTCTGAGTGTTCTGCAAGGCCCGTCTGTGCACTTCCTTGTAAAATCCAGTCTTAGCAAAAACCCCTTTCCCCTCGGTATCTGATCACCCTCCAAGCCTTATCAGGCTCCTCACCCTCCACCATCCCCGAGTGGCCTATCACCCTAGCCTGTATTCAGCAAGAGTCCTGTTAGGTCAGTTTCACCAGAATCTCTCTTACCCTGATGGCTCCTCTTAGTAATTTTCTATTCACAGACCTCCACCCTGCTCCTTGGCTATGAATTCCCACTGTGCACGCTGTATTCGGAATTGAGCCCAATCTCTCTCCCACATGCAAGACTCCATTGCAGTGGTCCCTATACCTATCAAGATAGTAGTCTTTACTGTACTTTAACGAGTATCATTGACTAAGTTTTTCTTTAACAGAACCACCCCTTGCACATTTCTCTCCTTAAAACCTCTTTCCATAGCCAGCTGAAAAGAGCTATTTGAAGGGAGAGATGCTCCCTGCCCCAGGCAGGGGTCAGGAATCTGAACTGTGTGATTTGCACAGATTAGAGTCAGCACCCAAAGCATTTGGGGGTTTGGGGGATTTTTTTTAACTGACAGCTAAACTGCTGTTTATCATGTGAGGTAATGCACGTGTCAGTTAGCTAGATTTAATCATTCTACATTGTCTGTATTCCACAATGTATACATACTTCAAAAGATTACATTGAACTCCTAAAGCATTTAAATGGGGACTGGCTATGAGGCCCTCCCCATTCAAATGCTTCCCTCAACTCGCAGAACACAGCCAAGGCCTGAGGCCATGGAGCAGAAGAGGCAAATACCGGCAGGTATCTGAAGAGAGGGAGGAAATGGGGAAGTGCACCTGCAAGGCTCTCGGTGCAGCCCTCCCCAGAGCTGAGGGTCCACACCTGGGCTGGGAACTGAGGCTGGGACTGGGAAAGAGGTTTTCTTCTATGCCACCCTCAACCAAGAGAATGGAAGAGTCTTGCTTGGGTTCTTAAGCAGACGCCAAGCAGGTCTATGGAAGGAGAGATAAGCGGAAGTTCCAACATGCTTTATTTGAGGACGAGCGCTCACCCGGGATGGAGTAAGAAGTGGGATGGGAGAAGCGTAGGGTTCAAATTTTCTTTGTGTCTCTGTGATCCTTAAAGCATCTCAGCAAGCTGTAGAGATGGTATTAAGGGGAGAGAAAACTTTGAGATGACAAGAGGAAACGTTAATACCATTCTCACTCCAATGAAACCCATGACCACTTTTTAAATGTCCTACAGAATCACTGGGTGAGATAAGTAAGATCACTGTTTCAATACAGATGGGGAAAGATAATAAATAAAGAAGTCTTGGTTTTCTTCATTTGCAGGGAGGATTACCAGGGTAGAAATGGGTAAAAATCGGTAAATAACTATTTACTACTGTCTCTGGTGTTTTCTCATAATCAAGCCACTTAAATACCTCCCTACTTTTCCCTCAACTCCCAGAACAAAGCCAAGACTTTGGTACCAATTTCTTCGTGCTTTTCCTCAAGCAGGTAACTAGGAGTATCCCTACTCCAGCCTTGTGCCCCTAGAACTGGGCTGGAGCTCAGAGACTTAAAATGACTCATGGCAGCTGCCTTCCCCAGCTCAGTGATAAGGTCGCCCCTGCCAAACACTGGAGACCAAAGCCCAGGTCCATCACTCCCATAGTGACTCCTCCCATAAGCTCTGCCTCAGCTGTGAAAGGCAAGAGGGAGAAGGGGAGTGAGGCTCTTGTTCCTCCTCACCTAGTGGGAAGATATGCCTCTTCAAGGTCCCACCCCAGCCAGGGAGGAGAGGGCAGGCCTCAGGCAGGGTGTGGACACAGCTGGTTGACACTCAGCTCAGCTACAGATCGGCTCAGCCACAGTTGGGCCGGCCTGAACCCCAGGTGCCCACCAGCAGCAACTTGGCCCCCTTGCTCTACCTTCTCACCATTCGCCAGCAGTGGGTGCAGGCAGCCATCATCTTTCCACAAAGATGTTCAGTTGGAGGAATGAGAGGAGCCACCAAATGAAAAAGGTACAGGTTGAGCGTCCTTAACCCAAAGATCCAAAATCAAAAATGCTCCATAACCCAAAACTTTTTTTTTTTTTGAGTTGGGTTCTCCCAGTGGCGTGATCTCGGCTCACTGCAACCTCCGCCTCCTGGGCTCAAGTGATTCTCCTGCCCCAGCCTCCAGAGTAGCTGGGATTATAGGCACCTGCCACCATGCCTGGCTAATTTTGGTATTTTTAGTAGAGATGGGGTTTCACCATGTTGGCCAGGCTGGTCTCAAGCTCCTGACCTTAAGTGATCCACCCACCTTGGCCTCCCAAAGTGCTGGGATTACAGACGTGAGCCACCGTGCCCAGCCCCAAAACTGTGAGCACCAACATGACACCACAAGTGGAAAATACCACACCTGACCACAATCAATACTTTGTTTCATGTACAAAATTATTTAAAATACTGTATAGAGTTACCTTCAGGCTACATGTATAAGGTATATATAAAACATGAATGAATTTCATGTTTAGACATGAGACCTACCAAGATACCTCATTATGTATATATGCAAATATTCCAAAGTCTGAAAAAATCCAAAATCTGTAACACTCCTGTCCCAAGCATTTCAGATAAGAAACGCTTAGCCTGTCTTGGGAAACAGCAGCCACTGGATGGAAAGGGGCAGCCAGTAGCAGAGGCCTCAGCCCCTGCCTTCATCCTGAGAATCTTCTGTAACAAAAGCTGCCAGCTTTCAGGGAAGAAAAAGAATTCTGTGGCCTTGACTTAAGCCCAGAGAAACAGGAACTGCCAAACCTTGTTACCCAGCAGAACAGACAGAGAGCTGACCTGGCTCCATGGCAAAGCAACAGGAGAGCCTGGAGAGGTTCAGTTCAGGGCCAGCAGAGCCAGGCTGGGTGGGAGGGCTGTCACTGAAGCAAAGTGACACACATCCTAGAAAGAGACATCAGGGGACCACAAGAGTATTCTCTTTTTTTAAAAAAGAAAAAGATAAATGGGCACATATATACAAAATACTGTCAATTTCTACTGGGCCAACACAGTAGCCACTGCAATGTTTCTCCTTCTTCCGGAGCTTTCCTCCCATAGTCTCACATGTACTCCTGGCACAGCCACAATACCAGTCTCTGGGAAGCATATGTCACCTACTCCACGTGGGTCCCATTCCAGTCACCACAGATGGAAGCACCTGAGCCTCCTTGCCAGTCTTTCCCTGCAGAGTCACTGCACTGGCAGGGAGCTGGAGTGGAGCACGTGGTTTTCCTGTCCTATATCTCCTCCCCCCACCGCAGATAATACTGCTTCCTCGGGTGGCCCTTGGGGCAAGTCATCAGGCTTTATGGGCCAGGAGGGTGGTCAGCTTGATCTTGCCATCCATGGAGGCGGTGAGGCAGGTCCCACAGTCCATGGCAGTGCTCCAGTCCACGGTGACCACAGGGGCTCGGTGGCCACCTAGGCTCAAGCAGCTCTCCAGAACCTTCTCATCGCCACCCAGCTGCAAGAGGACAGGAAAGAGGAGGAGGTGTCAGCAAACACCAGTTACACACACTTGATCCACTTTCAGTGGCCTACCTGAGGATGTGCCTGAGGCCAGACACACATGCCCACCTTTCCAGAAAGTCTGTTTAACTTTTTGAACCAGGAAATGCTTGCACTTTCCCAACTACAGCTGGTCCATCTGAAGTGGAAAACAAGTCCCTGAGCGGCTCCTTAAAAAAAGGCATTTTCTCAGCTGCCTTGAACTTGCTGTGGGCTGGTGCCTCTTGCACGCACACTGGTTGTTCTCACTACAGCATCACTTCTCACTACCTGGCAGGTGCTCATGAATCTGCTTATTTGTTGAAGGTTCATGTCCCATACTGGGGAATGCAAGCTGCAGGAGAGCAGGGCCTCGGGCAGCTCTCTCCTGCCGGGGGGCCAGCCTGCCACACCCAGAACAGTGCTGGCCACAGGGGAGCCTTCAGTTAGTGCAGAAACATGGCTCTCCTCTGAACCCCAGCACTAGCTAGCCAGCGATCCTTTGTCAAAGGCATCTCCACAGCCATGCAGCTCGGGGTAGAGGGCCTCGCTCAGTAGCCATGGCCCAGACCTCCAGGGAGGAACCCCTGCCCACCACAATACCACTACCTCCCACCCCCAACCATCAGTTACCTTGTAGATGACGCCGCCTGTGGCAGAACATGTCAGCATGTAATTTCCCTCCGAGTCAAAAGCGAAGAGTCGGCCCCTGGGGACTTGAACCTGCTTGTAGCCGCTGTATCCAGACAGCACAAAGGGGCCCGTGGCATCTGAGGGGAGGCTGTACTCGGATACCTTGAGGCCACTCTTGTGGATGTTCCACTGGATGAACTGCAGTCACAGGGCACAAGCAGGGTGCTCGCAGCGGAGCTGGCCAATGCAGGCCTCAAGGAAGAGCCAGGACCCACCCCACAGCAGAGGCTGGCGAGGGCGACCCGCCTCCCCCAGCCACAGTGCTGACATCCTTGAAAAGCCTTTCAAGTGCCAGAGGCAGAAAAGTGGGTGAGAGGTCTACAGGTCCTATCTCTGGTCAACATGATTTAAGCATTTTTTAGGGAAGAAAATCTAGAAAAAGAGGCAGCAACCTCACATTAAAGTCCAACCCTTCTCTTTCTCTCTGGCCTGACCCTAGGAGAGGAAAAGGGACAGCAAGTGGCTTTGCCTGGATTCCTGGTCTCTCAAGCAGGAGGAATGCTTCAAGTGACATATTATTATTATTATTATCAGAGTTAGACCCCAACTAGATTTTTCTATCCTAGGAACAAGGTACAGAGGACAAAGTCCACATATATTTCCAGTGTTTCAGGCATATAATCAATTGAACACTGGGCGATGCCATTATAAACTCAGCTTCTTATCATAGCAGACATCATCCCTTAGCCTACCCTACGGACAGGATACTTGGCTGTGACCACCTCTTCACTGAGCATCCCACATAACAAGGAAGTCGAGCTTTAATGTAAAAGTCCCTTCCCAAACTTTTCAAATGAAGAATTTATTTTGTAGTTACTCCTTTCAAGGGATAAAAAGATAGACAGTGTCCAATCCCAAAAGTCCAGGCAGGCACACATGGAAAGGGCATCCTTCTCCCATCTCTGCCCCTGCCAGCTCCCCCTCTGAGGCAGTCACTATTCCTAGTTCCTAACCCTCCACAGAGGGAATCTACCAGGGGCATGTACTTTTCCTTTTTTTCTGGCTTCTTGTTTACATCTCTGGGCTCTGCTGGGGTCTGTACACATCTAAGAAGCTGTACCCAGCCACTCAGCAAACTACACATCCATGAGTGGTCCTGGGACCACTCACTACCAAGCCCAGCAAAGCAAACTCAGCCCTAAATCCAGACCCCACAGATACATCTATGGTAAGATGAGTAATTTTTGGTACTTCCTTTCATAAGGATAGCCAACTCCCACTGAATTCACTAAAACCTCGCAAAGATTGTAAGACGAATTACTAGTTTATCCCTATTCTACAGATAACAAAGCTGCAAAAAGAGGCCCCAGGTTGCAGAGCTAGTAACAGGTATGGCCACAACCTGCAGCCGGCCCACATGTCATCCCGGTGCTCTCTTATCTGAATCCTGCAGCCGCCTACCTTCCCGTCCTCGCCGATGCTGTACACGGTGTTCTCATCATAGCTGAACTCCACAGAGTAGACCTCCCCGTAGTGGGCCCTCCAGCTCATCGCGCACTCATGCTGCTGCATGTCTGAGGCAATGAGACACGGCCACTCACATCCTGGCCAGGGCTCTGCAGAAGGAATCTGCCTGCAGCAGGAGGCCCCCTCACCCTCTACTCAGGCTGACAGCTGTTCTGGAAGCCAAGGGCAGGCACCCAGGACCCAATGAGCGCCATAAAGCTGCCCCTGCCCAAGAGGTCAGGCTGCTTCTAAGCCTCAGAGGCAGCTTCTTTCACCAGGTCAGAAGTGAGGCTCAGGAGTCCCTGGGGGGAGCTCACCTGGGGAGCCCTAAGTCTAGGAAGACACCTGAGAAACTCCCCTCTGTAACTTCCCCATGTGCCCTGGGAATCCCCTAAAGATACAGTTGCCTTGCCCCAGCCCAGGCTCTGGGGATGTCTCCTGGGGACAGAGCCCAACCTGGGGATTTCTACACAGCATGCCAGGTGATTCTGATGTATGCCTCTGGTTAAGGAGCACTGTTCTGATGCTTTTGAGAATCAACTACCCACAGCAAGTAGGTAGGACAGCAGTACTCTTGTATGCCCTCCTGTATTTCACATGGGTGACAAGGACTCAGATGGAACAACTCAAGACTCAAGGACCGCTGAGCTCCACCCCCTCCCATGTCTATTGACACTAACTATGGGCGAGTTTATTACGGTGGGTGTTTTGAAAACGTTGACCAAAGTTAAGCTGTAGTACATGCATCTGAAGTCAGGGTTTTGCAAAAGCCTCTAGCCCAGCTGGCAAAAAAATCCAACGTCGGCAAAAAAAATTGCCTGGGAAATCTAAGGAGATCAAGGATTGCTATGAGCACACTTGCATACCAAACAGCCGGATGACGCCATCAGCTGCCCCTGTGACCAGCAGGTTCCCGTTGTGATTGAAGGCTGTACAGTTGATAGCAATGGGTTCTGGATCCAGGGAGAACTGGAGCTATTGAAATAAAACAAAAATGTCAGTAGCAGATCTTCACTCAGCCCAGGCACGCTGCTTATTCCAATGCAGACAGGTGCCCCAGACTGGGTTTTCCACCAGCTCCTCCCTTATGTAATCTGGAAATGTAGATCTGAGCCTTTGCCAAAGTGCTGTGCCAGTGACCTTCTGTGCTCTTTTGAGAACAAGTTCTCTGTGCCTAAATACATTCTGGTTTCCATAGAGAAATGATAATCCATGCTTGCTCCATTATAAAAGAAATAATACATATCTTAGCAACCTACACTTCACCCAGAATGCATTCCAAGCAAATTCTCATTGAAAAGTCTTATGCCCTCAGAAAATAACACTTCATCAACTGCCTTTGATGACAGACAACACTAATAAACCTGCCCTATGGCTCCCCACAGAAACACTCAGAAATATAGTAGCAAACAAAACCACCTCATAGAACATAATGTCTATTAATTACATAATTAATGAACACTATCATTTCAAACAATATGAAACCCTGGGAACACTAAATAATCCTCCTGAAATTAAAAATGCAAGATAGAATGTTATTTAAAATACACACAGAGTACTGAGCTAGCAAATAAAAGAATCCTCTAGGGCCACAACTAAGAGAAAGCAAGAACGCAGAGAACCAGTGCACTCCAAAGCCGGCTTTCACTATGGGGAATTAATCAGATCCAGATGACTCAAGTTCCCATTCTGCTACCCATGAGGAGCTCAGGAGCCTGGAGACAACCATGTGTGATCTGCCCAAGGTCAGGCGATAAGAAACCGTCACATGGAGCTGAGACTCCAAAGAGCTATACCTTCAGTGCAGGAATGAACTAGAAACAAACCTACTTCACAGAAAGGGATAACAAGAAAACTTACCTCCCTGCAAATTCATAACCACAAACTAGCCCTGACGTGGGAGGAACCTGGCAAAAATTAATGCAAATCCAAAGAAATGCACCTCCAACCCAGGCCTCAAAATATTCTCAGAGATACTGGCCCAAAAAACACCATGATCACAATTCATAAGAAACAGGAAAATAAGGCAAAAGGAGCCAGCACCCACAGAGACAACAGAGCAGAATCAGACCCACAAAGACTTCAGACATTAGATTTATAATGAGAACATACAAGCACATTCAATTGTTCAACAAAATAAAATAAGGAATTGAAAATATGGGTAAAAATGAGAGACTATAAACACGACAAAGCAGGTTTTAAAAAATGAAGGTGAGCTTCTAAAAATGAGAAACACAATAACTGAAATTACCATCCTAATAAATAGATGAAACAGAAGATTAGATATAGTAGAGGAGAGATTAGCAAACTGATGGATCTGAAGAAACTATTATCAAGAATGCAGCAAAGTGAAACAAAAAAGAGGAAGAGGCAAGTTCTAACACATATGGAATGGGAGTTCCAGAAGGCAAGAGATGATCAGAGAACAGCAATACTGGAAAAAATGATGACTGAGAATTTTCCAGAATTGAACAGACACAAATCCTCTGATTCAGAAAACAAATCCCAAGCAAAACTTCAAAAAAATTAATTTCAAAAGTTAAGAACCAGAAAATCCACATCCAGAGAACCAGGTAAGATTTTAAAAGCAGCCAGAGAGAAAAGACAACAAAGGAATGCCAATTACATGGAGAGCTAATGTCCCGGTCTCAGCAAAGGCAGCCAGAGGATGGACCAAGTCACAAGGTTAGGGAAGCAGTGTTCAGCCTGGAATACAAGAAGCTATTCTAGAAAAACACATATACTGTGGTTTATTCATATGGAGTCAGAAAACCTGCAAAACAAAAATTCGGTTGTTTAGGGATATATAGTAATTGACATGATAAAGTAATTTTTTAAATGTAAGGCAGGCCGGGTGCAGTGGCTCATGCCTGTAATCCTAGTACTTTGGGAAGCCCAGGTGGGTGGATCACCTGAGGTCAGGAGTTCGAGACCTGGCCAACATGGTGAAACCCCATTTCTACTAAAAATACAAAAAATTAGCTGGGTGTGGTGGTGGGCACCTGTAATCCCAGCTACTCAGGAGGTTGAGGCAGAAGAATTGCTTGAACTCAGAAGGCGGATGTTGTGCTGAGCAGAGATTGTGCCGCTGCACTCCAGCCTGGGTGACAGAGCAAGACTCCATCTCAAAAAAAAAAAAAAAAAAAAAGTAAGGCAACAGTATGACAAAATTCAAGACAGGTTCTCTCTGGAAGGGAAAAAGACCAAGACTGGGAAGGGCTACACAAGAGCTAAAAAGTATTGGTGATGTTCTGTATAAACTGTGATGGGTCTGTGGGTGCTCACTGTACTGCTTTTCTTCTCATTATACTATACACCTATGATTTCAATATGCTTTTGTATGTATTCAATGTCTAATTAAAAACTTGAAAATCACAAGTAAACATATAATTACAAATTGTAATAAGAACTTTGGAGGAAAATACAAGATGCTATGAACTAAGAGGAATTGAATTAAACTGGTGGAGAGGACAGTGGGCAGGGAGGGGCACGAGAGATAGGTCTAGAGTATGTCCCTGGAAATGCAGAGAAGTGGTCAGACTGGAAACACACTGGCAGCATTTGCTTATGGACTGACTGTGTGAGCAGAGGGAAAAAGACAGGTCTGGGAAGAACCCCAATTTCTGTTGTGTTTTTTTTTTTTTTTTTTTTTTTTTTTGAGACAGGGTCTCACTCTGTCACCCAGGCTGGAATACAGTGGCACCACATCAGCTCACTGCAGCCTCCACCTCCCAGGCTCAAGCAATTCTCTTGCCTCAGCCTCCCAAGTAGCTGGGACTACAAGTGAGCACCACCACACCTGGCTAATTTTTAAGTTTTTTGTAGAGACAAGGGCTCACTACATTGCCCAGGCTGGACTTGAACTCCTGGCCTCAAGCAATCCATCTGCCTCAGCTTCCCAAAGTGCTGGGATTACAGGCATGAGCAACTGCTCCTGGCCAAGATCCCCAATTTCTAAGTGAGGCACATTTGCCAAAGTGAGGAAAATTATGAGGGGAGGGATGGATGTGGCAAGGGGTGGAGGTCAAGAATTCGAGTGTGACCCTGACGGGCCTGAGAGGTCTGACAGACCCAAAGGGAACACAGACCACTTCTACAGGCAGATGCAGAACAGAACAAACTGAACATCTGGAACAGGAACCCACTGAAAGCAGGAGCCTTGAGCTTCCAGCAGCATCAGGAAACAATGTGTTCAACATAAAGGCCATATGACTTGTAAGCAGTGAAACGAATCATTTTAATAAGAAGTAGCACTGCCTTGGAAGGTGAGTTTAGCATCATTCAATCTCTCTGGGGCTCAGGGTGGCAGCTGCAGCATCTATTACTGTCTTGAAGGAAGGGGTCCTTGGCTCTGAGGTGGTGCCCAGGTCCCCTGGGAGCAAGTTCACAGGCTGTCTGGTCACCTCGCTTCTTACGAATCTGTATGTGTCCTTGCTACTGCTGGCTGCTGCTGCTATAATTCTCATACAATTTTAAGGTAACAGTATGTCAGAGGGAGGCACGAGTCCTCTCCTAAATAATCAACCACAGGGGCCCTCTGGTAGGTTCTGGGTGTCTTCTAAGTTTGTGGCACAATTCTGAATGACATGTCACTAACAATCTGCCCAGTTGGAGTACACTACTTTTCAACACTCAAAACTTTATTAAAAATCTGAGGAGACCAAAGCAAAAAGAGGGAAGAGGCTCTTCAGAAACCCAGGGGAATACAGAGTGTGTGCCTGGCCCCAGAGAGAGCCACAGGGCAGGCCCGTACCTGCTGCTTCATGGTTTTCGTGTCCCACAGCAGCAGCCTGCCAGGAACCTGGTTCATGCCCTTGCTGCCGATGTCTGGTGCTGAGAAGTCCACCTGGGAAGTGAGGCTCGGAGCTGCTGCCGAACAGACGAAAGAGGCCCCGTTGGGGCTGCACGCAAGAGACAGGATTCTGCAACACACATGGGCCTGGGTCAGACCCTCTGCCTGCCCACAGAGGGAGGGTGCACTTTGGTCCTGAGGCTGGATCCTGCACAGGAGATGGGGCATTAGGCTTGGGAAAGGACCAGCCCCGCGGACCACACTTGGCAGCCTGCGGCCTTGATGGTGGGGGGTAGGTTCCAGTTCACCTGGGCATGTTGTCGTTGATATTGATTTCACAGAGATTCTTCTTGGCTTCCGTGTCATAGAGACGCACTGTTCCCACACCACTGCCCAGCAAGAGCTGGAATGACAAGGGGCGGGAGGTGGGAAGGATAGCATGGAGTGAGGCTGAGTCAGGGAGGATCTCCAGAGGGGGTGAGGCTGGGCAGGCTGTGGGGGTGAGGCCCCTCCTCTACGCATCCAGGCAGTTCAGGGGAAATCTGGCTACAATGAGCCTCACTTTAAAATTAAACAAAGACGTGAGAGCTGACCTTGAACTTCTAAGCAAAACCACAAAAAGTATCTGTGGAATGGGAGAGACGCGTCACCTTGGACACATATGGAAATGTTCTGGCTGGTGAATGAGGCCCTCTGATCCTCCCTTTCTTCAGTTTGAAACCCCAGCTGTTGGAACCCTTCCTTCCCACTCTTGGTCTGCCCAGCACCCCTCCCAGCGTACTCGCTTCGGCTGCCACAGGGCCTGGGTGACTCCCATTTGCCTTTTCAGGGGACAGCTCTGGCTCTGGGTCTGTAAAGACCTCCAGAAAAAAAAATAAAAGGGGCTATCCTTGCCTTCAGGAACTTGTGACTTATTTGGTGAAAAGCTTCAAAGATAATAATAGTGCCAGAGGAAAGTGCCAGAAGCAGCCCAGGTCTGAGGGTGTCTCACAGGAATATTAGGTAGAGTGTGACCTCGGCATTCACTTGGCAAACTGGCGCTGGCACAGGGCAAGCCCTGAGGTCCTCATCCATGAGGATAATCCCTTCAGCTGCCAAAAATTATAGAAAAACAGGGTTTGCATCTTGGGCTATGTGGTATGATCCCCACAAATGAAGTAAAAGAAAAAACAGCAAGGCAATTTTACCTCCTTAACTACAAGTCCTATCTCAAATATCAAATCCAGAGGGAAGAACACTGTACTATTCCTGGGGACAATAAGACCCATGGGAACCACAAAATAGAACACCAGCCCCTCACCAGCGGAAGCCACTTCCCGTGGGGCCTGGCACGGGAGGGCGCCCACTGAAACTGCAGCTGGAAACACAGACAAATGGAGGGACAGCAGTCAGGCAGGTGGTCCCCAGGGCGGACCACCACAAACAGGAAGAAGCCGTGTGTTCCAGGCCCCCTGCAGCTCATTTCCATCTGTCAATCTGGTAACCTCCCTGTCTTCCCACAACAGGAGCCTTCTGGGCCAGTCCTGGATGTGTGTCCCTGAATCCCCAATAATGGAGAGAAGGGAGGGGAACTGGCTTGGCTGTCTTGACTCAGCCGGTGGAGAACCCTGGGGAATTCCTCCACTGAGCCAGCAAAGCGGGCCCCACAGGCCACCATTACTCACCAGTCTGTCCCGTTTGGTGGCCCATTCCAAAGACAGCAGCGGTGATTTGGAAATGGAGGATGCTTTGGTCTGCATGATGGGGTTGAAGGACCACACTTTGATGACCCCATCTACGTCTAAGCTGGCGACTCTCCTCCCAGAGCAGTCCACTCTGAGATGAGAGAAAAGGGAGGCCTGTCAGCTGGCCTCTCAGTCCCCATCCTCTTCTGCTAATGCCAAGATGATCACTTTCCTGACTTCCTTACTGTTTTAAAAAAACAATCCCTAGAGGTCTACATTCAAAGGACTGGTATAGACTATTTCTAGAAATATTCATTCATTCGTTTGTCTAAGAAATACTTATTAAGTGCCAACCATGTGCGGAGCTTTTGGTCAATTCTGGGCAAAGAGCCGTGAGCAAGAGTTGCAGGGCCCTGCCCTGAGGCCATTTGCAGTCTCTGGAGATTTAGAGCCTCCAACTCACACTCCAGAACAGCCCAAGGGCCCCAAGAGCCATCAGGGCTGTCAAAACGAGAAACCCATCTACAGCTGAAAATTATGCCCCACCAGGGTTTGTTCTTGAAAGGTTTATACTGTGCTTAAGTAAAAACTTACAAATGGTAAATTACAAATCAGGTATTTACCTAAAAGTACCATCATAAAGCAAATTAAAATTGAGTGAGTTTGGGGGGCTAAAATAAAGTGTAACTTGTTCCTAAAACTGAGAGAAACACAATTAGAAAGGGCAGAGAGGCCCGGTGCGGTGGCTTACGCCTGTAATCCCAGCACTGTGGGAGGCTGAGATGGGCAGATCACTTGAAGCCAGGAGTTCAAGACCAGCCTGGCCAACATGGTGAAACCCCGTCTCTACTACAAATATAAAAATCAGATGGGTGTGGTGGCAGGCATCTGTAATTCCAGCTACTTGGGAGGCTGAGGCACGAGAATCGCTTGAGCCTGGGAGGGCAAGGTTGCAGTGAGCCAAGATCGTGCCACTGCACTCCAGCCTAGGTGACAGAGCAAGACTCTGTCTCAATAAGGAAAAAAAAAAAAGGGCAGACAGGCTGACCAGTCCACTGGCAGCTCCAACCGACTCCCATGACTCTACTGCCATGACTGTGGCCCTCGTCCAAGCCCCCATTCTCCGCCATCTCCTGCTGGCCACACCTCCACGTGTACTGCCTGAAAATCTGAGCTTCCCAGGGTTTCCTTGGCCCCAGGCCCAACCCACCTGCAGTGCATGATGGATGAGTGGTGTTCCCCGTACTCCTCCTGTCCCAGCACAATAAAGGGCTGCTCGGGGCGGACTCCTCCACCCTCAGGGCCTGCCGAGGATGCCCGAGTCAGTGGCTCCACTGGCTCCGTGTGGAGCTCTGGGCAGGGCTCAGCCTCTGGGCCACTGGCTTCTGGTTTCTTCTCTGCACACTGTCACAAGCAGGGTGGGGACAAGTCAGCCAGGAAAGGGTCCCCCACACCAGGGTGTACACCGCAGGGGGTCTAGGCCTAGGCTGCAGCATTTTGCGGGGTTCTCGGTAATTACAGAGTGGAGAGGAGAGCTCTGACCTGCGAGGGTAGTGCTCAGCTCACCCTGGGAGAGTGCAGGGCCTGCCCTCCTGACAGCCCCTTCCTGGAGACTTTGCTCCACACAGGCCCTGCTGAAGGAGAGGGGGCTGTGGCCTCTCTGTGACACAGCTGATGGGACCCAGGACACACATCTGCCTTGACAACAGGCCAGGCGGAGGATGCGTGGTGCAGGCCACACACCGCGCTGAGTATTTTACAGATTTCTCTCATTTAGTCCTCCTCAAACAATGAGATGCTATTATCTTCCCCATTTTACAGCTGTGGAAACTAAAAGACTGAAAGAGAAGCCAAATCCCTTGCCCAAAGTCATATGGCTGGCAAGGGGGAGAAATTGGATGTGAAGCTGGGTGGGTAAGAGGTAAGCCCGGCCCCTTTCCAGTGCACCCCTAGGCCCACCAGCCCTCCTGGGAGGTGGGCACTGAGAAACTAAGAAACAGACACAACTGGCCAGGAAGAAAGACAGAGACCCAAGGGCCACTGGGGGTCCAAGGCTGCCCCATCTCTACGTCCCTGGGACAGCAGGTGTTGGCTACCATCTGGTGCTCACCTAGACACAATCCAGGCTGGGGGCATCGGCCAGGGCACTCTCTACCAGCCCTGGGGTCCGGATGCTCCTGCAAGTGCTTCCTCAGAGAGGCAGGAGGAGGAGTTCAACAATAAAAAAAAATAACAGAGGAACTTCAGACATTATGGGGCTCTGGGTGGCCCCCAAGTGCATCTTGAATCCTGAAATGCCAGAACTTATGATCTGAGCCTTAGGGGTCTGTTGTCACCACAGTACCAGGCTGTTAATGAGGAAATACCTTTAAAACAGGCAAATAGCCCCAATTATGAGATAAATGGTGAAGACAGTGACTTGGGCAAGAGAACCAGTAAATACCTTAGACTTTGCCATCAGTCGGGAGTATCTGGCAGAAACAGAAGCAGCTGTAATGCCACAAAGAGCAGGCTGTGGCCCACACTGGCCAGTGAGGGGAGTCCCCAGAGCCCAGGGCTCAGTACAGAAGGGCCTGGGCCACAGCCTCCCACTGTGTGGGCACATGGCCCTCAGTGCAGCAATACAGGCAGCTGGGCCTCAGGCAGCACAGGAGAAAGGAATCCTGTGACCAAGCAAGTCTGGGTGACTGGGTGAAACCGAGGGAACCAGGTCTCCAGGAGCCCACCACAGGCTGCTTAGCACAATTAACCTAAGGGAAGGATGAGTATGCAAAGGTTCCCAAGCCAGCTTAATCACAGAAGTCATCTTCTGAGAGCACTTCTAGAGGCCTGCATTTTCTGGCCCCTACTTAGGGAAATGCTGCATGGGAGAAATGGACCACAGAAAAGCCAGGCAAATGATGAACCCAAATAACCAAAATACAAGCCATTGAAACCAATTAAGCAAAAGCACACTCTGCACAGCTGCAGAACTCAGAAGAGAGAGAAGAGAAGACCCCCCACAGTGTTCCTCAGTAGCTGCATGAGTGTCCCCAGGGGTGTTCAGGACAACCCCATACCTGGGAAGTGGTTGTGGAGAAAAGCTCCTTCCTCTCCTTGCCATGGTCCTGCAGGCGCCGCTGCCGGTGCTGTGACCAACCGGACTCCCCAGTGGCCAGCCCGCTGAGGAGGCTCTTCCCATCCTTGGCTCCGGACGTCGGGTCCTTTCCCTTGGTGCCCTAGAGGAAAAGAAGCTGGCTGTGAAGTCTCTTCCCATCTGCCCAGGCCATGATAAGCATGCCAGGAGTGGTCAGCCCTGGGCGGGGGGGCGTGGTGGGTTGGGGGCAGGTGGTTAAAATGGTGTTGGCTCAGCTATGTAGGTGAGGTCATAGTCAGCCCCTGCTATGACCTCCTCCTTTCTGTCCTCTACCCGTTAAGAGGACAGGTCACCTGCAATCCTCATCCTGCGGTATCTCTCATCTGGAGGAAGATGTCATCTTGATCTAATCGGAACAATTTAGTCTAGTTGAGGGGAAGGAGCCAGCACTTACTAAGTGATGACTAAGGCAGGCCGGGGCCTACGCTTGGTGTTATACACATTTACAAGCAACAATATGTTTGGGCAATCTAAAAATTATTTATGCAACAAGCAATCACCTCTGGAGGGAAAAGGAAAAGGAACACAGTACCCTCTCTTGTTTTGGGCCAAGTGTGGACTAAACCAGCTAATATTAACAAATACTGAGGTGTTTGAAAATGATTACTAGAAAACCAGAAATTTTTAACAGAAATTGTTGAAAACCCAAGGAATGTTAAGAAAGATAAATCGGACAGGAAATAAACCGGTATTTTCTGGCTCCTTTTCATAACAACAGTGATAGGGTCAGCTAAGTTATAGCAAGAGGGGATGAATTTGATCATCCCCACCCCACCTGTATAGAGAGAAGAAGTCTCCATTCTTAATCTAGAAACTCTTAAAAGGAGCTGCCACCCCCACATCTTTCCAGATTGCTGGGCAGGGCTCTCTTTTTCCAGCTTTTTACCCACAAATTGTGATGGCCAAACACCCTCACCCTCATTTTTTACACTCTTAGCAAAGAGATATGAATGCAAACAGCTACTCAGGTTTGAGACCAATCTTCTCAAGAAACCATTTCTACACAAGCCCTAAGTGAAGAGAAGAAACTCAACCAAAGTCTACCTGCTGCTTTCCAGTTCTTCTACTTGTTATTTTTTATGTCAACAGTAAATAATTTAAAATGATTAACATGGATTCCTTGGAATCCTGCAGCCATGTGAACAGTTAAAAGAAAATTTTAAAGGACTATTAGCTTACCTGGAACCAAACCATGACTAACCTGCAGGGTATTTACTATTTTTGGCCTGTTTATAAACTTCAAGTACTTCCGTGAACAAAGAAAGGATGGTAAACCTGTCTCAATCAGCCACAAACACATTTAATTCCAAGTATCAGAATTGTGTCAATAACAATTGTGTATGGGTCCTGGGAGGACAAAAGCCACGGAGAGGTAATGTCCACTCCTCAGAGTTTCAGAGAGATGGAGTGGGGAGGTGGCCTGTTGGAGTTGGCTGTCAAGGCTAAGATCTGGGGAGGTGGTAGGCAGTTGTGTCGTGTCCTGTTTCAAGACAAGGCTCTGAAACCCCCGTAAGAAGAAATCACTGAAAATGCAAACACTGAGCAGCCACATCACAGTCCAGGAGGTGCCGCTTCCACATTTTGTGCTGCTACATGTATGCCGTGCTCTACATGGGTCACAGGGGGATTCTGCCTTGGAAGCAAAGGTGGGAACTGTTACAGAGGGAGACAGGCACTTTATGGGCCCCTTCCTGCCTTATTCAGCCCCTCCACTGGATAATGGTGTCTTTTCCTTTTTCAGCAACAGTAAAGAGTGCTCAATCAATTGGTGAATATTGATGGAAGGAGGAGGCTTCGAATTCCTCTGGCTTATTTGAAAGCCACTTGTAACACTTCCCCAGCAGGAGCAAACAATAAAACACTGAGAAGTACAAAGGTAATACTTCCCTCACAAGTCAAGATAGCAAGGAAGGCATCTGGTACAGAGAAGAACTACCTTTACAATGATAGGGCAGTTTACGCCAAGACAGTGATGGACCTAAGCATGACCTATCAGATTTTGCTTTAAAGAAGAGGATAGGTTCTCCTTTCTCCTTAAATCTATGTTAATCACTGAATAACAAAAGATAATAATATATTAAAAGCTGGTGAATGCGGTTGTCCACAAAACTTTTTAATAAGTAGGTGAAGGCCAATTTGTGTCTAGCCACAAATGTACAAAACAAGTGAATGCTTACTGGCAACTGTTAATTTTTTAGAAATAAAAGGCTAAAAAATAAAAACAAAGGAAAAAGGGGTAAAGTCACAATGCTATGTAAGTAATTACCTTCAAACAAATCCATAAAACTCTGGCCAAGCACTTGTGTATGGGTAAAGAGCTGGAGAGAGTGAAAGATGCCGGCAGAACTGTGTACTCTCTAGACAATGACACTTGCACACAGAGAAGCTTGCACCCTTCTGGAAGCTTCTTCTACTGTGACCCTACCTTACACATCTTTGTAACCTTAGCACCCAGCACCACGCCTCGCATAAGCTGGGCACTCATTCATGACTGGCTAAATAACAAATGGATGGACTGATGGACAGATGAAATAACTGTTCATTGAAAGTTTTATTTCATTTTAAGTGCAACCCTCATAATAGTCTTTAACTGCTGGCTTCAAATAACAGAATATCCCAATAGTCTAAAGTATATTCTATCATAATCTACCTGACTGCTACAGTTCAGGAGAGACACGGTAACCTCTGTCTTATCATTTGACCTTCTCACTCTGGAGACAGACATAAGTTGATACCCATTAATTTCCGGTGGAATGAGTAGGTCATGAGGGATTCCAGAGCCTCACAGAGCTTACCAGGATGGCAGCCATCCAAATGGAGCAGCAAACAACTTCCAGTAATTTGGTCTCACCTGAAGCTAAACAAAGCTACCCAGAAAACACGCCCTCATAACACAGAAATCCCAGAATGAAAGACAGGCTTTCTCCTTACTGCCAAGATCCTTGGGGAAAACCTTCAGGGCAGTGGTTGTGACCACTTACTTCTCAGTAACTGGGAGGTAATTTGACACTAATAACAGTCACAAGCACAGAAGTTTGTGGATGCTTTGGTGCCTTACATTACAGCCGATTAAAAGTTATCTCTATAATGAGGTAATTTCCATGGCTCACCAAGTGGGTGTGAAAGGAGCAGAATTCTTGCTGGTGGGAAGGATGGAGTACAAACTACAGGCTGTGTGAGCCAAGCAGCAGCCCAGGCAAGCCTGCTATGGATGTGCCCTCCCGGCTATTGTAATTAGAGATCCTAGAAGGGCTTGGGAAGTGTGGTTTCGCAGTTATTTCCACTAAAAAAAAAAAAAAAAAAAAAATTGCCTCCAGACTCATATTGAAAGCCTGGAGAGTATCTGCCAGGCTTTCAATACAAAAGCAATCTATTTTGCATCTGTTTTGCCATCTATTTTACAGGAATAATGCTATGAACGTTTCAGTAATAATGACAACAGGTACAGCAACCAATTACAAGGAGGCAAAGTGCTGATGTGAGCAAAATTTATAATGCTTTCTATAAATTATATTTAAGATAGGAAAGTCTAATCATTTTTACATATTGCTAATTTAACAACAAAATACAGCCTATTTTTTGTGTGTGCTTATTCTTTAACAGTAAAAAAGAAAGAAGGGCTCTGGTGTGGTAGCAGCGAGGAAAAAAGATGACATGCTTAATATGCACTTACAAAGCAATGTGGCTTATTTAAAAACCAATGCCATTGTATACTGAGTTTAAAGCAGTACATTATGAAAATGGCAGGAAGTGATCTTTCCATGCCCTGCATTTAGTATCTTTGAGAGAGCATCTGGAATTGTACACTCAAATTTAGGTGTTAATTGTAATAGCGGGATTGAAACATTAGAATGTCCCCCAAAGCAGGGGGCCCAGGATGTGAGGGGAAATCATGCCATAGGGACAAACAGTTGAGGTGGGGGTTGGAGGGAGGGTGAACAAGAGTGCTTAGCATGGAAAAGGTAGGAAGAGTCATTCTACACAATAAGCCTTATTATTCTATGTAGCTCCAGAGGGCTAAGCTAAGATCTGTGAGGAAAAGTCATAAAGAAGTTTCTTCTAATAGCTTTCTAACATGCATATGTTCCCGCTTTGACAAGCAATGAGCTCTGCATCTTAGGAGGCAATCAATCCAGACACTGTACTCCTATACTCAGCAGGAGGTAGGCCAGACGACCTTCAAGCTTCCCTCTAAAATTCTGTGATTTTCTTGAACCTCAAATCTACTAGTTATTTTTAGACGTGAAACATTAATGCTGAATCTAAATCATCTACCATTAATAAAAAACAAGTGACCTGACTATTGGGTTTTTTAGATTAGAGATATCTTTCGTCTTCACTGAGGAACTACAAACTGCTCTGTTAACACACCACACAGTGACCAAATCTTTGTTCCATTATATTTTAGAGGAAAGGTAAGGCATGTTTTACTGCAAATCACACATTCTTATCCCCATTGCTTAGCTGTAAACTGCACAAATAATTTCCAATCTCATTTCAACCTCACCATGTGACACACAGTTCCTAACCACATAGAGTAGGGCCACAGCTTACTCCCACAGAAGCTGTCTCTATGTTTTCTTTCAAGTTAATGAAATTGAATTCCATAATTTCAAGCTCATTTCAAAGGACTCAACATTCCACACATCACCTATTAAACTTATAAAATGTTGCACAGTGAGAGATCCAGAAAGCAAGCAGTACAACTTACTCGGCCACACTCCACAGAACTGGAATTCTAACTTTAAGATTTGAATTTCAGAAAAATATTCATAGGAGTAACCATGTTTGAGTTTTAACTGCCTGAACCCTCATGGCAGCTAAATTACAGTTTTTTTGCATTAACGGCACTTTAGGTCTCAGAACTAACTCAGGTACCCACGTGGGCCAGGGCCTGCAGGAATACAACTTCTACTACCAACATTTACTGAGTGCTGACCCTCTGTCAAGCACTCTTCTTCTAGCAGCTCAATTCATCCTTCCCTGGGGAGTAAATACTATTATTATCATCCCGAGCAAACTGGGGTGGGTTTACCCAACCTGAGCACCAATGACAAACGAGGAGCCAGAGCTGAAAGTTAAGGTGCCTGGCCCCAAAGCCCATGCTCTTTCTGATCCAGTGTCCTGCTCAGTGTTTCAGTTCAACAATACTCAGCCCAAGTGCTGTATTCCAGTGGCAGCCTGAGGCAGACCCCTACCTCCCTGGGTACAGCGAGCAGCCCCAAACTGCTGTGCCACTTGCAACTGGTCTCACACCGAGGCTGGTAGGAGAAGAAGCCACAGACTATGACTATTTATTTTATCTGTAACTAATAATACACTCAAAGTGTCCCTACGCAAGCAATAAACAGTCTGCAGGCATTTCTGAAAGCAATGAATTCTGACAATGTCTGCTAGTTAAACTAGTCAGTGGGACCCTTGGCTGTTTTGGATATAAGCTGACATCAAAAAAAGATCCGCTTGCAGTCTTCCATAAAAGTGAGAAATAGTGAAAATCCTTTGCAGAATCAGCAAATACCAACTTGTAGGCAAAATGCATGGATTCAGAGGTAATTCTTGATTTAGTCTTTAGCCAAACACTATTTTTATATCACCAAAAATTCAAAATTCTAATTGCCTGAACTCACACTTGAGCCACCAAAACAGTCATAAGCCCTTATGAGTTCATAGGAAATTTATGAGAAAAGAGGGGAGACTCTTCAAAGCCTACTTCCTGTCATCAGCTATCTACTACTTCAACCAGAAAGCATCACAGACTTCAGAGAACTGGCACAGGAGTGCAGGCAAGGGAAGGCAGCCCCTTGGGTCAGGAGACCTGGGTGTGAGGTCTGGCACTGCCTTGATCAGTGCACAAGATCTACCCAGCAATCAAACACCACAGTGCCTGCAGTCTAGCCAGAGGTGAAGATGAAGCGGGGAGCCAGAATGCATTCGGTGGATTTTCCTCCTCCTCCTCTCAAATCGTCTGCTACAGTCTAATCTAGATTCTCATCCTGCAGAACCATCACTTTCTGAGAGGAAAGCCAGGAAAGGGGGAAGAAAGGGAATGAGATTTCAATTCAGAATCTCATCAACATGCCCAAGAAATCAGTCCTAAAAGGAGGGCAAACAAGTCTACACTTGACCAGGAGGTCTGGAAGCACAGGGAGCTGTCACGGCCTTCTTGGCCAGAGTTAGAGAGGCAGGACTTGTGCTTACCTGACCACCGAAGGACTCTTTCTTGGCCGAGCTCTGAGGTTGAGGAGGGCCCTGAGCAGGCGACAACCTTGAGGGGCTCTTCTTACTCTGAGGCAGCAGCGAGGACAGGAAGCCCACACGAGGTGACTGGGAGAGGGAGGCATTCCTTTGGCTGCACACCATGGCACTGGTCAGCAAACACACCACAGGGTCAGAGGGCTGAAACAGGATGTGGAAAAACCAAGAACATAGACCTCCCGGGCTATGGATGACGTTAAGTGACCAGGCCTGGGTCAGGTCCAAGAGCCTGGGCTTTAAGGTGGTATTATCCTTGGCATCATTTTTTTGCACAAAGGGAGCCAGCAGCTTATCTGTTACAAGGGTGAAGTCTGCGGCTCTTCTTTGAGGGTCACAGTAAACTCAGAGCTGTCTTGTCCAATAGCCACTGGTCACGTGTGCTACTGAGCAAATGAAATGTGGTTAGTCCAAATCAAGATGTGCTAGAGATGTAAAATTGACACTGGAATTCAAAGACTTGGCATGAAAAGAATAAAATAGCTCATTAACATTTTGTTTATATCCATTACATATTGAAATGATGTTTTGAATATACTAGGCCAAATAAAATATATCATTAAAATTAACTTCATCTTGTTTTTTTTTTAACATAGCTACTAAAAAAATTAAATTACGTATTTGGCTCGCATTTTATTTCCATCAGAAAGAACTGGCACCACCACTAGAGCTATTTCATCTGGTGCAATACTTGGCTATGTGGAGGTCTGGAATCCGGCTGCCTGGGTTTGCATCGTGACTCACCAATCACTGTCTTCCTCACCTGTGTGTACCTCTGTTTCTTCAACCACTACTATTATTATCACCAGCTGGGGCTTCTGCTTTAACTGGCTGTTTCTGAAGGTCAAATACCTCTCTCTAATCTGCCTTCCTCTTTAAACCGTCAGAGAGGTGCATGCTTCTACTGAGGAATGCATCCAACCTGTGGTTACCAATCTTTCCATACATGAGATGCTCCTTCCAATGCACAAAACCTTCCCAAGACTTTACCACAGTGGTTGCGTTTTTATTTATCCTGACTACACATATCTGGATGTAGAGCTGGCAGAGCTGTGCAGTTCCCCACCTCTAGGCAGAGCCACAGGCTCGGAGGCTCAGAACTCCTAGAGGACTTCTGAGGCCATGGGGACCTTACTCATAAAGCTCTGAAGCAAGGCTGGACACGGTGGCTCACGCCTGTAATCCCAGCACTTTGGGAGGCCAAGGCAGGTGGATCACTTGATGTCAGGAGTTGGGACTAGCCTGGCCAATACGATGAAATCCCATCTCTACTAAAAATACAAAAAAAATTAGCCAGGCATGGTGGCATGCACTTGTAATCCCAGCTACTTGGGAGGCTGAGGCAGGAGAGTCTCTTGAACCCAGGAGGCAGAAGTTGCTTTGAGCCAAGATTGTGCCACGGCACTCTAGCCTGGGCGACAGAGCGAGACTCCATCTCTAAAAATAAAAATAAAGCTCTCAAGCAAGAGCAGTGTGTGCCAGGAGGCTCTTCCGCAATTCTCCTTCAGCAGGCACAGAGGACTGCAGGCAAGGCAAGATCAGAGGGAACTGTGGGGCTGAGAGCACAGAGGGCAAAGAAAAGGAAAGGGCCGTCACACACACTCACAGTTCCGAGTCCCCCAGGCGGTCCATGTTGGAGACATAAGGAGGCAATTTGTGTTGGACCAAGGCCTCTTCCTCTTCTGGCTGTTGCTCCTCTTTCTTCAGTCGGTGGATTTCAGCTTGCAATGCAAAAAGCTATACAGGGGTGGGACTGAGTTAGCCAATGATCTCACCTAACCTTCCCTCTGCGGAGGAAGATTTCTAGACACATCGCATCCAAGCCCACTGGTCTGAGTGCCACTCGCCTCAGCGTCAAGGGGCCCATCTCACTCTGCTCACTGCAGACTGGGAAAAGTGACTGCTGTCACTGGACAACAATGAGGTGAGAAAACCAAAAACCATTAGAAATCCAAAACCCATTTTCTTTTTAATCATTTGACTTGCTTCCTCCTAGATTCACTGAGAAAAATAGCTCCACCCAACCTGTTTTGCTTTTTAGAATCTACAAAATCAGGCTTTAGAACTCTCAAAGCCTGACTCTGGAATGGAAAAAAAAAAAAAACCTGTTAATGAACTACAGCGTTTTTAACCTTTTGCCTGAAGAAAATTACATATACACACACCCCAAATCCCAAGAATCTTAAACCCCATAACCTAAACAGCCTATAATCTTCCTTTTCCTAACAATATCACCTAAGGAGATCTTAATTTCAGGAAAGAGAAATGTTCCTCAGGCAACATGTACAGGCAAATGTGGGTCCCCTGGCTCTATTGTTTTATCAAACTAGAGAAGCATATAGCTGAGTAGGAACAACTAAATTATATATGGGTTATAAACTATATATATGTGTGTGTGTGTATATATAGTTTATATATATACATATAGTTTACATATATATGTGTATATATATATACACACATATATAGCTATACGTGGAAAGACAAAACAGACACATGAAAACAGGTTAGTTATAAGGTGGCATGGATGCATATAGTCTTTTTCTCCTTAAAAGTTAATTACTGTTACTATATTGTTCATGCTACATATCTGACTTAAAATATGAATCTCGCCTCTGGTTTTCAGAGACTGTTACTCTCCAAATCCCCAATACTGACTTTCTGGTGACTCATTTCCATCTGAGAAATTAGGTAGTGGCAGTGGAAACCTGATTAATATAGTGTTCCACTGCCACTACCTAATTTCACACACAAAAAGCAGAAGTACTTCCTCAGGAGCAAGCCTGTTCAGAACAAACCTTCTGACGCAGAACTTCATTTTCTTCTTGAACCTGGTTAGTCCTCTGACACTCCGCATCAAAGTTCAGGATCACAGGGACTGGTGCACGAAGTTAAAGAATAAGCCAGCCCCTGAAATGTTTAAACGTCCTTCCCAAACCCTTGACACACCAGTAAAACACATGAGACACAGGGACACAGAGAACAGAGTATAGGAGCGGTGCTGTGGGCTCTTGCGGGCTTAATGAAATAGTCGCTCCCTACAGTCTTGTCTCTAAGACTTTCTCTAGGTCTGGCCTCATTTCATTCGGACAGATTCACAGACGCATGACCATCTGCCTGGCCAGCCCACAGAGGGGACATAAATCCAAACCTAAGCATTTTCTCTCAAATACCAGAAGCAAAGAGCTAGCATCCAGTGGACTTCACAGCCAGTCTGAGCTTTAGTGAGGTCACTACATTCAGCTAAAAGCAGCCCTGGAGGCCAGTGGCTCTGCAGTAATACAGCCAATGAGGCAGAAAAGACCAGTCAGTTGGCTTCGCCTCCCCAGGTTGAGCCTCTCCCTGGCAAAGGTTTGGACTGAGAAGAGAAAGCTTTCTGCAGATTGCGTGGCCACCCCAAGAACAACGACAGTCTATAGCTTGGGATACTGGTCCTTCTCCACTGCCTCAGGCAGCTTCAGTTAGGAGGAGCACAGAGCAGACAGGGCCTCAGAACTGGAGAGGGGACTAGAGCCCATATGTGTGTAAGCTAGTTTGAGAAGCACTGAAAAGATCTTGAGTGACAGTTTCGATTTCACTGGAGGGCCCACAAAGTTAACTGGAGAGCCCTCAGGATGAAGAGAGGGAACAACGGGGAAGAAACAAGGCAGTTCTGGCAAGGGTGGAATTCACACTCATCTGGGGCACAGAAAGGGTGAAGGCAGGAAAGGTGCCCTTCCCACCTCCACCAGAAAGTGTTCCTCCCAGAGGCCAAAACGCCTGCCCATGGGTGGGCCTCTAAACACCCAAGTTTATCAGTGCCTCACCAGCCAGCCCCATTCAAGCCAGACTCCCTTCTCCTCCTCTAAATTTCCAGCCTAGGGAGCATGAACAATGGCCTTGGGAGCTCTGGCTTGTACACTTGGTAGGCTGTAAATTATTTACCTGCATTCTCATTCATTCCCCCTCTCCAATACCCGCATATATATTCTTAAAGCTACTGTGTTCTCTGGCAACTTGAGGAACACTGAAGTTACTATTAGAGACAATAACCCAAACACTAACACAGACAGAAGTTCCAACCCAAGAAGTCTTCTCATCTGTACCTAATCCCAGCAAAGGTATATCCCCGGGAACACGTTTCATGCACAGAGAGGGTACTCTCAAGGCTGCCCGGTTTCTCCAAGCAGCAGCTGCCTTCCAACCCCAGTGCCTGCTGACAAAGCCAGTACTAGCACCCCACTGCTGCCACTGTCACTGCCCACACGTCAGCTAATACTTCAGCAGCACAGTGTCAGAACTAAGATTTATGATTCCCTGGCTTACTGACAAAAACAACCACAATTTGTCCAGCCCCCTCATGTGACCCATAAAAATGGTCCCTGGGCATTTTTGTAGAAGAAATGCCTGTATGGAGACCAGCGGGCTACTGATCCTGAGGTCTGGGTGCCTCAGGCTGGGCCTTCAGCCCCAGGCAACTGAAAGGATATGCATGCACTGAAACAGGACGCTCAGGAAGTTGTGCAGGGACACAATGAAGGTGTCAGCCCACTGTCGAGAAAAGTAGGTAGCAAAGGTGGGGTTGGTGTCCGGGGATGGCAGGAAGGGCAGGACAAACCAATCCTTCCACTCAGCCTGGTTCTGGAGTTCCGTGGCCTGCTTTGCAAAGAACTCCTGAGCCTTGTCATTTCTGTTTGTCTGCCAAGACACAAGGAGGTAGCAAGGAGGGAGGAGAGACAGAAATCCAGAGGTAAGACTCTTCATCATTGCACAGCAGACAACCTTTGACTATCAGCCTGCCAGGTAAGTGGCAAAATAAAATTCCATAATATAAAGGAAATCATCACTCTTTTCTCAAGGAACTTGTCATTTCAAAGCTGGTTTAAGCTGAAGTTCTAATGATAAATCCCATCCTAAAAATTAATCCCTAGCTGATGTTCAAATAACTAAGTGACTCATTCCTCCAGGTCAGCTATCATCTTTATTACTCAAACTTTAACCCAGCTACTTATATTCTTTAAAATACCACCTTTGTTTTAAGCTTACATGCTTAACATAAAAAAGGAAATAGGAATGGGGAAGACAAGTCAGATGATCTACAGATGACGACAAGGAAAAAAAAGAAGAAAAACAGTCAAAAATAATTGCACTGTAACTGCTGCACTCTTTCCCATAGTCACATACAGATTCCTCCCTAGGAACTGGAAGAAAATCTATTTTGGGATCAAAGAGCTCCTTCCACCAAGGGAAGCAGAACCCCTGAATCAACAGGCACCTGGATTGTGTAGACAAGATAAAATCGAAACAGGCTGGTTTTCAGCTTGTGGATTGTGGGTCTGTATATATCCTCCAAGCGGCTGAAGAGCCGACGCTCCAAGTAGCTCCAATAATCCCGAAGGGCAGCCAAGTCATACACCTGCATTAACTGCTGCAGCTGGTCCACAATCTTATCCACCTGGCGAGAAACATGGATGGAGAAGGTGGTAAGGGACAGAAGGGAATTCTCCCCTCCATGGAATAAAGCTTTTTCCTCTTGTCATGGCTTCTGGGTGTAAAAAAAAATTTGTAAGTTAGCAATCTATAAAATTTTCAAAACATACTAATGCAACGGTTTTTCAGTAATTTTCTGATGTTAGAGAAGTGGTTTGACCCTCTAGCAAGCACGGAAATTTCAGGTGTAAAAGGGCTCTGGCCCAGAACCTAAGAGATCTGGCTCCAGATCTTGGATCTGCCTCTGACTTACTTGATCAATTTGGCAGTGTCATCAGGCCAGGCACCGTGGCTCACGCCTGTAATCCCAGCATTTTGGGAGGCTGAGGTGGATGGATCACCTGAGGTCAGGAGTTCGAGACCAGCCTTGCCAACATGGTGAAACCCCGACTCTACTAAAAATACAAAAATTAGCTGGACGTGGTGGCACGCGCCTGTAATCCCAGCTACTCGGGAGGCTGAGGCAGGAGAATCGCTTGAACCCAGAAGGCAGAGGTTGCAGTGAGCTGAGATCGTGCCACTGCACTCCAGCCTAAGCGACAGAGTGAGACTTTCTGTCAAAAAAGAAAAAAAAATGGCAGTGTTGCTTAACTGTAGTTTCAGTTACCTCACATTTTTAAAAAAGGGGGTGGGGTGAAGAAGAGCTATGAGACAATCTCCACAATTCCCAGATCCCAAGGATCATGAGGAGGTGCATGGACTGACTCCTTCAAGTCATCAAAGTTCCACGAAGCCGTGGTAGCTGCTCAGAGTGTCAGCCAAGGAAGTCACCTTCTTGTGAGGAGCAATTACAGCAGAGTACAGAATCTGGAAAAGGGTTTGGATATCAATACCAATCCAATGCCCCTAGTTTATAGATCAGGCCACTGAAGCCCAGAGGGGTGAAATGATTTGCTTTTGCCACTAAGTAGCCACTAACTTTGGCCAGGCAGGAAACCAGATCTCCTAACTCCCCTCCAGTGCTCTTGCTGTTAGCTCACTGCCTCTCATTGAAGTCAGTACACACAAACATACAAATCACACACATATACATTCCAAGAACCTCGCAATGGAAAATCATTTTAGAGCAGGGGAAGTTTGGGTTTCTCTAATGTGCCATGAGGTCTTCCACAACTGCAGAAGCAAAATTGCCGATGAGTCCCTGACGAGGCCATTTTAAACAAACACCGCAGATACTTGAACGCAGCTAACGTTTTGGACTGCAGACTTCTTTGCTTCCACTGCCACTGGAAGCCAACACGAATATCTGTTGCCAAAACGCAACCATCTACCTAACCTCGGCTCCTAAAACCTCATCGCCATCCTGGCCAAGGAGGCTGGAGTGGAGACAGAACCCTAGACCAGGAGCCGGGGCATCGGGGCTCCAGCCTCGGCGATGCTCCTGACTCGGGGGGCGGCTTCAGGCAGGTCCTGTCCGTCTGAGGGTCTCAGTTCCTCATCCGTCAAGCTGGGGTCGGACGCGCTGAGGTCTCCGGCGCCCCGGCGCGAGTGACAGCGCCGCTCTCGCCCCGGAGGCAGTGCTGGGGGGAAGCCCGCTCCCCGGCTCCCTCGGGCCGCCTCTGCCCGCGCCGCTCCCGCCGGCCTCTCACCCGGAACCCCTTCTCCTTGTCCGCCTTGATCTCGGCGTCCAGCTGCCGCAGTGTGTGCGTGAACCCGCGGAAGAGCAGGTACTCCCGGACCAGCTCGTCAGTGCGCTCCACGGCCTCCGCCATCGCAGCGCTAGCGTCTTTAGGGGTGGTGCGGTGAGGGACGGAGGGGCGGGGCCTGGGAGAAATGGGGCGGGGCCGGACGCGGGCGCCGAGCACGTCACGCCGCGACAGGCCTACCAGCCCGCACGCACTGGGCGACCAGCCTGAGGCCCCGCCCCTCGGCCGGCTCCCCGCCCGAGGCCCCGCCCCTGAGCCAGCCCCAGCCCGCCTGGCCGCTCGAGTCACCCTTACCCCTCCCGAGGAGTGGCGAGGGGAGGTCCTGGCGGCGCCGGCGGCGGCTTTGTCTGAATTACTGAAAGTGGCGGCTGCCACCCACGTCAAACAAGACTGGATCTTAAGAACATCCCAGGTAGTCCCGAGGCGGGCAGGGGGTGCGGCGCCCTGTTGGTTGGCGTTACATCGCAGAGCTCCCGGTCCCCTGCCCTCCTCCTACACGGAGGAAGCTGGAGCCCTAAGAGCAGAGTGACCTGCGTGAAGCCACAACACGCGTGTCCTCAGAGAGCGCTAACTCCCCCAAATCTCTGCTTTCATTAGTAAGACGAATTGGCTACACAGCAAGATAACCAAGATGCACTGCTAGGATAGGCAAATTTCATAGCAGTGTATGTACGCTATAGTCCTGGTTTCTTGTGAAAAAAAAATTAGGTATGTATGTGTGTACATTTTTTAAATTCAGGAAGATTATACACCAAGTTCCTATGCAGTCGGGTCTCTGCATCCTCGGGTTCCGCATTCACGGATTCAACCAACGAGGATTGAAAATATTTTTTCCAAAGTTTTAAAAATAAAAAATAGCCGGGCGCAGTGGCTCACACTTGTAATCCTAACATTTTGGGAGGCCAGGGTAGGCGGATCTCTTGGCCCCAGGAGTTGGAGACCAGCCTGGACAACATGACGAAACCACATCTCCACAAAAAAAAAAAAAAAAAAAAAATGCGGAGCGCAGTGGCTCACGCCTGCAATCCCAGCACTTTGGGAGGCCGAGGTGGGCGGATCACCTGAGGTCGGGAGTTTGAGACCAGCCTGACCAACATGGAGAAACCCCGTCTCTACTAAAAATACAAGATTAGCCGGGCGTTGTGGCGCATGCCTGTAATCCCAGCTACTCGGGAGGCTGAAGCAGGAGAATCGCTTGAACCCAGAAGGTGGAGGTTGCAGTGAGCCGAAATCGCGCCATTGCATACCAGCCTGGGCAACAAGAGCGAAACTCTGTCTCAAAAAAAAAAAAAAAAAAAAATTAGCCGGGCGTGGTGGTGCTGCCTGTGGTCCCAGCTACTTGGGAGGCTGAGGCAGGAGGATCACTTGAGCCCAGGAGGTCGAGGCTGCAGTGAGCTGTGATTGTACCACTGCACTCCAGCCTGGGTGACAGAGCAGGACACCGTCTCAGTTTAAAAAAGAATACAATTTTTAAAAACACAAATTAAATATAGCATAACAACAATTTACATAACATGTACAATGTATTCAGTATTATAAGCAATGTAGAGATTATTTAAAGTATACAGGAGGAAGTGTATAGGTTAGATGCAAATACTAGGCCTTTTTACATCAGGGCATCCATGGATTTTGGTCTTCTAGGGAGGGTCCTAAAACCAACCCCCTGCAGATACCAAGTGACAATTGGAGTGGTTTTATCTGAGAGGTGAGACTATGAAGGACTTCTTGTTTTTTACTTTCTTTTTATTGTTGAAGTTTTTACAAGGTGCACGTATTTTTGTAAGTAGGAAAATAGCCAATATCTTTGAGACTTGCTTCTGCAGAATGGTGACAATAGGCCGGGCGCGGTGGCTCACGCCTGTAATCCCAGCACTTTGGGAGGCGGAGGCAGGCGGATCACAAGGTCAGGAGATCGAGACCATCCTGGCTAACACGGTGAAATCCCGTCTCTACTAAAAATACAAAAAATTAGCCGGGCGTGGTGGCGGGCGCCTGTAGTCCCAGCTACTCGGGGGGGCTGAGGCAGGAGAATGGCGTAAGCCCGGGAGGCGGAGCTTGCAGTGAGCCGAGATCGCGCCACTTCACTCCAGCCTGGTCGACAGAGCGAGACTCCGTCTCAAAAAAAAAAAAATGGTGACAATAACACCCACCTTGCACAGTAGTAATGAAGATTTAATAAGACAGTGTATGTAAAACGCTTAGCACAGTGAATGGCCTATTGGTAAAATGCATGGAGTGTTCCCTTCTCCTTCCCTCGAATGGTATGACTTTTCGTGTTTGTCAAAATACAACTCAGAATCATTGCTGCCCCTCTGCTCAGACCCTCCACTCCTACTCTATGGAAATTCAGCTCCAAAAGGGCTCTGATCTACACTAGAGAAAGCCAAAAAGATAGCACAGGGCAAGCCACAGCAGGACGAGACAGACCTTGTTCTGCCCTCTTTGTTTGCCCTACCTGTCTCCACAAGTGTACCCTCCAGGCAGCTAAACTTGCCTCAAGGGCAGGAAAGGAGAGTCACCACTGTGACTACTGGGAGACCAACTCCTACTTTGAGATCTCAGATCATCAAAGTGAACTTGGAAAATTTGGACAAGTTGCAACCACCAAAGCTTCCACCTACAGGAAAGTTGTGAAGTAGATTTCCCTAAGGGCACCTGAAGTCTGCAACCATAGTTCTCACCTCCCCCACCTCCATCTGCCCTGACACTTCCCAGACCAGAGCCTGTAAAACCAGCTAAGATTAGTTTTCTGATCAATGAAAGGCAGCTCCTCAGAGCTTAAGTACAAGCCGTTTGTTCTACAGGAATGTCTTCTCCAAGATACCCACAGGGATAGCTGCCTTTCCTCCTTCACGCATTTGCTCAAATGTCACTGTCTTAGTCCTTTGGGGCTGCAATTTTTTTTTTTTTTAGAAATGCCATAAACTGGGTGGCTTATAAGCAACAGAAACTTATTTCTCATAGTTCTGGAGGGTGGAAAGTCCAAAATCAAGACACTAGCAGATTCATTGTCTGCTGGATGCCCACTGTCTGGTTCATAGATAGTGCCAAGTTACATGCTCAGTAGAGAGCATCCATCGCCATAGCCTTTGGTAGATAAATCTTTTCTTACTGTAGTCAGTTCCTTAAAAAGTCATGAGCACCTCTGAAAACTGGAAATGGCCCACAATGATCCATCCAGTAATTCACAGGTTTCCTATTGGTAGCCCTCATGCTTGTTGTAGGAGGCAGCCTATGTATATGTTAATCTTTCGTTCACTGAAAATCAGTGACACACAATAGATACCCTTTTTCACTTCTCAAATTAGTAATTTTTAAAATGTATTGCCCACTGTTGGTGAACATAAAATGAAAGGGGCATTGTCATTAAGCTTCAGAAGGAGCTACTTTTCTAGGAGTCAATTTATAGATTATCAAAGCTTCCAAAATGTTTCTACTCTTTAGCCCAGTGATCCCACTTAATTTCTTTAATTTCCCTTAAAAAAATAATTTTAAAAATAAGCTGAAAGAAAAAAAAAAAGGCTGGGCACAGTGACTCACACCTGTAATCCTAGCACTTTGGGAGGCCCAAGTGGCAGAATCGATTGAGGCCAGAAGTTATGACCAGCCTGAGCAACATAGGGAGACCCCGTCTCTATTTTTTTAAAAAAGAAAGTAAATTAATTTAAACATTAAAAATAAGATTTATGCAGAATGGGGTTTTTTTTAATAAAAGTGCAACTTATCTTTAATAATGGAAGTTATTTACAATAGTGAAAGGTATAAGTATTTAGAGGCTACAGTGAGTTACCCTCCAAGATCTTGGGAATGAAGAAATTGTACTTCCCACTGAGAGTTAAACGGCAAAATCAACCTAAGATGGTTTAGAGTCCAAGGATGCAAAATCAGTGGAAAGAGAGAGAAAAGATATTAGGCTCACTGGCCTTGGTTGAGGACATTCACTTCCAAAATAAATATTATGTCAGTCGGAAGAGGTTTTAAACACAGGCACCCAGAAACCAGAGAGTGCCATGGGCAGGGCCCATGCTCATTTGCAACACAGCCGGCACTTGTCCTATGTTCTGACCTATGGCAAGGCCATCCCCAAAATGAGAAGGTGGCACTAGACCATCCCAAAATTGGGCCCCGATAGGCATCCCACTCCGCTTTTCCTGGTACAAAGCTCACAAAAAGACCATTTGTGTCCTCAGCATTTGACTACATGGAAACATAGCATTCCAGTGTCTTCCTCCTGGTAAACTAAAAGGCAGTTTTTGATTACAATAGTCTTCCAACATAGGTGGAAAGGATATCATTTATGCCAGTGTTACCACGAATAGTCCCTGTGTGACAGTTATATGTCTCATTCAGATTTACAAAGTGACATCGTGATATATTCTTCAGGCCCCTGTGCAATGAGGTTAGCACAAATCAGCCTTTCAGAACTTAGTCACTCCTGGGGACTACAGGAACCAGTTCCAGCGGGTCTGTACACACCAGTTCCACATGCAGGAGTCTTATTACTGATTTCTACAAGGAGAAAGAAATCTCAAACAACCAAATGTTCAACATTAGAGGAAATCTTATACATCATGCTACCTCTATCCCATGTAATATTATGCAATTGTCAAAGTTTTTGTTTTTTAAGATAATTTAATTATTTGGAGAAATAGTTATAATACAATGTGTTTAAAATTATGATTCACACTCTAGAAACCAATTTGGCAGTTTCTTACAAGATTAAGCATGCAAATACCATACAACCCAGTAATGACACTCAGGTATTTGTCCCAGAGAAAGGAAAACATAGATTTTTACATAAAAACCTGTACACAAAGCTTTATTCATAATAGCCAAAACTGGAAACAACCCAGATGTCCTTCAACAGCATGATTCCATGTATAGAACATTTTTGAAAAGCCAAAATGTAGACATGGAAAACAGATTAGTGAAGGCCATGAAGACGGATGGGCACGTGGGAGGAGGGTGAGGAAGGAAGGGTTGTGATTTTTAAAAGGGCAACACAAAGGATCCTTGTGGCAATGGAATTGTTCTGCATCTTGACTGTGGTTATAGACGCACAAGCCTAACATGATAAATTGTATAGAAGTAAATACACACACACGTACAAGTAAAATAGGGAATTTTGAATAAGATCAGTAAATGTCAGTATCCTGGTTATGATATTGTACAAGATGTTACTATTGGAGAAAACTGAATAAAGGGTACAACGGGATCTCTCTGAATTATTTCTTTCTTTTTTTCCTTTTATTTTTAGTTGGCATGTAATAATTGTACATATTTATGGGATACAGAGTGATATTTCTTTTCTTTTTTCTTTTTTTTGAGACAGACTTTTTTTGAGACAGACTTTTTTTTTGAGAGACAGACTTTTTCTTTTTGAGACAGACTTTTCTTTTTTTTTTTTTTTTTTTTTTTTTTTTGTTTGAGACTGGGAAACAGTCTCACTCTGTTTCCCAGACTGAAGTGCAATGGTGCAATCTTGGCTCATTGCAACCTCTGCCTCCCGGGTTCAAGTGATTCTTCTGCCTCAGCCTCCCGAGTAGCTGGGATTACAGGCATGAGCCACCACGCCCAGCTAATTTTTGTATTTTTAGTAGAGACAGGGTTTCACCATGTTGGCCAGGCTGGTCTCCAACTCCTGGCCTCAAGAGATCCACCCACCTCAGCCTCCCAAAGTGCTGGGATTACAGGCATGAGCCACCGTGCCTGGCCCAGAGTGATATTTCAATACACATATACAATGTGTAATCATCAAATCAGAGTAATTAGCATATCCATCACCTCAAACATTTATCATTTCTTCATATTGTGAACGTTCAAAATCCTTTCTTTCTCTATATTATTTCTTATAACTGCTTATTAATCTATAGTTAATTAATCTATAGTTATATCAGAATAATAAGTTTAATTTTTAAAAGTTGATACAAAACTGTAGGTGCAATACCATTGCTTTGCATATTCTTGATCATATGTACACACAAAAAATCTTAACAATTATTAGCTCTAGGTAGTAGAGGTGTTGGATTTTATAAGTGATTTCTGAGTTTAGGCTTTTTAATATTTTTTAAATTCCTTACCATGAACATATATTCATTTTATAATTTATAAATATAATGAATGTAATCTTTAATCACAGCACGATCATTTGTAATAACAACCATATCTTCGTGATAACTCATACAAAGCTTTTTATCAGCTAGTACCCCCAAAACTTTTCGGCATAAATTGCTGCAAAACTAAGAATTTCCAATCCTGTACTTCTACAATTAAATTTTTGGAACCAAATATAGGACCTCACAGCTGAACTCTGATTGCCAAACCATGTCATTTCTCTGGCTCCCAGCAATCATGTGCAATTTAAAGACTTTGGGCCAGAAGGACCCTGAGCTTCTTTCACCCTTATAGTCCTGGGCGTCATGCTACTACCAAGAACCTTCTGGGAACTTTGGTCTGTCTACTTAGAGATAATGAATTCTAAAGAGAGAAAATGAACCACTTTCTCTCAGGTCTCAGACTATGATCATATCTCCTTGAGAAGCAGCTCAAATTATTGTGAGAACCTGCCACTTGCCTACCCCACCACCTTCCACCTCAGCAAAGTCCCCATTAGCTCAGGGTATCAAACCACTCATAATACTGCTAGATGGTCAGTGGTAGGAATTTGCAGATTTATGGGCCTATAAAATCATTCACTTTCACTGCTGGAATGATGCAAGTCTCCTAGGTTAATAAGTAACATGGCCTTCACAAACATCAACTGGAGCACAGCGTGGGAGAATTCCAACTCTGTTGCCACATTTCCTAAAATCCAAAACCATTTCTGCTTCTGCAATACCTGTGCTTCTCTGTCATGGTGCATGCTGGTATGAATTCTCCCTCTTCCGACACATCATTGTCGTCCTCCTCAGGGCTTCTCTTCATATCACTTTCTACTGTCTGTGAGGGGTCACCCAGCACTTCTCTTAGGGAAACCTTCTATGTCTCCTTGTATCAGGATCTGAGTCAATGACCACATCTGGTGGATTCCACTTTCCTGTGCAGATGGCATATAAGCTAGCTGTCCATCCTCAAAATTCCCAGTATCCACCCCAGATTGATGTGTGCTTGCGAGACACACACATCAACAGTTGCCTTTTTGCTAGCCCAACAGGGTAAAGAAGGGCTCCCTTTTGAGCCTTATCTGTGGGTCCCTTCCTTTGGCTGGCTTTGCCAGTACAGCAGAAATGCTTCCCTAAGATGGGCCTCTTCAACAAAGAACCCAAAGTCAAGTTTACCTGGTCTCTGTACTGGTTCACATACTTAGTTGCCAGTCCACACCAAGGTCCACTGAGCTTACGCAGACATTTTTGTATCTATTTTACACCATATGTCTGTTGGATATAATAATAAAATATTTGGACATATTTTGTGCATCACTTTTTACTCTGTTTTTCTGGTAATTCATTTTTGTTGCATTTTATGAAAGTTTCAGTCAATACATATTAGAAATAAAAAAGAATTTTTGAAAACTTGGTCCTTCAACACAAAAATTTGGGAATTGCCGGTCTGGGAGACTTGGAGGGAATTAACCTACAGCACACACTTTGACAAACATTACTGTCCAGGGTCATATCATCATACCGCATCCCTGGCTCAAAAAGTCAACCTCTGTCTTGAAACCCACTCTAGACCATTGGCTTTCCCTCTGGCAGCACATGAAAATCACTAGAAAGCTTTTATTTTGTCTTTTCTTATTTTGTTTTTATGGTTGCTGGGTTTTTTTAAACAGGGTCTCTCTTTGCCAAGGCTAGAGTGCAGTGGTACAAACACAGCCCACTGCAGCCTTAACCTCCTGGCTCAAGCGACCCACAGTCTCAGTCTCCCAAGTAGCTGAGACCACAAGTGCGTGCCACTAAGCCCAGCTATTTTTTTATTTTTTGTGGAGACAGGGTCTCACCATGCTGCCCATGCTGGTCTTGAACTCCTGGGCTCAATCAATCCTTCCACCTCGCCTCCCAAAGTGCTGGGATTGCAGGCATGTGCCATGGCGCCTGGCGAAGGGAGCTTTTAAAATACAGTTATAGAGGCCATACTCTGAATCAATTAAATCAGAATCTCCCAGGGTGGGTATTTTTTAAAAGCTCCCCAAGTAGTTCAAAGGTACAGCCAGGATTAACAGTCCAAACCTTCTCAATTCATCATCTTGGACCACTTGCCTGGCCTTCTGTTGTTTTGTTTTTGTTTGAGGAAATATCTGAGTCAATATCTCTCCTTCCAATAATACTTTAAATTCAAAATTAAAGCAACAAATGAGGACGGGAAAGCACTTCTAGCATAGCAAAGACCTCCATTAAAATGATAAGAACACTGTCAAAAATGCTCAAAATCAACTTCTGCAAAACTCCCAAAATTAATCAAAGGCATGCAACAATCTGAGGACTATTTATTCAAGAAAACAGCTGCATCTTGGTAAGAATGGCATATTTTTGTCATTTTAATGTACCCTATTCCCATCTCCCTCTCTGTAGCTCTGCAATAGCCTTGAAAACCAAGAACCTGACAGTAACAGTAGCTATGAAAAACAGCATCCAAGAATTCCCAGAAGGAAATAAAATGGGATTGGAATTCCCAAAAGCCTCATCTCCAGAGAATTATCACTATTTGATCTTTGTGGCAGCTCCTTTAAAAGCTCCATTCTCAGGGCTCATCTTTATTTGGCCTAAGGTTGGCCTGTATAGAACAGCCTATGGCTAGGGAATTTGTCAGAGATAATCATTAGCAATTGTTTAACATCACAGCTGCCTGAGGCAGTGCTATCAGTTGAGGTTTACAAGAGACTGGCTAAAAAAACTTAACCAGAAAAAAAAAAGTGAAATTAGATCTCCACAGGGGACATCTGGACATTCATAAATCTCCAACATATTCCTAAAATCCAAAACCATTTCTGCCTTCTGCAATACCTGTGCTTCATACATGTGTGCATGCCCAGAAAAGAACTAAGAAGGCCCTTTTCTCCTACCTGTGGCTGACTTTAACCCTCTGTGCAAGTGGCAAGTGAAGACTGAGGCAGAATTATAAAGTGAAAGAGTGTTGAAGTCATGCCCTACACAAGTGGTTGCCTTGGCAAAGGCTGGGAGGCTTATTGGTTCAACGTATTTAGGGACATCTCTGTCCAATCACTAGATGACCACTGAGTTAACCAAGCTTAGGTGTCTGTGGCTACATATGACAAAGACTAAAGATTTTACAAAGTTAGTCCAGGGAAGTCACTGGAATAACAGTAAGTGTATTAGTCTGTTCTCACGCTGCTAATAAAGACATAACAGAGACTGGGTAATTAATAAAGGAAAGAAGTTTAATTGACTCACAGTTCCACATGGCTGGAGAGGCCTCACAATCATGGCTGAAGGCAAATGAGGAGCAAAGTCACATCTTACATAGCAGCAGACAAGAGAGTTGTGAAGGGTAACTCCCCTTTATAAAACCATCAGATCTCATGAGACTTATTCATTATCACAATAACAGCATGGGAAAGACCCGACCCCATGATTCAATTACCTCCCACAAGGTCCCTCCCATGACACATGGGAATTATTGGAGCTACAATTAAAGATGACATTTGGGTGGGGTCCCAGCCAAACCATATCAGTAAGCAAACAAAAAGCAACAATAAACCCCAAGGAGGGGCAGAATCTGATTTTCAGAGGTATCACATTATATTATATAAAATATCCATTCTTGGCCAGGTGCAGTGGCTCATGCCTGTAATCCCAGTGCTTTGGGAGGCCGAGGCGGGTGGATCATTTGGAGTCAGGAGTTTGAGACCAGCCTGGCCAACATGGTGAAACCCTGTCTCTAGGAAAATACAAAAATTAGCTGGGTGTGGTGGCATATGCCTGTAATCTCAGCTACTGGGATGGCTGAGGCAGGAGAATCACTTGAACCCATGAGGTGGAGGTTGCAGTGAGCTGAGATTGCACCATTGCGCTCCAGCCTGGGTGACGAAGCGAGACTCTATCTCAAAAAACAAATCCATTTTTAACAACAAAAAAATTATCACAAAGAGAAGGGAAATATGGTCTGTATGCAGGAAAACAAACTGTCCATAGAAACAGTGTTTGAAGAAGCACAGGTGTTGGGCTTAACACACAAGGACTTTAAATTAGCTATTATGTTCAAAGGACTAAAGGAAGCATATCTAAAGAATTAAAAGAAAGTACAATAACAATGGCTTATCAAATAGAGAATATCAACAAAGAGATAGAAATATTCTTTTTTAAAAAAATCAAATGGGAAATCTGTAGTTGAAAAATACAATAACTGAAGTGAAACATTTCATCAGAGAGATGAAACAGCAGATTAGAACTGGCAGGAGAAAGAGTCAGTGAACTTGAAGATACGTCAACTAAGAATATGCAGTTTGAAGGAAATAAAGACAAAATAATTAAAAAGAGGGTATAGAGCCTCAGAGACTTGTGAGACATCACCAAGCATAGCAACATGTGCATAATGGTAATACCAAAAGGAAAGTTAAAGGCTATCAACTAAGAATTCTACATCCAGCCAAACTCTTTTCCAAAACAAAGGAAAGAATGCAACAGGAAGTATATATGAAGAAATAATGGCCATAAACTTCTCAAATTTGATGAAAAACATTAGTCTGAACACAAAAGAATTCAACAAACTCCAAATAGATTAACTCAAAAAGATCTAGACCTAAAAACAGCATAATTAAATGTTGAAAGCCAAAGATGAAGTGAAAATCTTAAAAGCAGCAAGAGAAAAGAACTTATCATATAGAACGGAGCCTCAGTAAGATTAACAATGAACTTATCAGCAGAAATAATGGAGTTTAGAAGGCAGTGAGATGACATAGTCAAAGGACTGAAACGTAAAGGCTGTGAACTAACGATTCTATATCCGGCAAAACTATACTTCCAAGATAAAGGAAAAAGATACTTCCATCTAAACAAAAATTGAGAGGATTTGTTGCTGGCAGACCTGCCCTATAGGAAATACCAAAGAGATTCCTTTAAACTGAAAAGAAAGGGCACTAGACAATCATTTGAATTCACACAAAGAAATAAGCGCTAGTAAAGGTAATTACATAGGTAAATACAAAAGACAGTAAAAATGTGGTTTGTAACTCTTTTCTTCATATTGAAATCAGCTTATTGCATAAACCAATAATTATAGACATATGTAATGGGCTCATAATGTATAAATATGTAATTTTTATGACACTAGTAGCAAAAAGAGGTGGGAAAGAACAGACCTATATTGGAACAAAGTTTTTGCATACTATTTAAACTAAGTTAATATTATTGCAAAGTAGAGTGTTTTAAGTTAAGATGTTAATTGTAATCCCCAGGAAAACAAGTTAAAAATAATTTTAGGCCAGGCGCGGTGGCTCACACCTGTAATCCCAGCACTTTGGGAGGCTGAGGCGGGCAGATCACGAGGTCAGGAGATCGAGACCATCCTGGCTAACACAGTGAAACCCCGTCTCCACTAAAAAAAAAACAAAAAAATTAGCCTGGAGTGGTGGCAGTCACCTGTAGTCCCAGCTACTTGGGAGGCTGAGGCAGGAGAATGGCATGAACCTGGGAGGTGGAGCTTGCAGTGAGCCAAGATCACGCCACTGTACTCCAGCCTGGGTGAGAGAGCAAGACTCTGTCTCAAAAATAATAATAACAATAATTTTAAAATATTTGATAAAGGAAACAAAGGAGTTATAATGGTATAATACAAAATGTATATTTAACACACAAGAAAGCAGTAATGGAGATATAAAGAAACAAAAAAGACATAAGACAAACATAAACCAGATACTCAAATCATACATGTAAATCATACCTTCTCAGTAATAGTGTTAAATGGAAATAAACTCAGTATTCCAATATAAAGGCAAAGATCAGTAAAATGAATAACTTTAAAAAACCTGATCCAACTATATGCTGTCTACAAGAGACATGTTTTACATTCAGACATAAAGGAGTTGAAGATAAAAGAGTGTGGAGAAATATACCATACAAACATTAACCAAAGTAGAGGTGTAGTGGCTATACTAACAACACACACGCACACACACACACACAAACAAACAAAAATTGTTATTAGAGAAAAAAAAAAGGACATTTTATCATGATAAAAGGGTCAACTCATAAGGAAGATATAACAATTATAAGCATACATGCATCAAAAATATATCGGGCAAAAACTGACCAAATAGAATGGAGAAATTGGCAATTCAAGAATTGTATAATTTAACAATAGACAGAACAAAGAGGCAAAAGATAAACATAGAAAACTGAGGAGCAGAACATTATAAATCAACTAGGCTTAACGTATTTCTGTACAACACTCTACCCAATGGCAGCAGAATATACATTATTCCCAAGTGCAGACGGCACATTCACCAGGATAGATCATGTATTAGGCCACAAAACAAGTTCCAATAAATTTTAACAGAACCAAAATCATACAAAGTATTTCTTCTCTAACCACAGAGGAATAAAGCTAGAAATCAGTAACAGAAGGAAAATTGGTAAATTCACAAAATATGTGGAAATTAAACAAAACATTGATAAACAACCAATAAGTCAAAAAGAAAATTACAAGCAAACTTAGAAAAAAACTTTCAGATGAATGCAAATAAAAATACAACATACCAAAAGTTATGGGATACAGAGAAAGCAATGCACAGAGGAAAATTTATAGCTATAAATAACTATACTGAGAAAGAAGAAAGATCTAAAATTAGCAACCTAACTTCACACTTTAAGGAACTAGAAAAGCAAGAGCAAACTAAACCCAAAACTAGAAGAAGGAAGGAAATAATAAAGATTAGAACAGAGATAAATGAAATAGAGAACAGAAAAACAATAGAGAAAACCAATGAAACCAAAAGACGGTTTTTTTGAAAAGATCAACAAAATTGACAAATCTTTAGCTAGACTGATTATAAAATGGAGAGAGGTAAATGACTAAAATTAGAAAGTGGGGGCATTTCTACTAACCCTATAGAAAAAGGATTATAAGAGATACTATAAACAATTGTACACTGACAAATTAGATAACCACAATGATATGAATAAATTCCTAAAAACACAAATTACCAAAAGTGATTGAAGAAGAAATAAAAACTCTAAATAGACCTGTAAAAAGTAAAGAGATTGAATCAGCAACCAAAGCCAGGACCAGATGGCTTCACTAATGAATTCTACTAAATATTTAAAAAAGAATTAAAACCAATCCTTCTCAAACTCTTCCACAAAATGGAAGAGCTACAGCTTTCTAGCTAATTCTATGAGGCCAGAATTAGCCTGATACAAAATCCAGACAAAGAAAACACAAAAAGAGAAAACTATAGATCAAAATCCCATGATGAACATAGAATGCAAAAATCCTCAACAAAGTATTATCAAATTGAATCCAACAGCATATTATAAGGGTTATACACTATGACCAATTGGGATTTATCCCAGGAATGCAAGAGTGGTTCAACATAAGAAAATCAATCAATGTAAGACACCATATTAACAGAACCAAAAAAATCTTCAATTTATGAAAAAAATTCTCAGTTAGGGCAGAAGAAAATTTTGACAAAATCCAACACACTCTCATGATAAAAACACTAAAAAAAACTAGGAATAAAAGGAATACCTTCTACATAATAAAGAACCCCTGTGGAAAACCCACAGTTAACATATTCAATAATTAAAGACTGAAAGCTTTCTTCTTAAGATCAGGAACAAAACAAGAATGCCTAATTTTATGGCTGTTATTGAACATTGTGCTGTAAGTTCTAGCTGGAGCAATTAGGCAAGAAAAAGAAATGAAGCATCCAAATTGGAAAGAAAGAAGTAAAATTATTTCTATTCACAGATGACATGATCCTATATATAGAAAATATGAAAGAATCCACAAAATAAACTACTAGAGTTAATAATGAATTCAGTAGAGTTGCAAAGTGTAAGATCAACATGCAAACATCAGTTGTGTTTCTATATACCAGCAATAAACAACATGAAAAAGAACTCCATTTACAATAGTATTTAAAAGAATAAAATACCCAGGAATGAATTTAACCAAGATAATGATACGTACACTGAAAACTATGCAACATTGCTGAAATAAATTAAACAAGGCCTAAATAAATAGAATAGCCCAGGTTCATAGACCAGGAGACTTCCTGTTGTTAAGATGGCAACACTGTACAAATTGGCCAAAAGATTCAAGACAATCCCTAACAATTTCCAATGCCTTCTTCAGTAATGAAGAACCCAGTCCTCAAATTCATGTGTGATTGTGGGGGCTCCAAATGCCAAAATAATCCTGAAAAAGAACAAAGTTGCAGGACTTACACATGCCAATATCAAAATTTACTACAAAGCTACAGTAATCAAGACACTGTGGTACAAACATTGTAGATAGATGCACAGGACTATGAAATTGAATTGAGGATTCAGAAATAAACCTATTAATCTATGACCAGTCGATTTCAGACACAGGTGCCAAGACCATTTAATGGAGAAAGAATTGTCTCTTCTCCATTGGAACACTGGAGCACTGGAACAACTGGATATCCACATGCAAAAGAATAAAGTTGGACCCTAGCTCACACCATATACAAAAATTAACTCAAAATAGACTGTAGAAATAAATATAAGAGCTAAAATTATTAAACTCTTCAACAAAAAATACAGAAGTAAATCAAAGCATGAACAACATAAGAAAAAAATAGATAAATTGGACTTCATCAAAATTAAAAATTTTTGTGCCTCAAAGGGCACCATCAATAAAGTGAAAAAACAACCCACAGAATGGAAGAAAATATTTGCAGATTTTACATCTAATAAGTGACTTGTATTCAGAATATATAAAGAACTCTTAACACAACAATTTTATTGATTTTCAATGACAAACCAATTTAAAAATGAACACAGGATTTAAATAAATATTTCTCCAAGGAAGGTACAAATGGCCAACATGCACATGAAAAGGTGCTCAACATCATTCATCACTAGACAAATGCAAATCAAAACCACAATGAGATACCACTTTAAACATACTACAATGGTTATAATAAAAAGGACAGTAACAAGTGTCAGCATTAATATGGAGACATTGGAACACTTGTACATTGCTGGTAGGAAGGTGAAATGATCAGCTGCTTTGGCAAACAGTTTGGTGGTTCCTTAAACAATTAAACATGAAGTTTCAAAGTGACCTAGCAATTCCATTTATATGTATATAACCAAGAAAATTGAAAACACGTTCTCACAAAAATACGCACATGAATAATTGTAGAAACATTATTTATAATAGCCAAAAAGTAGAAATAACCCAAGAATGGATAAACAAAGTCCATACAAAGAACCATTATTTGGGCACACACACACTAAAAAAATGAGGCACTGATACATGCTACAACATGGAACCTTGAAAACCTTATGCTAAGCAAAGCAGCTAGACTCAAGAGGCCACAGATTGTATAGTCTCGTTTATATGTATGATCCCATTTTTATAAAATGCCCAGAATAGGTGTAGCCACAGAAACACAAAGTAGACTAGAGGTTGCAAATGACTGAATGGTAGGGCAGTGGCAGGGCGGGGATGTGGAGGGACTGCTAATGGGGGTGGGCTCTCTTCTTGGTGTGATGAAAATGTTCTAAAATTAGACAGTGGTGATAGTTGCAAAACTCCATTGAACATACTAACAGTTACTGAATTGTGCAGTTTAAAAGGGTGAATTTTATGGTGTCAATTCTTTCTCAATAAAGCCGTTATTGAAATGTTGTAGCATCTTTCACCTATCAGATGGACCAGTCCTAAAATTATGACAATACATAGTACTGATGAGGGTATGGTTAAGTAGGTACTATGTATGCTGAGGGTGGTAGTACAAATTGGTACAGCTTCTTTCAGGAGTAATTGTACAGCTTCTACCAATATTTACAATGCATCTACCCTTTGATTTAGCATTTTCAATTTTAGCAATATGAAATATTGGTATATTCAGATAGGTACATAAAAGATTTGGTAGATTTACAGGCAGATCTGTAAGAATGATCTTATAAGGTCTGTTTAGTTAGTAATATTGCACCAATGTTAATTTCTTGATTACAATAATTATATCATAGTTAGATAAGTGAATATTAAGGAAAGCTGGGTAAAGGGTATATAGGCACTCTAATATTTTTGCACTTTTTTTCCTAATTTGAAATTATTGCAAAATAAAAAGTCATAAAAAAGAAGATATATTATTAGGTGAAAATGCAAGGTGAAGAACAGTGTGTATTCAGTGTGCCATTTGAGTAAAAGTAATGAGGTACATAAACATATATTCATTTGTATTGGCATAGACTATTTCTTAAGTGATAAGTTTTTAAATGTGGTTGCCACTGGCTGGGTGCAGCGGTTCATGCCTGTAACCCCAGCACTTTGGGAGGCCGAGGCGGGTGGATCACCTGAGGTCAGGAGTTCAAGACCAGCCTGGCCAACATGGCGAAACTCTGTCTCTACTAAAAATACAAAAATTAGCCAGGCGTGGTGGTGTGCACTTGTAATCCCAGCTGCTTGGGGGACTGAGACAGGAGAATCGCTTGAACCCAGGAGGCGGAGGTTGCAGTCAGCAGAGATCATACCAATGTGCTCCAGCCTGGGCTACAGAGCAAGACTCTGTCTCAAAAAAAAAAAAAAAAAAAAAAAAAAAAGAGTGGTTGCCTCTGTGGTGACAGGAAGACTGGAGTAGAAGGGATCCTTTATCATTCAGGGTTCCACCAGAGAAACAGAGCCAGTAGGAGAGAGAGAGATTTGTTACAAGAAATTGGCTTACATGATTCAAGGGGCACTCACTAGGCAAGTCTGAAATCCATGGGGAGGGTGATCAGGAGGGGTAGGCTGAAAACTCTCAGACAGGAGCTGATGCTGCAGTCCACAGGCCGAATTTCTTTTTTCTCAGCTTTGTTTTTAAGGCATTTCAACCAATTAGATCAAGCCTACCCAGATTATCTAGGGTAACCCACTTTAGTTTAAATCACCTGATAGTAGACATTAATCACAACTACAAATTACCTTCACAGCAACACCTAGATCAGTGTTTGATGAATAACTGGGTACCATAGCTTAGCCAATTGATACATAAAACTGCCTATCACCAGGACTTAAAAGTTACAGTGCACTATCTTATTCTGCTTGAACTTTTTTATAACCATGTGTGTGTATTGCTTTTTCCATTAAAAACAGTGTATTAGTCCATTCTCACACTGCTAAAAAGAACTACTTGAGATTGGTAATTTATAAAGAAAAGAGGTTTAATTGACTCACAGTTGCACACATTGCACAGGAGGCATGGCTGGGGAGGCCTCAGGAAATTTCAATCATGGCAGAAGGGTGAAGGGGAAGCAAGCACATCTTCACACGGCAGCGAGCGAGAGAGAGAAGAAGAAAGTGCTACACACTTTTCAAACAACCAGATCTCATGAGAACTCACTATCATGAGAACAGCAAGGGGGGAAGTCCGCCCCCATGATCCAATCACCTCCTACCAGGTCCCTCCCCCAACATTGAGGATTACAATTCAACACGAGATTTGGGTGGGGACACAGAGCCAAACCATATCAAACAGCTATATCAATGTTCCAAAAAAAAAAAAGTAGAGAAAGTGTTAGTGCTCTCTGGCCATGGAGGTCATGATTTCCTTCTCTCAGGCAGCCATCTCTCTCCTCATCACACCAGCCTAGCATCCTGTCTTTCTACTTCAAGGTCTATATTTACCATCACTGTCTGTTTCAAAGGACATGTCTCCATTTTGCATCTTCTTAACCATTTGCAGTTTTATCAATCCCTCCCTTTCAAGGGGAGTGGCCAGAGTTTAAAAAGCTGTCTTCATCCTCTTAACCAGTTAAATGGCCCCCTCCATCAAAAGAGAGAACCCTTGACCTCACCCCAACTCCTGAGTCAGGCTATGTGAAGTTGGGCTGTTTATTTCTCATATCCACCACCTGGAATGTTGTGGTGAAGAAAGAGAGCCCAAGCTCCCATGGACCAGAACTGAGAGAACCCACATTAGTCCTGATGGTAGGAGACAGAAGAGAAAATAATACGGAGGCGAAAAGGGGCGATCCCTCTGACTCGTCTATTTATAATGAAGTGGGGCCACTGAACCCAAGGTGTAATGCACAGTGGAATTAGATAAGACTGTCCCTCTTGGATAGCCATCAACGTGGGCTGAGGCCTGGGGTAACCACTGCCCTCTCATGAAAATCTTTAGCTGCGCTTGGGCTGCCTACCATCTCTCACCCTCTGAGAAAATACATGAAGTCCCCAGTGCCCTGGATGCTCACAGTGACTGATCTACCCTAATTTTTGCTGAGAAGGGTGACCTTCACCTGTCTTGCAGCTGTGGTGGTTATTCAAACCCTGCTATAGTATATGCTGGAAACCAAGATATTAGTTTGGAACAGGTGAAAAAGAAACCTAATGGATCAGTCTCTCAGACATGAAGCAAACAAGCCTCATTTCTCACCCCCATTTGACTGCCCATGTGGCGGCCAAGACTGCCCCAGCAGGCTCTTGGAGTTGCTAAGGAGCTGCCTCATCATCGGACCATGCAGTTTCCATGTTCCTGATCCTACGTCCTTGAACTATTAAACCCTCTGGTTCCAAGGATTCGTTCCTACTCCACACACAACCCCACCCAAGAAACTAAACTCTCCCTTCCATCCCAAAGTAGCCCAACATTGGGATGGCCCAATATTCTCATATAATCAAAAAAGAAGTGAATCTTATCACATCTGCAAATCCCCTGTCCTTCTGAAAAATAACTAAACTGAGTGGTATAAAAACTGTAAAGGTCATTCCCTAAAAGGAAACAAAATAAATTCTAACATGAATTAGAGAAAAATATAATGAAACAGATGACGATAGTGCACTGAAATACCTATTGACTTAGTATCTCTAGCTTAAAGTGCCATCTAAATTGAGCCCGTTTGAGGATCTACAATCAATTTTATCCACAAAAGAAACAATCTTTCACAGCAATAGTTTGCCCATTTTGATGGTGAAACATTAAGAGGCCCATGTATTTTCTCAGTGAATCTCAAGCACAATAGGTTAGGTCTATTAACTGAGTGAATGAAAGCAGGCTTTAATCTTTATAGTGAAATAAATTGTGACTCCCTATAGCAGAAGTTCCCTGTCAAACCACTGAGAAGCTAACACAAAGAATGTACTTTTATTCACAAGTTTCAACCTTCTTTATCAGTATTTCTACAGCTCTTTCTACATTTTGAAGCACTTTCACTTATACATTAAACCCTTAAAATAGAAACTCCAAAAGCAGTCCCTTGGAAGTTGCTGCTGAGTTGTGATGACAGTATGAGTCTTTGGGAATTTTCACTATGGAGGTCTGGGGAGGGTGGGGACTCTCACCCTGGGACATGTCTTGATGGGGTCATACATCTGCCCTCCTATAGCAGGAAGTGCCCAGCCATACTGACCCAGCAATGCTCCCCATAAAGGAGTTTACTGTATCTGCAGGGTCCCTTGGAAGCCAATGTCTAGCCCCATGCAAAGGACACGGTGAGCAAAAGCCTATCTAGGATTGTGTCTCAGGCTCATCTTGGCAGAAGTGCTGGGAGCCCCTGACTGCAGTCAGAGAGTGCATCCCTCCATTGTGTCTCTGCCTTTTTCATTCTTTCCTGGGAGCCACCATCTGCAGACCTCAGCTCAAAGCTGAGGGTTTTTTGTTCTAAAAGTTACAAAATCTTGCATATATCTCTCTGTCCTAAGGTAGTTGATATTTAAGGGACCAAATGCCCCCCAAGGGGGCATGGAGTGCAGAGGACCAGAGAGAAGATCTTGAGCAAGTCCCTGGCCCTCTCTGAGCCTGGGGAGAAGACTCTTCACAGAGTTGTCCCTGAGGATGCTGAGCACAGTAAAGTCTCAGTATAGGATCCATCACTCTCATTTTAATTGGGGGATAAAAAGATAATACAGCCTGAAGTCCCGGCCTTTTATTTCATGAAATGGATGGACACTAACAAGGAGAATAAATTCAGAGGGTTATTCCTTCTACCAGAAAGTTAGGCCAAGGGGCGCAAAAAGGGGTGGCCATCCCGAGTTGGTATGAATGCAGGGATCTTGGAAGGCTTCCTGGGTGTTGAGCTGGATCTGCAAGGAGGGCATGTTCTCCAACTGGGAGAGAAGGAGAATATTTCCCGGCAGGATCTCTGCTGGGGTGGAGTATTTCAAGACAGGATCTATGCCACTGTGCTGGAGGAATTTCAGGGCAGAATCTATGTTGCTGGAGGAATATTTCAGAGAAGGATCTATGTTATTGTAGGGGGAGGGCATTTCTGGACAGGATCTATGTTCCTGTGGTGGGGAGGGAGTGTATTTTAGGGCAAAAGTTTTGCTACTGGGAGGAAGGGGTCAAGGTCAGAGGGTGGTGGTGTGTGTGGGTGTTACCAGGGATAACTCTTCATATCCAGAGCTAGTGAGAGGCCACCAGGAGGCCCCCAGTGTTCATGGCAGAGCCTTCTGCCTTGCAGCTATGGGGAAGATTGATGTGGACAAGATCCTCTTTTTCAATCAAGAAATCAGGCTGTGGCAGGTAAATAAGCTTCTTAGTAACTTTCCCCCCAGGACTACATTTTTTCTGGGTGCACATCTGCTTGTGTGTGTGGCAGTGGTTGGGGCGGGAGGTGGGGTGACTACATGAAAGGTTGAGGCAGGTCAGAGGTCAGTTTCCAAACCACTCTGTGTCATCTTGGTGCGAGGATAAGGCTCCCCAAGACAGAGCTTCACAAACCCCTAGGTCCCCAGCAACACGGCAGGTAGGGCTGGTGGTGGGAGGTTGGTGGTGGGAGGTGTGGGCAGGCCCAGGAGAGAAAAGTCAGGGAGTGGGGGTGGAGTGGGGTGGTGACAATTTCCTTAAAGCCCTGAGCGACCCTAGGTCAAGGGCTGCGTGACAGCCAGAAATGGGGCAGCGACCCAAGCAGAATTTTGGAGTGAAATGAACATTTTAAATTTTCCTAGAAAGGCCTGTCTCTACAAAAAAATTAAAAATTAGCATGGTGTGGTGGTGCGGGGCTGTAGTCCCGGCTACTCAGGAGGCTGAGGCAGGAGAATCGCTTGAGCCCGGGAATTCGAGGCTGCAGTGCACTCCAACCTGGGCGACAGAACGAGAACCTGTCTCAGGAAAAAAAAAATGCTAGAAGGGGAGAATGAGAATTGACCCTTACTGGAAGGTTTTTCTGTTTTTATGTGACGGTTTCTTTATATGTGGGACATCATCTCACTGACGTCAAACTTCATGAGTGTCTAAGCCTCCCAGGTACCCTACTGCGTGCTTTCCGTAGCGGCTCGTTGATAGTCCTCTCAGTCCCTGCGAGGTGGATTCTAATCCAGAATCCCCTGCTACGCCTGCTAAGCCTGTGACCCCTGTTTCACCCCTGCCTCAGGAGTGAAGGAGCTCACCCATCAGATGGCAGCAAGGGGGCGCCTGGGCGGAGCCATGCTTCTTGCACCGTGCACTGGCCCTGAGCCGGGCACTTCAAGGGGCTTTGTCCTGCATCTGCTACCAAATGTGTAGGGCCTCGCTAGTACCCCCACCAGTGTCAACCAGATATAGTGGGATCATGAGCATCACGAAATATTGCAGGATATAAGCATACAAGCAAAAAGAAGCCTAAACGAGAGTACATCTATATTTGGGAAGGAAAAATGAATTTTTTTTCCAAACTGAAAGAATACCTACTTCCTACTACCCAGAGTGAACCCCTTTTCTCTCTTATTCTTGATATTTTAATCTGAGCTATTAAAGGTCCCTTCTCTCCACCCCATTTTCTCCCCCCATCCTCTATTTCTTCCTGCCTTATTTAAAATGCTATTTCCCTTTCTCCCTTTTATGCGTTTATTTCCTTCATGCCGTTTTCTCATGTTTTCGCTTGAGGCAGCGAGCCTGGTATTTTGATTCCTTTATCTAAGGGGTTTTCCGTAACCCTCAGGACAACCCTGTAAGCTGGTGGCATTGCCCCATTTGAGAGATGAGAAAACTGGGGCCCAGTGCCAGGTGAGTGGAACCAGCTGGAGGGCATCTACTTAGTCCTCTGAGGACACATGAAGGCTGTGTGGAGCCCCCGAGCTGATTACTGACGCGAGGGTCCCCTCCCTGACCCCTCGCGACCCTGCGAGGTGAGTCAGCCCCGCCCCTCCCTCTTCTCTCTCCTCCCTTTTCTGTCGCCTTCGGACAACTTGTAACACTGTTTCTTCCACTGCCCACACGCCCATTGGCCCGTCACCACGCATCCCCATTGGCTGTGGCGGCCAGGGACAGGGCCGCGATTGGTCCCCACCCCTGTAACGAGGTGCCAGGTCTGTTTTCTGACCCAGACAGGAACCGCGATCCCCACTCCGGCGCACGAAGCCGGGTGACTGCTGTCCCGGGAGTGGGGACGTCGCGTGCACCGTTGGCGAGTAAGTATCCTTTGAACGCTCCTCTCCAGAAAGGTGCCCTTGGGCATATGAGTGTTTGTGTAGACTTGAAAGAATTCAGTGCAGCGGAGCCTAACAGGTGAACTTTTAGCGCGGGGTTCACAGGAGCCTTTTGTATCCGTCACTGTGGCTACCTACATTTTTGAGAGTGATTCTGGATGATGATGATGATGATGATGATGATTATTATTATTATCATTTTGAGACGGAGTTTCGCTCTTGTCACCCAGGCTGGAGTGCAATGGCGAGATCTCAGCTCACTGCAACCTCCGCCTCCCGGGTTCAAGCGATTCTCCTGCCTCAGCTTCCCGAGTAGCTGGAACTACAGGTGTGGGCCACCACGCCCGGCTAATTGTTTGTATTTCTAGTAGAGACAGGGGTTTCACCGTGTTGGCTGGGCTGGTCTCGAACTCCTGACCTCAGGTGATCCGTCCACCTCGGCTTCCCAAAGTGTGGGATTACAGGCAGGAGCCACGGCACCCAGCCAATTCTGGATTATTTTTACATAATTTGATATAGATAGAAAATCAAAGGAAGCTGTCTGTGGGTTGTAGTACATTATGCAGTGTATTATACTGTCTGGGGCTTGCTAATGAGAATGGATCACACTCAAATATTTTGTGGACTGATGCTTAAAAATGAACATTTCTCTGAAATTTGGAGAAGGTGAGGGCATTTTTTTTAAAGTTTAGTCTAGGGAGTTTTTTAAACGTCAGCTCTGAGTGGATATTAAAAAGTGTTTTAATAGGAAAATATGTGGTAATGAAAGTATGCTCTGCTTTATAGAGGACAATTAATAAAAATATGTCATGTGACAGTGTTAATCCTCACAAAATGCCCTTTTAGAAGAAGGTATCAACGAAGCTGCCTCCTAACTTTGTTAGACTGAAAGGTTATGTTTGGCAAGCTGATCTCATGAACAAGGTCGAACACAGCAATAAGTTTTGGTTTTCTTTGTTCACTTGTTTGCTTTTAGACAGAATCTCACTCTGTCACCCAGACTGGAGTGCAGTAGCATGATCTCAGCTCACTGCAACCTCTGCTTCCTAGGCTCAAGTGATCCTCCCAACTCAGCCTCCTGGGTGGCTGGGACTACAGGCACATGACGCCCAGATAATTTTTGTATTTTTTGTAGAAATGGGGTTTGGCCACGTTGCCCAGTCTGGTCTCAAACTCCTGAGCTCAAGTGATCCTCCTGCCTCAGCCTCCCAAAGTGCTAGGATTACAGGCAAGAGCCACTGTGCCTGGGCAGCAATACGTTTTTTAAAGGGGAAAATATGTTAGAGCTATGGCCATTCTGAAAGGCCTAGTATTATTTTGGGCTCCAGTTTCCTGCAGAATAAATGGGCTTTGCACAGAGAGAGTGTTCAGTAAACATTTGTTCATAAACATAAGGAAGTCTCCAAAATTCCTTAAGATGAAGCTTCTCATACTGCTATGTGCTCCATACCCCACTTCTATTGGTTATGAGTGGCTTTTTTTTTTTTATTGCTCCAGATACTCATAGAATCATGAGCATGACTTTTTTTTTTTTTTTAAGACAGAGTTTCACTCTTGTGGCCCAGGTTGGAGTCCAGTGGCACGATCTCAGCTCACTGCAACCTCCAACTCCTGGGTTCAAGTGATTCTCCTGCCTCAGCTTCCTGAGTAACTGAGATTACAGTTGCTTGCCACCACGCCAGCTAATTTTTCTATTTTTAGTAAGAGACGGGGTTTCACCATGTTGGCCAGGCTGGTCTTGAACTCCTTACCTCAGGTGATTCACCCGCCTTGGCCCCCCAACATGCTGGGATTACAGGTGTGAGCCACCGCGCCCAGCTGATCATGACCTTTTAAAAATAAAAACGTTCAGACTATAATCTAGTTAAAGAATTTTTACCTCCTTTATGCAGATAAAGAAATTAAGGCCAAACATGGTGGCTCATGCCTGTAAAGCCAGCACTTTGGGAGGCCAAGATAGGAGGATCATTTGAGCCTAGGAGTTCAAGACCAACCCGGGCAACATAGTGAGACCCTGTCTCTACAGAAAAATTAACCAGGCCCAGTGGTGCACGTCTGTAGTCCTAGCTACTCAGGAGGATGTGGTGGAAGGATTACTTGAGCCTAGGAGTTTGAGGCTGCAATGAGCCATGAGCTTGCCACTGCCCTCCAGCTTGGTCAATGGAGCGAGACCCTATCTCAAAAGAAATAGGAAAAAAAAAAACCTTAAGAACTAGAGCCCAGAGGTGGTGGCTCATGTTTGTAATGCCAACACTTTAGGAGGCTGACGCGGGAGGTTCACTTGAACCCAGGCATTTAAGACCAGCCTGGGCAACATAGTGAGACCCCATCTTTATATATATATATGTGTGTGTGTATGTGTGTGTGTGTGTGTGTGTGTGAACTAGAGAGATTTCTTGCCTCATCCAAAATCACAAAGTCACAAGGTTGGTTAGCCTGAAGATGTGGTTATGACCCAGGTATCAAGCCAATCCATAACCCAACTTGCCTTTCCCTTTACCAGCTCATCCCATCTTTGACTGTGTCTCTGCATCATCCTTAAGATTAGCTTCCTTCAAACTACTATCTCTGTACTGAGTTCCCTCAATTCTTGCTCATTTTAGATGCCCAAACATTCACATTCACCTCTCCAAGCATGCCCAGTTTTCCAAGTCTGGATAGGATATCCAGCTTCTTCACCCTATATAATCTTCACTACCTTTCTTAATTAGCAATTGACCAACATCACCTTGAAAGAGATTTTTGAAGGCTTCTCAATGAGATACAGAGAGGTCTTTCGGGTTAGGGTGGAACTAAGATGTTATTTCCCCTCCACCCACCAAGATTTTCTCTTAATCTTTATTTTCCTTTAGCTCATTCAACCCAGTGTCTCTGCCCATCCCCACGCTTGGGAGATTTTTGTCTTAGTAGTCCAGGCAATAGAATTCTTAGTGGTTTTAGTGTGGGAGAGGCAGCCAAGAAAGGGAAGCTTGAGTTAATCATCTATGTCTATGCATGGTACCACTTCCTGGGAGGGACACAACTGATGCTTGACACACAGGTGCCGATCAAAGATTTTTCTTAGTTGTTGCCAGAACATGATTGAGTTAGAAACCAGTGTGGCCTGGGACTGGGAAGCTCATTAAAGGAATTGGGACTTAAACTGGGAAGGGCAAGTTGGCTCTAGATCCATAGAAACTGAAGACAGGGGCAGAGAGAGATGGTATTATAGATGGAAGAAGGGGCAGTGGGTCATGGAATAAATATTGGTGAGCAGGGGAGCAAACCAAAGGGGTAATTGGGAGATTCTGAGTTTTCAAGGCTATTAAAATGCAGTTCCAGGCCCTAGGGAGGAGAGTTCCAGACTGTTTTCTCTACACTGCTATAATTCCTTACACTGCTGGGAGCAGTTTCTTTGACATACTTTGCAACTGCAGAGGGCTTTTAGGAGAGCCGAGTTTTGTTTTTAAGTAACAGATCACTTCTTGATCTCATTTTTACAATAGTTAGCTCCCCCTTTCACAGTATGTTTCATTCCCCCTTCCTAGCCAAACGGCTAATCTTGGAATAAGGCGGAGGGTCCTGCCCTCCTCTCCCCATCCTAGACAGTAACTTCTGAGGCACTTCTTCCAGGCGAGCCAGCCCTTCACACAAATCACAGGTGCTGACGGGACAGACCCAAGTGTATTATTAGATAAAAAGAGCTCTGTCCACCGGGCGTGGTGGCTCACACCTGTAAACCTTGCACTTTGGGAGGCCGAGGCAGGCGGATCAGGAGGTCAGGAGTTCGAGACCAGCCTGACCAACACGGTGAAACCCCGTCTCTACTAAAAATACAAAAATTAGCCAGTCGTGGTGGTGGGCGCCTGTAATCCCAGCTACTCAGGAGGCTGAGGCAGGAGAATCGCTTGAACCCGGGAGGCAGAGGTTGCAGTGAGCCGAGATCACGCCACTGCACTCCAACCCAGGCGACAGAGCCAGACTCCATCTCAAAACAAAAAACAAAACAAAAAAAAAAGAGCTCAGTCTAACAAAGATCTACCTAAGACCCTGTCAGGGCCACAGAGACGGAAAAAATTCCAAGTCAATCGAAATAACTAGGAAAGAATGCCTTGTGCGGATCATACATAGCACAGTGGTTCCTAGTAGTGAACAGGAGGCAGGATCTAGAGGGAAGACATTGAAAATCGCTCAAGGTCTAATTAAGAGTAACATCTCCAGCGCTTGATTCTGCCCTTAAAGCAGAGTAGGAGGGTCATCTCCCATCTTTCCTGCGGTGTGCCCCCTCCCTGAGCCAAGGGGGGGCGGGGGTGTAAATTTCCCCCAGCTCCTGACCAGGGGGCGCCTGGGGGCAGGCAAGATGGAGGCCACGGCTCCAGGCAGCTTGGCCAGCATGCTCTGGGGCTGTCCCCGCCCCTAGGGGCGAGCAGCCCTGGCGGCTCCTAGAGGCGACTGGTGGGAAGTCTGCCCCCTATGGGGGAGGCAGAGGACTGCACTCTTGTCCAGGGCTGAAACTGTCCACACAGCCATCCAGGAATTTCAGGCTGAGCGTGTTTGGGCAGAAGGGAGGACACCCAGCACTGGCATTGGGAGAACTCCAGATTCCCTACAAGCCCAGAGGCCTTTGGTGTTAGTATCCTGAGACTGTTAGAGAACTTGAGGTCCTGGGAGGACCCTGTTATTTTTATATCTCTGTTCATCTAGAACAGTGCTTCCCACCCGCTTCCCTTTTTCTGTATGTTAACCTAAATCCCCTGGTGTCCAGACACATCTGTTGCTCCTTAATTTAAACAAGTAAAAACAAAAAACAAAAAAAACCTATATTCTTCTGTTCAAAAGGTTCTCATTTTCCCTGGGCAGTTCAAAATCTTCACAGTTTCACTTTGCTTCCTATTAAAGATTAGTTGGTATCTGGAATTGAAGACCATGAAGGCATAGGCTCTAATCTAACATAACCCTGGAGCTGGGCTTGAGGGGCCTCTGCAGATTGGTGCTGTTTTCCCTTGGAAGATACCACAGTGTAATTCCTGGTAACAGATGTGACAGAGACATGCACGGACCAGCATGGGCAACCACAGCATCACTGTTCCCATCTTCCTGCCCTGTTCCAAAAAGCAAAACAAGGGAAAGTTGATACACTGGGGAAGACCAGATTATTGATGAGAAGTTGTTTTCTGAGCTAAAAAGTGTTTCAACATCCCACACTGCCTGATTGGGTTTACCATCTCATTGGCCTATTTTCCATACTATAGCATAGTGGGAAAGGTGTCTTCCATCTCCCTTCCTCATAACCCCTTAATGAAGATTGTTTCCAGCTGCTGCCAGCTGGGGTGATGCTTGACACACAAATCAAGAGTTAGCGGTGGCTCTCAAAGTGTGAAAGTATAGGAATCACCCTGGGAGCTGCACGCTGGGTTCAGATCCGATGTTTTCAAGGCAGGGCCTGGGCATGTGTATTTTCAACAGTCTCTGCAGGTGACACTAACATACCTCAAAATTAACAAACCCCTGGCGGAGGTCATGCATTGTCTCTGTATGGACTGAGCTCAGCAGGGAGTAGACCTAGCAGAAACCGCTCACTGTAATTCACCAGAAACTCCAGTACTGAGCACCTAATGGGGGCCAGGCTCTGTGTTACGCACTGAGGGTACAGAAGTGACGAAGTCGCAGCCTCCCTGTCCAAAGAGCAGACAGGCTAGTGGGGAGTAGATCTCTGAGTAGTGGGGTGAGGCCTGATGGAAGGGTCTATGGCTCAGGTAAAAGGCCCTGGCCCCTGTATCTTATTAAAACAATTACATGTCAGTCCCAGAATCGCCTCTCCTAGGGAAGGGCTTCTGGCTTGTAAGCTCAGATGTAACAAAGAAGGACACAGTGATCATCTCCAGAACCCACTAGAGGCAAGATAAGGCAAAATGGGTTTCAGTTCTCTGTCGTCAGGTGACTTTTGCTTGCACAGGTGGTAAAGTGAATTTTCTTATTTTCTTTTTTATGTTTTTCCTTGAGGTATATCACAGAAAAATTCTCGAGTCTAAAGTGTACCCCTTGAGGGATTTTTTTTTCATATGCATACACCTGTGTAACTACTATCCACATCAAAGAGGGGGCATTCTTGAGGTAGAAAAGACCTCACAGTGGGGACAAGTACCTGTTCAGCTTTGAACAGACTAAAGTAAAGCCTGAGATCTCAGGGTACAGCTGCTCTCCTTGGCCACGCGTAAAATTAACCCCTGAAATTAACAAGTGTCTGGTGAGTATCTGCAATGTGTTGGAACCTTTCCAGGTAAGTTCCAGGGCCCCTCAACTCTTAAGTCCTATATGGGTGGTTTGCAGTTTTAGGAGTTGAATTTCAAAAACAGAATTTGTGTTGACCCTGTATAATCTCCATCTGCTTTTCTTAATTAGCAATTGACCAACATCACCTTCAAAGGGCTTTTGTAAACTTCTCAAATTTCTCTCACTGTAAATCTTGCCAATAACTGAATTCATGAGGGAGTGAATTTGGGGCCTTTACTTGGGAAGGGTACCTCCTTTCTGCCTGCCTCAATTTGCCTTCCTTTTCCTTTAATATTGTATTTTTATTATCTAGGGCAAAAAAAAAAGCATACTATTACATTACAGCTTATAATGGCAACCCCTGAAGAAAACAGCAATCCCCATGACAGAGCAACACCCCAGCTGCCAGCACAGCTGCAGGAGCTTGAGCATCGGGTGGCCCGGAGACGGCTGTCCCAGGCCCGCCACCGAGCCACCCTGGCAGCGCTCTTCAACAACCTCAGGAAGACAGTGTACTCTCAGTCTGATCTCATAGCCTCAAAGGTATGGGGACCTGGAGGAGGAGAGGGGACATCTCCACGGGGAAGGAGACGTTTTCACAGGTGGAGGGACTGTGTTGCAAGGCAGGGACTGGCCTGGAGCTGCCACTTCTGCTGGGGTAGCGACAAATGCCCTAGACAGGGTAATTTATAAACAACAGAAGTTTATTGCTCCAGGTTCTGAAGCCTGTGAAGTCCAAGACAAAGGTGCCATCAGATTGGGTGTCTGGTGAGGGCATGCTCTCTGGTTCATAGACAGGGCTATCTTGCTGTGTTCTCACATGGGGGAAAGACAAACAGGTTCCCTCAGGACTCTTTTATAAGGGCACCAATCACCTTAATCACCTTCCAAAAGCCCCCACCTCTTAATACTATCATATTGGGGATTGGGTCTCAACATACTAAATTTTGGGGGGACACAAACATTCAGACCACAGCAGGTGGACAATCATCTTTCCACCCTACGAACAAGCCCAAGATGCTGGAAATCAGTCAGCCCCTGGTTCCAAGTCTTTGCTGACCCAACAGCATCAACATGAGCTCTGGGACTGGGGAGAGCAAAACACATAGGAGTGCTCAGGGAGCTTGCAATCCACTGTATCATCATGCAGCTGCGGTTCCCTTCACCTCCTCTTTGGCCTGGCAGAGCACTGTGACTCCAGCCCCCTCAAGTCTCCTTTTTAGGCACCACTAGAATCCTTGGAATCTAGAATGTCAAATCCCAGGCTACTCTGCCCCCAGCTGCTTTGGGGTCCCCCCTCCATGCCCACCCCACACTCTGGCCACATCTCACTGCAGCAGTTCCCTGAGCCAGGCCTGCCTCTCATGGCCTCTGTGTCTCTGCTCATGCAGTTAGCTCTGCCTTTGGGATTCTGTGCACACTTCAAAGCTGGGCTTGGCTCACTCTGCTCAGCTGCCCTGCTCCATGGAATCTTCTGGACCCCTCCAGTTGGACTATTCCCTCCTCCTTGTACATTTTCACAGCCCTTTGCTTCTACCCCTTGTTAGTACCTACTTAATTCTATATTGTGTTATAAGGGGTTGTTTCCATGCTTGTCTTCCCTGTCAGAGGTCAGCACCCTGAGAGAGGGGACTGTCTTATGTACTCTGTATCCCTGGGACTTACCACATAGTTTTGCCCTTGTACATGCCCAAGGGATGCATGCAGCCCCTGACAGATATAGGTGGTCAGCCTAACAAACAACATTTAGCATTGCTCGTTTTTGAATAATCTTGCTGTTACCATTTTAGCATTGCTCGTTTTTGAATAATCTTGCTGTTACCATTTTGACTTTAATAATGTTACATACAGGAAGTAAGGAGGGAAGAAGGAAGGAAGAGAAGAGGAGGAAGGAAAGAAAAAGGAAGGAAGGAAAGGAAGGGAGGGAGGGAGGGAGGGAAAAAAGGAAGTTGGAAGGGAGGAAGGGAGGAAGGAAGGAGGGAAGGAGGGAGGGAAAAAAGGAAGGAAGTTGGAAGGAAGGAAGGGGGAGGGAGGGAGGGGAGCAGAAGGGAGGGGAGGGAGGGAGAGAGGGAGGGAGGGAAAAAGGGAAAGAGGGAAATTTAGAGTTCAGGTTGACAGCATTTGATAAGTTTTTAGATCATCTGGAGCGTATGCAGTTAGCAAATAAAAATAGTGGGAGAATAGGACATTTAATATTAACTAGCCCTTTGCACAGGGTTACCACTGAGCTGAAGTCTAGCTCTGCTTTGTGCAAGCCTGGGGTTGACGTTCATGCAGAATGCGCCTCTTCCATCACTCCTTATTCCACCTTCAAGCCGCCTCTGTAGTCATTTGCCTTTCTACAGCACTAGCAATTTGCTGAACAAAGCTTAACTCTTTCCAAATCCTTTGGCATTTCGGTGAGAACCCACTTCTAGGCTACAAACAAAACTTCCTGCCTCCTGTGCATCAGAACAAACTTCCTATTCTTTTTACTGACAAGGTTAAGGGATGTGACTTTGCATCTGAGGGAGCGTGGCCTCAGCCCTGGGAAGGGATTCCTGGGTCCACAAAATCAGTCTCTGCAGTGAGAGGCTGGCTTTCAGCATTGTCTCTGTCTATCCTCAGTGGCAGGTTCTGAATAAGGCAAAGAGTCATATTCCAGAACTGGAGCAAACCCTGGATAATTTGCTGAAGCTGAAAGGTAATGGAGCACTACTTGCCAACCCCATCTCCCTCCCTGGAGAAAACTGGATCTGTTTTTCTATTGAAAACAGAAGTTGGGTTACAATGAATCAACAAATATTTATTGAGGGCCTACTGTGTGCCAGGAACTGTGCTTGGGCCAATGTTGAGGGTCCCTGTCCTTAGTGAGCCTGCAGTCCAGCAAGACTGGCCAGAGTCACCAGGCCATGAGACTCTGATGAGTTCCCTACTGGAGTGCTGCCAAAGGCACCTGATCTCATCTTCAGAGGCCAGAGGAAAAGTGGGCTCCTGCTTGTCTAAGGCTCTCCCTTCACACCTAGAAGGAAAAACTGGACCCTGGTCTCCCTAATGCTGACCCTGGAGGGTTCAGGGTCCCACCCACAGCCCACCTGGGCCAGAAGGGTGGGAGAGACTCAACAGAGGCCTGACTTTTCTCTTTGTGTTCCTGGTCTTCAACTCCCCAATAGCATCCTTCAACCTGGAAGATGGGCATGCAAGCAGCTTAGAGGAGGTCAAGAAAGAATATGCCAGCATGTATTCTGGAAATGACAGGTAAGACACCACAAACCCCAGGAAGCTGGGGACCTGCTGTGTCCTCACAGCCATCAGTACTGTCTGGTGGCAACTCACCCTTCCTCTCCAGCCTGCAGGACCATCAGGGCTGCTGCTCACCATTCAAAACAGCCATATGCTGGAGACCATTCGTTTCTCTTTTATTCTAGCAACATGCATCAATTTTTTCCCAATTATAAAAAGATACATGCTTATCACAGAAGATGCAGAAAATACACAAAAGCCAGAAAATATATATTGTCCCAGAACTCAAAGAAAATCAATGTTAATTTTCAAGAAAATCCATCAAGTTTTTAAAAAATGTTGCACATTATTCTTTAGAGAAATGAGCCCATAGTGTTTACATTATATTATAGCTTTTTCTATATGTATTTTTTAAAGCCACAACTAATGTCTTTCTTGGAGGATACATATGACAATCAGGAAAATGCAAATCTCAGTCTATATTCCAAGCCTCCTAAGAAAAGCTAAATTAAACTTCAGCAACGAAAAGGAACCATGGTACACCCAGGTGTCACAAATGCTGAAAGGGGAACATTATTAATGTCACATTCATACTTTGAAGGAGAAACTGATTTGAGAAATGTACTTTTATGATCTCATGGTTTTTTGTTTTTGTTTTTGGTTTGGTTTGGTTTGTTTTTTGAGACGGAGTCTCACTCTGTCACCCAGGCTGGAGTGCAGTGGCATGATCTCAGTTCACTGCCACCTTTGCCTCCCAGGTTCAAGAACTTCTCCTGCCTCAGACTCCCAAGTAGCTGGGATTACAGGCGCCTGCCACCACGCCTGGCTAGTTTTTGTATTTTTAGTAGACACGGGGTTTCAACATGTTGCCCAAGCTGGTCTCAAACTCTGACCTCAAGGTATCTACCTGCCTTGGCCTCCCAAAGTGTTGGGATTACAGGTGTGAGCTACCACGCCCAGCTGAGCTTGCTTTTTTGACTCAACATGTTACCTTGGGGATTATTCCTCTAAGTATAAAGAGATCCTGGGTGCAGGTCCTGACTTTTCCAAATTATATCCTATTGTTTCATTCTCTTCAAGGTGTCTTTTGAAGAGCAGAATTTGCAAATTTTGATGAGTCCAATTTATCCTGTTTTTAATAGATTGAGCTTTTTGTTTAAAACTAAGTATGTCATTTTTTCATGCTATTGTAAATGATGCTTTTTAAAATTTCAATTTCCAACTGTTCATTGCTACTATGTAGCAATATTATTCATTTTTATATTCTGATATTGTCTTCTGCAACCTTGCTAAATTCCCTTCTTGGTTCTAATGACATGTGTGTAGATTATTTGAGATTTTTCTACACAGATAATCACACTGTCTGCAAATAAAGACAGATTTGTCTCTTCTGCTCCAATGTATATTCCTTTTTTTGCTTGCCTTACTGGACTGTCTAGAACCTCCAGAACAATTTTGAATAGAAGTAGTAAGAGTGGACAGTCTCATTTTATTCCTGATCAAGAGGGGAAACTGTCTTTTGCCATTAAGCACGATGTTAGCGGTAGGTTTTTTGGAGATACCCTTTATCAGGTTAACAAAGCTCCTTTTTATTCCTAGTTTGCTGAGAGTTTTTATCATGCATGGATGTTGATTTTGTCAGATGCTTTTTCTGCATCTATTGAGGTTTTTCTTCTGTAGTCTGTTGATATGGTGAATTGCATTGATTGATTTTCAAATGTTGAACCAGTTCTCTTGCATTCCTAGGAAAAAGCTCATTTGGTCATGATGTGTACACCTACACACACACACATACATATACATGTATACTTGCTAAAGTTGCTAAGAATTTCTTGTCCATGTTCATGAGGGATATTAATCTATAGTTGTCTTGTTTCTGTTTTCTTTCCCAGCCTGCTTTCAAACAGTTTTCCTCAGAATGGTTCCTCCCCTTGGTGCCCAACTGAGGCAGTCAGGAAGGATGCTGAGGAGGAGGAAGATGAGGAAGAGGAAGATCAAGAAGAAGAGGAGGAGGAAGAAGAAGAGGAGGAGGAGGAAGAGGAGGAAGAGGAAGAGGAGGAGGAGGAAGAGGAGAAAAAAGTGATCTTATACTCCCCAGGAACTTTGTCGCCTGACCTCATGGAATTTGAACGGTGTGAACAGTTGGGTGGGGTGGCTCTGTGCACCCATGGAGCTCCCTCCCATGGGGAAGGGGACAGAGGCTCTGGCTGGGGTATGCTGCAGCTGTGTGCCCCAGCTGGAGTGCATGGTTCAGACTAGGCCCTGAATCACGAAATCTCCAGGATTTTCATATGGGAGGGGCTGAGGGACAGGACTGGCAGAGAGGCTAGAGAAATAGTCTCAAAGCTACATTAGCATAGCACATACACTCATACAGTGTTTTTACTGAGACTGGGTGTTTATTTGGGGTGCCTTGTGGGGGGCACAGCTGATGGTGATTATGAGGGCTAACCCCTCTCTCCCCCAAAACACATACCCCCACAAGTCCGCACTGCTCTTACAGTAGGAAAGATGGCGAATGGCTGGCTCAGACGTCCCTTGCCACTGCCTCCTCCATAGACTCAAAGCCCCTCAGCAGCCATGTTGGCTTCCAGAGGAGTTGGCTCAATAGCAGGAGGCTCTCTCCACAGCCGAGCCTGACTTTCGGGCTGCAGGTTAAAGTTGGAGTCCTATCATGCCAGCACATTCATGGGCTCAGAATTTTCAAGAATATTCCCTTAGGATGAGAGCTGAGGCAGCTACGCCTCTTATCTGCTTCTGTCTAACACAGAAGGCTTCATGGGGCAGGGACTGGGAGAACTTGGGGAGGGGCCCCAAAGCCCAAGTCTATGTCCTTCATGGCCCCCAGGAAGGCTGCTGCTCTCCAAGGGCCAGGGGCGTGCAGAGTCTGAGAAGTCTCAGCCCTGGTGAGCCGTGGCGCCGTGGCCGGGCCTGCGTGCTGGGGTCCACACCATGAACCGAATCCCGAATCGCTTCGAGAGGGAGCTTTAGGGGTGCGAGACGGCGCCGCTTCTGTTCCAGGTATCTCAACTTTTACAAACAGACGATGGACCTTCTGACTGGCAGCGGGATCATTACCCCGCAGGAGGCGGCGCTGCCCATCGTCTCCGCGGCCATCTCCCACCTGTGGCAGAACCTCTCGGAGGAGAGGAAGGCCAGCCTCCGGCAGGCCTGGGCGCAGAAGCACCGCGGCCCTGCGACCCTGGCGGAGGCCTGCCGAGAGCCGGCCTGTGCCGAGGGCAGCGTGAAGGACAGCGGCGTGGACAGCCAGGGGGCCAGCTGCTCGCTGGTCTCCACGCCCGAGGAGGTGAGCAGGCCCACCGGGGTGGCGTGGATGGGGCACGGGAACCACCCTCGCCCTCGCCTGGGGACACCAGGGCTTTGCATTTAGCAGGTTGGAGGTGCAGTTTGCCTTCTGGCTCCCAAGGTCGGTTTCTGATTTTCTTTTTTCTCTTTTTTTTTTTTTTGAGACGGAGTCTCGCTCTGTCGCCCAGGCTGGAGTGCAGTGGCGCGATCTCGGCTCACTGCAAGCTCTGGCTCCCGGGTTCACCTCATTCTCCTGCCTCAGCCTCCCGAATAGCTGGGACTACAGGCGCCCGCCACCACGCCCGGCTAATTTTTTTGTATTTTTAGTAGAGACGGGGTTTCACTGTGTTAGCCAGGATGGTCTCGATCTCCTTACCTCGTGATCCACCCGCCTCGGCCTTCCGAAGTGCTGGGATTACAGGCGTGAGCCACCGCGCCCGGCCGGTTTCTGATTTTCTAATCCCTGGGGTCACGGAACAGTATTTGTTTTTCTGCGGTTAGTTTCCTGGCCTTTCCCTGGGGATGGCAGAAGACAAGTCTTGAGAGGTTGTCTCAGTTGGGATTCTTTGGGCTGCCAGGGCCTGGATTATTAAACCACGAAGAAATGCACTCCTCACACCCGGGGAGGTCCGAGGCAGGCAGAGGAGCTCACCATGTCCGCGTGGATTCAGGCCTCTCTTGGCTCTGCTCAGTTTCTTATCTTTCCCTGCCCTCCCCACCTCCTCCGGCTCCTGTGGCTATGGAATGGCAGCTAGAGCAATCGAACTGTCTTTCTTCCTACTCTACATCAGGTAAGACAAAGATTTCCTACGAAAGCTCTTTCTTAAGAGTTAAGGAAGAACTTTTCCGGAACCGCTCCTCCCCTCTCATTGGTTGGAACTGGCCAAATTGCCAGCCTGCTGAGCCAATGACTGGCCATAGAGGGAATCACACTTGGACCAATCAGGTCCAGCCCTTGAAAGGCCGTCAGTTCCCACCCCAAAGAGCACTGGGATCGCTCTGTGAAGGGGAGGTTACCACAACTGCTACCGTAAATGCATTTCTCAGCTTTCAGAACGCTAGTCAGAATGGCCGTGGCCATAGTCTGCAAAGCAGAGCATCAGGTAGCATTTGAGGTCGCCCTGCACGGAGATAAAAGTGGGCCCACAGCTGCTCTTCCAGTATGAGGACGGCCTCAGAACACTGCTCTACCACACGGCCCACGCTCGCTCCTCTAGCCCAGGCGCAGCCGATTCGCATTCTGCACATGCCCTGTGCTTCGTGGACATTTAGCATCCATGGCTTCCGCCTGATACAGGCCACCCCCTTGCCCTGACTTTCCAAATGCTCCTCAGTCGGGGCGCCTTTGAGGAGACGACATGCTAGTTTCCCAGAGTCTCTCTGTGGAGCCTTAGGGCCAGAGAGCGTCCGATTGTCTCTGACCCTGGAGTTACAGCCCTGGAATGCCTCCGTTTTTTAGAAGGTTCCTCAGCTATCAGGCCCAAGCCTGGAGAACGACAGAGATGTCACCCATTCCTGTCCTTCCAGTTTGCAGGCCTAACCAGCAGTGTGACTTGCCCAGAACTCCCAGCTCCTGCTTCAGTGACTGTGTCTCTGTCATCACACATTTTTTCACATTACTCTGCCCTTTGGTCACCTGTTGATGGTCAACCCTCCATTATCTCCCCTGATGCTTCTCAACTGAATCACCTGTGGAGTTTTTTTTTAAAGTCAGGTGCCTGGCTGGGCGCAGTGGCTCACACCTGTAATCCCAGCACTTGGGGAGGCCGAGCAAGGTGGGAGCAATGCTTGAGCCCAGGAGTTTGAGACCAGCCTGGGCAACACAGTGAGACTGCGTCTCTACTAAAAACTAAAAAAAAATAAAAAGGTGTGGTGGTGGTACACCTGTAGTCCCAGGTACTCAGGAGGCTGAGGCAGGAGGATCCTTTGACCCCAGGAGGTCAAGGCTGCAGTGAGCTATGATTGTGTCACTGCACTCCAGCCTGGCAACACAGCAAGACTCTATCTATCCCAGACACACTGAATCAGAGCCTCTGAGGGTGGGGCCTCAGGAATTGCATTTTTAACAAGCTTCCCTCGTGGCTAGTGCAGTAGGTCCTATTGGAGGGAACTCCCAGTGCAGATGTTCAATGGCCTACCAGCTACTGCCTTGGTCCTTTCCCCGACCCCCGAACATGGGTCCACCAGACTGTGGCTTCTGATCTGGTTTTCCTCTGATGTTGGGTCCACCATGAGAAGACATGCGTTCTGTTCCATGATGGCTCAAAAAAAGCCAGAAGATTAGGACCTCATACCCAAGGCTTGTATGAAAGGGCAGCCAAACAGATGTGTTTACAGCCCCAAAGTGCCAAGCCCTGGAGTCTCACATGAAGAAAACGAAAGGAAAATACAGTCATGGGCTACATAAAGATGTTTTGGGCAACAACAGACCACCTATACAATGGTGGTCACATAAGATGATAATGGAGCATATATGGAAACCTGATATATGGCACTCGATATTGGCATTGCACATCAAGTAGGGTAAATAATTGATATTCAGTAATGGAACTTGGATTTTTGGTTTTCCATATGAAAAAATATATATAAATAAATATATGGGCTGGGCGTGGTGATGCCAGTCTGTAATTCCAGCATTTTGGGAGGCCAAGGTGGGTGGATCATCTGAGGTCAGGAGTTCAAGACCAGCCTGGCCAAAATGGTGAAACACCATCTTTACTAAAAATACAAAAATTAGCTGGGCGTGGTGGCGAGTGCCTGTAACCCCAGCTACTCTGGAGGCTGAGGCAGGATAATCGCTTGAACCTGGGAGGTGGAGGTTGCAGTGAGCCGAGATCACACCATTGCACTCCAGCCTGGGTGACAAGAGTAAAACTCTGTCTCAAAAAAGAAAAGATAAATATATGTATATATGCCATCTAGGTTTGCATAAATACACTCTGTGATGTTCACATGACAAAGTTGCCTAAGGACACATTTCTCAGAACTTATCCCCATCAGTAAGTGATGCATGACAGTATCTACCAAATGCCTGAGCAATTCTGCCAAATTTGACTGTGCCAGCACGAACACTTCCCCAGGAAGAACACATCCAAAGAGAAAACAACCAGAATCTAATGTCTCCAAATCATGGAAACAGCTTTTCTGGGTTTTTCAGGGAGGCCTATGGGCTGATGTTTGTTGGGTATTAAGGGAAGCTGGCAGCAGATTCCCTCAGCTGTGGCCAGAAGCAGGGCTCTGCCTGCACTGCTGTGCCCAGGTTTAGGCCAGGCCAGGGCTGGGCGATAAGGTAGGCAGAACAGAGAACTCCCATGCCCGAGGCAGGGACAAAGCCACAGTTACTCCTGCTGAGCAGTGACACCACTGCAGCCCCTGGTCCACCTGGAGAGGTTCTGCTGCAGAACTGTTGTGTTAGAGGCCAGCAGCACGGTCAGATGGGCCCAGGAGGCTCTGGAATGCTCCATTTCAGTTCAGACATGAGCTTCCCTGTGAGTGTGGTGGCACTCTGGAAAGGCTGTGGAGCCTGGTCTGGGGTCCCCTCTCAGGCTGGCTTGTGAGGGGGATTTGCACAGGTGAGCACAATGTGTGGCCTGCGACTTTGGTGGGCTGATTGCTTAAGGACAGGGATTTCAGTTCTGGGTCCCTGTTTCAGGCCTGCCAGGGAGCAACATGTAGCTGATAGGCTTCAGAGCTGATGGACACTGAAGCACAGGTCTTTCTGTGGCCCCTTTCCAGATCCTCTTTGAAATGACCACAGAGATATCAAGTAGAAGGACAACAGAAAATGTCCGGAAAACTAAGAGAGGGGCCAGAGTCCCAAGGGATTCAGTTCCAGGAAGTCAATTGAAGGAAGACAGAAAGGGCAGACACCAATCCTCTTGGAAGAGCTGTGTGTTGCAGGAAGGGAAGAGGAGAGGAGAGACCCTGGCGGAACCTGCCAGTACCTGCCAACTCAGGGTCAGAGAACTTCCTCTCCTCTCCTAGGCGTGATTGCCAGTGCAAAGGAGATGTCAGTTAAAGTAAAGCATGCCCAGTTCAATTTTTAATACAAAAACGTCCCATGCATGATTCAAAACATTCTTATACTAAAAATTATTCATTCTTTATCTGAAATTCAAAATGTAACTAGGCATCCCGTATTTGTATTTGCTAAATCTGGCAGTCATGTAAGTGTAAATCATGTTTCTGTAACATATTTAATATTCTCTAACACATTAGGGGGAAGCAGGATGAAAAACTGTCTAAATAGCAAGATTCCAAATTGGAAATATATATTATAGACCTAGGGAAGTGACTGGAGAGAATTAGATCAATGTGTCAACAATGGATATCTGGGTGGGATTGTTTCTCAGTAATTCTTATTTTCTTGATCTGTTTCTATTTTCCAAAATTTCCACAATGAACATGTATGTCTCTTATAAAGCAGATAATGTTCAATTATGTGCCAGGTATGTCTGTTATAAAGTGGATAATGTTCAAATGTAACTAGATACTTCACATACATTATCTTACTTAATTCTTGGAATAGCCCTATGAGTAGACACTAATGTGATTCCTGTTTTATAGAGGAGGATTTGTGAGATGAAGTAACTTGTCCCAGGTCACACAGCTAGCAAGGGACACAGGCCTGGGAGTTGGCCTGCCTGCAGCCTAACCCAGAGCCTTCCTGACCCTCTGGATTCAGCTGTCCTGGCATGAGACAGCTAGACTGGGGACCCTGGGCTCCAATAATCTGTGCGCCTTGGGAAGTTTTGATGAGGTTTTTCTCAGTGGTAAACTGAGGCTCTGGTAATTGCATCTCACACCTGAGCTCCCACCTTCGTCGGCAAGAGGAATCACAATCCCCATTTCTTCCTGTCCCTCACAGCCACCTCCAGGGTTGGCAGTTTGTCCTGGGCACTCTAGAGTTTAGCATTTACCCCCTAGGAAGAACAGCAAGCAGAGCCCCTGGGTGTGGGCCCCAGCTCTGACATGCATGCCCTCTGGGGTATGTGTAAAGAGAGAGCCTTTCCACTCATCTCTCCCCAGCAGCCCAGGGCAAGCATGAAATTGTCAAGTTATTTCCAACACATGAAGTGTTGTGCTTTCTTTCAGATCCTTTTTGAGGATGCCTTTGATGTGGCAAGCTTCCTGGACAAAAGTGAGGTTCCGAGTACATCTAGCTCCAGGTGAGGAAGAGGGTGTGAGATAGCATGTGCCCCTGTGTGGGTGGATGTGAGATTGTGTGTGCGCAGGTGTGTATGTGTGAGTTTGCATGTGCATGAATGTGGTAAGTCAGAGACAGAGAGAGGAGACAGAGGGAGAGAGAGAGAGTGTGTGTGTGTGTGTGTGTGTGTGTGTGTGTGCACCCCTGCTGGGGTGTTCAGGGGCCTCTCCTCTGCAGTCCCTAGATGGGTGTTGTATTAGTCCATTCTCACACTGCTACAAAGAACTACCTGAGACTGGGTAATTTATAAAGAAAAGAGGTTTAAGTGACTCACAGTTCCACAGGCTGTAAAAGAGGCATGGCTGGGGAAACTTACAATCATGGTGGAAGGCAAAGGGGAAACCTGTATATCCTCACATGGTGACAGGAGAGAGAGTGAAGGGGGAAGTGCTACACACTTTTCAAATAACCAGATCTTGTGAGAACTCTTGTCATGAGAACAGCAAGGGGGACATCCACTTCCATGATTCAATCACACACCCCCTCACCAGGCCCCTCCTTCAACACATGGGGATTATAATTCAACAGGAGATTTGGGTGGGGACACAGAGCCAAATCAGATCTGGTGCCTAATTCAGTGGGTATTCTTGGGGATCCACCTTTTTTCTGTGATTGGAAGTGAGCTGGTCCTAGGATTGTGTCATTGCCCTGGGGATGACACTATCTGTGGCATCTTCAGAGTAGAAAATTCTTCCATCCTGGCGCAGGGCTGGGACATACCAGGTTATCAGCTGTAGGTTGTGGAAACTCATCTGTTCACTTTGCACCCCATTCCCAGTGTGTGTTAGTCCTGCTAACCTCCACTGAGGGCTGCTGTATCCCTGCCTTAAGTCCATTATATACTAAATGCCATAGGCTGGATGGCTTATAAACAACAGAAATGTATTTCTTACAGTTCTGGAGGTTGGGGAGTCTACGACCAAGGTGCCAGCAGAGTCAGAGGCTCGGTTTTTCACAGACGGCACCTTCTGGATAAAATTCACATGGTGTAGGGGCAAGGAATCTCTCTGGAACCTCTTTCTTTAAAAAAATTTTTTTTTTTTCTAAGACAGAGTCTCACTCTGTCACCCAGGCTGGAGTGCAGTGGTGTGATCTTGGCTCACTGCAACCTCCGCCTCCTGGGTTCAAGTGATTCTCCTGCCTCAGCCTGCCGAGTGGCTGGGATTACAGGTGCATGCCACTATGCTCAGCTAATTTTTGTATTTTTAGCAGAGACAGGGTTTTGCCATGTTGGCCAGGCTGGTCTCGAACCCCTGACCTCAGATGATCCACCCACCTCGGCTCCCAAAATGCTAGGATTACAGGCGTGAGCCACAGCGCCTGGCTCTGGGGCCTGTTTTATAAGGGCACTAATCCCATCATGAGGGGCCCATCTTCATGCCCTAGTCTATGATCTCCCGGAGTCCCCCACCTCCTAACACCATCACCCTGGGGATTAGGCTTCAGCATATGAATTTCGGAAGAACACAATCCATCGGTCTCTAGCACCCAGGGCAGCTTGCGGGCAGGTTCTCCCAGCTGACCTGGAAGGAGAAGGCGGGGAGGGGGCTCTGGGGCACAGAGAATAAGGGCCAACATGCAAATAGGCATGGGCCCTGAGTTTAGGGGACTCTCTGAGTTCTGCAAAGGGGGGTTGCTGCTTTTCATGGTGCTGATGGGAACGGATATGGAAGGAGGGGAGAAAAGGATAGCTGACCCCATGAAGTGGGAAGACACAAAATAGGATGTGAAAAGATTTTAAAACAAGAAGCAGCGTGACTAACAATGTCCCAAAGGTGTGTTTTCTGAGAGAAATCCTTTAGGACTGAAATTCCCTTGCTGCTTTGCTTGAAAAACCTGTGGTCTTAGAGCCTGAAGGCACAGGTTCTTCAGATACCTGTGCTGCTATCATGGCTAAAAAGAATCCTGGACATTTATTTTTCTGCTTTGGGGGTGAGAGGGACATATCCTTGTGATCCCAATGAATATCTCATTGTCCTCTCAAGGGGAGCCTGGCCTATGGGTGCCTGTGAGGCCTTGGGGCCACAGCTGTCCCTAGTAACCCAGCTGGCCTTTCAGCAGAGCTTCAGGGAAACCACACATCAACATTTTCCCTCCATTCTCCCTGTTCCACCCAGGCCTAGATGGACTTGGGGAGAAGTGGGATTGTCAGAGGAGGGCTTTGTCCTCTCCAAATCGACCTTACAGAGTGACTCAAGTGCTTCTCAGCTGTGAGTGGAGTTTCATTTTGCTGCAATTGGCTGGAAGACACATTCCTGTTTCTGTGCTGAGCTTGGACTGCAAAGACAACCATCGAGAAGCTGCCAGCCTGTCCTTGCCAGGCAATATTCAGAACTCCCTGCCCTGCTGATGGAACAGAAAAACAACCTATTAAAAATGTTCCACTTCCCCTAGAAAAGTCAGGGGTTGCTGCCAGAGGGTTCCTCATCCCGGGAGGAAGTGAGGGCTGCCTGCTGACTCACAGTGAGTGAGTGCCAGCTGTCCTACAGACACACAGCCTCTGTGCTCTAAGAAGCCCTTTGAAGCAGGGTCCACATTGCAGGGCCTGGCTCTTAGCGGGCATTCCTAAATGTTGCACGAGCCCCTGCCACCTTTCCTAAAGGCTGAGCTAACTCATCATCTTCTGAGGCCCTGCAATAACAGTTGCTGTCAGCTTTTGAAGGATTTTCATGTCTGCTTCCAAACTGTGCTGCTTATGGTGACATAAGCTCGAGTCACACAGGGCTTCTCCCCTTGTCCCAGGCAGGCAGGAGGAAAAGAGCCTGCACAACAGGCCTCCTTTCTGCACCAGGGCTTGAGTTCCACGTTAGACCCACTGAGCAGTGGCAACTCAGTGAACTGAACTCAAGATGTGCGGCGTGCTCCAGAGCTGCCTCAGCAGCCACAGTGGAACCAGAACTGTGGGGGCATTCTGCAGAAGATTGAGGGATAGAGGAACTCTCGTTCCCTTGTTCCAGTGGCCACAGCTCAGAACACTAAATTAGGGCACAGGAGCCAGTCTCACCACAGTCTCGATTTTCCAGGGGATTCCAGACATGATATGTGAGCAGAGGTAACACAAACCTTTCAAGGAGAGGTCTGGGCTGTCTGAGAATTTACATGTGCTTGGTTCATACTGTAACCCAAATCTTTCAGGGGAGGGGGAAGCAGAGTTGAAAGATCAGGATCCTGAATATTTGTTGCCTTTTCTTCCTTTCTGTTGTCAGTTCAGTGCTTGCCAGCTGCAACCCAGAAAACCCAGAGGAGAAGTTTCAGCTCTATATGCAGATCATCAACTTTTTTAAAGGCCTTAGCTGTGCAAACACTCAAGTAAAGCAGGTAGGATGGAGTAGAGGGCCGTGGTACCTCTGCCCACCTTGCTTAGATAGCAAAAAGGGCTCTTAAGGGCAGCCCTAACCAGAACTCACCCCAATCATACCATGAGGAGCCACTGGGCAGGGACACTCTCCATTCTCTCTGGCTTGCTCCATGAATGGTCACCTTCAGCCTGATGCATCCTGTAGAATGAATGGAAGATAGCCAGGGAAACAGGAAAGACAGAGAAGTGTCCTCTAGGGCAGGGGTCCCCAACTCCTAGGCCACAGACCAGTACAGATCTATGGCCTGCTAGGAACACAGCTGCACAGCAGAGGGTGAGCATGACAGCCTGAGCTTTGCCTGCTGTCAGATCAGTGGCAGCGTTAGATTCTCATAGGCGTGCAGACCCTATTATGAACTGCTCATGCAAGGGGTCTAGGTTGCTCTCTCCTTATGAGAATCTGACTAATGCCTGATGATCTGAGGTGGAAGAGTTTCATCCTGAAACCACCCTTGCCCCCCAGGTCTGTGGGAAAATTGTCTTCCGTGAAACTGGTCCCTGGTGCCATAAAGGTTGGGAACCACTGCTCTAAGGCAGACCTTGACTGGGAGCCCTTTGAAGCAGGAACCCGATCCCAGGGGCCTGACTCTCAGCAGGCATTCATAAATGTTGTGTGAACCTTTGACACCTTCCCAAAACGCTGGGCTATTTCATCATCTTCTACAGTCTTCATCACCTTCGGTAATATTTGCTGTCAGCTTTTGAAGGATATTAATGTCTGCTTCCAAATTGTTCCACTTACAGTGATATGAGCAGTGGGACTCTTGGTTAGGAGGGCCATTCCTGGAAGCTTTTGTCAGAGAAGGGGGGTTATACCTGAGCCACAAGGGGACAGGTCCTTTCAAATTCATAGCCATGGATTTTTCTTTACTAGTTTAGCAATAATACAACTGTTTATTTAAAAGGTAAGTTATAATAATAGCAAATGTTTGTCTAAAAATAGTCAAGACACCTGTTCAATAGGCTAAGGTATAACTTGCCCTTTTCCAACTAAGTCTTCATTTCCTTCTTCTGGGACCACAGTGAATCCTTATGTGGAGCCCTTCCTTGCAGTTTGCTCTCCCCTTCCCACCAATCCTTGGGTGACAGTCCCCTGGACCAGTTGTCCCCTCTTTCTCTCAGATACAGTTAAATTAGCCCACTTTATCAAGACTTTGAGAATAGACGAAAAGGACAATCTTTGCCTCCCCTCCTTCTCCATATATGGCAGAAAAGATAACAAGCAGGGATTCTTGTATCCATACAAAGCAAAGGTATGGCCGGGTGCAGTGGCTCACACCTGGAATCCCAGCACTTTGGGAGGCTGAGGTGGGCAGATCACTTGATCCCAGGATTTCAAGACCAGTCTGGACAACATGGCAGAGCCTCACCACTACAAAAAATATAAAAATTAGCTGGGTGTGGTGGTACATGCCTGTAGTCCCAGCTACTCAGGAGGCTGAGTTGGGAGGATTGTTTGAGCCTACAAGGCAGAGGTTACAGTGAGCTGAGATCAAGCCACTGTACTCCAGCCTGGGCAACAGAGTGAGACTCTCTCCAGACAACAACAACAACAGAACAAAGCAAAGATGCCAAACTTCAGCACTCCTAGATTCCCGATGCCTCAGTGCTGCAAGAACGGGCCCCAGAAATCTGCATTTGGAATGAGCTGTCCAAGTGGCTCTGGGGCAGGAGGACTCAGGCTTTGATAGACTCTGGTGTAAACAGAAAAGTTGCATTCTCCTCCCAACCTCTGCCACTGTCTTCCTGCTGAACAAGGGGCCCACAAGATTTGCCTGGAGACTGTGGTCCCACCTCCCTGACACTCTTGATCCCTATTTCCCTGCCCCTATCAGGAGAGCATGGTGAATGGGAACTGCTTCTCCAGGGCAGGAAAGGCTCAGTTTGTGGAGGTCGTCCCCACTATGAGGATATCACCCTTGGGACCAGGTCCCACATTCATTAGATGGTTGACTGGGGTCAGGGATGCCACCTGGTTCCATGGGGATCAACTCTGATCTGCAGGGCTGACAAGTTACAGGGGTCATTTTCTGCTAGGATGGAGACAGACAGAAGGAGCAAAGCCTCAGGAACATATTTTTAGAGGAAGAAGTCATGGAGAGTCCTGAGGTGTTGGCTGGGATCACTGTTTACAGTGTCCCTTTAGGGACTGAGAAACCCTTGCTAAGCAAACAGTGCTGCTGCTTTTTTTTTTCACCCAGGATGGTGTGTAGTCATGGTGTGATCTTGGATCACTGCAACCTCTGCCTCCCAGGTTCAAGTGATTCTCATGCCATGGCCTCCCGAGTAGCTGGGATTACAGGCGCACACCACCATGCCCAGCTAATTTTTTTGTATTTTTAGTAGAGACAGCATTTCGCCATGTTGGCCAGGCTGGTCTCGAACTCCTAACCTCAGGTGATCCGCCTGCCTTGGCCTCCCAAAGTGCTGGGATTACAGGCATTGAGCCATCATGACCAGCTGCAGTGCTGCTGCTTAAAAAAATATCATCTCCTAATAGGTAACCCATATACATGGCATAAAATTTACAAGTTACCAAAAGATATACAATGGACACTTAGTCTCTCTCTCTTCCTTGCTTCCTACCCCATACCCTCCCCCAGAGGCAACTACAGTGACCAGTTTCTTGTACACTCATCCAAAGATATTCTACAGATATTATATATTCTTTCAAACACAAATAGTAGTAGCCTACGGTACACATTGCTTTGCACTTTGCCCTTTGTAAATAGTGTATCCCACAGAGAGCACGCTGTCTCATTATTTTTGTTGGAAATGAGCTGCATGGTGTTTCATTGGTGGGAGCACCGTGGTGCAGTGCACCGTCTTCTATTGATGAGCATTTGGATAAAGCCTTATGAGGTCCTCTGTCTCTCTTGTGGGAACCTGGAAATCCCCAGGATAAAAAAGAAGCCAGTTCTGCTGTGTCCTTTCTGGAGGTCATAGAATGCTGAGTTGAGTGAAATGGAAATGGGACCTTCCCCCCTTAGAGCCCTTGCTTCCTGGCCCAAGCTGGAGGTGAAAATGCAGCGGAAGAGACGTAGGATAGAGTCTGGGGGCTGGGCACACCGGAGATGCAGGAGCCTTCCTATCTGCCTCGGGCCCAAGACCCACAGATAAAAAGTGACCCTCTTCCACCCTGTGTCTTGCAGGAAGCATCCTTTCCCGTTGATGAAGAGATGATCATGTTGCAGTGCACAGAGACCTTTGACGATGAAGATTTGTAATGCAGAAGAGGAGCTGCGAGGGGAGGGACTGAATGAGGTGGGCAGTTCCCAAGGTTGAATGCTGGCAGCTAAGGTTGCACCTGCCTTGGCCTCCAGGACTCTTTGGAGTGGGTTGTTCCAGAAGCATTTTGATGATTTTAGTTTCTGATTATTATAAAGTATAAGAGAAGCACGGCCTCGTGTTGGTCTTTAGGGACTGTTTGGCACAAAGGGCTGGCCTGCTGCTATTGTGCTCCTATTAAGGGGGTAGAAAGTACAGCTGGGGCCCAGGCCATGGGCCTTTCAAGGAGGACAGGCAGGATCTGTCCTCGGAGGTGACATAACACCAGGTACTTTCAGCATGTCCTGGGCACAGGGCATTGCCCTGATGGGTTCTAGAGAGTTCCACAGCCCACCTGCTCATCCTGCACACTCTGAGAGCCAGGGGCAGTGCTGACCTCAACCCTGTGCCACAGGACAGCTGGGTGGAACCAGATTCATCTGCTGCTCCTGGTAATAAAGTCACCTGAACAGGAGCTACAGTGAGGTCCGAGGGTTCCGAGGGCTTTCTGGTGAGGCTTCTGGGCAAAGGGTGCATACGTGTACCTGGGCTTGGACACTGGGGGTGAGGGTGAATTTTATGTGTCAACCTGGCTAGTCTGTGATACCCAGGAATTTGGTCAAACATTATTTTAGATGTTTCTGTGAAGGTATTGTTAATGAAATTAACATTTAAGTCAGGAGACTTCCAGTAAAGCAGATGATCCTCAGAATGCTTCCTATAGGTTAAAGGCCTGAATCGAAAGAGACCGACCTCCCGGGAGAAAGAGGGAATCCTGCCAGCAGTCCAACTTTGGACTTGAACTGCGGCTCTTCCCAGCCTGCCGGCCCGCCTTGCAGATTTTAGACTTGCACCTCCACAACTGCATGGGTCCCTTCCTTAAAATAAATATTTCACCTCTCTCTTTCTCTGTATCTACGTATATACACATCTTATTGGCTCTATTTCTCTGGAGAACCCAGACTAATGCAGGGTGTGCGGGGAGAATGGGCTTGCATGGCTCTTTACAGTTTTCAAGGCATCATAGCAGCCCCTCCCCTGCACTGAGGCCCTCCCAAAGGCTTGGACTGTGTTATCTCCTAGCGAGAGTCTGAAACACCGGCTAAGTCTTAGGACCCAGACCCAGTCCTGTGTGACTCCAAAGCAGTCCTGAGATGCATGAGCCCGCACTCAAGGACTTCCCCCGGGGTGTGCAGGGATAGGAGCTTCGCAAGCCCTTCACAGCTTACAAATCACCGCACCGAGTGGGCAGAGGGAGGCTCTCCAGGAGCTGGGCAGGAAGGGCCTTTGTGCTCAGGGGCAGCTTGAACTCCTGCTGGAAAGACAGGAATGCAGGAGCTCAGGTTGGCCACCCCTAGAGGCTCACCAAGCCAGCTGTGTGGGAAAGAAGAAATGCAGCTTTACAGAGGGGCGTGCACATAGTAGGCCCTCAAGCAATGTATGCCAGTGCTAGCCAGCCCCTCCCTCTTTGTACCAAGCTCCACCCTGATCCTATTTAGTCCAAGGCTGCGACTTCATTCCTTGAGCCATACCTGCCAGCAGCCCCTAGTCAGAGAGGACCTCAGCAGGATGTGGAGGTGTCCCTTCCCCCCACAACCTTGTGCTGGGTTGTGAGCCCAACAGCCCTCTGCTTCTCTCCTGCAGCCTTGGGTATTGGCATAGCCTGGGATGGAGTTATTGCATAAAACTACCTTCACGTGGTTCTCAATCTCCCTTCCTCCCCACCAAGGACTTGTATCGGGAAGGTATCTTCCTATATCAGTCAGTACTGTAGCAATCAGAGTTCTGCAGAAAAACAGTGCCAATACGATATAGAGACACCGAGATTTATTTTAAGAAATTGGTTTATCTGTTTGTGGGGACTGCATGTCTGAAATCTGTAGGGCTTCCAGGAGGCTGGAAACTCAGGCTGGAGTTGGCAGTGCAGTCTTGAAAGAATGTCTCCTCCCAGAAACCTCAGTTCTGTTCTTACGGCCTTCAGCTAATGGATGGTGAGCCCCAATCACATCAGCAAGGGCAATCTTCTTAATTTAAAGTGGACTGGTTTGTTAACCACATCTATAAAATGCCTTCACAACACCCCCTAAAGGAGTGCCTGATTAGATAACTGGATACTATAGCTTGGCCAGCTTGACACATGAAACCAACATCACGGGTACCCCTTGGGGATTTTTATGTTGTTGTTGTTATAGCAGCTCCCTGTGGAGGTTGGGCCTCTGTTATTACTGCCATTTGACAGATGAAGAAACAATGATTTAACTGAAGCCCCAAACCATTTAATAGAAGAATCTCAGATCACCTCACCTCTAACTCTTTTTATCCCCAATAAGTTAATGAATGGGGAACAATTTTGTTGTTTAAAGTCACAAAAAAGCCCTGCCTCTAAAGAATTAGGATGTAGGAATGTGAAGCCAGCCCTTGGAGTTCACTCTGTCGGCCACTCTGTGCATCACCTCTAGGTGATGACTGGGAGGGGGATCATGGGAGGTCAAGTGGAGGCGGGAAGAAGCAAGATTGGAGGTGAAGGAGGGAAGCTGCGAGGCCGTGGCTCTAGGCACTGCATTATCAGAACAGGGGATTCAGATTCTGATAGCGACCTTGGAATGTGCAGAAAAAGCTCCAACAGATAAATGCTTATTGAGTGCAGATGGTGTGGGCGGGTGGTGGCTGGGCTGAGCTGACATCTAGCTTGGGTAACTCAGTTCCACCTCATGCTAATTGAATCAAGCTAATTACCCCAAGCCCATCTCGTCAATTACTTCTTATCCACCAGCTACTTCTCCAACCTTGATTCTGAACAAAACAAGCCTTTGTGCTTTTATGGAAATGTCAGAAATCTGTCCCTTCTTGCATATGCTTCTCACAAAGCTGCCTTGTTCCTGAAGCTCTGAAACTACGTGTTCTGACAATAAAAAAAAGTACAGCTGAGGGAAGACCAGGAGGCTGTTCCAGGAGAGGGCCTGGCTCTCTTCTCCTGCTGTTCATCCTGCTTTGGCTGCCTGGGGACAGCACGATACGAAAATAAAGTACAGGAAAACCCACTTGGAAAACTGAGCCTGGCTGCCTGGCAGCTGTTTGGTGAGAACATAGGGAATGTTCTGAAGTCCTGGAGCTGTCAACCAAAGGAAAAGGAACAAAGGGCAGAATGAGACAGGATGTGAAGGGCTTCTGTGGGCACAGAAGCAGTAGGGTAAGGAAAGAGGATGGGCCTGCTCTTGACTGGTATGAGAGGCATCCAGGACTCCTGGAGCAGCTAAGCGCAGGTCCTCAGCTCCAGCACATTTATTACAGCATGTTAGATGGGCGGGACCCTGTTACTTTAAGCCTACCATGGCACACACTCACAAAAGTCTCTTTTTAAGAAAAAAAATCTTTTTTTAAGATAGCAGAAATAACAGCAGGTGTGTATGCTGACATGCGTTACTGAAAGAAAGAGAAAACTTGATGCAAGATAGGAGACTTGTCGCAGTGAAACCCTTGAATAGAAATCAGGGAATGGGCTCTGGAGCACAAGGGGAGGAACCAGCTTCAGGGAGGAGCCAGGCAGCTCATTCACCCAACAGGAGGGAGAGTCAAGGGGCACCAAAGCTAGGAGTGGAGACATGCAGGTGTTTGCACAGTTTCTCATCTGATTACTCCTTTACAGATTTCTCTGAAATAAGAAGCTGAGGTTGGGTATGGTGGCTCATGTCTGTAATCCTAGCACTTTGGGAAGCCAAGGCTGGAGGACTGCTCGAGCCGAGCGGTTCAAGACTAGCCTGGGCAACATGACAAGACTCTGTCTCCACAAAGTATTTTTTAAAAAATTAGCAGAGTGCGGTGGCACATGCCTGTAGCCCCAGCTACACGGAAGGCTGAGACAGGAGGATCCCTTGAGCCCAGAGGTCAAGACTGCAGTGATCTGTAATCGCACTACTACACTCCAGCCAGAGTGACAGTGAGCGTCTCAAAAAAAAAAAAAAAAAAAAAGAAGAAGAAGAAGACAGAGGTGGAAAGAGTTTTAGCAGAGAGAGCCTTGTGCTTGGGAAAGGGTTCCTTCCTGCCAGGCGGCACTGAGGATCCCGTGAAGTTCAAAAAAAAAAAAAAAAAAAGAAGAAGAAGACAGAGGTGGAAAGAGTTTTAGCAGAGAGAGCAGTGTGCTTGGGAAAGGGTTCCTGCCTGCCAGGCGGCACTGAGGATCCCGTGAAGTTCAGGGTCTGAATCTAAAACCACTCCATTCAACTGTATGTTTTCCCCAGAGATGCTCAACTGCACGAGTGCAGGTGCAGAGTGAAGAGTTATTTCTCATCAGCGTTCAGGTTTTGCCAAGAGAGTGTAAAGAAGAGAGCAGACTAAGGGCGTTGCAAATGCGAGAAGGTGGTTATTATGACTGACTGTGGCATTGAGGTTGCTCAAGGAGGGAAGAGGGGACCAGCGGAAGGTGGGAGGACGGTAGATTCAGATCCTGGCCAATTAAAGAGTTATTAGACTTGGGGGACTAGAAGTAGTGAGCTGGAAAAATAGGAGGTGGTGGTCAGACAACTGCTTGAAATTGAGGATTGCAGGCACAGCTACTGGGAATCCCCAAGGCTAGTCTGAGATGTGGCCACAGAATGAGTAACTGAGATGAGCAAAGTCACACAGGATTCTTTCAGTGCCACTTCACCAGCCAGAAACTTCTGTGACCAGTGGCGCCTCTGACCAAGTTTTGCTCACAACTGCTGGGCTGGCTCTGCCTACTCAGCCCAGCAGGCTGTCCTCAGCTTGCACTACTGGCCCAGATCCCATTCCCATCATGGGTGAGCCAGGCGCGGAGTAGTGGGAGGTGTGTGAGTGAGCACAGGGTCCAGCCACACCACAGAGCCAGGTGCACCAGCTGCTGCAGAAGGGCAGGCAGCTCCAGGTGTCAGAACCATGTGAGGCTGTGGCTGGACCAGGTATGCCTCAAGTGGCTTCCACCTTGGGCACTGGCATCCCAACAAGGGGAACGCCGTGGTGCCTGAAAACTCAAAGACACCAGCAACCGTGGAGCTGCAAGAGGGTGTTACAGCATGTCACAGCTCTGGCTTGGGGAGCCCCAAGGTATGGGCCCCCAGAAGGGTCACAGATCTTCTCTTGTAGTCTGGCAAATAAGAGCGTGTCACTGCCCACAGCTTGGCAGGCTGGGCAGGAATGTGTTTCAGCTTGTTCATGTTACCGCTCATTCGGTCCCAATGCCCCACTCTAGCCCATGGCTCCTGGGCTGCTGGTCTGGTCACACCAACACTTCCTGTCATGTGGGGCAGCCATCCGGTGCCAGTGGAGGGTGGGACGGATACAGTGCTACAGCTCCTTTCACGCCAGTCCTTTGGTGGGCTCTGGGTTCTTGTTCTGCATCCAAGAAAAATAAGGTTATGCAGACAACCAGAGAGTGAGCAAGGCAGAGAAGAGTTTTATTGAGTGACAACACAGCTCTTGACAGGAGAGAGGACCAAAAGTGAGTAGACCCTACCCAAAGGCAGGTAGTCCCAGTGTGTGGCTGAGTCTGGGGTTTTTATGGGCTCAGAATGGGGGAATGTGTGCTGATTGGTGTATGGGCAGGCCTGGAAAAATCACCATTGGATTGGCTAAAAGGTAACGAGGGGCTAGGCATGGTGGCTCATGCCTGTAATCCCAGCACTTTGGGAGGCCGAGGCAGGCGGATCACCTGAGGTCAGGAGTTTGAGACCAGCCTGGTCAACATAGTGACATAGCTGTCTCTACTAAAAATACAAAAATTAGCCGGGTGTGGTGGCATGCACCTATAGTCCCAGCTACTTGGGAGGCTGAGAGGAGAATTGCTTGAATCCAGGAGGCAGAGGTTGCAATGAGCCGAGATCACACCACTGCGCTCCAGACTGGACTACAGAGCAAGATTCTGTCTCAAGAAAAAAAAAAAAGTAACAAGGAAGTTCTCACTCCAGCTTGTGGACTCTACCTGGAACTGGCAGCCCAGTTTTCAGGCTTAAACAAGGAAGTTCTCACTCTGGCTCATAGACTCTACCTGGAACTGGAGGCCTGGTTTTCAAGCTTTAAGCTGTCTTTGGTTTGAAGGTCAGGCTTCACCAGGGATCTGCCCCTGTCTGTCTAGGAATTTGTCTGCCTCCTGCTGCTATCAAAAGGGCCAGATCATGGAGCTCAAGGAACTAGAAGCCAAGGTGTGGGAAGGATGAGCTCTGTGGATATGAAGTCTCCAACTATGAAGACAAGAATTTTGGAGACAGGAACAGTGACCAACACACTAACATCCTCAGAGAAGGAGGGTTGGTCTGTAGATGCCAACAACAAAAAGGTGCATAGGTAGAAAATCCAATGGTGTGAGGTTCAAAGCAAAAGCACAGTAGAGATGTCCTGTAGGATCTGGAATTAAAGTTCTTCCCCATTCCTCACTATCCTGAAGTAAAGTACTAGTTTTGTTAGTCAGCTTCCAGTAGAGTTTTGCAAAGGTTACATTTCACATAAATATGTTATCTAACTATGTAACAAAAAGAAAAATGTGTAGAGGAATGGCTTACCACAGATTACATAAAAATAATTGTCGATTTTTGCATGGGCTAAGACTGCAAAATGTCTCCTAAGAACAAATTGGATACATTATGTAATCAACATAAAATAGGAAAGAAAAACTTCTTCAAAAGAGCAGAATTTGTTTAGAAACTTCACTAGCAAGCGGTGAAAAAAAATACATGACTTTTCGTCAACTAAGTGTATACATAAGGAAGATATCTTCCATAAAAGCAAGAGTACTGTGGACTCTGGGCAGTGTGTTTAAAAATGTGAAGTTAAAATTTAAAAAAAAATTTTTTTTGAAGGCTGGGCATGGTGGCTCATGCCTATAATCCCAACACTTTAGGAGGGGAAGGAGCGTAGCTTGATCCCAGGAGTTGGAGACCAGCCTAGGCAACATAGCAAGACCCCATCTCTCTATTTAAAAAAATAGTAAATTAATAAAAGTGTGAAAGTGACCATGTAACCAGGCTTTGATCTCTGTGCCCACCAATTTCCCAAAGTGTAGAAAATCTTCAGGCTTGTTTTCTTAAGGAAGAGCTGCCATACTATAAAGGAAATGCTATGATCTGAATATTTGTGTCCACCCAAAATTTGTATGTTAAAATCCTAACTCTGATGGTATTAGGAGGTGGGGGTCTTTGAGAGGTGATTAGGTCATGGGCAGAGCCCACGTGAATGGAATTAGTGCCCTTACAATCAAGGCCCCAGAGTGATCCTCCTCCCCCTCACCTTGTGAGGTTACAATGAGAAGGTGGCAATCTGTGAGGAAGTAGACTCTCACCAGATCTCTCAGTGCCTTCCTTGATCTTGGACTTCACAGCCTCCAGAACCATAAGAAATAAATTTCTGTTAAGCCACTCAGTTTTTAGTGTATTTTATTATAGCAGCCCAAACAGACTAAGACAGTAACCAATACAGTAGTTCCCCCTTATCCTTGGGGACCACATTCCAAGACCCCCAGCAGATGCCTGAAATCAAGGATAGTACCAAACCCCTATATAGACTATGTTTTTTCCTATACATACATACCTATGACAAAGTTTATGAATTAGGCATCCCTAATAACAAGATACCCAGCAATAAAATGCAACAATTATAACAATATCGTAATATTTTCAAGGGTTACCTGAGGACAAGCACTGCAGTGCCTCGACGGTCAATCTGATCACCAAGACAGCTACTAAGGGGGCGGGTATCCTCCACAGCATGGAGATGCTAGACCAAGAAATGATTCGAGTCTTGGGTGGGAAAGAACAGGATGGTGAGAGATTTCATCAGGCTACTCAATTTAAAACTTACATATTATTTATTTCTGGCATTTTGTATTTAATATTTTTGTATCTCAGTTGACTGCAGGTAACTTAAACCAGGGAATGAGAAACTAAGGATAAGGGGAGGCTACTGTATAGGATTTTTTATTTTTATTTTTATTTTTATTTTTGAGGTAAGGTCTTGCTCTGTCACCCAGGCTGGAGTGCAGTGGTATGACCATGGCTCACTGCAACCTTGACCTCCCGGGCTCAAGTGATCCTCCTGCCTCAGTGTCCTGAGTAGCTGGGATTACAAGTACACACCACTATGCCCGGCTAATTTTTGTATTCTTTGTAGAGATGAGGTCTTGCTAGGTTGGCAGGACTTCTCTCCAACTCCTGAGCTCAAGCAATCTTCCTGCCATGGCTTCCCAAAGTGCTGGGATTACAGGCATGAGCCACAGTGCCTTGCCCTGTATAAGATTTTTAATTAAGGACTGTAGTAGGCTGAATAATGGCCCCCAGAGATATTTATGTCCTAAACACCAAAACCTGTGAATGTCACCTTCTATGGCAAAGTCCCTTCTATGGCAAAGGGACTTTTGCAGATATATTAATCACTACATTAAGGATCTTGAGATGGGGCGATTATCCTAAGTTAACTGTGTGGGTTCCAAATGTAATCAAAGTGTCCTTATAAAAGAGAGGCACACAGGTCAAAGGAAACAGAAGATGGGACAAGGGAAGCAGAGGTGGGAGTATTGTGCTTTTAAGACGGGGAAGGGGCCACAAGCCAAGGAATGCGGGCCCCTTCTAGACTCTAGACACTGGAAAAGTCTGGGAAATGGATTGTCCCCTACAACCTCCAGGAGGAAGCAGCCCTGCCCACACCTTGGTGCCCCTGTAAGACTCACTTTAGACCTCTGAGCTGCATTTCTTCCAGGAATGTATACATTTGTATTCTTTCAAGACACGCAGTTTGTGGTCATTTGTTACAGCAGCCATAGGAAATGATGACAGGGACAAGAAAGATAAAGTCTTCAAGCCCGGCACTTACAAAACTTCCTTGCATAGAATACTCTGACCTACCATTGTCCTCCCTGGGATGTTTCTGGTAGAGCCAATGGAAGGCTGTGTTTTTCTTTTGCCTTTGCAATGACAGTGGAAGGCTAGGAGGGCATCATCCTCAGCTGCAGCAGGAGAGGATGAGGTCAGCAAGCAAGGAGAAGCAGCAAAGGGAGGCAGAGAGAGACAGGCAGGAGAGAAGCCTAGGTTCTTATCCTTCAGGCCCTAGTTCTTCTACCTCTCCCAGTTTCCTTCCTTCCCAGCTGCAAGAACCAACAAATCCCACCCACTTCCCATTTTTTTAGTTAAACTTTTCTCATTTGCAGCCAAAAGGACTCTGACTAATTATGCAGAGATCTCTTGTGTGGCTCAGCAGAGAATTTAGAGGCTGTGACCATCTTCTGATGGCTGTGCTGGGGCAGAGCTGGGGGTGCCGCAGGTACAGCACTCTACAAGAGCCTGCCAGGTCACAGGGATGCCAGGCTTCAAGGACCTGCAAGATCCTCCCTTTCCTTTAGGATCCATCTGTGAGTCAAAGTTTTTAAAGGTATTTTCAGCCTGGATCATCTTTGGGGATATTATCTGTCATGCTCCTGTTTCCTTTTATTTACTTCTCACTCAACTCCCAAGCACGCAGGCATGACTACTCCTATAATATTCCAGGATCTAGGACTCGCTGGGCAAATTCACTCACTGGGCATCATTCAGGATTGTTCTTAGAAGTATTATTATCACTCTGCTCCATCATATTCTAGAATTCAGCTGTATCACACTCCTTCCCCTGCTTCACTTCTCGCCCCCTTAAAGACTGAAATTCCTCATGCTCAGTGACACTCCTCCTTCCTCCTGGGTCCACTGTCTCCGGAAGGACAGCAACTAGAATTGTTCCAGGAGACAAAAAATGTCTGCCCTTCTCACTGAGGTGCCTGACAGTCAGTGGTGGGGACATCAGGGCATTGGTCCAATGCACCCCAGGACTGGTCTTCAGGGTTGGCCACTCTGAACCCATCACCCAACACAGAGGGTCGGAATAAACATCCCTGCATGTGTGTGCTTGAAACTGCACACGCCGAAGTCATCTCCCTCTTCCTTGTCAATTCCTCCCCTTTGGCTCCTGTTACCACCACCCTGCAGAACTGAAGGGAATCTGGCATCACGTGGATCTCACTGTGCGTTCCCAACTCTGGCTCACGGTCTCAGGACGCCTCCCTTAAGAAATCCCGCTGATTTACTTTCCCACCTGGAGAAATGCTCCCATAGCATATCCCAAAGCCAGGTCGTAAGCCCCTCCTCCCCACCTGGTGACCCCTCCCATTTCCAAGGTCACTCGGCATGAAAGGCTATTTGAAGGTTTTATTGAAGGAGCTCTGGAGGGAAAGGAAGAAGTCTGAGACCACAGTGAGAGCATCTGTGCCCTTCATAGCCCTGCCTCCCCATACACACCCATCTCCATGGGGTCCGCACTCCTGATGTGTTCCCTCCCTGAGAGCCGGGATGCGCAGCTTTTAGATCCGCTTAGTTACAGACATTGCACTTGGTGGGCCCCCACTGCTAACACACAAGAATACACGCACTTGCCCCTCTCCGAGCACACACACCCTTCCCGCCCATTCTGATGGGAGACGGAAAATCACCAAGCCTTGGAAAGTAGGTTACAGGGACTGACTTCCCCACCCAATGCCAAGCAGCAATGGGTGAATGGCCAGTATGGAGGGCAGAGGAGCCCCTGCTAGAAGGGGCTCCTGGAACAATTGCAGATGTTCCCCCTTCCCCCATCCCCACAGCAACATGTCTCCCCCTCTTTTTCCCCAAGGAGAGGGTTTGGCCAAGCCAGGAGAGAGCTCCTGGTGGGAGAGGAGGTGTTGAAGGAGGGCATGGATATTTTTTCTTGCTAGTAGGACCCAGAGTCCATCAAAAATTAGTCAGTGAGCCTGGGAGGCTGAGGCTGCAGTGAGCTGTGGTCATATCACTGCACCCCAACCTGGGTGACAGAGTGAGACCCTGTCTCAAAAAAAAAAAAAAAAAAAAAAGAAATCCAGATTGAGTCCCCTACAGAAACAATGGAAGATTCTGGAGAAGCCCAAAGCAATGGTGAGCTCAACTTCCCAGCAGCCTGCAGTCTACTCTGGTAGACAAGTAGTCTAGAGTCTGAGCAGGCTACATCCGGTCCTGCCACACCTGGACTTAGCCTCCTTGGCCCGCTACCCCCTTGTCTACCTGGAAGGGCTCTTCAGTCCCCACCCCATGACTCCTGAAGGGGAGGCTGAAGAGCAGTGGGAAGGCAGGGCCAAGGGACATGTGTGGACAGAGCAGGGGACAGCAGTGTGTGGTGACACCACAGAGGACTGCTGGCTATGTGTTCAGCTTTCCTTCTGCTTGGGTAGACAACACTGGGCCACAGTTCCCTGAGCTGGATGAGGCTGGAGCGGCAGGGATGTAGAGGAGGGGCAGAAGGAGTGGGGGTGCCCCTTACTGCTCCCGAACACCAGCCTGGTGGAGTGGGCCCAGAGGGGGAGGGGATGGAGAGGCCAGCAGGACCCTCTGCCTCTTTAGAGAAGAAGAGAGCCGGTCTTGTCACCTTAGAGCCAGTGGCCCCATGTTTACCCCTGCCCTACCTCAGGCCTGCCCTACCCTGCCCTACCTCAGGAGCGAGGTGAGTCCTACCGGGGATGGTGTTGTCTAGAAGAAAACCCAGAAATCCACTGATGAACATGCCCATGGTCAGCAGCATCTGAACAACCTGGGCCGGCTGGAGAACCCCTGGAGTGGAGACAAAAGCGACACATCCATGGGGACCGGGGGCTGCGCTGGCTCTGCCCCTGGAGCAGAGACAGTCAAGAGGGCAGGGAACAGTCACCTGTCTGGAGCATCTCGGGGTTTTTGCTCACCCGGTTGGGAATGGTGAGCCCACAGTAGATGGAGAAGCCAAAGGCGAAGAGGCTCCTGGACAAGTTCATCTCCACGTACTGCGGGAGACAGGACCTAGAGGCAGGCGGGGCCATCAGCACCTTCACTGCTGGTTTGCAGAGGTCTGGATGCTTCTGGCTGTTTCTTTGCTCCATTTAGGGGCCAGTGTGGTATCTGGGACCCAGGACTGACTTCTCCTCCTCCCCTGCCCCAGCCCCATCCATCTCAGTCCCATCCATCTCAGTCCCACCAGCTCCTCTCAGGAGAGGCACTGCTGCTGCCTTCCCAAGAGCACCTCGCTCGCCTCACCTGCAGATTGGAGATCCCCACGGCAGTGATGACCCCAAACAGGGTCATGCCTCCGATCACGGGGGTGGGGACATGCCTCCGATCACGGGGTGGGGATGGTGGCAAACGCAGCCCTGATCTTCCCAAATGCGCCCATCAGGAGCAGCACACGGCCCGCGGTGACAATCACTGCCCTACTCCCCACCTGCAGCAGCCAGGGACAGAGAGTGAGGAGCACCAGCCAGGCCAGGCGCCCCCGGAGGCCTCTGCCCACTGCAGGAGCAGCACCACCTCATCCCATACCACTCCCTCTGCTCCCAAACGGGGCTTGGGAAAGGATGAAGGTGTACGCTGGGCACACGGCCTGTGCCCTCACCTCATCACTTCTGTCTTCTCTCATGTCTTCAGGTCCTGGCTCTGATGCTTCCCTCCCAGGAAGCCTGGACAGCAAGGCCAGGGAAAGCTCACCAAGGAAGAGCGGCCCAGCGCTTCAGAATGGAGGTTTGAAAGCCAATCCCAGCTCCGCCTCTAACTAGCTCTGTGACTTTGGGTGCGTTACCTAATCTCTCCGAATGTCAGCCTCCACGTGAGCCACAGGGGATTGATAACACCTACTTCACAAGGCTAAGTCCTGTCACGTAGGTGAAGTGCTTACAATAGTAAGCACTGAGCATAGTCGGTGCTCAATAAAGGGCAGAGGTTTTTTGCAAGGGATAGAGGTGTAAAGTTCTCGTGTATGATGCTACGTCTCTGCGGGCGGCCCGTGCTGTTATCCACTCAGATCATGTGTTTCTATTTCCCCACCAGATCTATTCCCCAAAGACAGGAATCTCGCTCATTTTGCCTCCTGTAGCCGCACCTTGACCACAACACTCCTGTGGCCATACGCACCTGATATGCACATGTTTAATATATCATAGAGGGCCAGAGCAGGACGGAAACCTGGAGGGTGCCTTGTTCAAACCTCTCATTTTACAGAAGAGAAAATCAAAGCCCAAAGAGAGGGAGCAAGGGGCCCAAGGCCACAGGGTAGTCACGCTTGCATAACACCAGGTCTCCTGTGTCCAGCCTGGCAATTAGTACCCTGAGGTTTTTTTTTTTTTTTCTTTTCTTTTCTTTTCCAGAGATAGAGTCTTGATCTGTCACCCAGGCTGGAGTGCAGTGGTACCATCTTGGCTCACTGCAACCTCCACCACCCAGGTTCAAGGGATACTCATGCCTTAGCCTCCCGAGCACCTGGGATGACAGTCACGTGCCACCATGCCCGGCTAATTTTTGTATTTTTAGTAGAGATGGGGTTTCACCATGTTGGCCAGGCTGGTCTCGAACTCCTGGTCGCACGTGATCAGCCCACCTCAGCCTCCCAAAGTGCTGCGATTACAGGCATGAGCCACTGCACCCAGCCCCCCGGGTTTTGTAAACAGCATTATGAGTTCACAGACAGGGTGCTTGATTTACACCATATCTATTCCATATCCATGTTGCCTGTGACTTTGTCAATGGAGGTACTATTATCTTCGGAAGAGACAGATACCAAACAGCCAGGCTAATAAAGAAGGAAGACAATTTCTGATAGCAATCAGTCTTCCATAATGAAGTCACAGGGCAGGGGGTGGCTGGGATGGGAGGCTCTTTGGAGGGCAATCAGAAAAGGCCTGCCCAGGAGGTGAGAGTTTGGCTGAGACCCAAAGGAAGAGAAGGAGTCACGGACATGAAGATTTGGTAGAAGAGAATTCTAGAGAGGAAACAGCAAATGCAGACTCTGTGGTGGGAGGAGCTTGGGTGGTTTGAGAGCAAAAGGAAAATCATCGTGCCTGGGGCCCAGTGACACAGGGAGAGGGGGAGGAGATGGGATGTCCTGCAGGGCCTTGGGGGCCATGGAAAAGAGTCAGAATAAAATCCAAAGGGAAGGCATAAGCAAAACATGGCATACTCCTACCATGGAATATTATTCGGCCTAGAAAAAGGAGGGAAATTCTAGTACACATTACAGCATGGATGAACCTTGAAGACATTACGCTGAGTGAAATGAGCCAGTCATAAAAAGACAAATCCTGTAAGGTTCTACTCATATGAGGTACCCATAGTAGTTAAATTCACCAAAAGGAGAATGGTGGTTGCTAGAAGCCAGAGGAGGGAGAAATGGGAACTTGTTGTTTAATGGGGACAGAGTTCTAATTTTTCAAGATGAAAAGAGTTTACAAGATATATGGTGATGATGGTTGCATAATAATATACATGTACTTAACACTTCCCAACTGTACACTCAGACATGGTTAAGATGGTAAATTTTATGTTATGTGTATTAAAAATAAAAAATCCAAAGATGAGAGAAACCCTTGGTAGAGGAGTTTTAAGCAAGTTAGTGACATAATGAGATTTGCATTTCTAAAGCTCCCTCTGTAAAATGTTTCATTATTATTATTATTGTTTACTTATTTATTTTGAGACGGAGTCCCACTCTGTTGCCCAGGCTGGAGTGCAGTGGCTCTAAAATTTTAAGTCTTAAAAAAAGACTCCTGACTTTAAGACACTTGGTATCATTCTCCAAAGTTAGGGCTATTTGTAAATGTTCTTGTTTGAATATCTTATCATGACTCTATTGTCAATGGATTTTTTTTTTTTTTTTGAGGCAAGATCGCACTCTGTCATCCAGACTGGAGTGCAGAGACATGATCATGGCTCACTGCAGCCTCTACCTCCAGTGCTCAAGTGATCCTCCTGCCTAAGCCTCCTGAGTAGCTGGGACTATAGGCATGTACCACCATGCCTGGCTAATTAAAAACAAAAATTGTAGAGATAAGGTCCCATGCTGGTCTTGAACTCCTGGGCTCAGCCTCAAGCAATCCTCCTGCCCCAGCCTCCCAAAGTGCTGGGATTACAGGTGTAAGCCACAGTGCCAGGCCACAGTAGATGATTTAGATAGTTCTTGAATCTGTTTCTCATCCATTTGTGTCTACTCCCAGCATTTAAAACAGTGGTCCCCAACCTTTTTGGCACCAGGGACAGGTTTCATGGAAGACAATTTTTCCACAGACTGGTTGGGGTGGGGGATGGTTTCAGGATGAAACTGTTCCACCTCAGATCATCAGGCATTAGATTCTCATAAGGAGCAGGTAACCTAGATCCCTTGCATGTGCAGTTCACAAAAGGGTTCACGCTCCTGTGAGAATCAAATGCTGCCGCTGATCTGACAGGAGGTGGAGCTCAGGAGGTCATGCTGGCTTACCCACCACTCACCTTCTGCTGTGCAGCCCAGTTTCTAACAGGCCACAGACCAGTACTGCTCTGCAGCCTAGGCGTTGGGGACCCCTGCAAAGACATTCTAATACAGTTTCAACTTTGTGAGATGGAAAAGTTCTGGAGATCTGTTGTACAACAATGTGAACATACTTGACAGTACTGAGCTGTACACTTTAACACGGTTATGATGGTAAGTTTTATATTATATGTCTTTTATGGCAATTAAATTAAAAAAAAAAACTCTAAGCCGGGCAAGGTGACTCACTCCTATAATCCCAGCACTTTGGGAGGCCAAGGCAGACGGATTGCCTGAGCTCAGGAGTTCGAGACCAGCCTGGCCAACATGGTGAAACCCCATCTCTACTAAAAATACAAAAATTAGCTAGGTGTGGTGGCACACGCCTGTATTCCCAGCTACTTGGAGGCTGAGGCAGGAGAATCGCTTCAACCCAAGAGGCAGAGATTGCAGTGAGCCAAGATAGCGCCACCGTACTCCCACCTGGGTGGCAAAAGTGAGACTCCATCTCAGATTAAAAGAAAAAAAAAATTCTTACCACATCAAAAGAACATTTTGTTTTGTTTTGTTTACAATCCTAACAATTAACTATGGGAACAATTTGTGAGGATCAACCAACGCCCTTTGGATCTGCGGATGGTCTCATAAAGATTGCAGTCACCCGCCAATTCCACTTCTCATGCAGCCCTGGGCCTCTTCTGGCCTCAGAACTGACTTTTGGGCAGGGAGCTGTGGTACCCTAGAGAAGTGGCAGGAGATCTCTGGTCTTGGGCCTGACGTCCCCCTACTCACGTGGAGAACCAAATGGCCAGAGCTCATCCTTGCGAAGACGCAACACGAAGCAATACCTTAAAAGGCCACGAGGGGGAGGTGTGATTCCATAAATGAAGTGGTCTTTGCACTGGTGCCTCTTTCAGGGTTAATCTAAGCCTTCTAATTGATTCGTAGCCTGCTGTGTCTATGTATCTTTCTTTCTTTCCTCTCCTTTAAGGGCCTTATTTTAGAGATAATACATCAAATAAATGTTTGTTCTGTATATTGAATATAGTTTTATGTTCTGCATGAAATGCACTCCCTTTAGCAGGAAAAAAAATATTTGCTGCTTTATACTTATTTGTTCCTCTCCAGCTATGTTTCAGCGTGGTTCAGTGGTCCTCCTGTGGAAAACGTTCCCCTCGCCTGCGCTAAAGGCTTTGAAACCTTGGACAAGTATCAAAGAGTCCATGATGTCACAGAATGTAGAATCTGCTTTTGGGGTAGATGCTGGCTCAGCTATTTGCTCACATATCAACTATAGCTGTGTGCCAGAGGCATGCAGGAGGACAGAGGTGGGCAGATCTGATAATAGAAAGACACGATGCTACCAAGCTGCATGTCAGAACCACTGATGGAGCTATGAGAAAATGCAAGGGGGGCACGGTGGCTCACACCTGTAATCCCAGCTCTTTGGGAGGCCGAGGTGGGTGGATCACCTGAGGTCAGGAGTTTGAGACCAGCCTGGACAACATGGTGAAACCCCATCTCTACTAAAAATACAAAAATCTTTCAGGCGTGGTGGTGGACACCTGTAATCCCAGCTACTCAGGAGGCTGAGGCAGGAGAATCACTTGAATCTGGGAGGCGGAAGTTGCAGTGAGCCAGGATCGTGCCACTGCACTCTAGCCTGGGGAACAGAGGGAAACTCCATCTCAAAAATAATAATAATAATGAAAGAAAAAAGAAAATGCAAGGTGGAGTGTGGGCAGCAGGGAGGGTCTGTATTGTTCCAAAGCTCACAGGACTTGTGCTGGGAACTGCAGAGGTCCACTGAGATACGTGGAAAGCAATGTGATTAGACACCATCATTTCCATGTCACCTTAGAAAGCTCCATCCTGAAGAATTCCTGCTGACCTTATGGAGCTTTCCTGTGAAAAAATGGAGAGCCATGAAGAGATTTTAAGCAGAGACTAATCTCATCAGAATTAGGTTCTAGAAAGATCCTTGGGTAGCCAGGTGGTAGAATGACATGGGCAAGATTCTGGAAAGAAAGAATGTAAGAGGTCACTGCACGTCCAAGTGCAATGATGAAGCCATGGGCCCGGAAATGGAGAAAAGAGGACAGGAAGCAAGTGGGGGTGTTGAGAAAATAGAACCCCCCAGTGAGGGTGCAGAACAGCAAGAAGCTACAGATAATGTGGGTGACTGGGTGGGCCCAGTAAGACAAGGATCGCAGAAGTCAGGAAGGGGGCACGGGCTGAGCTTCACAGAGGCCACTGAGGGTGAGGTGCCCTTAGGACATCAGGCAGGGATGGTTGGGACACACGTGAATATTCAGGGTTGGAGCTCAGATGCAGGGCTGGGTCGGAGGTAATGAAACTCCCCACTACACTTCAGAAAGCCACCAAAGAGCTCTGCCAGGGCCAGTATTGAATTTCTGCCTGTGGAATCACCACAAGCAAAGAAGGCCAGATGTGGAAGACAAAATCATAGCCCCTTACAGAGGCCCGCGCCCTTCTCCCCAAACCTGTTGTTGGGGTGATCAGATCCAACACCAGGTCATGAGGGCGACAAAGTCTGGCGGAGTCAAAAGATTGAGAAAAGACAGTTTGAGAGAGACAAGTGGGACCAAGGGGCTATCGCAATTGTGGAAGCTGTGAAGGCCCCGAGCTCTGGGGAGCCCATGCTATTTATTGGTAATGCAACAAAGAAACAGGTGGTGAGAATGTGGAGGTTGAAAGGGCACATTGTATTAAGCCCATGATTTACAGCTGTGATGGTTTAGCATTTGCTCTGCTACTTGAGATAATGGAGAGCAGGTTCTTTTAACTCAAGATACAATTGATCCTGGGAGATCAAGGAGCCAGCAAGTCTAGACACATTCTAGAGCCACAAGCCCTGGATTCTATCCAAGCCATGAGGGATTTTATGCCCTAGGATTAGATTATGGTGCGGCAGGGCAGCCTTCCACCATTTAGCACAGAGCTTGGTGTTCCAAAGGCCACAAGGGGTTTTAGGCCCTGGACCCCGGACATGTTCCGAGACTCTTTTACATTATGTCAGACATGCAAGCCCTGCCTCAGCTTCTCCCAACACTCAGCTTTTCCCAACACCTGTGAATCTGTTTTCCTTTCTTTTCTATTTTTTTTTTTTTTTGAGATGGAGTTTTGTTCTTGTTGCCCAGGCTGGAGCGCAGTGGCGCAATCTCTCCTCGCTGAAACCTCCGCCTCATTGTGAATACAAATAGGATAATAATAATGAGCAGTCACGATGAATTATGGGTAACAACTTTGATGCTTTTTAAGGTTTGATAACATTCATGAAAGTCTTTGTAAACCACAAGAGTTTACCAATATCCAGGCCCTCCATTATTCTTTCTGGGTGACTCTCCACCAAAGAGAACGTACATGGCACTCCCTCCCCAGGGAGCACTTACATGGCAGAAATCCCCCACTGGATCCCGGCATTATTGCCTGCAGAATCCAAGAGGGGCAGGGCCACTAGGCAGTTAGTTGGAGCAACGGCCAAGGAGCAGATGAAACCCATGAGAAAGCCAGTCAGGCCTGAGAAGCCCACCAGCATCCGGACACAGGAAGTGACCATGATAGCACCCTGCAGCCGAAGGGGAGAAGTGCTCAGGACTGTGGGCCTCAGCGCGGCCCAGGCCACCGTAACAGTCCCGGAGGCTGCAGCCCCTAGGCGCGGCCCAGGCCACCGTGACAGTTCTGGATGCTGCAGCCCATGGTGAAATCTGGTGACCCCTAGGCGGTTCTTAGGCAGTGCAGGGGCAAAGCTGGACCCCAAAGGAACTGAGAGAAGGAGAACTCTGATTTCCCTCCTCCCTCCAGTCTGTATTTCCAACTGCGTGTTGGACTTTTTCGCTGAACAAAGCTTTTCAGGAAATAGGCTTCAAAATTAATTATTGATTGTAGTCACAATGATGATGATGTTGGCGACTCCCAACACTAGCACACTCGGTCGTGTATTGAACATCTTGCTGCAGCATTTTTCTGTTTTCCTAGTTTCTATTGCAGAGGTCGGGAAACTTTCTGGGTTTCTTTGTTTTGTTTGGTTTTGTTTTGTTTGTTTGTTTTGACGGAATCTCACTCTGTCACCCAGGATGAAGCGCAGTGGCACGATCTCAGCTCACTGCAACCTCCGCCTCCCGGGTTCAAGCGATTCTCCTGCCTCAGCCCCCTGAATAACTGGGATGACAGGTGCGCGCCACCATGCCCGGCTAATTTTTTTTTTTATTTTTAGTAGAGACAGGGTTTCACTATGTTGGTCAGGCTGGTCTTGAACTCCTGACCTCGTGATCTGCCCGCCTGGGCCTCCCAAAGTGCTGGGATTGCAGGCGTGAGTCACCACGCCCGGCTATGCAAACTTTTTCTGTAAAGGACCAAAAAAGTGAATATTTTCAGCTTTATGCCCATACGGGCTCTGTCACAACTTTTCCAGACAAGATGTGAAGAAATGAGTGTAGCTGTGTTCCAATAAAACTTCACTTATAGACACTGACATTTGAATTTCAGATAATTCTGATGTGTCATGAAATGTTCTTCTTTTGATTTTTTTAACCACTTAAAATGTAAAACCATGCTTGGTCGTGGGCTGTCTGCTCTAAAGGAGGTGATGGGCCAGATCTGGCTCCTGGGCTGCAATTTGCCAACTTATCTGCTGGATTAAGTTTGCTTTATTTCCCCATTTTATTTTACTGTTTGGATGTTCGACTTGTTATTTTATTCTTTTAGAAGTTGCTCACAACTTTTTAATGTGAATTGTTCACTTAACACTGCCCATGGGTAAATAAAATGTCTAGTCTCCCATCAAATAGTACAGTGACCTTAGAAAACTTGAACTTCTACCACCATTCTGCTATTGTTGTCAAATATTTGTTTATTTTTCCACTGCCATTGCTCATTATTGTTTTTATTATATTTTCCTACAATTAGTGCTTATTTGGATTTACCTAGTACTGTGAAGTAAACGTTTGTGTTCCCTCAAAATTCATATGATGGTGTTTGAAGATGGAGCCTTTGGGAAGAAACTAGGTTTAGATGAGGTCATAAAGTGATATGGTTTGGCTGTGTCCCCACCCAAATCTCATCTTGAATTATAGCTTCTATAATTCTCACATGTTGTGGGAGGGACCTAGTGGGAGAACCGAATCATGGGGGTGGTTTCCCCCATACTGTTCTCATGGTAGTAAATAAGTCTCACAAGAGCTGATGATTTTATAAGGGGTTTCCCCTTTCACTTAGCTCTCATTCTCTCTTGCCTGCTGCCATGTAAGACGTGCCGTTCACCTTCCGCCATGATTGTGAGGCTTCCCCAGCCACCTGGAACTGTTTGGTCCATTAAACTTCTTTTTCTTGATAAATTACCCAGTCTTGGGTATGTCTTTATCAGCAGCATGAAAACAGACTAATACATAAGGGAAAAGCCCCTTTGATGGGCTTAGTACCCTTATAAAGAGAAGAGATTTTTCTCTGTCTTCTCTCCTCTCTCTCTCTGCATGTACCAAGGAAAGTCTTTGTGAGGACACAGCTAGAAGGTGGCCATCTGCAAGCCAGGAAAGGAGCACCCCTCAGAAGCTGACCATGCTGGCATCCAGATCTCAGACTTCCAGCCTCCAGTACTGTGAAAAAATAAATTTCAGTTGTTCAAGCCACCCAGTCTATGGTTGGTTTTTGTTTTTGTTTTGTAAAGACAGGGTCTCACTATGTTGCCCAGGCTGGTCTCGAACTCCTGGACTCAAGCAATCTTCTGGCCTTAGCCTATGAAGTAGCTGGGACTACAGACATATACAGGCACTGCACCCAGCTATAGTATTTTGTTGTGGCAGCCCAAGCTGACTAACCCACCTATGTTTTCTACCCATATGTTCCTCTGCTCACTTATAGCTTCTTTTCCACCACTCTTTCATTCGAGATTCCATTTCCTTTTTCCTGAAGTTTAGCTTTTAATAATTATTTTAATAAGGGTCTGTGACTGATAAACTCTTAGTCTTCGTTTACCTGAAAATGTCTTTATTTTGCTATCAGTGTTGCCTGATGTGGGGTTCTACAGTGGGATAGAATTCTAGGATGATAATATTTTCTCTTAGCATTTTGAAAATATTCCATTGTCTTCCAGCCTCTACCGTTGCTAGTGAGAAGGCTGCTAACTGTCCAATTGCTATTCTTTTGTAGGCATTTTTTTCTGTCTTATTACTTTTAAGATTTTTCTCTTTGTATTTGTATTGCAGTTTCATTATGATATATCTAATTGTAGACTTAATTGTTTATTACACTTGGGACTACATGTGCTTTTAAAATCTGAATATTCATATTTATCTGTTCCAAAATAGTATTAGCCATTATATCACTTCTAATACTATCACTTTTCCATTTTCTCATTATCACTTTCAGGAATTCCTGTTAGAAACATGCTGGACTTCTCAGTCTAGCTTCACATTTCTTAACTTCTGTTTCATATTTCTCATCCTCTATTTCACATTTCCCATCTTTTTATCTCTCAGTGCTGCATTCTGGATTATTTCCTTAGATAATCTTTCAATTCATGAATATCTCTTTAGCTGTGTCTAAATGCTGTTTAACTCATTAAATGCATTTTTTAATTGCAGTGACTTTATTTGTTTTTATTACTAAACTTCTATTTGGTTCTATGTTCAAATTTCCTTGTTCTTGTTTCATTTTATCTTCTAGATTATGGTTTCTATTGCTTCTTGAGTCTCTTTAATTATTTTAAACATATTGATTTACTATTATCTTTTAAATTGTTCTATTAGCTCTGGATTCTACTGATTCTCTCTCATAATACATTATTACCTGGTGTGAAATGACAAAATTTATGTCTGTGAACTCTTCTTCAGGGGCATTCTTTTTCTTCCCTGTGTCTTACGTGCTTTAGAATGTGGAAATATCCCTAAAGAATAATTGTACATTTTCTTCTGTGAGAACCACAGGTATTTTATTGGCAGGACCAGTTTTAGCTTTAATTTCTGAGCTTGCAAATCTTTCCACCACACCCATATGTGTTCACGTGTTGTAGAGTTGGAGTCCTTATTTTTCATGCAACTCCATATTCTAACACTTCCCACAGACCTCTAGGAAGAATAAAAGTTTCCTTGTTTATTCCCTGGAATGGTAGCGTTATTATTTCCCACGCTCACTGAAGTGGGTGCTCTTCCAGATCCCAGTTGATCATTACAACCCAAGCTCCTAGCCTTCGGTCCTATATCTGGGTCTGATTCTTTACCTAACCATCATAAGCCACATGATCCTGGCTATAATTCCCATCTTTGTTTCTAGAAAGTAAGGTTTTCCTCCTTGGTTTTGAACTTGATTCTGGATTTAATAACCGTTCATCCAGCATTTTCAGGTGTTGGTAATGTTTGTGGGTTCTATGTTAGCTCAAACTACCATGATACTGGAGGATGACGTTTAAATTGGTCTAAGGTGTTGAAAACTGAATTTGCCGTTTCTTCCCACGGTTTTCTACTTTTTCTGCAACCACCATTCCCGCAAAACAGAATCATCTTTCACTTTTCCCTCTCCACTACTTCTTGCATCCCAATGAGTAATGATAATCCTGTTGGTTCCATATTGCTGTCACTTTCATCTGTGGCTAGTATTGTGCTGTATAATTGGTCGGCTGACCGTCAGTGGTTTCAAACCTTGAGATGTGTGTGGATCAGTATAACTTAGTGAAACATGAGGAATCTATCTTCCCTTCCAATAGGCTGACTCGGTGAATAAAACCAATCAATCATCAATTAATAAGATGAAGTTGCAATTAGCAAGAACTTTCTCGTGTTTACAGCACTGGTGAAAAACATTGGCCCAGCAGAGGGAGCTAAAATACCACAGCTAAGACCCCAGGTTTGTGACACACTGTGTTGGACACTTGGGGGCAGTGTGGGTGAAGATGGCTCCCTTAGACCTGGGCCCTCTGTTTCAGAGCAACGATTGGCAAACTTTTTCCGTAAAAGGCCAGATAGTAAATATTTTAGAATTTGTAGGCCACATGTAGTTTCTGATGCACGATCTTTTTGTAAAACAACCTTTAAAAGCATTCTTAGTTCATGGGCCATTAAAGGAAAAGAGGTCACAGGCTGGATTTGGTCCAAGAGCCATATTTTGCAAACTGCTTTAGAGGATTCTACATATCACAAGCACAAAAGTAAACAGCAAATGTATTAAAGAAAATAAGAATGCCTCTGTCACTTGGAATCTAGTCCTCAGTGCTGGCAGGGCATGACCCAAATCCCTAAACATCCACTCTCACTACTGATACTGTTCAGGCCCCCAGGAACATTCCTTTCCATAACTGTTGTCCACCGTCCTCAAAACACAAGGCAACTGCTTCTAAATGCACTGAAGTTTTCTGTTTTTGCATTTTTAGACAGAGTCTTGCTCTGTTGCCCAGGCTGGACGGCAATGGCACAATCTCGTCTCACTGCAACCTTTGCCTCTCAGGTTCCAGAGATTCTCGTGTCTCAGCCTCCCGAGTAGCTGGGACTACAGGCGTGCACCATCACACCCGGCTAATTTTTGTATTTTTCATATAGATGGGGTTTCATCATGTTGGCCAGACTGATCTCAAACTGCTGACCTCAGGTGATCTGCCCGCCTCAGCCTCCCAAAGTGCTGGAATTATAGGCATGAGCCAACACACCCAGCCATACTGAAGTTTTTTCAGTTGTTCCATTGCAGTGATAGAGGCAGACATTGCATTAAAATACAGGAAGGATTTGAGCAGCAGAAGGGCTTAACTAGGAGTAAAGACGAATTAACTTGTCAGATCTTATTTCTTGGGAAGTAGGAAGGCAACAGATTCTTACATAAGGAATCGTAGTTCTCAGCGGGGCTGAGTGTAGGGAAACCCTGCCCTGGAATCTAGCAGAGCAGATGCCCAGTTTTAATTTGGATTTACCAAAGCCAAGTATAGGCTCCCCGGGGGACAGCAAAAAGCAACAAAAACAGGAAACCCCACAAACCCACAAACTGCATGTGTGCTGTGATTCATTCTATTGATGATACGATATGAATAGACTTCGCTGAAGAACTTCTTGATTTGGAAAAGGTAGTGCAGCACATACCGCTCTGAGATTGGACAACCGACCTGGCAAAACTCCAGGCCCCACCAGCTTGACGGGTGAAGGCCTTAGGTATATCTTGGTCTAGAGCTACATGGAACAGTTCTTTAAAGCTTGAAATGCCTTGTTAACTCTGGGTCCACCCTGAGATAAAAAGGAAGGACAGGAATTTGATGAGGCAATTGAGTCTACTTACATCTGGCTGTACTTTTGGACTATATGTCAGAGTACAGGCACATGCAAAAAGGCTGTCGTTGAAAGTAGAGAAGAGTAACAGAAGGTTCTAGCTGAAATTCACAAGTTAGGGCTCAGATTGGTCTATTGCATCCTCACAGGCACAGTGCTCCTGAGCTATGGGAAGTGTTGGTGATGGAGTCTACGCTGAATGAGGACTGACCCTGCAAAAGACAGGTGTCCAGCACTGCCATGGGGCTTTTGGTGCAGATGTGGCCCAAGGCAGCTACTCAACCACTCTGCCTTTGAAAGACCATTACCAAGCAGTCCACCACTGGGCATTGTTTGGGGTTAGACCACTAATGAATAAGCAAATAAGTGTAAATCAGAGATGTCAATCATGTCTTGAGTGATGTCAGAAAGACATTCTAATGAGGAACGGCCTGATAAACAAAATGTGTTGATTACAGGGAAATAGTCATATTCAGGAAAAAAAAAGACAATTACCCAGGAAAGATACATAATATCCACAAGCAAGTGATTTAGTCCCCATCCCCTAGGGCAGCCAAACCTCACAGTATAATCTAAATCCAGCAACAGAGACTTGGGCCCCATTGTACAAATCTTTGAATTCAAAAGCACTAGTTGGCATCTTTCTGAAGGTGGAACTCAATTAACTGGGAAAGGCTGGAACTAGAAGAATGCAACATTCTGTCCAGCCAACGGAAGGCCCCTGATAGAAGTATGGCAAGTCTAAGTCGGTCCAAAGGACCAAGGTGTGTATGACGTGGTAACTGTGCACATGCAAATCCTACCAGCAATTATACCATATGTAATTCCATGGATTCCTGGGCCATAGTTAATAAACTAACTGATCTGGCAAGTGAATCACAGAAAATGCTATTTACATTTCTTCCCTTTCATGGGACAGGACTTCATGGTTAAATTTTAGAGACTGGTTGTTCATGTTGATGCCCCTTAGTCTTAAAAAGAGGGAAGTATGTCTTTGAATGTAGTCACTAGAGTCCACAAGATGACACCTTGGGCCACAAGCCATGCACACACACGCTCACAAACAACATAATCCCCACCTCCATCTGTTGCCACTTGTGTCACCCAGGACGGTCCAGATTGCCAACAGCAATGGGCTCATGTGCCTTTGGTGGGGGAATATATTTTGAGGGTTTATGGCCCATCACAGAGCTGGCAGGCTGCCTATCCTGGACATATCGCAGAGCAAGGGAAATTTAAAGACTTAAAAAACTGGTATTGACAATGTTTCTGGTTTGAGCTTTGCCCATTCTGCAACTAAAGATCTGACCCAGAGTACTATAAAAAGACTGGCAGCCCAGATCACCCACCAACATGATATCAACTTACACATCAACAGCTCAAGGATCACTTTTCACAGCATGAACGGGGCAAGAGTAGACCAAGAAATACAATCTCAAATGACCTCTTCATATTTCACATCACTTCTACAAAGCAGCACAGTTTTGAAAAAAATTGCAATGTGTGCTTGAAGGAACAAAATGATGGTGAGAAAGACACAGAGGCCTGGCTTTCCAGGGTAGGAGAAGCACGAGAGCAAGTCAACAGCGGAGCATTGTCTAAGGCATAGGTTGAGAAATGGAGAGATAAGGAAATCTTTCCAGGACTAGGGATTTGATTGTGTTCCCTAAAGTAGGAATAATACAAATTAATTTAATTTCACTTGTTGGAACCCTGAAGGCATTTATGAGTTGTACTGATAAATCTGGTATTTTCAAGATGCACCCAACCCAGTGGAGAGGACCCAGTTACAATATACTTATTAAGTCATTTGAAGGTACCTTGGGAAGGACACATGAAGTAGGTTTAATGGTGTTACTTTTGCTGCTCAGTATTTGAAGGATAACAGAGAAGGAATCCAATACTCCTCCTTTAATAGGAGCAAGGGAATGGGCTCAGGCATCCCAGTGGGGGGAGAAAAGATGGTAGCAGAAAGAACTGGAGCCACCAGAAATACTGCTGTACCAAATGATGCTACTTTTGCCCTTTACCTTTAAAATAAGTTGCTAGTAAAATTATTTCTTAGCAATATTTTTAGATATGTCTTCAGTCTTAGATGAGAGACGATGGCATCAGAGTTGATTCTACCAAACTGGAACACATTTAATGTTATTGTCTTGATAAAACTGGGCCCAGAGTACACTTGGCTGAGCTGGATGGGCAAGGAGGAGGGACCGTTGTGAACACAGCCAATTCCTAATGTGATGCTGGCACATTAGGACATGGTCTGTTGCTTGAACTTTTATGTTAGATTAAGATTTGCATGACATTCAGTGAAATGAAAATCATGGAAATGATGATATCTGACAAAGTCTATATCAGGATATTTAACTCCAGTCACCAGTTAATGTGGTAAGCATAGGGAAAAAGTGACCCAAGGAAGTCAAACAGAACTACCAGTTGAGGAGGGACAATTATAATTAACTCTAAATCATCCCAACAGCATCATTAAAATGCTACAAATGTACCACCAGGACGGCTAAAACAAAAAAGATAGAAAATGTTTGTGAGAATGTAAAATAACTGGAGCTCACACACACTGCTGGTGGGAGTGTAAACTGGAAGATCCGCTTTGGAAATGTATTCATTAGTGCTTACTAAAGGTGGACACATACACATTCTATGACCCAACCAATGCTCCTCCTAAGTACACATTCAGGGGATGTACATATATACGTTTACTTAAGCACAAGTACACAAATATTCATAGCAACACTATTTACAACAGCAAATAACTGGAAACCACCCTTAAACACATAATTTGGATAACACAGAATTGATAAACTGCTGTCTGTTTATATAATGGAACATTATATAATGAAACATTATTCAGCAATGAGTATGAATAATCTACCACTGCACATAACAATATGGAAGAATCTTGCAAACATAATATTGAACAAACGAAGTCAGATACAAATGAATATGTACTGTGTGGTTCCACAAAGTTCACAAACAGATGAAACTAATTTGTGGTGTTAGAAGCTGGGATAGTGGTTACCGTTATGGGAGGGGTGACTGGAAGTAGGTGTGAAAGGGCTTAAGGGGTGTTGGTAATGCCTATTTCTTGAGCTAGGTTATATAGATCAGTTCAACTTTGAAAATGTATTGTGTTCTTTGCTTTATGCTTGTAAGACTTAAATTAAAAGTTTATTTTATGGCTGGGCATAGTGGCTCACACCTGTAATCCTAGCACTTTGGGAGGCCGAGGCGGGCGGATCACCTGAGATCAGGAGTTTGAGACCAGCCTGGCCAACATGGCAAAACCTCGTCTCTACTAAAAACACAAAAAATTAGCTGGGCTTGGTGGCACATGCCTGTAGTCCCAGCTACTCAGGAGGCTGAGGCAGGAAAATCGTTTGAACCCAGGAGGCGGAGGTTACAGTGAGCTGAGATGGCACCACTGCACTCCAGCCTGGGTGACAGAGCAAGACTCTGTCTCAAAAACAAAAAACAAAAAAGTTTATTTTAAAAGGTACTAGTTCGAACTTTGGAAGCAAGGAGGGAAAAAACAAACTACAGCAATATTATCAAGCACAGAATAGCATTGTTAGGCACTGAGATGTTTTGTGGATTCTGTTCCTTCTTACTGGTCAAACATGGGTAGGAATAGGAATCTTACTGTTGTTTCCCGTCTTCCATGTTTGTCCTTTTTATTTCCCATATGGGAGAATGGCAATTGTTGAAGCAATGAGGCTATGAGGACCCTCAACATGGATCAAGGTGGGCTGTAGGATGGGTGCTGCCTGGTCTAAGGCTTCTTAGCTTGGCTCCCAGATGTATCTAGGGAACCCGCTGTGCTCTAGGTCCATAGGCCTAAGTTCTGGAACATCCTTGATCTAGTCCCAGTGATAATGGGGAGTTGGTACAGAAGATAATAAATGGGGGCTGTATTTGCCTGAGCAAACTACACTGGACTGGGCCCCATCATCACGTTGTGCTGTGTAATGCTACCCTTGCTCCAGAGCAGGGTGGTGCCGGGCACAGCCCCAGGCCAGCCCATGCACAGATGCCATGGCCCTAGGTGTTTCAGGTTGAGCTGGGAAGTAGACGGTTAAGCCTCCCTAAAGATCTCAAGTGACCTTCACTCTCTCACAGTGTGCCACCTACAGCTGCACCCCACCCACAGGCCACCCCTCCACCTGCCCACTTTGGGTGAGGATGCTGGGGTCTGTCCCTAAGCCTGTGGTGATCTCTCTGCCAACAATCCTGAGTGTGCTGACTTTCTTCTCGGTCCTTCAGATAAGCCAACCTGGAACATGGCTGACTTTCAGAGCCTGCTCCAGGCCACTACTTCCTCTCCCCAGATGATACAATTGAGTTTAGCAAGGGTCATGCTTCATGGTGGGATAAACACAGGGGCACAACTCTCCAAAATGGGCAAGCTAAGCTGGCAGTGCCCACTAACAGAGTGGTGCTGAGCTCTAGTCTGGCATGTTGGTTCTCCCATTAATCTGAGCCCACTGCGGACATTTATCAATATGGCACTTGTGCATCTATGAAGAACTTGTAGTAGAGTGCCTGGAAAACTCTAAGTGCTCAGTAACCACGATCTGTTGCTACCATCGCCACCACCACCACCATCGTCATCACCACTACCCCCGTGATGTGTCTCTCTCCTCTTTATAGTCCCAACACAATGCTTGGAACCTGCCAGATGTTCAACTAATGATGTTTAGTGAATTAATATAAAGCAGGAGTACTACTCACTGCCCTACTTCCTGGGACTGGCTGGAGGAATGCTTGAGCTCTTCCTCCTTAATATACGCAGGAGTGTTTCCAAGAACACCCATTTTCACTCTCCATCCTTTCCATTGAGCAGCTCAGTCCCTCTCTTGCTCATCATTCTGTTTTATTTTCTTCATTGCACTTATAACTCACTGAAATTTGCCTTTTCCATTTGCTTATTAGCGTCTTTCTCTCTCCACCCTACCTTACCACACATGTCCACTAGAACGTTAGCTCTGTGAGGGCAGAATCCTTCTCTGTCTCATCTACCGCAGTATCTTAAAGTCCAGGATCTTGCCTGGCAGGAAGTTGGATAATGAATGTTGAATGAATGAATGCACTCAGAGTCCCTGTTGCAGACACCTCTCCTGCTCCCAGCCATCCCCCTTGCTCTGTTACCTCTTGGATCCTCTTCTGCCATTTCTCAGTGAATTCTGGAAAGTTGGTGTTCACCTGGCTGGCACTGAGTGTCCACTCAGGGCAATTCCAGGAGGGAAGGGAGAGCATGGCCAGAGAAATTACCACAAAAGCAAACGTACCTCCCTGGGGAATGGGCAGCCTGGAGGGAGGGAAAGGATGCAGTTACCCATGAGGTCCTCTAGCACTGGCCTGTCAGTGGCCCCAAGGAGGGCCTTCAATCCCAAGTCCTAGTCCAATTTATTTATTTATTTATTATGTGTTTATTTTTTTTAGATGGAGTTTTTCTCTTGTTGCCCAGGCTGGAGTCCAATGGCACAGTCTCAGCTCACTGCCACCTCCGCCTCCTGGGTTCAAGCGATTCTCGTGCCTCAGCCTACTGAGTAGCTGGGATTACAGGCGCTCACTACCAGGCTCAGCTATTTTTTGTATTTTTAGTAGAGATGGGGTTTCACCATGTTGGCCAGGCTAGTCTCGAACTCCTGACCTCAGGTGATCCACCCGTCTTGGCCTCCCAAAGTGCTGGGATTACAGGTGTGAGCCACTGTGCCCGGCCTAGTCCAATTTAGAAGCAAACCATGACCCCTCTGTTCTCAGTTGCAGAGAGATCCTATCAAGGTTCAAGGCAGACCTATGAGCCCTATCAAACTTTGGACAGGGAGGAGAGGGAGGCAGGGAGGCACCCAGACCCACACCTGGGCCTGGAGATCCAAACCCAGGAGGAAGGAGTCAGGCCCTGAGAAAGAATCTGGGGATGGCATGGAGCTCAGTGAACATACCTAGTGGGTGCCGTTCTCTACCTCAGCCCCAGAGAACCCTTCCCAGGTCCCAGGCCCACAGCGGAGCTCCCACACGTGCAATGCCCAGCAATCGATTACCCCACTATCAAGAGCTACACAGCTTAAAATCTGGATTGTCAGATTCTTTTGTGTCTTCAGAAACCAAGAGCAATCCAAGACCTTCAGGCTCCTTCTTATCGCAGGACAATAAGATATGTCCTTCGTCAGGGCATGTTCCCAGCCCAGCCCTCCTCACTCCTGCTGGGCTTCTCACTTTGGCCTCTGTGAGAACATCTAGCAGTGCCTGCCCTCCCTGCCTTCCCACTGAGGTCAAGGCAACCTGGTAAGTCAACCTCCAGCCACCCCTCTTACTAGAGGGTCAGAGGCTCTCAAGGCTTCCCGAGCCTGCCAGCTTTGGACATTAGAATTTGGGGGTAGGAAGGTGGGACAGAGGGACCGTGGCATCTTGACTGCATTTGTCACTGTGGCCCACCTAGTCCAGGTACTTTTTCTGAATACTACAAGGGTATTTTTGAATCAGTGCTTCATGAAGAAAGCATAAAGGATGATTCTTGAGAAAGAGCACATTTTATGTGAAGAAAATATAGTTTATGAAAGAGTTTTGCTGCTGAAATGGACTTTGTGGCCTGGTGAACATTAGGATGAGTGATGCCTGGGCATTGACCAGGCAAGTCCGTGGGCTTGTCTGGTTATGGACCCAGCATGGGGATTGCCTAAAGCTCCTCAGGTACATCTAATGTACAGCCATCCATGAGAACAGCTGGTCTAGAGTCACAAATCTAGACCCACAAGTCTCCACAAGAGAATGGAGAACATTACATTGTGCACATGGGGTTGGAACACAACGGTGCCACTATGTATATGTGTATAAATGTGTATACGTGTGTGTATATTTTTTATTTTAAAATTATGAATCTGTCTGCTGTCTGGGAGGTGTGCCCTACATTTCAGGTATAGGAGCAAAGTCAGACACGATCCCTGTGACAGAGGTTTCCTGTCTAGTGAGGAAGGACAATAACAATAACTAATAACAAACTCTGATTAAGTGCTGTAAAAGGAAGTTATACAGTGCTTTGCAATCATGTAACAGAAAAGACTGTCCCAGTTTAGGATGATGGAGATAAGGAACTGATGGGGACAGGAGGCAGAGAAATTCTAGGCAGAAAAGGGCAGGTCCCTGGTGAAAACCCCACCCTCAAGCCAAAAACCTGGAACTGCGGCCCAACGTGAGAACTTCTATCCCGTTTTCCTGCTTGAATGTTGCCTTTTCCTAAACTACCCATGGCCCCACCCCACCCCATCCTGTGCCTATAAAAACCCCAGACTCAGTCGGAGAGGAGCGGAGACTGTGGCTGGATGTTGGAGAGAAACGGCTTGACTTCAGAGGGACAAACTGATGGCATAACTTCAGAGAAGAATCCAGCCAGAGACAGCTGGACTTCAGGGGAAGATTACCTACCCCCACCCCCAGTCCCCTTTTCAGCTCCCCTTCCCGCTGGCAGCCATTTTCATCAGCAATAAAATCCCCTGCATTTACTATCCTTCAATGCATTCGTGCGACCTCATTTTTCCTGGAAGCTGGACAAGAGCTCAGGAGCCACAAGTGTGGATACAAAAGGCTGTCACACCGACCCTTTGTCCTCACAGGTGGAGGGCAGCTGCCTCACACAAAAAGGCAGAGGGTCCACTGAGCTGTTAACACTTAAGCTGTCTGTGGATGGCACAGCTAAAAGAGCACTGTACCATGCCCTCTGGGACTTTGGGGGTCACAGGCACCTCCACCTAGATGTTGCTGCGGGGCCCACATGGAGTTTGTTCCTGCCGGTACTGAAGCAGCCAGCTGGTTCCACCACTCATTACTCCAGTTCCCATCTCATTTGCTCGCATGCTTCCTCCCATGAGGAGTTGAAAGCAGTGGGCTGAGTAACTGAGGCACCGCTGCTGTGAGTCCCGCGAAGGGGTCAGGGAAATATCCTGCTTTAGAATATCCTGCTTCAGGCCTGAGATGTCAAAGGGACCATGTCTGACTTTGCCCCTCATAGTATCCATCATGCCAGAAACATAACAGGTATTCCATAAATGTGAGCATGACTGCCTCTGCTCTCAGTGACTCCTCCCAACCCTGACTTCCACCTCCAGCTGGTTATCATTTGTCAAGTGCCACAGCCTTGCTGGCTTCCTAAGAAAGTTAACTACCCCTTTCTCCTGCTACCACATCACTTAGAATGTAATAATATGACCATGCTGGTTTTAATTATTTATTCACTTCTCTAATTCCCCTTTTAAGACTCTCATCTCCTTGAATGCAAGAACTATGGGGGAGTCCCAGTGTCCACGCGTGGCAGGAAATCATGTGGCATGAGGATAAAGGCTGCAAGTACCTCGGTTTCAGGACTCACTAATGCTACAGCATCAAGGGTGGAGGTCGTGCCTACAGGGAACTGACAGCATTCAAAGCCTTCCGGTTACAAAGATCCAGGGATTCCCTGACCTACAAGGAATCTTCTCCTAGAAGACAGATGCCCTGGGTTGCTCCCAGAATACGATACTAACATTGCCTCCATTTTCAAATACACCAAAACTGCTCACCTCTGGGGGAAGTATAAGTCACTTAATGCTATGGACCAAATGTCTGTATCCCCCCAAAATTCTTATGTTGAAGCCTTAACCCCCAGTAGGATGTTATTTGGAAGTGGGGCCTTTGGGAGCTATTTAAGTTTACATGAGGTCAGGATGGTGACGCCCTCGTGATGGGATCAGTGCCCTTATAAGAAGAAACTCTTTTCCCCTCCCCACCCCTGCCATGTAAGGACACAGCACAGAAGGTGGCTGTCTGCAAGCCAATAGCGGGCCCTCACCAGAGCCCGACCATGCGGGCACCCTGATCTCAGACTTCCACCCGCCAGAACTGTAATAACATTTCTGTTGTTTCAGCTACCCAGTCTATTGTCTTTTGAGCAGACTGAGACACTTAGCAAACACGATGGAATGGGAAACAGGTGAGTCACTTAATCTGTCTACGCCTGAGTTTCTTCCTCTGTACCATAAGCTGAATAATCAAACCTGCCTCAAATGGTGTAGTGAGCATTACATGTTTTGTAAGTCATACGTTGCTCATTCATGCATCACCCGTACTGTTATTATCTTACAGGAAGGGGGAACAGATGAGGTATTGGGCTGGGCCCCTGTGTTCAGGCTGCTGCCCCACCTCATTTAAAGTGAATCATGGAGTCGACCTGAGATTTTCCTCTTCACCACTTTATCAGCAACAGTTTCCCCTTGTTTCTCCCCACTCTACAGGAATGAGGTATGAGGATATCAACTGCAAATAAGCCCACTTAGATCTGGAGGGCCTCTGGGAGGACACAGAGTGAAGCCTATTCAACTGCCCTGGTTGGATCTGCAGGCCTCAAGGAGGTCACCAAGGCCTGATAAAGGACAGCAGGGGGTTGCATTAACTGAAGGAGATGGGGTGCTCTCAGGGTAACTTGGAGAGTGACTAATTATGTCAGATATGCTTCCTCCAGATTTCATTAGAACACGTGGGGAATGCATGAAAATTTACAGCTGCACTCTTAGGCAAAAACCAAGGTTCAGGCATAATTGCTACTAATTATCTCATTGATGAGATTGATTGAGGAAAATATTCTTGATTATCTGCCACATGCTTTACCCTCTAAACCAGAACTTGCCAGGTGACCTTATCAATTATCCATCGAAGTCCATGGCTACATCGCTGTGAAAAACAGTAGGCCATCATCTGACTCCCCACCTTCCCACTCTATCATTGCCTCTCTTGATTCCCTAATATTAATGTGCATAAGAATCATCTGGGGATTCTGTTAAAATGTCCAGAACCCTGAGAGGTTCTGACCTTTTAGTAGGTCTGGAAGAGCACCCAGAAAAATGCATCTTTGGTTTGGTTTTTGTTTTTGTTTTGTTTTGGAGATAGGATTGCATTCTGTCACCCAAGCTGAAGTACAGCCTTGCTGTACTTCATATAGCTCACTACAGCCTCGACCTTCTGAGCTCAAGCAATCCTCCTGCCTCAGCCCCCCAACTAGCTGGGACTACAGGTGCAAAACACCATGCCCAGGTTTGTTTGTTTTTTTTTTTTTTACTTTTATTTTTGTAGAGGTGGGATCTCACTATGTTGCTCAGGCTGGTCTTGAACTCCTGGGCTCAAGTGATCCTCCCACCTTGGCCTCCCAAAGTACTAGAATTATAGGCACGAGCCACCACAGCTAGCCAAAAGCTGTGTTTTTGTTTTTTGCATTTATTTTGTAGTCAAGTGAAGCAGTGGGAGCAGAGAAGGAACAAAGAAATATATAGCTGGTTGTGATTAGTTGAAAAGGTGTGTTTCTAACTAGCACTTCAGATGATGCTAAGGCAGGTGGTCCAGGGTCCACACCAGGCTACATTCTTTCAGAGATGACAGTCTTGGCTTGTAAGACAAGAAACGAGGAGAATTCCAGAACTCTGAATTTTTTAATCACTTAACAAGAAATATAAATGAGTGGAGAGGATAAAAGTGGTCAAAACTGTTCATGATGAAGGAAGTGAGTGGTCTTTACAAAATCACACTGCCCAAAGAGGAACTGCAAATGACTCTTTTTTTTTTTTTTTAATGACTCTTTAGCATAGACTGAAATACCAGCAGTTGGAATAGGGCATCAGCCAGATGGCTGGGGGATGAAGGACATTCTAGTCACCTTGCATGTTAGGCACCGTTGACTAGATAGATCCCTCCTGGTTAAATGATAAATAAATGGAAAACCCTGCAGGATTCAGGGCCGTATAAAATCCTGCAACAAGAAGGGAAAGGTTTCCCTGCTCTGAAGACTTAGGGGAAGAATTTTCTGTAAGAAGCAAATGAAAACTATTGGGTATGCTTATAAAATATTAATGAGGATACAGCTGCATTCTAGATTAACTTAGGATAATTTTTTTTACAAAATTCAAATAGAAGACAAAATGGTAACTTGAATAAATGAGACATATACCATGTTCTATGAAAGAAAAATTCAGTATTATGAAGGTGCCAATTATCACGTTAATTTATAATTGTAATACAATTTCAATCAAAATCCCAATGAGATTGTTTTATCTAATAAAATTCATTTCAAATTAATGTAGAAGAATAGAAAATGAAAATAATTTAGAAAAATTTTAAAGGAAAGGATAATGAGGAAAATCATACCCAACCAGATGAAGTCCACTACAAAGTTATTAATTTTAAAACAGTGCAGTATTAATTGAAGACATAACAAAGAGATTAATGGAAAAAATAGCAGCCCAGAAAAAGATAAATCCCAGGGTATAAAAGAACTTAATATGTGATGAATAAAATCATGATTCGCAATGAGGAATGAATTTAATCAACAAATGATGTGGAGGAAATTGGCTGTTAGGGAGAAAAAAATAAATTTAAAACCTAACTTTACAACATATACCTAAATAAATTCCAGGTGAATTCAATGCTTAAATTTTAAAAATCTTAGTAACACAATACTTTTTAATAAGATGATTTTATCTTATTTATTAGCTACACAGTACTTTTTAATAAGGCAATATTTATTATTTATTAGATGTAGGAAGAATTTCTAAGCCTAAAATTAGATTAAGTTTGAAAGAGCAGAAGTGATAAATTTTACCATAGAAACATAAAATCTTTGGCATAGAAAAATATCTTAATTAAAATGAAAGAGACACTAAAAATGTTTATGACAATAAGGACAAAGTTTTAATGTTCTTTACATGCATTGAATTCCTTGTAAACTAAGAAAAACATTGACTTCTGGATAAAAATGTCAGATTGCACTCTCACTCCCTCTTAAAAATCCAATAAACTGACATTAAAATGTATTTTAGAAGCATAAATCACAAGGATTAAGAGAATGGAGCAGGAGACAATCACAGTAAAATTTTGGAAGTTGAAAAGCAGATATAGATTGGTAACTGATTAAACAGCCGTGGAGAAGCAGAATCTTATGCTAGCAATAGGTAGATGGCAATATTCTGAAAAACACACATTCCAAGGAATTGATTCTTAAAGTGGGATATATGTGAAGCTAAAACAAGTTCAAAGTCCTCTTTAAGCACCAGCCAGGTGACAGTCCTCCCTTCTTGGCAGAAGACTAGGTGTTTATCCTCTGGAAAAGGCAAAATACAGGGTCTCTGGTCCACAAGAAAACAGGTAGATTTGGTTCATGTTAAAAACTCTCAATAAACTAGTTATTGATGGAACATATCTCAAAATAATAAGAGCTATTAAATCCATAGCCAATATCATACTGAATGGGCAAAAGCTGGAAGCATTCCCTTTGAAAACTGGCACAAGACAAGGATGCCTTCTCCCACCACTCCTATTCAACACAGTATTGGAAGTTCTGGCCAGGGCAATCAGGCAAGAGAAAGAAATAAAGTGTATTCATATAGGAAGAGAGGAAGTCAAATTGTCTCTATTTGCAGATGACATGATTCTATATTTAGAAAACCCCATTGTCTCAGCCCCAAAACTCCTTAAGCTGACAAGCAACTTCAGTAAAGTCTCAGCATACAAAATCAATGTGCAAAAATCACAATCATTCCTATACACCAACGATAGATAAGCAGAGAGCCTAATCATAAATGAATTTCCATTCACAATTGCTACAAAGAGAATAAAATACCTAAGAATACAACTTATGAAGGACCACTTCAAGGAGAACTACAAACCACTACTCAAGGAAATAAGAGAGGACACAAACAAATGGAAAAGCATTCCATGTTCATGGATAGAAAGAATTAATATCATGAAAATGGCCACACTACCCAAAGTAATTTATAGTTTCAGTGCTATTCCCATTCAGCTACCATTGACTTTCTTTGCAGAATTAAAAAAAAAAACAGTTTAAATTTCATATGGAATCAAAAAAGAACCCATATAGCCAAGACAATCCTAAGCAAAAAGAACAAAGCTGGAGGTATCACGCTACCTGACTTCAAGCTATACTACAGGGCTACAGTAAACAGCATGGTACTGGTACCAAAACAGACATATAGACCAATGGAACAGAATAGAGACCTCAGAAATAACACCACACATCTATAACCATCTGATCTTTGACAAATCTGACAAAAACAAGTAATGGGGAAAGGATTCCCTGTTTAATAAATGGTGCTGGGAAAACAGGCTAGCCATATGCAGAAAACTGAAACTGGACCCCTTCCTTACACCTTTTACAAAAATTAACTCAAGATGGATTGAAGACTTAAATGTAAAACCAAAAACCATAAAAACCCTAGAAGAAAGCCTAGGCAATACCATTCAGGACATAGGCATGGGCAAAGACTTCATGACTAAAACACCAAAAGCAATGGCAACAGAAGCCAAAATTGACAAATGGGATCTAATTAAACTAAAGAGCTTCTGCACAGCAAAAGAAACCAGCATCAGAGTGAAAGGCAACCTACCGAATGGGAGAAACTTTTTGCAATCTACCCATCTAACAAAGGTCTAATATCCATAATCTACAAGGAACTTAAACAAATTTACAAGAAAAAAACAACCCTATCAAAAAGCGGTCAAAGGATATGAACAGACACTTCTCAAAGGAAGACATTTATGCAGCCAAGAGACATATGAAAAAAAGTTTATCACTGATCATTAGAGAAACGCAAATCAAAACAACAATGAGAAATCATCTCACACCAGTCAGAATGACGATTATTAAAAAATCAGGAAACAATAGATGCTGGCAAGGCTATAGAGAAATACAAACGCTTTTACACTGTTGGTGGGAGTGCAAATTAGTTCAACCATTGTGGAAGACAGTGTGGCGATTCCTCAAGGATCTAGAACCAGAAATACCATTTGACCCAGCAATCCCATTACTGGGTGTATACCCAAAGGAGTATAAATAATTAGTATCAAGACACATGAACATGTATGTTTATTGTGGCACTATTTACAATAGCAAAGACTTGGAACTAACCCAAATGCCCATCAATGATAGACAGGATAAAGAAAATGTGGGACATCTACACTATGGAATACTATATGCAGCCATAAAAAAGAATGAGATCATGTCCTTTGCAGGGACATGATGAAGCTGGAAGCCATCATCCTCAGGAAACTAACACAGGAACAGAAAACCAAACACCACATGTTCTCACTCATAAGTGGGAGTTGAACAGTGAGAACACGTGGACACAGGGAGGGGAATGACACACACTGGGGCCTGTTGGGGGGTGGGGGGCAAAGGGAAGGAGAGCATTAGGACAATACCTAATTCATACGGGGCTTAAAACCTAGATGACGGGTTGATAGGTGCAGCAAACCACCATGGCACATGTATACCTATGTAACAAACCTGCACATTCTCCACATGTATCCTGGAACTTAAAGTAAAATAAATAAATAAATTTTAAAAACAGGTAGATTTGGAAGCAGGGATACCATACTGAACACTGGGGTATAATTTAATGTGTGCATTCTGAACACTAAAACCTCCAGCTCACTTTCCCACTCAGCTTCCAAAATACTTCCAACCAGGCCTTCGCCCTCTAGGCAAGAGACTGGAAGATCCTTTTCTGGAGAATGTGACAAGATGTCAGGAAGAGCATAAAGATGGCTAAATTTGGGCCTCTCCAGCTAGATCATGGTGCCATTTAAAGATTACACTGTGAAATGTGTTCTCTGCAATTTGGTTTTGGGTCATTCCTGCATATCATGTTACAGTGAGCCCAAAGAGAACAAGATCCACTCTCAGGCTCAGAACTTCCAGTCAACCTTTTAGGACTCCACTCTTAAATATATGCAGATATACGAGGATCCCCAACAACAAAGGGAATATGAATAACAGAGACCCAAACAGAGACAGATGAAAGTAACTTCTTCTGCAAGGAGATGATAACTTTAAAAAATCAGTCTCGTTTATGTCTTTGAGAGAGAAGAGAAGATTGTGCATTTCTAAAACATGAACAGGATGCATAAAGAGGAATATTCAGAGAACAAAAAGAGCTCTTAATTCAGAAGAAGAGTTAGAAGATAAAATTGATGTGATTTCTTCCCACCATAAAAAGCAAAAACACAAAGAGATGGAAGTAGGAAAGAAACAATAAGAAAATTAGAGAACTAGTCCAGGAAGTTCAACATGTGAATAACAGGAGTTTCAGGCCAGGCACAGTGGCTCATGACTATAATCCTAGCACTGTGGGAGGCCAAGACGGGAAGATCACTTGAGCCCAGGAGTTCAAGATTTCACCCTATCTCTACAAAAAATGCAAAAATTAGCCAGGCGTATTGGCACATGCCTGTAGTCCCAGCTACTTGGGAGGCTAAGGTGGGAGGATGGCTTGGGCCTAGGAGGTTGAGGCTGCAGTGAGCTGTGATTTTCAAACTTCTGAAAGAAAATTATTTTCAACCTAAAATTCTATACCCAGCCAAGCTACCAATCAAATATGAGAGGAGAATCAAGACATTTTCACACATGCTAAGTCTCACAAAATTAACCTCTCATACATTCTCTCTCAGGGAGCTAAGGGATTATGTGTTTCACCAAAAAAAATTTTTTTTAAGAGGAAGACATGGGAACAAAAGATTCAGCAGAGAAACGACATAAAGGGAACTCCCAGGATAAGGGTGAAGGGGCATCTCTGGTTGACAGCTGAGCACCAAGAATAGACAGCAACTGTTTTAGATTGCAGTAAGTCAGAGAGCTCCAGGAGAGAGTTCATCGAGAAGATGAAGTTCATTCTTCTAATATGAATAAAAATTTTAAGAAGATATTTAGACAATAGGCAGAGCATTTAGAATTGAATTAGAAATAAGTGGACAGAAAATTAAGTATCTCAAAAACAAGAAACACATTAACTCCAGGAAAAACAAAAAGTTGGGCAGGAAAACAACTTTATGATTCAGCTCTGAAGAGCATCATTGTCATTCTAATGTAAACACTGAATGTTGATCTGTGCTGGGATGGTGGGAAGATAGGAGGATGGGAAGTATGCTTGCATGTGGTGGGAGTGAGGGGTAGTGAAAGAACATGAAATTGTCATCATTCGTATTGGCACATCAATCAGTAATAGAAGTGTATTATTTAGAGATACAGAGGAAAATATCTATATCACCAACTAAGAAACGTACGAGTGCTTGCCTCTGCCTAGAAGAAAAGGAGAGGAAGATTCTGGTGGGGAGGGGAAACCTTTCTTATCTGCTACCCTGAGCGTGCCCTGACACCCCAAACTGGCAACAGATTGGGGCCTTTGCTCCAGCTGTCTGTTCTGTTATGCTCCCAAACCAAGCATGCCTGCCCCTTTTGTTGTTATGGCTTTAATGCTGATCATCACAAAGAAACAGACTGCCGAGGCAAAGATTAAAAGCCGGTGAAATCACAAAGGTCACAGAATCTCAGCAGTTGTCTCGAGGCTGGGGCCTTGATCCACAGCTCTGGGCCCCCCTCCCAAGACAGTCATGAGCAGCCTCCTGGACTTTCGCTCTTAGGCACAGATTCAAAGGGTGCAACTCGCAAAATATGCCCTGATACTATTCTAAAAAACATTTTGAATAGTTTTTATTTTTCCCAGTTATAAAACACGTGCACTTTGAAGAAAAGCAAATAGGAAATCAAGGAAAATATAAAGAATAAATTTAAATTACCATAATTCTACAACTCAGAAATAACCATTAATAGTTTGTTCCAATCCTCTTTTGATCTGTAACTAGATAAACTTTATCAGCACACATAAATTATAATACCTTTCATATATGATATGTATCACCCAGAAAAAAAATTAACATTTCTTCCAGTCTTTTTTCGATTTTTCACTAGACAAGTGTATGTCAGCACATCCATAATGTATGTCTCTCATAATCAGGTGTTACACTGGTCACAGTAATAACAGTGAAAAACTTGAAGTAACTTAAGTGTCCTTTAATAAGAAATGCTTAAATAAACCAAAACATATTTATTCTAGGAAATACTAAATGACCAGTGTTTTACAAAGTGCTATTGCAGGAATGTGTTAATTGAAATAGAAAGATATTTACAATGCATTATATATGCTTTTAAAAAGATGGAGCTAGTTTTTTCTACACAATTAAGAAATTTAAAAATTATTTTAAAGAGGGAGAAGATATAAAATTGTATATATAGTATGATCCTTTTTTTAATGTGAAAAATAAATTTTCTGTGCCAGGCACTGAGCAAAGTACTTTATGTGCATTATCTAATTTAATTTTCAAGGTTTGGAAAAATACCAAGTAGTTTCTCCTAATGGGAACAGGAGGTCTCTGAGAGAAGATAAATGGAGATGTTGCCAGAGGTAGGGAGGACAAGGAGCAAGATGAAGTCCCCACTAGGTGGGCACTATGCCCTCTGCACCTAGGGACTTGGAGAGACTGAAGCCCCCAACAGGTTTAGGGTTGGGACGTTGACAGAGCAAGAGCACCTTCATCTCAGACAAACACAGCCACTTTAAGTTCCAGCTCCCTTTCTAGCCTCATGCATTTCAAGGAAATCACTTCTCTTCTAACTATAAGCAGACAGTAAAACACAGATAAGGCAGCTCAGACACAGAAGGAGTCTCTCGGGTAACTGTCAAACTTCACCCTCATACAATGGGCCCCAGTAAAACAGTGGGCCTTAATAATCACATTCCTTTCACTTCAGATGCACTAAGAAAGGGAAGCTAAAAGCAGACTTGGGGAATATGCCTGCAGCTGCAGAAAGATGTATGGGAACAGACACACAACTCTCCCTCCCAAATAAGCACAACAAAAAGACACAGAAGCAGTCCAAGCCTCTGATAAACTCCCGCACAATGAATCCTTAAAAACTCTTAGTCTGTAAAAGAGTGGGGCTCTAACCTAACTCAGCCAGCAGCCCCTCTCAGGTTTGTTTAATGACCCTGTTAACTGTAAACCCACACTTCGTGTTTCTCTCCTCTTTCTTTAATTTCTTACAGATGTGTGAAGTTTGACCAACTTGTGAGTAAATGGCAGAGATGTCACCAGCTGGGGATGGATGCCTCTGGAGCTCCAGTTGCTGGAATCCAACCTCTCCTGTGTCATCACCTCTGTGTTCCCTTCTTGGAGCCCATCCAGTGAATGGGTAAAAAATGATGTCACAAGGACTTTTCTTTGAAATAGGTCAGGAAGGGGAGGAGAGCCTCTGGAATGTGGAATGGGACTGATTAATTCTTGAATTTAAAAGGGTCACTGTGTTTTGAGAAATTCTGGGTGCCTCACAGGACCCAACTTTGTTCCTTTTTCCCCTGAGCTCCCTACATCAAGCAGGGAAGGACCTGCTAAATTGTGGAAGGGCTCCTCCCATGCCTTCCTTGTGGATGACTACCCAACAGAAACCCAGCTTACTCCTCCAAACACATCAGTCCCTCCAGCTTCTCTGATATGGCTGATCACCAGCTTACTCTCCGACCCCTCTGGGCAGAGCCCCAGGGTTGCATCTGGTAACCTAGCTTTCAACAGGGGCAGGGGCAACATGGCTACAGACCCCTGGTGGTGAGCATGACCTTTCTGCAGAACCAGAGGCAGGTACAGAGCTAGGGCAAGGTAGGGCTCAGCCAGCAGGGAAGATGGTAGATGAAAAGGACCCAGGCCAGGGCTGGATGCAGCCAAACTGTATGCAAGTAAGCATGAGACATTGGAGTCGCTTTGTGGCAAGAGTTCTTGCTCCACATTTGAGATATTCCAAGGATAATAGAAAGGGAGACATATCGCCTGGCATCACTCCAGAAAAAGAAATTACCAGAATTATGCAAAAATCATGAATAATTCCAGAGATTAGTTAAAATCTGGAGTTTCACATAGTCAATATTTTCTTCCTCTAGCGATTGCCTTTTAAACTTGATGTCTTCTTTTGAAATGAATGGTGATGCATTCCTTTATGTGAATTTCAGAAGTGAGCACATAAGTAAGGAAGATCTTTAGGGGATACACCTCTAAAGCCATACCAAGGAGGCAGCCATCCACAGTTGAGAATTACAGCTGCTGCCCACCCTGGATGAAGCAGCTGTTAGCTCTTATGCCCAAAACAGTGGCTATTACCTCTCACTTTTCCCTTCTAAGTATTTAACATGGTAGGAAGTGCTAAGATCTTCTGAAGTCTTATTGCAAGATTGGCATTCTTGTTTCTAATCTAGAAAAGTCCATCATTAAATACTGCTTAACCAACAATCAAATTTACTTGGCCTTTAGTTCATAAGCTATCTGTTAGGTTTTACAACCTATCTGTCTCAGGTAGTCACTCATTAGGATCTGAGAGGGAAGCCCATTTGCAGGGGTGAAACCAAACTCAAGTTTATTTCTGCCCCCACCTTAGTCTAAAGACATGAGCATGATTTTATTTCTGAATTGTGTTTCTCTCTTTTCTTTGCATGTTTAATTAGGGTATAAATTCCTTGAACCCTAACTTCTGATTAGTTTGTGCTTTTCACAGAACTTACAAGAAGGCTAGCCCCACAGGCCTTTTCAGTCCTGATTATTCAGTTGAAATAGGACACTTGGCCAGGCGCGGTGGCTCACGCCTGTAATCCCAGCACTTTAGGAGGCCAAGGTGGGTGGATCCCCTAAGGTCAGGAGTTTGAGACCAGCCTGGCCAAAATGGCAAAACCCTGTCTCTACCAAAAATACAAAAATTAGCTGGGCATGGTGGCACGCACCTATAATCCCAGCTACTATGGAGGCTGAGGCAGGAGAATTGCTTGAATCCAGGGGGCAGAGGTTGCAGTGAGCCCAGATGGTGCCACTGCACTACAGCCTGGGCAACAGAGCAAGACTCTGTCTCAAAAAAAAAAAAAAAAAAAAGAGAAAAAGAAAAAAGAGAGAGAGGAAGGAAGGAAGGAAGGAAGGAAGGAAGGAAGGAAGGAGGACACTTGGTCGACTTCTCTGTCAACATCAGAGGTGTCCACAATATTAGAGATGGAAGGGACTTTTCGATACTATCTAGTTCATCCTGTTTAATTTGCAGATGAGAAACTCGAGCCTTAGAGAGGGTTTATGATTCATCCAAGTTCCCACAGCACAGAGCTAGAATTCAGCCCTCTAGTTTCCAAACTTGAAGCTTTTCCATAATTAAAATTAACATCACCTCAGGTTTGGGTGAAGGGCTCCCCCATTCATAATAGCTCTGTGTTTATAATTCTTCATGGGGCAGGGGCTGGGGTGGGGGCTCCTGAGTATCTCCGCAGGGGGTTAACAAGGCCTCTCTCTCTACTGCTACTGCAACGTCTTACATTGTGAGGCTAATCATGGAAGGGAGGGGTCTGTATTTTAGGGGCCTGAGAGACAGACCAGAGTGAACCCTTGGAAGACATCTTGGCTCACAGAGATAGTGACAAAGAAGGAAGAGGGGGAAGGGAAGTCACTTTTCCAAGAGGGAGGAACTGGCCTCCCATCCTCTACAGAACACAGGGAGAGCCTAAGCACTGTCATGTCTCCTGGAAATGACTGGCAAAGGAAGTAGTTTGGGAAGTACTTTGATTTGATTTAGACAAAAAGACCATTCTAGGAATGAATATTTTCCTCCAGATGCTGCCTAGATTCCATCTACTTTGGAAATAACTAGCCAACCTTAGTCTACACTTTTGTAGCTTTGATCAGATAATTAAGACTAATTGCATATTCATTGTTCCTGCCGAGTCATTTTCTCTTAAGACAGGCAGAAGCACATTGTGGGGAATGTTTTCCATTTTCCTTTGCAACCCCAGAGCGGAGCACAGGCTTGGCGCAGATCAGGTAGAAAGTAGAATTACAGTGATGGGCCCCTCCCTTGCATAGTTCCTTCCAAAGCCTAGATAGGAGTCTAGCAATGTGTTCACTAACCATACACATTTGTAAAATCTGTAAAAGCAAAAGGTTTCAGCTGCCATTGGCTTCAACAGCTGTCTCTGTCCACTTTGAGCTCCCTAACTCTAAACCATGGCTCAGATGGCGTTTGAAAGGCCACGGGATTTGGCTAATAGGGAGTCAAGTCAGGATACATTTAGTTAGAATGTAGTGGGATATATTAATGCGGTTGCAGACCACTGACCCACCTATGTATAACGAATTTATTGCTAGCCTTCCTGGTATAATCACGGTTTCCAGCAATTCTCCTAACACCCACTGGGCCAGTCCACCCGATGTCATGACATAATGGTGCAGGACCAGAGGCCACATTAGGATACGAATATGTCCTCTAGCACCTGACACTTGACGTATGCAGATAGTGGATGACAAACAAGGTTTGAAATGTATGGAGCCAGAAGCTATCTGTGGAAAACTTGACAATCATCAGATATGCAAAATTGCCAGAGATTTGGTTGTTATTGATGTCTAGGCAAAAATGGACATTTTCTCCTATCAGGAATATACATAGGAATGCAGCATATAAACTTATGAATGCACTATGCACTTAAACATTTTTTGACAGGAATCAGGTCCACAGAACTCCTGTGTTTGTAAGGCACAAATCTATAGCAGTACCACAGTCTGCATGGAAAGTCGTAATGAGGCATCCCAGCTAGCAGTAATAACAAATAAACTTGGACTAACCCATCCTAGAGGAATGACTGAGTTATCTTTCCTTTTTTCTGCAAAATGAGGTCATTGAAGAGATGAAACCATAAAATGTAGAGGGAGAAAGTATTATAGGTGACTGTCAGATGGTTAAATAATAAAAATGTCATGCTATTTTCTGAAATGTGTGACATTTGTAGTATTTATCTGTTTTTTAACACCTGTAATTTGTTGTGATTACTTTCTTAAATCTAGACAAATATTCCCTTTTGTGCACAATTTTATATGTGTAATTTTCTGTTCTTTTTCTTAAAGGGGACACCAAAAACCATCTAAGCTTCAGGTTGTGCAAAACTCACTCTCTCCTTGGACTGGAAGCTAAATAAACATAAAGGAAGGAACACTGGACTAATAGGTTTGCAGGGAGGGAGGAGAATAAGAAAGATCAAGAGGACCTACAAAGAGAAATTTCCCAAGAAGGTGGTAACCTAAAGAAGCCACTGTGTGAGGTTCTAGGGAATCATGATGGGGTAGGGAATGGTAGTGGAGAGTGTGAAAAAAGAGGATGTGTGGAAATGAGGGAGGAATGGTCTCCAAAGACACATTTCCTGGCTTCACAATTTTGTCCAGGCCAGAGTAATAGAGCTCCATTTTACTCGGGCTAACTTTAGCAGCCTACATATGAACACAAGGGACTTGATTTTTTTATTTTAAAAAAGGGATTCCACTGATTATACCAATTGAGCATCTCAATGATACTGTAAGGGAGCAAAGGCACATATACTCATTAGCTGCATTTCACAGGTCCCAAACCACAGTGAATGTCTGCTGTCTTGTCTACCCAGAGCAGAATTCCTCTACTCTGCTTCATTGGGAAATCTTCCCGAATGGGAGTTGCCATATTTGTTGCCCAGGCAGCTCCAGGGCTGGGCAGTGGAGCTCTCCTGGAATTTTACAATGGGGGACTAGCCAGAGCAGCCCTCACTTGCTTTTGGGTGGTAAGTGGGAGGATGTCTAGGAGTGCTGCCTGCAGTCATGTTGTGATGGTTGAATTTATGGTTCAACTTGACCAGGCTAAGGGCTGCCCAGATGGCTGGTAACATATTGCAGGGTGTGTCTGTGAGGGTGTCTCTGGAAGAGATTATCATTTGAATTGGTGGAGTGAGTAAAGAAGATCACCAATGCAGTGGGCGTCATCCTATCCATTGGGGATCCAAATAGAACGAAAGGCAGAGAAAGACTGGATTCTCTTGCTCTCTTCTTGAGCTGGGACAGCCGTCTTCTCCTGCCCTCAGACACTGGTACTCCTGGTTCTCAGGCCTTCAGACTCAGACTGAAACTTATAATGCTGGCCTCCTACCCCAACCTCACATCCAGGCCTTTGGACTCAGCCTGAACCACCAGCTTTCCTGGTTCTCCAGCTTGCAGGTAGCAGATCATGGGACTTTGGCCTCCATAATTGTGTGAGCCAATTCCTGAAATAAATCTCCTCTTCATATATCTCTATATATCCTATTGGCTCTGCTTCTCTGAGAACCCTGACTAACGCACATGTGCAGGAAGCCTGTCTGCAAGTAGGAAGCACAGGCACTGGCAGAGTAATGAAGAGATGGTCCTGTCCTCCAACCAGAAGAGAGCCCCCTGCACTTGGCCCAATGCCTTAGAGGGTCTGCTCTAGCTTCTCAGGGAGGAGTCTGCAGGGCCAAGGGGATGTGCTCCCCTGAGGTCTGTGTCCCTCTCCCCTTTGAGTCCCCGAAATTCTGTGCCCAAATGGCCCTGGGCCTCTTCCAGAGGCTGCTTGTGTGTCTTCTCTAGGTCCATCCTGCTGAGGGCAGGCAATGATGCAGGTGCGCACACCCCAAGGATGGCCATGGGCCAGCTGTTTGGGGGCAGCTATTTGGGGAGTCCATTGTCATGGGGGCGAGAAAAGAAGTTGGATGTGCAGGTTGGGGTGTCCACATCCACATATGTGAGACCATTTGTGATTTGGAGTAAAGCTTGGAGAGAGAAGTGGGAGGCTGCAGGCTGGGGACTGGCCCTTGCCATGTTGCCAGGCTCCAAAGCAGAGGTCTAACGAGGCAGAGGATTCTCAGTTCAAACCTGGCCTTCCAGGCAGAATGATGAGAACATGTTTTATTTCAGAGTTTGTCAGCTTGGTTTATAACTTACCAATATTTAGACACAGAGTATGTGGGTCTCCATTTGTACTTGTACCGAGGGTCTTGCAAATATTAGGGGCAGGCTTGAGCAGAGTCAAGAGACAGAGAAGATCCCGGCAGCATTTGAGTCCCTGGTTCGTGTTCCTGCGGCTTGGATGCACCCCTGCGTTTCTCTTGTTTTAACCTTATCAGTTAATAAAGCATACATTTCTGCCTAAGCTGATCTGGATTTGTGTTACTTCCCATCAAGGATCCTAGCCAATGTGGAGAGTAAGTGATGGAGCTGAAACTTGAACCCAGGCTCTGTCTCCTAACCCTGTGCGCCCTCCCTTACTCCACACCAGCTTCCCAGCCATCTCTCCAGCCATAAGCCAAGAAAGCCTTGCTGGCACCCTGGCAGGTAAAAGTCAGAACCCATGGGGAACAATTTTACCTACCTGACCCCTAAAAACACTTGCAGGAGCATGCAGATGCTGGAGCAAAGAAAATGGTGCTGATGAGGTAGCTCTGTGTCAGGGGGTCCTGCTGCAGGCACAGGTCCTTGGCCAGGATGAATGGCACCGCCATGAGGCCCCCCAGGGCTGTGAGGAAGTGCTGTGGGCAGAGAGTGAGAGGAGCAGGCATGTGATGTTGTGGCCTCCAGCTCCACTCTCATTCCCCAAACCAGAGAGTGCCCAACATTAACAGGGGTGCCTTTCCCACTGCTCTGAGAGTCACCTGGCCATGAGTAACAAGCGAAGACCAGGCAGGCAGGGGGAATGAGGAAGGCCTGATGGTGAGAAGCAGGGACCCAGCCACAGGGACTGGCCTCAGGAGCAGGCACCCAGCTCCAGGAACTCATATCCTGGGGAGGAAACCAAGGTAGGGAGGCAAGCATAGGAGGGGGTAACAGGAACCAAGACAGGGCCTTAAGAACAAGAGCAAGGCAAGAGGCTCGTTATTAAACAAGGCCCACTGTGAGAGCAGACCATCTACAAGGAGGGCCTGAGCATGAGCTTGCAGCCATTGGCCAAAGGCTACTGGAGTTTCACCGGACAGGACAGAGTTAGACCCAGAGCTCAGGGTAGGGCTGAGCCCACAGCAGGCAGCCTCAGCTATAAAGAAGGTAAATTAAATATAAATGCCAGATTGACCAATTGACTGATAGATATGGGGCAACCAGTCAACACAGAAATGGGCCACTGATATGGTTTGGCTATGTCCCCACCCAAATCTCATCTTGAACTGTAATCCCCATAATCCTCTTGTGTCAAGGGAGGGACCCCGTGGGAGGTGATTGGATCATGCGGGCAGTTTCTCTCATACTGTTCTCGTGATAGTGAGTGAGTTCTCACAAGATCGGATGGTTTTATAAATGGAAGTCTCCCATCCCAGCGCAGTGGCTCATGCCTGTAATCCCAGAACTTTGGAAGGTCGAGGCAGACAGATCACCTGAGGTCAGGAGTTTGAGACCAGCCTGGCCAACATGGTGAAACCCCATCTATACTAAAAATGCAAAAATTAGCCAGGTGTGGTGGCAGGTACCTGTAATCCCAGCTACTCAGGAGGCTGAGGCAGGAAAATTGCTTGAACTTGGAAGGCAGAGGTTGCAGTGAGCCAAGATGGAGCCACTGCACTCCAGCCTGGGCCACAGAATGAGACTCAATCAATCAGTCAATCAGTGGGAGTCTCCCCTGGGCTTTTCACTTTCTCTGTTTTGCCTGCCACCATGTAAGACATGCCTGCTTTCCCTTCTGCCATGATTGTAAGTTTCCTGAGGCCTCCCTAGCCACGAAGAACTATAAGTCAATTAAATTTCTTTGTTTTATAAATTAATCAGCCTCAGGTAGTATCTTTATAGCAGTGTGAAAATAGACTAATGCAGACTCTGTCTCACACACTCTAGCCCCAGAGCTGAAAGGTTGGCTGGGTCTAGGGGTACATTTGTGGGCTGTTGTCAGTTTTGTTCTGAGCCACACTAACTGGCCAATATATGGCTCCAGTCCCCACACGAATCTGGCCACTGAGCCAAACATTCTGAGAACAGACATGTGAAGCCACCTGCTTCTCTCCTTCACTTCGATGCAACCGGCTCTCTGATACCTGAGGCCAGCATTTCCACAGGGTCTCATGTTCCTAGTGCTAGTAGAATCACTCTGGTTTGGCATCTGCAGGAGCAGCCAATGTCCCACTGCAGGTTTACCCAAGAGTATAGGCTCTCTAACTCATCCCCTAAGAATACAGCATAAATCAAGCAGCAGATGTAGGCTTGGTTTATAAAAGTTAGTTGTTGGGTCAGTCAAGATAAAAAATGAAAGAAGAGAAGGAAGGAAAGAAGGAAGAGAGGAAGGAAGGAAGAAAAGGAGGAAGGGAGAAAAAGAGAGGAGAGGAGAAGAAACAGGGAGAGAGAGGGAAAAAAGGGAAAGAAAACAAGAGAAGGAAAGAGAGAGGAAGGGAGAATAGGGAAGGAGGGAGGGAAGGAGATGGAAGGAAGAAGAAGGAAGAGGAAGGAAGGAAGAAAGGAAGGAAGGAAGGAGAAGAAAGGATGGAAGGAAGGAAAGAGATGGACAGACAAATTGTGGTCATCTAAAAATTGGCTGACCCCTTGGGAAAGACGATAAGGGGGCAGGGGAGCTTCAGAGAAGAGGTGCCTACGTGTTGCAGGGGCACTTTGACAATCCTTGCCATTGTTCCTACAGTCCTTCATGGTCTCTCATAGATGTTCTTGGATCTGCTACCCACTAATTCAGTGCAGACCATAATATTCTCCAGGCCAAGAATCCACCAGTGTTAGATTGCCCATCTCATATCCTGCCCAGAAGCACTGGCTATAACCACCCTTATAGACAGGGCCAACTTCCCCTCATTAGCAAATAAATCTCTTGATCGTACAGGCATTTTCTTTTCTTTCTTCCTTTTTTTTTTTTTTTTTTTTTTTGAGATAGAGTATCATTCTGTCACCCAGGCTGTAGTGCAATGGCGAGATCTTGGCTCACTGCAACCTCCACCACCTGGTTTCAAGCAATTCCCCTGCCTCAGCCTCCTGACTAGCTGAGATTACAGGCACCTGCCACCATGCCTAGCTAATTTTTGCATTTTTAGCAGAGACGGGGTTTCACCATGTTGGCCAGGCTGGTCTCAAACTCCTGACCTGAAGTAATCCACCCGCCTCGGCCCCACAAAGTGCTGCGATTACAGGCATGAGCCACCGTGCCTGGCCTTTTTGTTGTTGTTGTTGTTGTTTTGAGACAGTTTTACTCTGTTGCCCAGGCTGCAGTGCAGTGGCACAATTTTGGCTCACTGCAACCTCTGCCTCCCAGCTTCAAGCAGTTCTCCTACTTCAGCCTCCTGAGTAGCTGGGATTACAGGTGCAAGCCACCACGCCCAGCTAATTTTTGTATTTTCACCATGTTGGCCAGGCTGGTCTCAAACTCCTGACCTCAAGCGAACTGTCTGCCTTGGCCTCCCAAAGTGCTAGGATTACAGGTATGAGCCACCTTGCCTGGCCACCAGGCATTTTCATGGAAGCTGAACTTGGAAGAGAAGTTATCATCCGCAGGGCTTGCTCTAAGGAAGGAGAACTGGCCTGGCACCTCTCACCTCCTCCAAGAGAACTGGACCTTTAACCAGCCCAGTGAACCCACCTAGGAGAAAAACGGGCCAGCCAGTCTTGGATATGGCCAGTCAATGCAGTACGAGGGAAAATCCTCCTCTAATCCTCCACACCCCTCCCCACACCCCTGGAGAGAAAGAGACTGCAGGAGCTTTGAGTTCCCGCGAGAGGTCAACGTGGGAGACAAAACAACTTCATTTGACCTGACTATACGTTGATGTGGTTTTTGAGGCAGAGCCTCTTCGGGAGGAATTACCTGAATCCCCAAGAAGATACAGAGATAACATGGCAGGATGTCCAAGATGTCATAGGCCAGGCAGCTGCTGCGGGACTCCCGGGCTGCCTATCTGTCCTCCTGCCTTGGCCATAGGTTGGGAGCTGAGCACGACATCACTCCTCTGCTGGGAACAAGAAAAGGACACGTCTGGGCATTTCAAGAGGGATCAAGTGGACTTTCTGATTTCATCCAGGCAGACGGCCTTCAAAACGCAAGAGGCAGTGGGATGGGGACAACTGTTGGCCAGCTAGGGATTTTAGGCGCAGACTCAAAAGAGCAGTGGCTTCCTATGCTATGATCTGCAGCAGGGCCTCTGTGTGAAGTCTGGGGCCACACGAGGGGAGTGGGCACCTTACCCGATGCCTCGGCAGAGGAGCAGCTTTGTGGGAGAGGAGATGGGGCCAACTCCAAGATCAGAAAATGGGTAGTTTTCCCACACGGACCAGTGTTTCCAACTGCCAAAGTCCTCCTCACAACATGTTTATCATAATGGGCGGCTTCCTTACCCATCCCTTCTGCTGGAATGTCAGTTTCTAGCATGCATGGATTGTTTCTCACTCTTCTCACTCATCCCAGCTTCTAGTGAAGCCCCTGTGCTCAGTGTAGACTGAACGAATGAATGTAACACTGTAAATGAGTACTGTGCATACAGAATGATAGCCAACTTGCATTCCTCTCGGCGTAACCAAAATTAACTTTGAGTTATAGACCTTCCCTTCAACTTATTGGTGGGATAGCTTACTAACTGGGCCCCTTCCTTATATTTCTGTCTCAGTTTTCTGAGCTATATAAAAGAAATGTCAATAGCACGTACCTCATAGATGGATGAGAAAATCAAATTGGAGCATGACCGCATAGCCTAGCGCCTGGCACAGTGTAATTGCCCCATCAATATTAGCTGATCTAATTACTCTGAGCTTCCATATTTCCATATGTTCAAAGGGCTTTGCACATGTGCTTAAGGCCAACATTTGAGCATCTGGTCATGAGTGAGAAGAACATGACAGCATTGTCTCTGGTGTGGCCAGAAGCTAGTAAGGCCACCAATATGAAGATCAGGCCACTCTATGTGATGTGCTTCCACAGGGTTCTAGGCACCAGCCAGATCACAGAAGGCAGGTCTCTACAATGTCACAGCCTGAGGATAGTGCGGGCTTCCCATGGAGACAGTTCTAGAGAGAATGTTGAGGTCATCCACTCCAATGCCCAGCTCCCTGCCTACATGTCCTTTACATCAGCCCAGCCTCAGAGAACAACTTCCGGAGCAGGGCCACGTTATGATGCTCACAGGCACTAAGCACTTGGACTCTGTGGGCCCCTTCCTCCATAGAAAATACATTTAAAATTGTATTTGGAAGCTGGGCATGATAGCTCACTCCTGTAATCCCAGCACTTTGGGAGGCTGAGAAGGGCAGATCACTTGAGCTCAGGAGTTTGAGACCAGGGCAAGACCCCATCTCTACAAAATACACAAAAATTAGCCAGTGTGGTGGTGCACACCAGTAGTCCCAGCTACTCAGGAGGCTGAGGTAGGAGGATCACTTGAGCCCAGGAGTTGAGGCTGCAATGTGCCGTGATTGTGCCACTGTACTCCACTCCAGCCTGGGCAACAGAGCAAGGCCTTGTCTCAAAAATAAAATAAAATATTATATTATATTTGAGGACTACATTGGTGTAAAGATGAATATATATATGTATATATATGTGTGTGTATATATACATATATATATATGTAGTATTTTTAGTAGAGACGGGGTTTCACCATATTGGCCAGGCTGGTCTCGAACTCCTGACCTCAGGTGATCTGCCCGCCTCGGCCTCCCAAAGTGCTGGAATTACAGGTGTGAGCCACTGCACCTGGCCTATATTAATATATTAAATCCTTTTCTTTGACCTTAAAGTGCATATATTCCTTCCAATTTTAAAAGAAATGAGGACATATTCATGGGTCCTGGGCACCGTGCTTCCTGCACCTAAATGGATTAGCAGCTCCGCTCTGCAGAAGCAGGAGCAGGAGATGAGATGGGGGTGGGGGTTACCACTAGCTTTGATGTGGAAAGAGGCAAGCAAGCCACCAGAAGAACTGGGCAGTCATCCCCTACCGTCTCCAGGAGATCACTGTGCTAAGGAAACATTATATTCTAAGCAGAGTTCCTCAGACTCTCGGCACTATTGATGTTTTGGACTGGACGATTCTTTGTTGTGTTGTGTGGTTGGTGGCATGGGTGCTGTCTTGTGCATGATATTATGCTAAGCAGCATACTGGCCTTACCCATGAGATGCCAGTAGCACTCCCTCCCCCAACATGTGACAACCAAAAATGCCTCCAGACATTGTCAAATATCCCCTGGGGGTCAAACTGCCCCCCATTAAGAACCACTATTGTGAGAGCATTGGTCCCCTCAAGGAAGCCCTAACTTTGGGACGGTGCTGGGTGGAAAGGATGGGGAGGTGAGTGGAGTGGGTAGCACCCTGTCCTGTGTGGAGATAAAGGAAGCCAGTCCCTCTCCATGGGGGCCGAGCACTGGCAAATGCTCATCCTAATTCCTTCCCAGTATACTCCTGCAAAGCCCTGTTGCAGGGATGGAGGAAGCCTGGCATTGCACACCAAGAAGAACCCAGGGCTAAGGTCCAGGATCCTGATATGGGGTCTACTGACCTGGCCCTGGTTCAGCTCTGCAGGATCATTTGGTTCTCATTACAAATCAGCATTTGCTCATTCATCTCGTTAACACTAGGTCCTAAAACATCTATGTAAGAGTTTTGCTTCAGCTCATCTATTTAGTGACTGCTCATCTACTCCAGGAAGCCCTCCCTGACTCCACCGCAGCCAGCCTCAGACTAGAGAAGGTCTGTCCTTCCTCAGGGGCTCCTACAGAATCATGAGCATGTTTACCACAGCCCCAGACACTCATATCATAATCCTATGATTCCTTACCCAAAAGACTGTATAGTCCCGTAACTTCTCTATCTCCATCCCTAGTACATAGTGCTCTTGGCACTGATGAAACGAATGAACAAATATACAAACAATGACTATGGAGAATCTTTCTAACTGATTTTTAAAAATAAATCTCTAACTTTAGCTGGTTGGAACTCATCTGAAACATCATGCCTACTCTCTTTAGACTTCTAGGGAAAAAAGGATGTATTGAGGCTGCTTGGAACACGGGATGCACGTGGAAGAAATCTGCTTTTCCTAAAGTGGTCAAAGCCGAGCCAAAGGTAGACTGGAGGGAGCTCTGGATCCTGAGTGCTTATGCTGAGATTTCAGTGAATGTGTGTAGGAATCCACAAGGAACAGTGAGAAAATTCACGATTGAGGAAAGAGGAGGGGGAGAGGGAGATGGAGTGATTGACCGATGGATTCTGAACAGGCAAGTCACAGAGAAGCAGCAGCAGTTGGGCCAATGTGATTCTGTCACCCCCCAGCTCAGCAACCACAAGCACCTGACGTCGCCTCTCCCAGCCTGTCTCCCCCTCTAGAATCTGGAGGGGTCATAAGGATGCCCGCAGGCTAGCATACATGCAACATGTGTGCCATCCACTTGCGCATACTTGTGAATGAGCTCACAGGGCCGTGGCCGCTCCAGCTGTGTGTGTCGTGCCAGCAAGCTCACATCGCACCCTCTCCCAGGACCTCTAGGAATTCTCAGGAAGGTGAAGGCGAGGGAGACAGCATGACGGGGAAAAAATGTGGGCCCTAACCTACTTGCCTTTTTTTCCCCAGTAGAGCAGGAGCCAATGTCAAAGACTGTTCAGTCTGATGATCTCTGAATCATCTAAGGTCTGTCCATATCAGTGTGGACCATCGGAAGGTCGTGGAAACCACTTCTGCATCTGCTTTAAAACAGTTTTCTGGGAAATGGATCCTACCTGAGGGTCCACATGAAAAAAAATTAGAACATAGAACCGGGAGACACCTTGCCTTCCCTGAGAACAGCTGGTCCTTCCCGTGTGAAGAGAGTGTGACCAAGAAGCCCACCAGCCAGAACTGGTAGAAAGCTCAGAGCCTGGGAGAATACTTTGAGCTCAGTGATACCAGCCCTTCTCTGAACATACTCATTTTCCTCTCCTTTCTGTGTGCTTGATTGTTTATCTCTGTATTGTTCACCTAATTGTTTATAAATATACCTTTTGTTGTAAACTTCCTCAAGTCATCTAGGCAAAGAGGGGGGCATAGAAATGAACAGCAGGGACACAGGATGCTAAGAGTCCTGTGTGTCGGTGAGGAAGGGCTTAAAGACATTCACAGAAACAAGGAACAGCCCGGAGATAGCTTAGAGCCGGGTTTCTCAGTTGCGAGCAGGAGATGCCTCATCTCAGAGCATATGAGAATATGGGTAGGCCAGGCACGGTGGCTCACGTCTATAATTTCAGTGCTTTGAAAGGCCGAGGTGGGAGGATCTTTTGAGCCCAGGAATTCGAGACCAGCCTAGGCAACATAGGGAAACCCTGTCTCTACCAAAAAAAAAAAAAAAAAAAAATCAAATATATACACACATATATATATATATACATACATATACACACACACACACACACGTGTATGTGTGTGTGTGCGTATGAAGTACTTTTTAATTCCACAGAATCCCTTGCTGGGAGGAGTCTGTGTGTGTGACTCAAAGCAGCAGAAGAAAGCTTGCAAGCCCCTTTTTGGAGGAAGAATGAATTCTTCATGAAGCACTTCCCGACATTGAGAATGGTATGAGAATATGAGCCATAACCTCCTCTTCTGGTTGGAGGAGTCTGTCAACTCAATGCATGGATTGTAATTTTACCATAAGACTTGATCAAAAGAGGCATCCTGATTGAGGTTTGGAATTTTATAGCACTTTACAGTTTACAAAGAGTTTCCAATACATCTCGTTTAGGCCAGGCGCAGTGGCTCATGCCTGTAATCGCAGCACTTTGGGAGGCCAAGGCAGGTGGATCATTTGTGGTCAGGAGCTCGAGACCAGCCTGGCCAACATGGTGAAACCCCATCTCTACTAAAAATACAAAAATTAGCCTGGAGTGGTGGTGCCGGCCTGTAATCTCAGCTACTTGGGAGGCTGATGCAGGAGAATTGCTTGAACCCAGGAGGCAGAGGTTGCAGTGAGCCAAGATTGCACCACTGCACTCCAACCTGGGAGACAGAGTGAGACTCTGTCTCAGGGGGAAAAAAAGAAAACATCTCATCGAAGACTCACCATCATCTTATTGCTTCCCTCTGACAGATGAGGAGATTGAGGCTCCCTGAGGTTACAAGGCTTGTCTGAGGTCCACCAGAGGAGGAAGGTTCCACATAGGGACAAGTAGAGTTGAGGTCTGTCATCTGGTGTGGCCCTGGGCATACAGAGACAGTCCTCCAGCTCCCGGGAACAGACTAGCAGAGCAGGAGGCGGCACTGATGTGCAGAGAGCAGTAATGACAAGGCTGGGGATTTCTTGGGGGAAGGTGAATGCCTTTCCCCCTCTGACACCATCTATACCCAATACAGCCTTTCCTTCTTTCCAGCCTCCAAGGCTCACCTGACCTAGGCTCGTTTCCTAACACTCCCGTTCACCTGGCTCTCCCCAGTGGGTTTGTCCAGGTTTCTCCCAATGTGGCTTCCATGGTCCTGCCTCAGTGCCTTTTGTCACCCTGGGCCCCCCTCCATCTCCACCACCTGCTTCTTGTACTCGCGGCCTCCTTGGAAGAGCTCAAATTCCTCCCCCGTCACCTTTCCTGATTCCCCACCTGCCTGTGGCCTTTATCTCTGGTGCATCATGTGCCATTTTCTGCCTTGTATCAGAGATATTTTTCAGATGCCGCCTCTTCCTGCTTTTGCCTAGCTGGGCCATAAGCTTTCAGGGTCGGGAAGGTGCCTTCCCCCAGTTTATAACCCAGTTCCAGCAGAGCAACGTGCTCCCCAAAACCAGCAGCATCTCAGAATGGTGACTTCGTCATCTGGGTGCTGCTCTGAGGCTGTGAGAAAAACAGCAGGAAGAAAGGCCACTGAGAAGGAGAGGGATAGGTGCCCAGAACCCCCACTCTCAAGTTTGCCTCAGGGAAGCCAGAAATGTAGGAACACACAACTGTCTCCAGAAAATGGAATCTTCAACTCATTTCCCAAGTTTTTGTGTCGTTGCTGTTTAGGGGTTGTTTTTGGCTCCCGAGAGCTAGTGGCACCTCCGCTGAGTGACGTGAGTTCTTTGGTGCCTCCCACACTTTCTCAGAAGAGAATGCATGTGGCTCTTTGCTGGAAGGCTGACCAGCAGCAGGCAGGGGCCGGCAGCCATGCTCCAGGGAAGCCTGAGAGCCCAGCCTGGATCGTGGGTGGTCCCTGTCCCCAGACATCTGGCCTGGGCCTGATTAGGGCTACAGAACTGGCCCATGCAGTGGGTATTGGCAAGAACAGAGGGTCTTCCCGCCCGGGTCCACCCTGTTATGTTCAAGTGGCCAAAACAAGTTGGAGGGGGTGGTGGGGCCAGGGCTCAGGGCCCAGCTAGACAGATCATCAGATGAGTCACTGTGACTTGACTTCTCTGGGCCTCAGGTCTCTCATCTGTAAAATGGGAACAGAAGTGCCTGTTTCCATTGGCTTGTTTGGAAGAAAATAAAGTTCAGAAAGTGCTTAGGGCATACTGGCTGCTCAATAAAAGTGACTTCTTTCTCTCTCACACTTTGCTTCCATTCAGAGAAAGCTTCTGAAAAGAGAAACTGAAATGCAACCTGGAAAACAGGCCTTCAGATTCAACAGATCCACCCTGTGCATTAGGGTGTCGCAAACGGGATCAGTTGCTGGGATTACCAGGAAATCCAATCTTCTAAATCTTCCCCCCTCCTTTGTAATTTACCGTTTATTCGGGGCGGATTCTGTGTCTGTTGTGATGGTGACCACAGGTGACACTAAGGGGCACTAACGCTGGAGGTGGGGAGGGAGTGCTGCATGGGTCTCATCATCTGAACCCTGATCTAAAGCATGAGGCTAGGCCTTAGCACTAAGAAGGAGTCAGGGCAGTAGGACCTCCCCGCAGCCCTTCTTCCTGCTCCCCATCTTTCTCTCCCTCTGTCTCCCACCGGGCCTTACCGAGTAAGTGGAGTGCTCACGGCTAGTGACGGCGGAGTTCATGGCAACTGGGGTCTTCTTCTGGCTTCCTCTGGGGAAGCAGGACAGGGAACACCAAAAAAAAAAAAAAAAAAAAAGTGAAGCTGCCTCAGGAGCCAGAGATTAATTTCTCTAGGCAGGACTCTGCACCAAGGGCGGGTCCTGGGACTACCCAGGCAGCCCTCAGGAGGGAGGGGCCTCCAGCTCCTACGTGCCTGCTCCTCTAAAACAGACTCCCGCTCCAGCCTGTCCTGCAGGGAACCAAGGTGCATTCGGTTGCAGGAAATGTTTCATAAGTTTCGGTAGCTGCAGAGGAGTTAATGATCCCCCACAGCACTCAGGAAACCAAGGGGAGGACAGCCCATCAGGGTGTAGCAGAAGAGCACTTTCTGGAAACCAGGTTCGAGGGGGCAGAAAAGGAGGGGGATGAGGGTGAGGCTCTGGCTGGAACATCGAGGCTTTTCCATTTTCTAAGCTGATTCCTTGTGACTGGTTGAGCTGAATGGAAATCGTTGCAAAATAGCTGGAACAGCGTGACCCCTGAGATGCCTAATGAGATGATTAATAGGGAAGAAGATTACGCCTTGTCCTGGCCACAGCTGCTAAGGCTTATGGGTAGGGCAAAGGCCTCACAAGGCTCAGGTGAGAGCCTGAGAGACAAATGCTTCTAATCCTTCATGCTTGTTTCCCAAAGACCCAGAAACACCTGATAATCTGCCTTCTAAAGACAGAAGTCCAGGAAGGTGTAGTTTCGCTGTTATTCTGCACAGAACACTTGAAAGCCCGTCCTCAAAAGCTCTTGATCAAACCCCACTTCATGAAGTCCAAAGCAAGCAAATACCAGCTCCTCATGGTGGCAGAATGTTCTGGAAAGGGTGGCACTGGCTCCCAAGGTTCACGAAGTGCATGACAGGACCCACATAAAGTCAACGGGAGTTGGTCCAAAAGGAAGCCCTGAAAAACATGACGATGAGATTGTGGAAGGAAAATAAATCTTGGGACCCCAAATCACTAAGCCAAGGGCAAAGTCAAGCTGGCCTCAGGCAAACCTGCCTCCCATTTTTTCCTAAATAAGATAGCTGCAAAGATAAAAACGCTGCATACCTCACTCGCAATTTGCCCACGAGGAAACTCCTTGTGGACCTCAAGATCTTTACCCTGAAACAGCTCTGTGGAATTTCACCCTAGGAGTATAAACTGACAGCTGATCTTCATAGGTGCAGGACAGAAAGTCATCCCTCTGCTCACCAGAGACAAATACATGTCTGATTGCTTCCTCTGCCCTATTGTTTATGTAAAAATGCAGATTCTGGCTGGGCTCACACCCATAACCCCAACACTTTAGGAGGTCCAGGCTGGTGGATCACTTGAGGTCAGAAGTTCGAGATCAACCTGGTCAACATAGCGAAACCCCATCTATACTAAAAATAAAAAATTAGCTGGGTGTGGTAGTGCACACCTATAGTCCCAGCTATTTGGGAGGCTGAGGCAGAAGAATCACTGGAACCCTAGAGGCGGAGGTTGCAGTGAGCCAAGATGGTTCCACTACACTCTAGCCTGGGCAACAGAGCAAGACTCTGTCTCAAAAAAGAAAAAAAATGCAGATTCACTGAGCCAAACTAAATTATGTATTCAGTGAAAGGCTGATCAAGGATGCAAAACAAAGCAAACTTATCTACGCCCTATGACCTGGAACCCCCCCCCCCGCACCCACCACCATGTCTCCCTAAAATGTATAAAACCACCTTGGGCACATGTCCTCAGGACCTCCTGAGGCTGTGTCACAGGCACATTCTTAAACTTGGCAAAATAAACTTTCCAAGTTGATTGAGGAGACCTGTCTTAGATATTTTGGATTCAGAAGATGTTTGAAGAAGGAGAAGACAGATTAGGCTTGGGCTGTGACAGAAAAACCAAGATGAAGAGACAGTCAAAAGCTGCTAAGTCACTGACTGTTACTGAACACTTGGCTTTGTACACCATGCTCTGCCTTTATATGTACTCTCTTATTTCATCTTCATGACACACCTGGCATTCACATCTTTATTTATAGATTAAGAAATTCAGAGAGTTGGGCCCAGTGGCTCACGCCTGTAATCCCAGCACTTTGGGAGGCCGAGGCAGATTGATCTTGAGGCCAGGCGTTCAAGACCAGCCTGGCCAACACGGTAAAACCCCATCTCTACTAAAAATACAAAAGTTAGGCATGGTGGTGCGCACCTGTAGTCCCAGCTACTCAGGAGGTTGAGGCAGGAGAATCGCTTGAATCCGGGAGGCGGAGGTTGCATTGAGCCGAGATCATGCCACTGCACTCCAGCCTGGGTGACAGAGTGAGACTCTGTCTCAAAAAAAAAAAAAAAAAAAAAGAAAGAAAGAAAGAGAGAGAGAAAGAAAGAAAAGAAAGAAAGAAACTCAGGTGTTGTTGAGTTACATTTTTGTTCGAGGTTCATAATAAATGTAGGAGCTGAGATTCAAACCTAGGCTGTTCCATAGCCCATGGCATACAGAGCACAGTGAGTAAAGACCCTCTGGGCCTGGGCAGGGGCTCCGGAGGAGATGGCCCATGGCCCAGAGAGGTTCTGATTGAGGTTCAACAAGTGTGGCCATGGAAAAAGTGTGGATCCTCCACCGTCATTCTTAGGGCCCCACGTTCACCCCAGAAGTAAGATGGGAACTGCTGGGTGTCAGGAAGGCAGGAGCTCCTGCCGCTATGGAGTTCCCCTGAAAACAATATGACTGCAATCCCCTGGGCTGGGCGAGTTGCCAGGCCAGGACTGGGAGCAGGGCCAACATCCACTGGTTGCCGTGGGAAGGCCTGGCCAGAGTGGATCAGAGTAATGAGCCACCTCTCTGCCCACCACAGTCCCCCACCCTCGCAGACCAGCCAGCAACGTCTGTCCCAACTGCTGCACATGTTGTTTCTCTGGCCTTACTGACCACATCCAAAGGTGGAGTTTCTGGCAAAGGGGTCTGAAAACGCCTCTTCTATATCATTTTAAAGGGACTTAACCCAAGCCTTCTTCAGGGTGCCACCCTGACCAGGAGCAAGGCGATAGGTAAAACACTATCCCAACTCAGGTTAGTTTTATGCCAGAGTTTGGCCACTGTCTTTATTAAGGAGTGGTTTATCTTGTCTGTCATTCTCATTGACTGTGGTCTCTATGATGAATGTAGTTTTCATTTGCTCTGCAATCCTTGACTTACCTTTTGGATAACTTCTGAAATGAGAGAAGGACTGCTGTCACTTTGTGTAGTGCATGGGAGTCCGAACTTGGGAATGATTTTCCTCACTAATGTCTTAGCTGCTTCTGTGGCTCTTTTGGACTTGGTGGGGTATGCTTTTACCCATCCTGAAAAGTTGTCTATAAATACCAGCAGGGCCGGGCGCAGTGGCTCACACGTGTAATCCCAACACTTTGGGAGGCCGAGGCAGGCAGATCGCTTGAGGTCAGCAGTTTGAGACCAGCCTAGCCAACATGGCAAAAACCCATCTCTACTAAAAGTACAAAAGTTAGCTGGGCATGGTGGCACACACCTGTAATACCAGCTACTTGGGAAGCTGAGGCATGAGAATCACTTGAACCTGTGGGGCAGAGGTTGTAGTGAGCCAAGATCGAGCCACTGCACTCCATCCTGGGCAACAGAGTGAGATTCCATCTCAAAAAAAAAAAAAATACCAGGAGGAATTTATGTCACTGGCTGTAGGCATCTGAGTGAATTCTACCTGCCACTCTTTAAAAGGGCACAGTCCTTTGTGTTGCATTCCTCTGCTGGCAGAATTATGTTCGGTCTTGGGGTTATTTTTGGTGCACAAAACATACCCCTGTGTAATTTTCTGAATAGTTTTCCAAAGGTGGGGGCCACACAAGGTCTGCAAGCGTGCCTCTCTCATAGTGTGTTCTTTCCTGCACGTTTTAAAGCTGGATAGACCAGGGCCTCGGGGAGTAAGACTGTTCCCTAAGCATCAGTTTTCCAGAATGGATCTGAGTCTGTTTTATCAAATCCCTAGTCCCCAGGCACACTTCTTGTCTTGCTCAGTATAACAGGGTTTGAAATCTGGCAAGTCCAAATGGGGAATTAAAGCTCCCAGCAGCTGCCTAATTTCCTTTAGTTGTCAATGAGTCATCTTTTTGGTGCCTGGTGCAATGCATAATGGAGGCCTGGGTGAGCAGAGCAGCCGCCTCTCGTTGAGCTAAAATTTTCATTGGGTGTTTAATGTCTTTATTTCCTAATGTCAGGAGGCCTCTCTCTTTCCAGATGGCCCCATGAGCATGCACTACCATGAAGGCATACTTAGAATCAGTGTAACCATTTTCCCTGGGATAGCTCCATGGGCCTGATGAGGGCAATTAGCTCAGCCTTGTGTGCAGAGGTACCAGCAGGAAGGGCGAGGGCTTCTTTTGCCTGGTTGATAGTTACCATGGCATACCTGGCTTGGTGCTGTCCATCCTCCATGAAACTGCTCCCACTGGTGTAGAATTCCCGATCTCTGGCTGGTCTGCCAGGTCTGTTCTGCTGGAATAGACTGCAAAAAGGTTTTTTTTTGTTTGTTTTTGAGACTGAGTCTCGCTCTGTCCCCCAGGCTGGTGTGCAGTAGTGCAATCTCGGCTCACTGCAACCTGGGTTCAAGCAATCCTCATGCCTCAACCTCTTGAGTAGCTGGGATTACAGGCATGCACCACCACACCTGGCTAATTTTTGTATTTTTAGTGGAGACAGGGTTTCACCATGTTGCCCAGGCTGGTCTCAAACTCCTGGGCTCAAGCAATCCAACCTCCTCGGCCTCCCAAAGTGCTGGGATTACAGGGATGAGCCACCTCGCCTGGTCTGCATTAAGGACTTTTAAACAGCCTTGCTGTAAATCAGAATTGGGTCCTTTAGCTGGGAGCATTGTTATCGGGTTTAGAGGTGTAGTAGTTTGCAGGGTAACATTTGGGTGGGTCATCTAAGAGGATGGCCTAGTATTTGCCCATTTGCCCTGCAGTGAGCCATAATCTCCCTTCTGTTTTAGTAAAGTCAGTACCTGGTGGGGCACAAACACTGTAACTGACTGTCCCAGGGAAAATTTTTCTACCTCTTGCAAAACTATACAGGTAGCTACCACTGCCTGAAGGCAGGTTGGCCATGCCTTGGTTGTCTGATTCAATTGCCTAGAGAAACAGGCTATGGATTGCAGTGTGCCTCCTGCATTTGAATTAACACACCCAAATTGACTCTTTGTTTTTTATGGATATAAAGTTTGAATGGCTTCTGGGGACCTGGTATCCCCAGTGCTGGGGTTGTTATTAATTTATCCTTAAAGGGGCTCTGAGTCTAGTCCCTTTAAGGCTTTCTAAAGTGGTTTGGCCATCAGCCCAAAATTGGAATCCAGATCCTACAGAAACGGGTCATTTCCAGGAATCCATGCAATTGCCTCCTCTTCTCCAGGGCTTTGATGGCTGCTATTGCCTGTTTTCAGTCAGTCATTTGGCTCCTCCTGTCTAGCCTTAACTTGAAGCCATGATAAATGACCTTTTGTTTGCAAATGTGAGCTGTCTGCTAGGATATCTTATATCCACAGGGGATACATTTTACCTACATTGAGCCAGGTGATTTAGGACTAGAATAGGTACTTCTCATAATCAGGGTCATCCACATATTGTAGCAAAACTCCTTCATCTAGTTGCAAGTCTCTAATCTCTTGCCAGTATTTCCCCCAAAACAGTGGGAGAGTTTTTGAACCGCTGAAGCAGTACTATTCAACAATACTGGAAAGTCACTTTGGTCTCCAGGTCTTAACATTTAAAAGTGAATAACTGGTGAGCTGCTTCCTCAATTGGAATACAGAAAAGATCATCTTTAAGGTCCAACACTGAAAACCATCTGTAGTTTCCAACTATAGCAGTTAGTAAAGTAGAAAGGTTACAAACAGTTGGGTGAATATCCTGGTCTATCTCATTAGTTGCTCTTAAGTTCTGGACAAATCAGTTTGCATCACAGTGTGGCCTTTTTACAGGCAGAATGGGGGTATTATATGGGAACCTGCAAGGATGAATTAGCCCATTCCTTAAAAATTTTTGCAAAATTGGTTGTGTTTCTTTTAAGGCCTTCTTTTTTAGTGGGTTTTGTTTTTCTGGGGCACCTTAGCCCCTTTATTTAATTCTAGATGCACTGGCTGTACATTTTTAGCTTTTCCCAGAGTTCTATCTGCCACAACTACTCATTTTTTTTTGTAGATTTGTGGAGGGAAAAGATTTTCTTCCTTTTTTTAGAGGGTAAGCAACATCTATAACGAAAGTGCTTGCTCTGGGGGAACCTGCAAGCATCACTGCTGTTCCTCAGGAAAGAAGGCTACTTGAGCATTTAATTTACATAGTAGGCCTCATCCAAGCAGAGGGATGGGGCATTCTGACATACATATAAATCATGTCTTAGTTCCAGATCCCCCAACTTATATTTCAAAGGTTGAAAAGAGGCTTTTTGCTGGATACTCTCTGCTATTCCTGTCACGGGTGCTGTTATTCTTGTGCTCTGTGCTTCTGGGGTGTTAAGAATTGAGTATGAAACCCCTGTATCAACCAGGAAATTAATAAGTTTGCTTTCCACTGTCAATAATATCCAGAGCCCTTCTGGGGAAGTGTTAATTGGTTTTGTAAGACCTAAGGGAGCCCATGGGCATCCCCATTAATTATCACAGCTCTGTCCCTGCATCTGTTTATGACCTGTCTCCTGGATGGATCCTGATTTTCTTTGGCCCCCTGTCTCTTTTAGTTTTGAACAGCTGGCCTTCCAATGGCCTTCCTCCATGCAGTAAGCACATTTTTTGTGGCTTAGGGGCTCGCCCTGGTTCCTAGGGCATCGAGGAACCCTGCCTGTGCCATATATGCAGTGCCAGGTTGTTGTTCCTTTTCTCCCTTGTGGTCTCTTTGGTTATACACCTGCAAAGCAATATACACCAATTGATCTGGGATCATTTCCAGCACCTTATCATATTTTTCTAATTTCTTCCTTATGTTGGAGGCACTTCTCTGAATAAAAGTCACATTTAGTAGCCTCGAGTTCTCAGACTTCTCAGGGTTTATGCCTGTATTTCTACAAAAAGCCTGGTAGATTTGTTCTATGAATTCAGAAGGATCCTCATTTGCCTTCTGGATGACTGTTTGGACTTTGTTGAGGCAATTTTGCTTGGGTATTCCCTTTCTGAGTCCAACTAGGACACACTTACATTAGTGTTCTAGGCAAGCTATATCATTTGTTTGGTTGGGGTCCCAATGAGGGTTTGTACCTGGAATGTCCATGGCAGGATTGAGAGTATTTTATGGGTTGGTTTTATGGAGGTGCTGCACCTCCTCATTTGCCTCTTTAATTGCTAATATCTTTTTATTTGCCAATAAAAACATATTCAGGAAGGTCTGTACATCTGCCCAGGTGGATTGAGGGGTGGCAAAAATGGATTTTAAAAGGTCTGCCATCCTCTTGGGGTCCTCCCAGTAGGGTGGATTGGAACTTTTCTTTTTTTTTTTTTTTTTTTTTTTTTTTTTTTTTTTTGAGACGGAGTCTCGCTCTGTCGCCCAGGCTGGAGTGCAGTGGCGGGATCTCGGCTCACTGCAAGCTCCGCCTCCCGGGTTCACGCCATTCTCCTGCCTCAGCCTCCCAAGTAGCTGGGACTACAGGCGCCCGCCACTACGCCCAGCTAATTTTTTTGTATTTTTAGTAGAGACGGGGTTTCACCGTTTTAGCCGGGGTGGTCTCGATCTCCTGACCTCGTGATCCGCCCGCCTCGGCCTCCCAAAGTGCTGGGATTACAGGCGTGAGCCACCGCGCCCGGCCGGATTGGAACTTTTCTAATTCAATAAGTCATATGTTAAAAATGAGCTATATGTCTAACAATGTCCTGCAGGTTGTCTATTTTTATCTAAACCTCCTACTGGTAATCTCCTAAGTGGGAGTTGCCCTGCCCCATTCCTACTTTTGCCCTGTCCAAACTGGGTGCCCTGCCAGATCTTTGAGGGGGAAACTATTCCAGCTCCCTCATCATACTCAGAAGGGGCTGTGGCCCCCTCTTTCAAATCTACTTCTTCATAATGTGGGGTGGAAGCAGTTGGCATGGCAGCTAAGAAAGCAGCTGCTGGCCCCATGGGAATGGGCTGTGTTATGGGTGCAGCTACCACAGCATCCCTGGAAGAAGTCTCTGGGTCTGCCTTGGCCAGGGGGAAGGGTGGCTGCTGGCTGAGCCACAGCTGCCTCAATGAGACCTATAGTGGTTGCCAGGTTCAAGGCCTATAAAAGGGCTAAATCTTTCTTGTCCTTTTTTCCTGAGTTTGACTATCTGGGAGTACCTTCTCTGCATCTCCCTGCATGGCTAGTATCCTATGGCCCCCTTCCTGTCCTGAGTCCTGATTCTGCAATAGCATAAAAGAGTGGGTGTGGGGTATTTTGTCCCATTTCCTTACTCTCTGACAAAGGTCCTCTAATTTTATCAAAGTCTAATACTGGGTACTTCCATTCAGGGACCAAAATCTATTATCACCCAGCAGGTACTGAGTCTAGACAGTATTATTACAGTAATAAATCATCTTTTTTCTAGTCATATGTTAATAACTATATTCCTTCCAATTAGCCAGAATATTCCCTAGGGGAATTTCAGAGTAAATAGAGACTTTGTTGCCCATCCTAACTCAGTATCTGCACATAGATCACTCAGCTTCACTAAAGCAGTGATGGTGGTCGTCTTTTAATTTCTTGATTTTATTCCACAAGCTGTCTCCTGCTATCAAGCCTCTAGTAGACAGATGAATTAAACCAATTTAACACAGCCAGTGTACATAAAGCCACACATGAACATTGTCTTACCATTATCGCCCAAAGTCTATAGTTAATATAGTGTTGGTTTTTTTCAAAAAAAGAACAAAAGAAAGAAGAAAAGAAGAAAGAAGAAAGAGAAAGAAAAAAGAAAAGAAAGACTCAATTTTAAGTCTTCAACATATAATTTTTAATCTTTATTATTAACTAATATACAACATAGATATGGTTTAAATAAGCAGAAACAACTAGTATAACTAAATACTTTTTAAAAACTATTTTCTTCTCTTCAACTGATAACAGCTTTGCTTTTCTCTTCTGGGATTAAACATACTACAAGCTTTTATTTGAGTTCAGCCTTGCAGAACACAGACATTACTCTATGGCTGCTTAACAGGAACAGTCATAATGGGCAATTTGCCATTTACAATCTTCCACCTCTGCTCTTGTATAACTAACTGTTTCTGCTAACCCTTCAGCTTGTCTCTGTCTCTCCATTTCCAAGGTCTTTTACTGGACAAGCAGGGCCCAGGTAAGAATATCCAGGTAGGGTCCCTGGAGCCAGGAACAAACACCTGGAGGGGATGGAGCTGGCACATGTGGAACTAAGGTGCAAAGTCAGCTTATGGTGTCAGGTCACACACACTTCCTTAGTATCATTTAGAAAAGGCAGGAACCAGGTGCAAAGGCTCTGGCCAGGGGCAGAAGGCACTAATTGAGAGCAAACAGGCTCAGAAGAGAGATTCAGAAATGGGAGGCAGCAACTTTCCTTGAGGGGCCAGGACACAGAGCCCAGGGCCCAGCCCAAACTTTTCCCATAAATGCAGCCAGATCAGGGCTTATACAGGTTCACTTGGTCGGAAGCATTTCCCAGTCCTGGGTGCATATTGCTTCAGCTCTCAGAGATTCCCACTTAATTGACTCCCCACCACCCCATACACACAGCAACAGCTTTTGATTTTCTTTTAAACCCAGATGATTTGACTGAGTATCTACGGTTGAAAATCACTACTCTGTTATCATCATGCTGATTCCAAACTGGAAAACAGTTTGCCAAAATGTAACTACTGCCCTAAGCTGCTCCTGCTCTGTAGCAGCAGGTCTTGCAGCCAGCTTTGGCATCTTCCTGATTCCAGCTCTTCCTGTATACTCTGCTTGGGTTTCCCCATGCTGGTTCACCAAGGCTCAGAGTGGAAGGTCGGGCTCCCATAAGTCGGACAGAGTAAAGTCCTGTGAAAGTCAGAATGGATTCTCAGAAAGAGATGTGTCTGGAGGGAGAAGTCCTGGACCAATAGACTACTTCACCCTGAAGGTGTCCAGTAGTGTGCCTCCTTGACTGTTCACCCTGGCCGGAGGACCAGTCTGCAGCCTTCCTGTGGCTGCTTGCTACCCACATGCCCAGAGGACAGTATTCTAAAGCCCTTCCTGGCAACCCATGCTTCATCCTGCTACTGCCTGGCCATCAGAGAAATTAGAAACCAGAGGGCACCTGAGAGGTGTAAACCAGCGGATAGAGTTAGGGTTCTTAGTTGCCAGTCATAGAAATTGACTCGACCAACTTAAGCAAGAAACAAATATGCATTTAAAGAACACTGGGTGCTCATCGAATGAGTTCAACAACCAGGCACTGGGAAGGATAGAAATGGTGGCTCCAGAGATCATAGCGGCAGAAATCTGTGGACTTTCTCTTATAGGGTATTACTTTCAGGTGAGATAGCTCCATCCACCCTCTCTTCCTTGTGCCATTACTCAACAGTCAAATTCCAAGGAGACAGGATCTGATTGGCCCAGGCTGGTAATGCGCCCACCCATTCAGGCAGCCAATGGGGGTGGAAGTGGGTTCCTATGAGTGGCAGCTCTCCAGGAAGCACATAGAAAGAGCAAGGGGCAGTTCTTCCAAAGGAAAGGAAAGAATGGCAGGAGGAAGACGCAAAAAGAGGTAGTCACTCCCTAGTTACCATGATGGGGATATCCTGGGTTGGAGGAGTCAGCACATTTCCCTTACTGTGCTATCACACAGTATGAACTATGAATGCACATTTTCTGTGTGGGTATTACCCTCTTTCCTCCCCACCTGTCCTAGAGGACACCACTCCAAGGGAAGCTGGCAGGAATCCTCACTTCAGCAAGTTTTAGAGCAATGAAGAGTAATTTCTTGCACCCCTGATTTCGCAGACTCAGAGTCCTACCCTTCAGTGTGGAGACTCAATCTGGTTGGCCAAGACCCCTCAGGCAGAGCATGTCTGTATCGGGGACTGGTCGCAAACCAAGACAGAGCCATGCCTTCGAGGCAGTGGGGAGCCCAGGCAGAATCGTGTACCTCTAGGTGGCCCGGGTTCAGAGTGCACTCCTTAAGCTGCATGGGAGAGGGTCCGACAGACCACTGTAAATGCCTTCAGCAGATTCAGGGCCATCACCAGGATGAAGAATGGGGGTGATGAAGATGACTAGAGGCAGTGGACCAGATTAATTCCTGATTCCCAGGAAAATATCTAGAAAGAGAAGGGCATGGAGGATGATTTTTTTTTTTTGAGATGGAGTCTTGCTCTGTCGCCCAGGCTGGAGTGAAGTGGCGTGATCTCGGCTCACTGCAAGCTTCGCCTCCCAGGTTCACGCCATTCTCCTGCCTCAGCCTCCCGAGTAGCTGGGACTACAGGGGCCCGCCACCATGCCCGGCTAATTTTTTGTAATTTTTAGTAGAGACGGGGTTTCACCATGTTAGCCAGGATGGTCTCGATCTCCTGACCTCGTGATCCGCCTGCCTCGGCCTCCCAAAGTGCCGGGATTACAGGTGTGAGCCACCGTGCCCGGCCAGAGGATGATTTTTAAGCCCTTTATGACAGACTGAGAATTTCTAAAAGAACTGACCTTCCTCCTGGAGAGAAAGAATTTTCCCTCCGGGGAAGTTCTGAAGCACCTGTCAGGGTCCGCCCTCTGGGGCAAGAGGCTTTCTACCAGAGCCAGCAGCCCTGGCTGGCACTTGGCAGGTGTCACCAGCCATCAGGTGGGGGCACCTCTAACTGAGCAGCCAAGACAAAGGGCCCCAGTACCCAGCAAGAGGTTGGGGGGCCCAGTGCAGAGACTGAGCTAGGGGAGAAACATGAACCCACAGCAAGGCTAGAGGAAGCAAGGGAGAGAATGGGGACAGGCCTCCAGCCAGGAGGAGGGAGGAGAGAATTCTGCCCAGTGTGCAGGCTCCACAGCTGTCCTGAGAGATCCTGGGAAAGTCTCACCCACAGAGCAGGCAGTCTGAGTGGAGCAGCCACTGACCAGGGATATTCAATTTGGGCAGAGCCTAGTTCCCCTCTTCTTTGTGGGGACACAGACTTGTTGGGAAGAAAACTGTGGAAGAACAATGCTTGAAGAATAATAATTTATTTTTTTTTCCTCAAGTATTTTCCTCTTTCATTGCTTCCCTTCATTGTGAGAGGACAGAAAGTAAAATACCTGTATATCTGTCACGTGCTTTTTTTTTTTTTTTTTTTTTTTTTGCTTCTTTGCATCCGAAGGTTTTACCCATGCAGGAGTTAATGCTGGATACCTCAGAGAAAAGAGCACTATTTATAGAGAAAGGCTTTCTCCCTGCAAGTAGTTGGTTGGAGGGTTGGTAGGTGAATCGTGAGACAAGGAACATAAAGACAGCTGGATGTTGGTATGTTCCCAAGAGGTAACTGTGCCCCATTCCTAGGTGAGAGTCCAGAGGGGACAGCAAGAACCCAGAGAGGGGACATCTGTGTGATGGGTCCAGAGAGTCATTGCCACAAACAGCACCCCCACAGGACACAGAAGCAGTCAAATGACTGATTCCTGGGTCCTCAAGCCTGACTCAGAGTTGGTCACGATGGCTGATGCAGCCTTCTCAGTGGGGACATATGTGAACTGAAGAATGTGGACCACACAGATGATAGACACCTCAGGGACACCTGAGGACTGGGACTCAGGGCCAGATGGGACCTTCTTTAACCCCTTGGCACAACAACTGGAGCTCAGCTGCAAACCCCAGAGACAGGGAGGACCCCAAGTGCTGGGATTACAAAGTGCTACCATGCCCAGCCAAGAGTTTTAAAAGGGAACTCGCAAAGCCCCAGCAGAATGGAGGTTCACAATAAAAGTTAATGTTTTTCACCTGTGGCCCATCTGCAGTTTTTTTTTTTTTTTTTTTTTTTTTTGTTTTTTTGTTTTTTTGTTTTTTTGTTTTTTTGTTTTTTTTTGACTCGATGTATACTTGTTATGGGCACCTTAAGGAGAAAGGAGGGCTGAGCCACCAGATCCCAGAACATTTCTGCAGGCTGTGACTGTGGTCATACAGGCCACAGATGAGACAGAATCAGAGTGTTTGTCCTTTCTGCATGCCACCTGCATAAAAATGCTCACACTGAGGATCAGCCCTCAAGGAGGAGGCCCAAGGTCATACCCTTCATTGTACCATCCCTGATGCTGTCCTTACAGTGGTGGTGTGCTGGCACCCAGCTCCATCACTAGACAGAGTTGACTGCAGCTAAGGGATGTGGGAGCCCAGGGCTGAGGAGCACCTGGCTCCTGCATGACTGATATGGTTTGGGTGTGTCCCCACCCAAATCTTATCTTGAATTTTAACTGCCACAATTCTCATCTGTGGTAGGAGGAACCCGTTGGAAGGTGATTGAATTATGTGGGTGGGTCTTTCCTGTGCTGTTCTTGTGATAGTGAATGAGTCTCACGAGATCTGATGGTTTTAAAAAGGGGAGTTTCCCTGCACAAGCTCTCTTCTCTTTGCCTGCTGCCATCCACGTAAGATGTGACTTGCTCCTCCTTGAATTCTGCCATGATTGTGAGGCCTCACCAGCCACATGGAACTGTAAGTCCATTAAACCTCTTTTTCTTTCCCAGTCTTGGGTTTGTCTTTATTAGCAGCGTGAAAATGAACTAATACAATATCCTTCCACTGTAACGTGCAGCACTGGCTCCTCTACGTGAATCAACTGCAGCTGGGAGGTGTGGGGCCCAGGGCCAGAGACTTCTAAGATCTGACGTGTGGAATTCCTACAATTGGCTTTATAAGAAGAGAATGGTGCTTTTGGCTTCAGGCCTTTTTTTTCCCCCTCAATTCTTCTTGATAGGAGTTTGACCTAAATATATCTTGCTCACAGTTCCATCTTCATCTTCTCTTTCATCACTTCTAAGGGAACTGAGTAGCACTGGCTTGGGCTATGAATTGAAGAGCAGGCCGCTGCTTCTCCTGGGAAGCACACAAGGTGGTTCTCATAGTGGTTTCTGCCCCACTCTGACCAAGACCCACCTGTCCTCAGTCCTCTGCTGAAGGCCAGCCTGGCAAGATGTTCAGAGGCTAACAGGTCCTATTGATGTCAACATCCCTTCCCACATTTTGCCTCCACCGTCTTGCAGAGAAATTTTCTGAGAAGTAGAAATCTAGACTATGAAAGGAGGAAGGAACTATGGAAGAAAGTAAAGCCCAGAGAAGGAGGGAAACTACTTGGTCAGTCTCCTTGTCTCAGTTAATCCAACATCCAACAAACCACCCAAGCCACAGCCTGAGCATCAGCCTTGTAAACTGGTCCACCATATGCAACTGTTCCCAAGTTCCACCAAATTCACTTTGTAGATATTTCTCATGTGTGTTCCATTCTCTCTGATGGTAGCAAATATATTAACCTCATCTAAGCCCCTTCATTACTTCTTATTCAATTCTATACTGGCTTCCTTATGTGTCACATCACAGCCTATTTTCTTCCACTAATTGATTTTATGCACAGAAGTCTGGGTAAACTCTTAAAACATAAATCTGGTCATGTCCTTCCCTTTTAAAACTCTTGGCTGGGCATGTAGCACTTTGTAATCCCAACACTTTGGAGGGCCAAGACGAGAGGATTGCTTGAGGCCAAGGGTTTGAGACCAGCCTGGGCAACATAGCGAGACCCCATCTCTACAAAAATAATTACAAAAACTAGCTGGGCATGGTGGCACACACTTGTATTAGCTACTCAGGAGGCTGAGGTGGGAGGACTGCTTGAGCCCATGAGTTGAAGGCTGCAGTGAGACATGATTGCACCACTGCACTCCAGCCTGGGTGACAAAACCAGTCCCTGTCTCTAAAAACATAATTGTAGTAGGCCAAGCACAGTGGCTCATGCCTGTAATCCTGCACTTTGGGAGGCCGAGGCAGGCAGATCACCTGAGGTCAAGAGTTTGAGACCAGCCTGGCCAGCGTGGTGAAAGCCTGTCTCTACTAAAAATACAAAAAATTAGCCAGGCATGGTGGCACGTGCCTGTAATCCCAGCTACCCAGGAGGCCGAGGCAGGAGAATCACTGGAACCCAGGAAGCGTAGGCTGCAGTGAGCCGAGATCATGCCACTGTGCTCCAGCCTGGGCAACAGAGTGAGACCCCATGTCAAAAAAAAAAAAAAAAAAGATTGTAGTAGTCTGTTTTCATGCTGCTGATAAAGACATACCCAAGACTGAGTAATTTATAAGGAATAAGAGGTTTAATGGACTCAGTTCCACATGGCTGGGGAGGCCTCACAATCATGGCGAAAGGTGAAAGGCACGTCTTACATGGCAGCAGGCAAGAGAGAAAATGAGAGCCATGTGAAAGGGGAAACCCCTTATAAAACCATCAGATCTCATGAGACTTCTTCACTACCACGAGAACAGTATGGGGGAAACCACCCCCATGATTCAATGATCTCCCACCAGGTCTGTCCCAAAACACATGGGAACTATGGCAACTACAATTCAAGATGAGAGTTGCATGGGGACACAGCCAAACCATATCAATAATAAATAAATAAAAACAAAGGAAAAATTAAAAACAAAAAAACTCTTCCTGGCTCCCCCATGCCCTGAGGATAAAGTAAATCTAATCCTTAGCACATCCTATGATGTCTTTCATGACCTGATTTGGCTCTGCCAAGCCTCACTGCTCACCACTCCCCTCCCACACAGCACCTCATACACAAGTAGGTACACAGCCAGTAACAACTGGATTGGCTCAGATTATCCAAGTTGACTCAGCATGTATCAGTCACTGAGTAGTGTCTCTGCTCTCTTGGGCCAGTTCTTTGTCCATAAAGAGGTAGGCCTCAGGGCCCTCCTTCCACTGTCCCAGGCTCTGACTATAAAACAACAGGGGATCTCTGAAAGCACAGGCTGTGCTCCGGTCCTCTGTGCCTGCGCTCAGGATGGACAATGTGAGGCTGGCCACTCAGTGGGTAGACCCCCAAAGCAGGAGCTGCTGCTCTCATTGCCCCAGAGGAAGTCACAGGATGGGCTTTTCTTTAAAACTCTAGAAATCTGATTTCCATTTCAGAGGGTGAAACAGTTGCTCAGAAAGGGGCACGGCTTTACCAAGGCCCTTCTTCATCTCCTTTGCTAATTTTAAAATGTACCTGAGATTTTGTTTTTGTTCGGTTATGGTGAGGCTGGCAGATCAGGACATGACAGCCACTGAAAAGATAGTTTATTACAGTTCGTAAGAGGAGGAGGCACACCATGCCATGCAGAGCCACACAGAGAGGCACCAAAGTCATCAGAAGGCAGAAGGACTGGGGAGAAAGTGTAGGCAAAAACCTTGATTGTGATTTTCATGGGGAAGTATGGGTGACCCATGCTAAACAGCTGAGCAGGCTTAGGATTGGCTGGTTTGAATAATTCTGGCAGGCTCTAAGGTACAGGGCTGTCTCTAGTTGTCTTCCACCTGGCCCTAGGGTGTTTATGGCATGAAGACAGTGGCTCAGCCTGATAAAGGAGGTGGTTGAGAGTATGGGCTCTGGATTGGTTAGTTTGCAAATGACAGGCAGTCTTGAAGGGAAGTTATTTGCTACCTCTAAAAACACTCTAAGAATTGCTCTAGAAAGGCAGGCTGTCTCCAGTCAGAGAACCCCAAATCCCAGATCATTAAACATACGAAAAATAAGAAAAGATAGATAATACAATGCTAGATGGGTAGACTTTGGGTTTCTCACCAGTACACTGCTCACCGCAGCAGTCACCCAGTGGCCTTACCTTTGCCACCATCCCCTTTGTTTTTGTTTCTGTTGTTGGGTTTTTCTTTTTTTTTTGTTTTGAGACAGTGTCTCACTCTGTCACCCAGGCTAGAGTGCAGTGGTGCAAACCTGGCTCACTGCAGCCTCAACCTCCTGGGCTCAGGTGATACTCCTGCATTGGCCTCCTGAGTAGCTGAGACCACAGGTGTGCCACCACCATGCCCAGCTAATTTTTAAATTTTTTTGTTGAGATGAGGCCTCTTTTTCTTACCCAGGCTGGTCTTGAATGCCTGGGCTCAAGTGATCCTTCCACCTCAGGCTCCCAAAATGCTGGGATTACAGGCATGAGCCACTGCACCTGGCCCATCCCCTTTGTAATGGCCTCAACAGTCCCTTTCTCCATAAAATGGTCCGTGGAAAAGGGCAAAGGAAGACTTCTGGGAGAGAGAATGGAGAGCGTTAAATAAAACCCTCCCATTCATTCTTCCTGAACAATCTCTGCCACTTGACAGGAAAAATAAACTGACCTTGGAGCTGAGAAGGAAGGGAGAGGGTGCCAAAGATCTCAGAGGGAAGTAGGTGCAAAGTAGCTTAGCGCTGAGGAAAGCTGCTGCAACTTGAACCACCTGCTTCTTGAGGTTCCTTTGGGGGCCAACAGGCAGCACAGCACTGGCCTGTTGCCAGGAGGAGAGTGTTGCTATTCAGAGTCCTGGAGGGTGAGCCCACACCACACCAACACATGGTGAGGTTCTCCCTGGAGGCAGGAGCCATGACAAAAGCTGCCCCTTCACTTTCTCAATCCGTCTTTGTCCCAGTAACCCCTGAGCCCTCCAAGGATGGCTTCTACAGAGCAGTGAGCACCTCTCTCTCATCCTCCCAGCTGGCTCCATCTTCTTCTCCCTGTGCTTCCTCCAGGAGCAGGTGCCACGGGGCAGCTTTGCAGCTGCTCGTTCTGTGTACATGCCCTGGCCTCATGGAAAGCCCCAAGGGCCAGGCACACTGAGCACGCACTGGCCTGTTCTGAGCCTGAGTGGACGGGCCCACAGGGAGGCAGGGGCACCAAGCCCCCCATACCCCTCCACCTTCTCAGGAGTGCTCATGCCACCGCCCCGCTCAGATGTTTGCAGGAGATGACATGGACATGATAGGAAGTCCTGGCTGCAGCAAACAGCTGCACGTTGTTCCATCAGAGAGCTTTCCCCAACCCTAATATTACCACTGGGGTCAAATGGGGCCACTGTGTGGTAAGTAGCATGTGAGAACTAAAACCCATAACTGGGCCCCAAGCCAGCATTCTCTAAGTTGATCCAGGTAATTCCTTCCCCATCCCTTGTTGGAGGAGGGGGAGGGGCGGTCTTTGATTCATCACCTTGCAGCTTGCCAGAGCCTCAGGTGACAGAAAACAAGGGCAGCAGTGACACCCAGTGGAGAAACGTACACCAGCTCCCTTCCACCTAGAGACGGGCACGGGCCTGCCCCCTGCTTCACCAGAATTCCCCACAGACCCCACCTTCCAGGGCTCGGCTTGGGTCTTGTCCATGGTGCTGACATCCTAGGATGGGAGAAATGGCGAGCCAGACTGGATGTCGATGGCAGGGCCTGACTTTGCACGTCTGCTGTCTCAGGGGCTTTAAGGCCACAGCTCACGCAGCCACCAACCACAGGTGACATCCCAAGCCTCTAATGGTGTTTCCCTGAGGCAAGCCTCAAGTCCTGGCCTTTATCAAATTGTCGATTTCTCTTCTCTCCTACAAAAAGAAGGCAAGGAGATAAAAGATAGTATTCCCAACCTACAAAGCCTTTGCAACTAATAACAGAAACCTAACAGAGAATATTAGCTGTGGGGTTTTGTTCGAACATGCCTAGGAAACGGGCATCCCTTCCTTCACTGCATTCTTTCTTCCTTCCAGCCACCCACCCATTCACCACTCAACACATTCTGGAGCACTTACTACCACTTGGTATGATTTGAGCATCGTGCTGGGTGATGGGTATATCACAGCAAGCAAAAGCAGACCCACAGGTCTCTGCCTTCATGAAACTAATTGTCTGGTAGAAGAGATAGGCATTAATCAAATAATACTACAGATCAATCCGTAATTCCAGATGTGATAAGTGCTATGAAGAACAGGCAAATGGTACTGTGAGACTATTATAAGAAGATTTTTTTACCTAGTCAAGGAAGCCAGAAAGAGCTTCCCTGAGAAAATAATGACTGTGCTTTGGTATAGGTAGATGAGTTGAGAGGGTTTGAGGCAGAGGAAGCAGCTTGTGCAAAGGCACAAAAACACTCAAGGAACTAAAAGAAGCCTGGAGTGCAGGGAGTGAGGAGGAGTGGGCTGCAAATTGAGGCTGGAGGAGTGGGCAGGGGCCAGACATGCAAGGCCTTGTTGGCCATGTTAAGAGTTTTGTCTTTTATCTAAAGAGCAATGGAAAGTCATGGATATGCTTTAAATAGGGAGGTGACATGAGCAGGTTTATGTTCCAAAAAGATTGCTCTGGCTGCTGTGTAGAGAACAGACTAGAAAGGGGAAGAATGAATGCAGAAAGGCCAGGGAGGAGGCTAGGGGTCTAGATGATAAAAGGTGGTGGCTCAGACCAAAGTGATGGTGAAGGTGAAGATGGGCAAAACTGAATGGGAAGAAATGTTTAGAAGGTAAAGTCAACAGAACTTGGTGATGAATTGGCCATGGGGTGGAATAAGGGAGAAGGAAGTATTAGAGATGGCATGGGGTTTTGGGGCTTTTTGATGTGATGGAAGGTGGGGATTTGTATTGGGTTAGAGAAAACTGGAAGAGGCCCAGGCTTGGAGTGGATGAACATACATGCAGTTGTTGAGTTCAAGGAGAATTGAGACATCCAAGTGAGAATGTCAAGGAGGCATATGTACATACAAAGGGTCTCCCAGGAGAGAGATGGAGATGTCAACACTGAGAGTCAACTCTGCATACATGGTCACTGACATCATAGGCGTGGATGAGAAGGCCCAGAGAAAGAGGACAGCATGAGGAGTGGACAGGAGGCCACTTGCCTGACAATAACATCTTAAGAATAGCCTCAAGGTACCTGCCTCAAGGGCACACAGGTCAGTCCAGGAACAGCAGCTGGAAGAAGGGGAGAACCACATTGTTAGGGTTCCCGGGCTAAGGTTCCAGTCACTGTGGTCCCACCTGATTCAAGAACTGTTGAGTGAGATCCTTGAGCAGAGAGAGGAAGCCGGGACCAGGCGGAAGGGCACTAAGCAGTGGGAAAGGGGCCCTTGGGGGCCAGGACCAGCCTTCCTTCCATGCCTCCCTTCGGCAGCACAGCCCCTGGCTGGGCTCCCTCCAGACAGGACCACTGGAACCACATAAGCCAGACCAATGCATCAAGACTGGCAGGGCCGATATGTGTCATGTTGGGCCTTGATCTGACCCTGGGGGGAATAGACACAGGAAAGGTGTGTAAACTAAAAATAAAATCCTAAGCCCCCCAACTGGCTGAACGGATCCCCTCTTGGCCAAGGGGTGCCCGGAGAATCTTGAAAAACTAAATTCCTGGCTATCATGGAACTGAGATCAGACACAACTATTACACCTGCCTCCTTTTTGCAGTTTAGACACAATGACTGAGCAGCATTAATGCTACAACAGAGGTCATAAGCCTGACGGAACAGACTGTTTGTGGCAATAAGATACCAAATTATCAACAGGACCTAGGACCATGCCAGAGAAGAGTTAAGTCATGCACCCCCCACACTTAAAGAATAAACTATGTCCAACTGCCACAAGGGTCTTCCTTTTCTCCAGCCACTAAACAAGCAGTGGCCTCAAGATAAGCAATATTGAAACAATTACAACACTTGCAGCTCACAGGCATGGACTAACCTCCTGTTCTACCAGCCATAACCACAGCTTTCATTGGACAAGAGGCTGATTGCAGTAACTCTCCTGAATAAGAAGGCCACTGACCATGGACTGGTTCTGGCCGGTTTACAGAGGCTGCACACTTGAGTGCCTTTGTGTCTCTGCTCAACTTTTGACGTGTAGGGCCTAACTGTAGTGCATTTAAATGTTAAGTCTCCACCCCAAGGTGAACATGGGTCGCATGTTACATGCATGTTTAATCCAGTGCGTCAGGACCACTTTCATGAGTATTCATAGTTCCTTCTGTAACCTGTTGAATACATATGTTTAGCCAACCCATTCCGCATAAAGCCCTGCCCCAGCTCCTCCTCCTCCTAAGGGCCTGTCTCTGGCCTTGGCTGGGGGCTACACTTCCCAGCCTGCGGGATAGGCACTTTGCGGGCTGTAACCCTTTACAAAAAATAAAGTCTCCTTTTCTAAGTGTACAGATCTTGTGATTTTTTTAAGTAAACGGGTGGGGGCTGGGCAACCTCTTCATTCCTCTCCCCACATCTGCCAGCTGGTGGTGAAGAAGGGGTCCCTTCACATGCTGAAGTTCACTCTCAGAGGCTCGGGGGCCCCGAAGCACAGGCTGTGCTGGTGGGAAGCCCACGCAGCCAACGTGGCTCTCAAAGTTTCCCTTCCAGGACCAGGCCTGCCCTCTCTGCCCCCCAGCTACCACCCAGGGAGGCAGCCCCAGCCAAGAGGAAGAGCCTGGCACCTAGAGGTACTTAGGACCCATGGAGAAGGATGTGCAGGGGTCCTGGAGCCACCTCTCTGCCCCCACAGTGCCATTTATTTCTTCACCCTCACTGGCCGATAGCCAGGCTTTCAGCCTGACTCCCAGGGACCCAGAAGCATGAGCAGGTGCGGTGGCAGTATGGGTCGTGCAGAAACTGAGCCCCCAGTTTTGAATGGTGGCTTCAGACCAGAAGCGCACTGAACTGAGAGTGCCGGATGTGGCCCAGACACTGGGTTCAGGACCAGTTTCTTCCAGCCACATTCTTGCCAGCACCCTCCAGGTCTCCATGAAGAGTCTCCCTTCCAGGTGCCAGGGCTCTAATGCACTCCCAGCCTCCCCTGCAGGGTGGGCTTTGCTCCCTGGAGCATCTCCCTGCCTCCCCACTCAGGCCCTGCCTGGGTTTCCTCAATGGCTCCCCTCTCCAGCCAACCTCATGGTGCAGGGGGAGGGTGAACACATCTGGGCCTTGAGCACGTGTCACCAGAAGCAGGTACCACCTACCCCTCTCTTCCTCCCATTTTATGCCCAGGAACTGGTTACCTGGACTTTGCTTGCCTTGAACACACTAAGACAATGCAGACCTCACTCCAATGGCCGGTCAAGGCCTTCAGTTAGATGGTCAGACAGCTTCCTGTTGATGGTGATTGGGAGCAGGAGGAGTGTGGCTGGAAAATGGCTCCGGCAGGGAGCAGGACTCTGCCCTTGTTGGCACTTGTCATCTATACATTGGCGGGAGCAGGAAGAAAGCAGTGGAGGGGCTTGTCACAAGATAAAGTGCCCATCCCCTCAGCCACAGAACACTAGGAGAAGAGACCCAAGCTCTCCTAGGAGTCAGAAGGAGCATCCGTGTCCATGTGAGCCAGGACAACCCCATCCAGCCCAGCCACAGCTCTAACCTGTTCACATCCAGGCTCCCTCTCATTTCCTCCCTTATTCTCTCCTTTTTTGCAGCAGTCTGGGGTAGCCTCCTCACGCCAATGGGCAGGCCAGGGTCACCCCCAAAAGTGCCTGCACCAGGGGCCCTATCAGTAGCTTCGACATGCATCCACCTGCTCCAGAAGCCAAGGATCTGCTTCTGCCGCATTAGCCTCCCCAGACAGCTGCCTGCCACCCACAGAGCTTCCTTGGCACAGCTGGAATCCCTGGAGCTGGGGCAAGATGCCCACATGCCTGGGCTCCTGCTATGGGCCTGTGAGTACAGCAGGGGTGACTTAGGGCACACTGCCCTCCGCAGGAGGCATCCCCTTCAAATTCTGTGGCAAGAGAGAGAAACTGTCACTCATGGCCATCTGTTCTGTCTTCTCCTTCCCGCAAGGCGCCCAATCCCTGCCTTTTCTTGTTTGAGCTGGAAAGTACAAGCCACCTGACTGGGATTCTGACCGCAAGCTCAGCCCCTGTAATGGCCTTCACTCCATTGTCAGAAAAGTCTTCCTAAGTCACGGTATCTGTTTCCTAATGGAGCTGGACTTAAGAGAACCTCATAAGAAGGCTGAGTTCACTGCAAGGGTTAATGAGGAAATCTTTAGAAAGGGGCCAGGCTGCCTGCCATGGAACAGGAGCAATCAGGACTCCTCTGAAGACCCCCACCCATGCTGTTTGCAGGCCTGAGGCACAGATCCAAATGAAGGCTTACGTACTACACACTGTGTGTCTATGGATTGAAAAGTTACAAGGCCAGCTAACTGTGAAATGAATATGCTCCATCGCCCAACCTTGATGAATATACCTTCAAAACCACCTGGTAGCTGACTTGCATTTGGAATGCAGACTCCTTGAATTCTGTGCTCAAATGGGGTGGCACAGGGAGAACAGACCTCAGCTTACAGCCCACCCCCTGCTCCATCCCACACAACAGTCCTTGGGTGTGTGCAAATGGACATCCCTGTCCTAACATCTGAGCTCTTCCATGTTCCCCCTCCCCAGCACCTTCCCTTGGTTACTCTTTTGTGAGGCCTAGGAGTGCACACCTGAGAAAGAGGCTTGCACAGGCTCTGCAAGTGGCAGAATCTTAGAATGAGAGTGTGGTCTATACAGAGGGGTCCAGGTTGGCATGTTCCTTTGGCCCCAGATTCTTTGCCCCATGTAGAGGGCATACCCAGAGGACGGCCAGAGTGGGCCCCTCTAGCAAGGCCTAAGGATGATCCTGGTAGGGCAGCACAGCCGCTCACTCTGCTACTAACAGGTGGCCAGCAGGCGGAACTACAAGCCTCGGAAACAGTGCCTCCCAAGTCCCCTCCCAAGTTGTCCTCTTGCCCCTATTGTGCAACTCTCCGCCACTCAGACTCCCAGCAATCAAATCAGATCATTTACAAAGGTGGAAGTAGAATATGGGAGAACTATATTGGATATCCAGTAACCCAGGGCTAGTAACAGTGAAGGCACTGTTACCACCCTTAGATCCAAGGGCAAAGGAGAGAAAAGGGACTGGTCCCTAGGAGGAGAAAGTCACATTGAGGAAAATAAGTTGAGAATGTGTGACCTTTGGCTGAGGGGTTCCAGTTTTCTCCCGGGTAGGGATCCAAGAGACTAAAGATTATGGCCTCACTCTCCTTCTTTCCTCTAATATTTGACTTGTGTTCCCCATTGGCCAAACTCAACCAAAGCCAGAGAGCACAGGAACCTGTTGGTGTAGCCCAGATAGGTTGGCCTCCAGGGCAGAGCATAGGATGGAGAAGGGTGGAAAATGGGTCCAGAGAAGCAATGGGAAAATATTGGAAGAGCCAGATGCTGTGGCTCATGCCTGTAATCCCAACAAATTGGGAGGCAGAAGTGGAAGGATTGCTTGAGCCCAGGAGTCTGAGGCTTCAGTGAGCTATGATTATGCCACTGCACTCCAGCCTGGAGTGAGACCCCATCTCTAATATATATGTATATTGTGCACAGCTACTAAATTATAATAACCCAGATAAAAGTAATCAGCAGCAAAGATAGAAAAAGGTTTGCATTTGTCAGCTCATGGATGCAAGAGGTACAGAGTGTTTGGCTACAGTGGGCATGTGCTGAAAAAAATTAAAAGTTTAAAAAAACTTTTAAGCTGGGCATTTGTGAACAGAGTTTTCTCTCATGACCAATCAAAACTGAAATCTTGATAACTTTGCATGTGTCCGATATCATGCTCTGAGTTGCTCAGGCAGAATTGCCAGGCAGCTCACACAGGTAATGGTAATGCTCCACCTGTGTTTCCCAACCCAAAAAGGTCTGGAGTCTTCCCAGAAAGGCCCAGCTCAGTGTAAGATGGAGGCTACAGCCCAGGGTCACTCCCTGGCCGTGGCTTGCCCACACCCTTCCACACTTCGCCAGTACTGACAAAGGCAGCCTAGAAACAGGGGTCAGAGAGGCAGAGTGTGTTGGGGGAAATGGAAGGTTTCATGCATACTGGGTGTGAAGGGACGGTGGACATTGAGTGGAAATAGCCAGCCAGCAGCTGGACATGCAGGACTCCAGCCCATAGGGAAAAAGTGGCTGGATGTGGGGGAGGACTACACCTCCTCCAACAGCAGCTGGCCCAGAGACCAGCATTCACATGCAGACCAGGGATCTACAACCCATGGAGGAGCAGGCCCATTTTCCCCCATTTCTTTTTCCTCTTCACTTTTCCCCTTTTCCCAACCACTTGCTCAACTCCCTGACCCCTGCCCTACATGTCCTTCCCTTTCTTCTACCGTCACTGCACTGAGAAGGCGATTGCACTTTCCTTACTTCATCTAAAACCTAACGATGGGCAGTATCCACCTACAAGGACCAGTTTCCAAATGAAACATCATGAAATTTAGATAGGCTACATTAAAAGAAAATCAAAAGGCATGATGCAAACTGGCTGTGATATTGGATACTTAAATGGAAATCCTACACAGTTTTCCATCAAAATGTCATCTGATCTGAGAGCATATGTACCGGCGAGAAGTGAAGTTTTCTGAATATCTGACATGAAACCTTCTCCGGGGAGCTGTTCTCTCAGCCTGACTTAGCTCAGCCTGACAAACAAACACCCGCTCAGTTCATCTTGAGCAGCGCTGATCTGAATGGGCCACATGCCAGGTTTCGCATCGTCCCTGGCAGATCTCTTAATTAACTTGCTGATACTGTCACTGTTTTGGAATGGAGCCCTACCTCTGCTATTTTAAGAGGCTTGTACTAGGAGCCCACTGTCATTCAGCCAGCCTGTCCTCATGCGTGACTTGAATGTGGGCACCATCGTGGCACAGGAAAGGGACGCTGTCTGTGTGAGGCAGCCAGGAGAATCTCATGTCACTTTTTTAGGTCTCTTCGGCCCCACATCTTTCTCCCACCTCCTCCCTGCCAGGGTTTCCAGATCAGCTCCTGCCTTCAACTAATCCATCAACCAACACCATGGCCCTAAGAAGCAAGCCTGGGAGAAGGGCTTCATTGATTGGGATAAGCCTTGAGGCCTTGGAGCCCTCCACCCCCACCCCAGGGAAGAGGACTGAGTAGCACCCTGCACAAGTGAGTTGTAGGTCAAGTCCCAGTATGGACCAGCTAGTTTTGCCACATTCCCAGTCATACACGACAGCTGTGGCCTTGGCCAATCATCTGGCAAATGGATGCCACAGTTGCAAGGTATTGAAGTAAGAATGAACAGGGAAGAATTTTCAAAATTACTTACTGCAAATCCCTCGTTTTATAGATGAGGAAACTGACCCACAAAGCAAAGCAACATAGGTATTCAGTGGTCACACAGGTGGTAGAGGTCCCACAGAAGTGGGGTCCAGGTTTCCTAACATCGAGTGTGTCACATGTCAACCGTGCGTATCCCAACCACTGGTAACGTTTAAGTCCTGACGGCTGGTCAAGAAAACCATCCTCACCTAAGAAGAGGAGGACATCATGGGCATTACTGAGGGGATTCTCTAAGGACATGAAGGGTGCTGCCCACTGAAGAATGAGCTATCTTTACAGGACCATTTGGAATTATAAGAGAATATTCGATTGAGTGGTTTCCTATCTCCTTTAGTTGAAGAGTCTCACATTTAGACCGGAGAAGAGGAATGGAGGGTGTAACAGAGATATGAGGTTTTGCTGAAGATAGTAACAACTAACAGTCAAACAAGTAAGAGTGTACTTTAATGGAAATTAAGAGTGAACACATAAAGAGATGAAGAATGAGAGTTAATAATAAAACTTTTAGTGTTATTTGCAAAGGAGATGAAGAATCGTGTATTTTTTAAAATGTTAGTCTCCACTGACTACCTCCGTTTCTTCACTTCCCATTCACTTTTTTAAAAACATGCAAGGATGTTTAATGCGGCATTATTCATAGTAGCAAAAACAACACAAAAATTATAAAACTGGAAGAAGTAAACGCCTACCAATTGGAAAATGGCTGAATAAACTCTGGTACGCCAACACCATTGAATAAAAGCCAAATAAAAAAACATAACCCAACAAATTGAATGAGGAAGCAGGTATGAGAATTTAGCTATCCTCCACCAAGCCAGACATCAAAGAAACTCACAAAAATGCAAAAACTAGTGCCACCTTCTACTCTGATTCTTGTTCCTGAAAATATAGGTATTCCTCATCAAATACATTAACTGTGCTAACATGTATGGGTTTATTATTGTCACCCTAAATGAATTGATACATAAATATCCCAACAACAGTTCTTGAATGAGGACCACCAGGAAACTACAAATTCAATTTGAAAAAAAAATTAGACAACCCAAGAGAAAAATTGGCCAAGAATCCAAGCAGACCTTATGAAAAGAAAATCCAAATGACTGCCAACTACATTAAAAGGTTCTCAATAATTTTATTACTAAATGTGTGTGTGTGTGCACGTGTGTGTGTGCGCACATGCATGTGTGTGTGTTAGTACTGCACTAATGTTAATTTCCTGGTTTGGGTCACTGTCCTGTAGTTCTGTAACATGTTAGCATTAGGAGAAGTTGAGTGAAGGATATATGGGAATTCTCGGTACTGTTTTGCAACTTTCCAAAATACTAAAACTAGTTCAACATAAAGAGTTAAGAATGTACAGTATTCAAATTTTAACATTAGAGTGTGGAAACTGATTTCTCAGCACTTTTAGATGTTATTTTTTTTCTCTGATCACCATACTACAGAGTTCCAATATGAAATTGATGCTAACCTTGCCAGTGAAGTGTGCTAGCGATAGTGATGTTGCCACCAAGTTATTAAGCTTGCCTTCCTCATTAACAGAAACTGACTAAAGGAAAGGATTTCTTCTTCTTCAGGAGGATTTGGTCAAAGGCGATGATATAATTACATTAAAGCAGCACCACAAACTAAAGCTTTGTTTGCTGCTTGAAAATTTGCTCTCTGAATAGTTTCAGAAGCAGATATAAGACTGTTGACCTGGTTATATTTTGTGTGAAGTATAATCTACATAAAGAAAGATGCACGCATGAAATTTGTTCACACACATATCGTGGATAATTTTAAAGTAAGCACTCTTGTAGTCATATAGGTCAAGAAGTATCAACATACATATTTCAGAATCCCTGTCCCATGGCTTCCCTGATCACAACCCCCACCTTTTCTAGAAGTAAGCAACTTTCTCACTTTTTAATAATCCTGCGCTCACTCTTCTCTTTCATGATATCACTTACGTAGTTTTCTTTTACCGGTTTTTAAGATTAAACGTTTACAGATATGGAATAGACCCTATGTGTTCTTTTGCATCTTGCTTCTTTCTTTTTCCCAACAGTGTGCTGTGAGACTAGTCCATCTTGTTGCATAGCTATCGTTCATTTCTTTTCATTGCTGTATCCCATTCCCTTTTTTAAAAAAATCAATTTTAATTTTTATTTAACAAATAATAATTGTATATATTTATGGAGTACAAATTTATACACTGTGAAATCATTAAATCAAGCTAATTAAATATCCATCACCTCACATACTTATCATTTCTTGGTGTGAGAATGTTTTGAATAGTCCTGCTGTAGCAATTTTGAAATATACATTATTATTAACAATAGTCACCATGCTGTGCAATAGACCACTAAAACATTCCTCCTGTCTAACTGAAACTTTGTCCCCTTTGATCAGCATCTCTCCTGTTCCCATTCACTCCACCTGGCCAGCCTCTGGTAACCACCACTCTACTCTCTACCCCTAAGAGCTCAACATTTTAAGATTCCACATAGAAGTGAGATCATCCATTCATTTTTTGATCCATTATAATCATACTTCTACCTTCCCTCTGGAAAAGGTGATCAGTGACCTCCAAATTTCCAAATCTATGAATTGCTTTCAGTCGTTGTCCCATGTGGCCTCCAGTGCGCTTGACATAGTTGACCATGACATTTCTCTCGAGAGTTTCCATGCAACCATTTTTTTTCCCGGTCCCTCCTTTCCCTCTGTTCCTTCTCAGTCTCACCAGTTCATGTTCTCCAAGATCCCACTTATGGCTCCTTTTTTCCTCCCTAAGTGATCTCAGTTCCATACTAGCCACATATTGACAACTCCTAAATTTTTATCTGTCCTCTTTCCTGAGCTCTAGTTGTGTGTATGTGTGTGTGCGCATGCTTGTGTATACATACATGTATATTTTTCACTGCATATTAGACCACACAAAGTCAAACTCATCGTTCTCTCTCTCTTAAACCAACATGCACGTAGTTGTCCAAGTCAAAGACCTCAGTCATCTCCATCACTTTCTCTTCCTTCACCTTCTCATACAGACATAAGTCCTGCCAATTATGTACCAGAAATATCTCTTAAAATTTAAGTTACTCTTCTTGGGGGAAAAAATTAAAAAAATTAAATTACTCTTTTCCTCTCTGTCCTCATGGTCATAATTCAGATTCAGGTACACTTTCTTACCAGGACTACTGCAGTAGCTTTGTTTTTTATTGTGGTAAAATAGATACAACATAAAATTTACTGTCTGGACCATTTTTGACTGTACAATTCAGTGACGTTGAGTATATTCACATTGTTGCCTGAATATCAGCGCTACCCATCTCCAGAACTTTTCTATCACCCCAAACTGGAACTCTGTACCCACGAAACAGTAACTCCCCTTCCTCCTCCCTCCCGCTCCTGGTAACCACTATTCTTCCTCTAGGAGTTTGACTACTCTAGGTACCTCATATTAGTGGAATCACACAATATTTGTCCTTTTGTGTCTGGCTTTTTCTCAATACCTTTTAAACTGGTTTCATTACTTCCAGTGTGTGTGTGTGTGTGTTTGTGTGTGTTAATATTGCACTAATCAAATACTCTCTCTCTCACACACACACACACGCACACACACTCTATTGTTAATTAGTGGGATTTTTTTCTCCTCCAGTCCTTTTTGCTGTCTTCTCTGTTCCTGTCCACTCCACCTCACCAGCCTTTGGTAACAACGACTCTACTCTCTATGCCTAGGAGCTCAACTTTTTTAGATGCCACATAGAAGTGAGAACATCCATTCATTTCTTGATCTGCTATAATCATACTTCTACCTTCCCCCTGGAAAAGGTGATCAGTGACCTCCAAATTTCCAACTCTATGAACTGTTTTCAGTCTTTGTCTCACTTGGCCTCCATGGCATTTGACGTAATTGACCATGACACTCCTCTCTTAGCTTCCCTGCAACCACGGTACAATCCAAGGTAACTTTCTAAGATACGAGAAGGCCTAGTCTGCCATGTCAAGCACAATATGAAGCCTACATTCCTTAGCATGACAGTCAAGACCTTTAAAAGTCTGGCTTAAACCTGCCTTTTCAGTACCTCTTGCTACTCCTCCAACAATACCCCAATCACACCACTACCTGGTAAGCACTTTCATGTCTTTCTGTCTTTGCACCTGTCACTTCCCTGGCTGGGAATGCCATATCCTCTCCATCCCCTCTGCCACCCCCACCCCAAATCTCTGGGCTTCACCTGCTAAACCCTGCTCATCCTTTATATTCCAGCTTCCATGTTCCTTGCCCTGTGAAGTTGGCCCCGATTCTTCACACTGAACCAATCCCTCCCTCTACATGTCACTACAACATTCTGCACACCTTGGCTTTATGTACTTTTCATTATGTCTTATACTTCACAATTGAAAGCTTTAAGAACTATTCATGTCAGTCTCCCCTTTGAGTCTGTGATTACCTAAGTAGTCAGGAACATGTCTCTTCATTCTTGGCACTCTGGCTGTTGTGTACTCAATAACTGTATGTTTAATAGGTAAAGCAATAAAATATTCATCCATCTATACTGGTTAAAATGCTGCCTTCCCTGGATGCATAAAGACATATTAGTTGTCCCTAAAAGCCTTCTTGAGCACAGGATTCCATTATATTAGGTTGGTGCAAAAGTATTCATGGTACTTGCCATTGAAAGTAAATGGCAAAAATTGCAATTACTTTTGCACCAACCTAATACATTTGGATACTCTGCCAGATACCACAAAGGAGCATCTTCTTCCGAAATGAAAAGCGGGGATAACAGTTGTATCACAACATCTGGTTAAGATTAGTAGCTCTTTAAGTGTCAAAGATAATCAGGGTAATTATTCAAAGTTGTCATCTTGATAGTCTGAGGCAATCAAACTCAAAGCATTGCCTTTCCCCAGGAGGGTTGTTCAGCATAATTCAAACCTGGAAGCCACTTGAACTGAAGGTCTTCTTGATGGGAAATTGTGGGTACTGCTCCCAGGAGGAGGGAAGTCCAGAGTGCAATGTGGCCTGGGGGAGGGTGGGGGATACCTAGATGCACCTCCATTGACACTAAAGAAATCCATGTGGCTAACAGCTTATGCCAAAATCCCCAGCCACCAGTGTAAAGTATGGCAGCAGTATTTCATGAGAAGAAAACATTTTGCAGCAAATTATTACAGCAATCATTCTTTGCATTTGTATTGCACTTCAGTTTTCAGAGCACTTTCATTTGCAATATTTCATTTAAGCCTGCAGCCACATGAGTATAAGGATCTTGCTGCATAGATGAAGAAACAGAGGCCAAAAGCGGTATTATGGTCTTCCCAAGCCCATAAGGTAAGTGGTAAAACTTTTTGCAGTTTCATATTAGGGGTTTCTCAGCTGACGCCTGAGAATCTTGAGGTTATTTAGAGGTCTTCATTGTAAATTGATTACAGCAGGACTTGACATGACTTTATATTCACTTCCAAGATTATCTGGTGCCATTACTGATAAGTGAATTTGGAAGGACTTTTGGATGTCACCTAGTCCAACCTCTCAATAAAAGCAAGGAATTCCCTTTATTGATCCTTGGCTGTGTTGGGTCTTCCTTACCTTGGGTTGCCCTTGCCCTTGAATTTCTCCCCATAACTCTTCATTGTCCTCAATAGGACATGCAAATAATGTATAATTCCTCTTCTCAGCAAAACTTTCAAATATTTGTGAGTGGTCTCCTCTCTTTTCTGGCCCAAATGTTCCAGATCCCTCGAGCCACTGGACAGGAACAATGCTAAGTATTGAATGTGGGTTATTTTATTTAAACCTCACCATACCTCTGAGATAATAGTACACACTTTATTATCCTGATTTGACATACAGGGAAAGGAGGTTGAGGTGTAGAGATTTGTGTAACTTATCCATTGTCACCCAGATGGCAAATGGGAACTCTGGCAATTAAATGCAGGCAGTCTGAGTTCGTAACTCTAAACCATTATACTATAAACCCTTTTCTATTCTTTCTCTACACTATCCCCCTACCTCCAGTTCAAGGAAAAAAAGAAAAAAGAAAAAAAAAAAAGCTTCATGTGCTAAATGGACAGAATGTGGGCTGGTATTTCTAAGAACCAAGTCTTTTTTTTTCTAATGTTTTGTAGAGGTGAGGTCTCACTATGTTGCCCAGGCTACTCTCAAAATCCTGGCCTCAAGCTGGGATTATAGGCGTGAGCCACTGCACTGGCTGCTAAGAACCAAGTCTTAATCCTCATCACCCACTCACTGTGACTGGCAGCAAGTCAAATCACATTATGCTACTTATTTTTCTTAGTGAGTATACTCATTCCATAGAGACACCTCAGTCATTGTCAGGGTATACTTATCACTTTTTAGACTAAATAGAACTCCTCATGACTAGCTACTAAAGCCATGAGGCCTGAGGCCCCTGATCAACTCACATACTTCATCTCATACCATTCTCCTCCTTATTCATTGTGCACCAGGCAACATGGGCTGCCTCCAGCTGGATATGCCCAGGTTCCCGTGGTGGGGTCTCTCCACATGCTCACACACACTGCTCTCCTGCTGGTGGAACTGGCAGGGCTGGTTCCTTGTTCTTCTTCTTTTGATTGGCATGTCACTTTCTCAGTGAGGCTTTCTCATCCATCCATCTGCCCACCCATCCATCTGATGTCTTTGCTGGGTAGACAGGAGTAAACAAGTCAAACGCAGCCAGGCGCAATTGCTCATGCCTATAATCTCAGCATTTTGGGAGGGCAAGGCAGGTGGATCCCTTGAGCCAGGAGTTCGAGACCAGCCTGAGCAACATGGTGAGACCCCATCTATACAAAAAATACAAAAATTAGCTGGGGGTGGTGGTGCACCAGGAGGCTGAGGTAGGAGAATCACCTGAGCCTGGGGAGGTTGAAGCTATAGTAAGCCATAGTCATGCCACTGCACTCCAGCCTGGGTGACAGAGACCCTACCTCAAAAACAAAAACAAAAACAAAGTCAAATATTCTGTTTGTTCTCCAAGTGCGTTTACATTCTGATGCCCTGATGAAAAGCAGTTTCTCCATTGCATACTTATTGCATGTTATACTTTCCTTTCAAAGCACAATTTTTAATTATATGAATGTTTTCATTTTATAATATATTAATACATTATTATGGTTTAAAAAGATCAAACAGTATCAGTCATGCAAGAAATTCTCCTTAATGTCTCCTGGCCAGCCCCAACCCCACATCACTCCTCTTCATAGGGGTAATTGCTATCATCATTTTGGCATGAACTCTTCCAAGTCTTGTCTATGCATTGCCATTTACATAGGCACATACAAATATGTAGTTTTAGTTCTTGTGTGTTTAATGTAGAAAATATCGCAGATATACTTTAGAAGTATATTTAGGCCGGGTGCAGTAGCTCACGCCTATAATCCTAGCACTTTGGGAGGCCAAGGGGGTTGGATTGCCTGAGCTCAGACCACCAGTCTGGGCAACATGGCGAAACCTCGTCTGTACTAAAAATACAAAAAAATTAGCCGGGTGTGGTGGCGCATGCCTGTAATCCCAGCTACTCAGGAGGCTGAGGCAGAATCACTTGAACCCAGGAGGCGGAGGTTGCAGTGAGCCGAGATTGCGCAACTGCACTCCAGCTTGGGTGACAGAGGGAGACTCTGTCTCAAAAACAAACAAACAAACAAAAAACCCGTAGATTTACATATAGTTTTTTCATCGTGTGACTGCACACAGAAATACATGTAATTATTCTTCTCATGGTGTTCTGTAGTATTGCCTACCAATGAACTGTTGAACATTCAGGCTATTTTGTACTTTTCTTCTTATAAACAATGCTATAATGAATGCTTTTATGTATTCCTCTCTGTGTATGAGTACAAGCAGGGAAATTATTGGGTTGAAGTGAACAGGCAATTTCATATTGTCAGTTCATTCCCCATAAAAGGATGTACCAATTTATAATCACAGCAAAAGTACATAAGATATCCATTTTCTTATACCCTTACCAATATTTTTTGTTTTTCTTAATCATAAGAACAAAACATTCTCAGCAATCATTGTCTATTAGTTGTCTTTGGCTTTTTGTATTTTTAAGAAAGACTGATTTGTAGGCATTCTTTATATATTTGGGATATTAATCCTCAGTCTTTTACATGGGTTACAAATATTTTCTCCCAGTCCATTGTTGATGTAATTTTGCTTATGGTGTTTTGTCTTACAGAAGTCTTAAATTCAGGATAAGTTTGTCAATATTTTTTCTTTGGGGTCTTGTATTTTGGATATTGCTTACACATACTTCAAATATATTCTTCTGCATTTTCATATGACTAGTATATTTACTGGATTGTTTAATGATCATCTTCACCACCTAAGTCTGAGCTCTAAGAAAGACAGAGTTATGACTGTTCTATTCCCAAATGCATACCTAACGCATATCACAGTCTAGTACCTCCATGCTCAATAAATGGTTACTGAGCAGATGGGGAAAAAAAGAATGATGTGGGTATTATTAACAAGAAAATACAGGTATCCCTGGAAGAAATTCAATATATGAATTAGGCTATTGTGAGTTTTATAAAATAATTCATTCTGTATACATTCTGTTAAATTTTACACTTACTTTTGAATTCTGGCTATTGGTAATTTATGCAGTAATCCCAAAATTATCATAAAATCTTAAATGTTGAAAGAAACTTTAGGGATCATAGAGGGGTCCAACTGTATGGCTGTGTGCTCTGACAATAGGTTGTGTACTTTCTGTGTGCCCAGCTGTGGGCACCAATCCATTTCCAGATTGAGAGAATGATTGAAGAGCGCTCCCTACTGCTGGCCTTCTATGGGCCATGGTGAGCACTTACCTTCATACTATGGGCCGTGGTGAGCACTCTGATAACTTCGCCCCCTCCCAAAGCCTCAACTCCATGATTTTCCACCATTTCTATCGGTCAGAAGCTCCTGGTAATCTCCATGCCTCCTTTGCTTCTCTCTAAGATTGATGAACAGTCCAGGCCACATCGAATTATTCTGATTGGATCTATACATGCTAACCTCAACTAGGCCCTTGCTGCTTGCTTACTACTCTTTTAACCCATTCTTTTACCTTCCTGTTACATTCCCCAAAGTGTTGCACATTTTCTATATTCTCAAGCTCCAAATTCCTATTCCATCTCCTGCTACCTCACTATGCTAAGCCAAGGGGTTCCCTTAATATTCCTTTCTTTATCTTAAAACCCTCTCTCTTATTTTCTTTGCTGTTATCTTGGAGGGAAGCAACTATGCATGTTCCTGATTCCATTCAACTCAGCTTTCTTGTTCAAATTTACTTTTTCAAATAATTTTGTCTCCTCTAAAAGGCTTATGACTTCCTTTGAGGAAAAAAACCTTCCTTTACTTGAAACTGTGTTATTGTCGTCCCTTTATCAAACTTCTTCAGAGTATACTATCTCCAGTTCTTTAACTCCTAGTCATTCTCCATTCTTCAACATACTGCAATTGGCTTCCAGTACCTCCGCTGGATTAAAACCAGTGCCTTAAAGTTCATGACTGATCTCCTGCCAATAAAACTTAATAGCACCCCACTACCCAAAGCTGCTTTCCTTCCGTCATTCATTCGAACCGAATGTCGGGAACTGTGCTAAGCCCTGTGTATAACAGATGAAAAGAAGTATCCCTTCTTCAAGGAGGTTGCAGTATAATGAAGGCGTATATAAGATACAAAGGCAGGGAGGGCCACCTAAATCTGCCTAGAGGTGTGAGAAAAAGCTGCAATAAGCAGATTGCCAGGGTGAGGATAGGAATAGTATATACACTCAAGGCTGAGAAAACAGATATGCATGGAACAGAGACACAGTCGCATGAAATAAAGAATATCCTCCTGTTAGGGGAGAGGGCACCCGGTCCCACACCAGCAAAACTTCAATTTCATTATGAAGGTATTGGGGGAGAGATGTTTTTGGAAAGTTTTGACAAAGAGGTGACATGACCCTGTGAGATGCTCTAAACCACAGGGGCTAGCTTGTCTGTTGACATCAGCCCCACCCCTGCTACTCTCTCCTGCATCACAGTTCCGATTCCTTCCAACAGGATCCCAGCTTAGACCCTACTAATGGGAGGTACTTAGGGCAATTTGAAAGATAGAAGAGAAAAAGCCATCATTCTACGGGTGTCATCTCTGGGCAGGCAGGTGGCCCCTGGCAAACGGGGAATTGGGTAGCCACTTCCCAGAGTCTTCCTGGGAATTACCGACTTGGTGCTGTAGGCAGCTGAGGGCTTTTTGGTGGAGGCTTTTTCTATGACTCCTGTACTTCTGGAGCTCCTGAAAGCCAGCAGAGGTCTTCCTGACCTTTCTTCTCCTAGCCCTTCCAGTGGTTGTGAAATCCCTGGCTTCCTGATGAAACCCTGACTGACATAGCACAAAATTTCCAGTAATTCTTGCCTAGAAACTGTTCTACACCGACACCATACACTCAGATCTCCTTCATTTTAGACCACTAGCATCTGTTTTTCCCAAGGCTCCCATCTCACCTCTCTCCCTATAAAGATGACTCCAACACTGTATTTCTTCTCTGTATCCCACACAAATTTCCCAGTATTTCTTGGACACCACCGGCTGGATGACCTGCTGGAACCTCAAGTCAACAAATTCATCTTTTTGCAATTGTTCCTTTTCATGAGTCCACATTTATTTTCAACATGATACAATTATTCCAATCATCTGGCTCAAAACATGTAATATTTCAATATGCAGTATTGAAATATGCAAATATTTCAGTAATTCTAGGCAAGAATTACTGAAATATTTATTGAGAGCCTACTATGTGCTAGCTAGGTTCTGAGAATGTAATGTTTAACAAGCTAGCTATGCTGTCTGCTCTCAAAAAGCTTACAGTCTAGTGGAGGATCTAAGAAATCTAAGATGGCTGTGAAATTGTTTTTCTTTCATCCTTTAACTATGGCTAGTAACTTGCAAAAATCTCTAGCCCTTCTGAAATCTCTCTTGAATTCTTTCTTCTTCTTTCCATTTTCAATCCCTTTATCAGCCCAAAACCTTCACCAGAACTATTCTTTTAGCTTACTAGACTTTATTGCATCATGCACATTTTAAAAATAATTTGATAAAACACTAATGCACATACCATTTTTGCATACAATTTCTAGGGTCACTGATAGTCCCTTTGTGGCCAAACCTTAGATTTCTTTGGGTCCTTTCATTCATTTGGGTTCATAGACCCAAAGAACCCTACCTCAGTGGCTCTCTCATCTTCATCATTCCCACTTAGAATTTAAAGCAAAATCCTATCCTACCTTTCTCCTACTTAGAACTTGTCATTTGAAACAAAAGCAGTGCCCAACTCACCTTTCCCGCCTTATTTCTCACAAGTCCCCTACAGGAACCCCAAGTTGCAAGCCCTAAACATGCCCCAGGCAGGCTCATGTTGATGTATTTGTTTGTTCAGGGTTCCCTCCAATCCAAGTCTCAAGTTTGTCCAAAGCTCTTTCTTTGAGCTACCTTGGCACTTTGCACTTCTCACACTCAGTTTCAGTTTTAGAGCTGACTATCCAAACCTTTTCAGTTTGAGAGCAGGGATCATTTTACTTTTGTACCCCCTGAAGCACCTGGCATAATGCTGAGCCTAAAGGTGTTTTTAAAAATTGTTAAAACTAAATTGAACCCAAATCTCTCTTCCGCGTCTTAGTCTAAGCTGCATGCTTCATCCTATTTCTTCTTCTACATAACTGTCTTTCAAACATTGGAAGACAAGTATCTCATCCCTGTTCCTTAGCTACATAAAATCCAGAAGATACTGGCTAACCTGGTAGTTCAACTGAATGTAAATACAACTCAATATGAGCACAAAATAATCAAGACGTCCCTAAGGGACTTCCCAACTAAACTTTGACTCATACCTTATGATCTGGGATGAACAAATACAGAAACTCTTCACACCGTTTCACTCACCACTACTTACCTAATATAAGGGAGGGACAAATAATACCACCCTCATCTTGGTAATTCCATAAACAAGAAAGCTAGAAAAGCACTTGCAACTTTGAAACAGAAAGGAAGGACAACCAAAGTCATGCAAATGTAGGTGAGGATGGGTAACAAGTAGTTCTAGCTCGGCTATAAAACCTGTGACCCAGGACAAACCCTCAACATCTCTGAGCTTGTTTGCCTACTTTTCCCACATGATGGGATCTGATAAGAGTACTGGAATTCATTGTACGAAACCAACAACATTAAAAAGTCCCTCTGGACTTGATGTCATATGCCAGGCATTTTATTAAGAGTACTTTAGCTTTGCAAATACTAAAGCTGAAAATAAGAAAGCCACAGATTATTGTTTCCCTTTAAATGCTCTTGAGTTCTTTATTAGAGTTTTTAAATCATTCAGACCACCAAAAATATCTATTTGGCCTATTCATTTCTATTGATCTTGTACACTTACTTCCTTCACCCATGAAAGGAAGCCATGGAAGGAGGTCCAATGACTACACCTACTAACACCTGCCTAATACCCTCAGTTTCCCACAGAGATGGACTAAACGCAGAATATATTCTTGAGAATGGCCAAGGTGTACCAAGAACATTTGGGCCAAGATGCATGTTCTTTCCCAAATCATCTGGGTTATCACCAATAAAAATAATTATTTTATCCTTAAAGGAATTTATTAAATAATTTACTCATTTTCCTTAAATCAATTTGTTCAGAAACAACTTTTAAAATGTATTTTCAGGCCAGGCATGATGGCTCATGCCTAGCACTTTGGGAGGCTAAGAAGGCGGATCACCTGAGGTCAGGAGTTCGAGACCAACCTGGTCAACATGGTGAAACCCTGTCTGTATCTACGAAAAATACAAAAATCAGCTGGGAGTGGTGGTGCAGGCCTGTAATCCCAGCTACTTGGGAGGCTGAGGCAGGAGAATTGCTTGAACCCAGGAGGCGGAGGTTGCAGTGAGCCAAAACTGTGCCACTGCAGTCCAGCCTGGGCAACAGAGTGAGACTCTGTCTCAAACAAAAAAAAAAAAAAAAAAAAAGAAGTATTTTCAAAGGCAGCTCTTCCTGCTGGAAAACTGCCTGTGACTGTCTGAACTAAATTAACAATTACTGAACAAGCACAAAAAATAGAGTACTGATTTTTGGGACAAGATAAATATTTGATTTCTTCAAATAGTTCATGCTAATGACCTGCAGTCATCTTTCACTTGGATAGATCACTTGGGCAGAAGTAAATACATCTGACAAAGGGCATATCTCAAAATTATGTGTAAGATATGTAAGTTTTCTAACTTTTAAGAGTTTACATACTATAATAATAAGGATCTAAAATTAAATGATGTTGGTCAATATTTAACATAAAACTCAAAAGCTATGTGCAGTATACCTTGCGTCTTCAAGTTTAAGCAAACCTTGTTGGAGAGTGCTAACTGAATTCAGCTCTGTATTATTATATTATAGCATAATCTCTGTAGATATACATTGTTGACAGTTACTATTATGCATCCTTAAAACACAATTCATACACAGCATACATAAGTAAGAGTAGGTTATTTTTTCCCTCTCTGCAATTTCTAGACTTGTTCTAATTCAGCTAAGCCTAGAAAATGACCCACATCCATCTGACTTGCAAATGACCCTAAAACTGCAGTAAAATTTGCCTTTAACATCCAGCCTAAAGTTTAACCATTAAAATCCCGTGTGATTACCCCTTGAAAAACAAACTACTGACTGTAAACCAAAAGAGCTTCATTGGAAAAGGGGATGTTAAAAAGATAAACCACTTCAAGGTAAATGAAACAAACAGGTACTATTCAAACCAAGGGATATACAACATGGTGGCTAGCACTCATTGGCCAATAGCAAAAGATAGTGCTTCCTCTACTTTACTCTACTTCACTGGCAGACAAACTATGCCTACTGGTTTATAAAATCAGAGCACAGATCTGGGCTAAGATGGTAGATGGAACTTACATACCTAATTTTACTTCTTCCTAAAGGTCCATTAAAATTCAAGTAAGAAAAAAAGAAAAACAGGAATAACAAGAGGAAATGACAGCAATAAAATCCAAGGACCTAGAAAGTAGATGGTTGGATGGACTCACCTAGCTCATTTGAGAAAGTCCAACCTTAAGCTAACAGTGGGGAAAACTGAGATCCAATCCAATTTACATCACAAAATCCTCAAGGGCGCAGAAACTGACAGGACCAGATACCACTAAAACCAGAGATAAAGTGTGTGCAGTGGGGCTAAAATAAAGATTACTAAGAAAGTTGTTTTAAGAAGTTAACTCTCTAGATTCATTCCCCAACTCCATGCTATTCTTCTCATAAATGGGCAGATATTTGGAGAGTTAATCTCTGGCGAGGTAAAGACTACGTCAGAGAGATTATATGTAGTATAATATTAAATACATACAGAGACCACCAACACAGCTCTGAAGCCCTGGCAGTCAGACCCTTACCAGCTAGGCCAGTCCTTATAAGACTCTTCTGTATGGAATCTGACCAGCCAAGGCCAACAGACAAGTGCTAAAGACAATAACAACAGAGGTTACCCAGTAGAATAGACCACCCAGATCTTCCAATAGGGGAATTCAAAGTTGGCAAGCCCTACTCATGTTTTCAAAACTCCCCATCAATTTTTCAGTCTCATTCATGAGCAGATAACCAAGGATTACCAAGCATCTAAGGAGTCTCTAATATAATCAGTTCTTGGCCTTTTGGCTAAGATCAAGTGTAGAAGTCTCTAACAAGGAAGACAGAAATTAAAGCAAACAGATAAAAGCAACTTGGAGAAACAGACAACACAAGGAGAAGAAAACTATAAAGTTGAGAAAAAAACTTCCTAGAAAGAAGAGCCAAAGACACAGATAGAAAATTGGAGAAAATATTTTAAAAAGCAGAAGTCCAGAAAGTCTAGTATTTAAATAATAGAATTTTTAGAAAGGGAGAACAGAGAAAGTAAGTGCAAGAAGTTCACTAATAATTCAAGAAAATTTCCGAGAACTGAAGAAAATGAGTCATAAGATTTTAAAAGCATACTGTATGTCCACTGTGTCCACCAAAATGAATTAAAATAGACCCCCACCTGGCTGGGAGCAGTGGCTCACGCCTGTAATCCCAGCACCTTGGGAGGCCGAGGCAGGCAGATCACCTGAGGTCAGGAGTTTGAGACCAGCCTGGTCAACATGGTGAAACCCTGTTTCTACTAAAAATACAAAACTTAGCCAGGCGTGGTGGTGGGCACCTGTAATCCCAGCTACCTGAGAGGCTGAGGCAGAAGGATTACTTGAACCTGAGAGACGGAGGTTGCAGTGAGCCAAGATCGCACCACTGCCCTCCAGCCTGGGCAACAGAGTGAGAATCCGTCTCAAAAAATAAATAAATAAATAATAATAAAAAAAATAATAAATAAATAAATAAATAAAATAAAATAGACCCACACCAAGGGAGATCACTATGGAATTCCAGAACACAGAAGACAAACTTGCTACAAGCTTCCAGAGAGGGAGAAAGATTACATATAGAGGATAACAGCATCTTTGGATTGTTCAACAACAAAACTGGAAGCAAGAAGTTAATAAGCCTTTAAATTTCTGCAGAAAAAAATATCTACAACCTAGAATCCTGTATTTACCAAACTATCAACTGAGAAGTAGAATTAAATATTATTTCAGACAAGCAAATTACTAAAATATTTATCTCCCATGTACCTTTCCTTAAGAAATACTGGAGGATGTCACTCCAGCAAAATGAGATTTAAAAAAATAAATAAATAAAAGACTAGGGTGTGGGATCTAGGAATATAGGAAGATCATCTAAGAAAGGAGAGAGAACAAAGTGAAATACTAGAAATGACTGCTGTGTACCAGATCTGAGTACTGTGATCCATGACAGCTGTCAGTACCAAGATTCCCACTGCTATTATACCAACAGGCCACCTAAGTCAGTTTGGTTCAGGCTCTTTTCTGTACTTTCTGATTTTGACCAAGCCTAATGAAGTTTCTGTTCTCCCCGCCAAGCCCTGGTGAATTAATCAGCTGACACTTGTTTTAAACGCCACCTCTCACCCCAAAGGGTTAAGACACTTAATTCACTAAGTGTCTGTGATCTACTCCAGAGGACTGGAGGGAAGCCATGGTGAGCTTTGACACAGGAAACAGACAGCAAACTGATCCTGTAGACCATATTTCTGCCAGACACCCGGGACTGTGCTTACCTGACAAGACCTACCCCAACTGGCAAGCCCTGTTTTCCAGGACTCACTCATAACCTTGGCCACTGTACTTCTAAGAGGCTTTCATAAATGATCGGAGACGCTAAAGCCAAACTATGCCCCAGAAGCTATTTAGTTTATCTTCTCCTAAAAGTCTTAATCTAATAGTGACAACATCACCCTTTCCTTCTACAGCTAGGCTTGGGTTTATTACTCAGCTTTTTAAAACTAAACAATCTATTCAGGGATAGATACATAGCTGGCAAAACTCTTGAAGATTAACACAGAAATTAAAATAATGGCTATTTGAAACGATAAGGAAAGAAAATGAAGTCTAACTGGAGAGGGGCAAATAGAGGTTTTAAGATACCAGAGGTTCTATTTTTTTTTTTTTTTTTTTGAGACGGAGTCTCACTCTTGTTGCCCAAGCTGGAGTGCAATGGTGTGACCTGGACTCACTGCAACCTCTGCCTCTTGAGTTCAAGAGATTCTCTTGCCTCAGCCTCCCGAATAGCTGGGATTATAGGCACGAGCCACCATGCCCAGCTAATTTTTGTTTTGTAGTTTTAGTAGAAATGGGGTTTCACCATGTTAGCCAGGCTGGTCTCGAACTCCTGACCTACAGTGATCTGCCCGCCTCGGCCTCCCAAAGTGCTGAGCTTACAGGCATGAGCCACCATGCCTGGCCTCTATTTTTAACCTTGGTGGTAGACACACAGGTCATTATTATTTTTATTCTTCATACTTTTTATAAAGTCATGCTTTTTATAAACTCTTCTGTATGACTGATTAAACACACACACAATTACAGCACAGCCTTATAAGGTAGGAGTTCCCTCCTTTTACAAAAAAAGCAACATTTTTATTGATATGCCCATCTCAGGACTTCCCCGCATCCCCGCAAAAAGCCTTGATTACAATTCACTGCCATCTGAATATTATTTGTGCATTGGTCCATCACTTTGCAGTACAATGTGAAGGTTCAGGAGACTGAAGTGAAGTTCAAGGGCAAAGAGAGCCTGTCATTTCTAGTCCTCTCCTCTTATCCAGGGAAATTTTGTTAGTTTTACAAAACAATTTACTATCCACTTGATCACCATCTATTTCTGGTGACATTTATTTGAGAATATCATGTTTAAGTTTCTAAAAATTGTGTTGAAATTTTAACAAATTAAAGTACAGCATAAAGGTAAGGACGAAAAAAACCCACCTGAAAGCACAGAACGTACGATCTAGATCTATTTAGTTGATCCTACATCACATCCCTTAATGGACATGGCTGAAAATATGCCAGTTCCAGCTTTGGGCTTCTGAATGCAGCCCAAGGCAAGACATACAAACCACACAGATCCTGGTGCTCTGTTGGGGAACAGGTAACTTTCATCCTCTACCCTCTTTTGGTCAGTGGTGCGATCGTTGCCCCATCAACAGGTACTTCCTAAAATGGTCAGTCATAAAAGATGTGTCTGTGGATCATCTACATCAGTGTTTCCCGATCTCTTTCCCATCATGGCACTCACAAAGAGATGCCACTTGTGTGACATAGTGACTGCTGCTCCTGCCAGGTCTCCCTAAAGAGAACCAACATCTCAACATGTCAATAACCTCTCCATTACTGGCACATAAGGCTTCTCAGTTGGGAAGGCTTGGCATGCATAATACAATAGCAGAAAGAGGAATCTTCTACTGAAAGGCACTGGAAGAGGGATTCTTGAGGACAAGATGGGCTGAACGTCAAGGATGCCATTGACTGTCAATAAAATGGTTGTTTCTCCTCCACTTTCTTCTTCTAAACCATCCTCCCTCCCCACTGTTGAAGATGTAAAATCAAATGGAAACATCTGATGGCTACTTGTCACAAAACCTTTCAAACTCACATCCAACAAAACAGAAAAACAAAAACAAGGACAACCCAAGTGTCACCATCAAGTTTTCTGTTTTATTTAAGATTTTAGTTTTAATTCTGAAGAAAGAGGTACATTTCCTTGTTTTTAGTTTTAGCGTCAGGTTATAACCAGGTTTCTGTTTTCTTTTCTCCTGTCTTTTCAATACTGCACAAACGTCCAGAAACTACAGGGTTAAGTAAAAGCTGCAGGCAAGGAGGTCAGAGATTTGCTCCCGATGGTGATCAGATGGCCCCAGAGCAGTGCTATCTCAGAGTGCCCTCGTCAGGTGAATTTATGGTAAAACAAAAAAGATTCCGACAGAGGAGAAGGACTGAAGAAATGACTTACATTTCAGCTCTTATATTATTAATAGGTATTAAATCTGTGAATACTTTTTTCTTTAAAACATTTCAATTTACTTTAAATCTAAAGCCAAAAAATTTTTCTCCTTTAAAAAAATTACTTCTCACCTCCTTATGAACTCTTTAGCAATCGGCCAGTTACTACTACAGATGAATTTGTCTTTCCATCAACTTCCAATACATTCTTTTGCTTAATGACACAATCAAGTCCTTGCCATCAACTTGCCAAAAGAATTAAAAATTAATTTAAATTAAAAGCATTTTCCCTGCAATAATGATAAGCTGAATACAAGATGGATGCTAGGACCACTGCTTTCCCCCATGCATTTAGCAATCTCACGTAAATGAACCTGGTTTTCAAACTTCTGCAGTTGATAATGCATTTACTTGAGCTTTCCTATAGATTAATCGTCATTTTCTGCTAAGCAGATTATGTCATTATTATGCGCAACAGACAAACAATAATTTTCTAAGTATTGAGACTGCCCTTTGATTTTTTTTTCTCTCCTTAAAAAGGCATTTTTAGAAACATTCAACAGTGTCACTCAAATGCTGGATCAACAAAAATTTTTACAATTAATAAAGAGATGGTAATGACCCTGTGATCGCATTGCATCTGGGGTTAGGGAGAAAAAAAATTGATCAGGTACTGGATTCTTCAGAACATAAGAGATGAGAAGGGAGCTGTGGGTGGTGGGCTGAGAGGGAGAAAACAGAGTGGGACAAATCCTGCATTTTCTAATGGTTGCTCCTCTTTGCCTAATGGCGGTCCAGTGTTGAACTCTGTAGTAAATCTGTGGGGGTTTTGCTGGGGGGTCTGAAGGCTGTCTGAAAGCCTGGGGGTGGGGAGTGGAAGCTGGAAGGGTTTGAAGGAGGAGGGTAGGGATTCCAACTGGCTCTGTGCAGCGGGATCTGTGTGCTGAAGGGGGCGCTGTGGTGGGTCTGTGATGGAGCAGCGCTGGGGCCGTCCATCTCTGTGAGGGCCTGAAGGGATTTTAGCCAGTGTGGAGGATTGTCATCTTGAAGAGAGTCTAAACTGTTTCCTGAAGACGCTGGAATACCTAAGGAGAGAAAAGAAAAAAGAGGGAAAATGGTGAGTTTGTGTGGAAAGAATAAGGTCGTCAAACAAATTTAGAAAGCAAAACCAAAAGGAAAGACAGAAGAGATTACAATTTTAAACTCCTTCCAAATAAGACCTTTTAAACCAATCCTCCCCCAACAACAAAGAACTTATTGGCACACAAACCCATGCCTCCTCTTGAACTAGACTTAGTCCCCCACTGTCACAGAGGCAGAGCTGCAAAACACCATTCCCCAGAACTGCCTGATGGCATTTCCCAATTGTGCTTTTCCTCCTCTGACAGGGATGCGTAACAAGACAGCCTTATAATAGAGAGCTTTATAACAAAAAGTGGAGTATGTTCCTTATAAGAAGAGTAAGTCAGATCCTTTTGTACTTTGAGGCCTACAAAATACACATGTTGCCAGATGTTAACACCTACTTAAACCAGAAGAAGCAACCTAGGCACCAAATGCCTTCTTATTAATACACAACTAGGCCGACAGGTTAAATGAGACTTGCATGACCCCTGAGAACGAAACAAGCCACTCCACACTTGCGGCTTTGTGAAAAGCAGCTTATGTTGAAGAGATCTCGGTTTTTATTTAATCTGTGCTAAAAACCAAACTGTTGGCAGTCAGTGTAGCTGAAGGGAGTGAGAAAGTTACCTGTGATGATGGCTGGGTCTGTCCAGCTGCCAGGGCTGTCCCAACTCAGGCTGTCGGTGGTGGCAGTGTTGGACGTTGGTGCACTGTGGTTGGCGTTGGAGGGGGAAGAAGAATTGGGCAGTCCACCAAAGTTGATGTTAATGTTGGGTAGAAGTGCCCTTAGCCCGTCCTGCCATTCCTTCATATTTAAACTCTCTACAGAACTGCTGTTGTCTGGGAGATTTACCAACAAAAAAATGAAAGATAAAAAAAAATAAAAAGCTACGTTAGAAACATATGTTGTTCTTTAGTGGTTAAGCGGGAGAAGAATTATTCTTTCTTTATTGAGCATTTAAAATGGGTTGTCCTAGCAAGATAAACTTGGTTAGGATTTTGCTCGTGAGCTCAGAGCCCCTGAAGTGAGGAAAAACTTGCTCAAGGATCAGGAGAGGGAGGTTCTTGTCTCTCTATAGCCTCTTCACCATTATGGGTTTGTAAATCAATAATCCAGTTTAAAGACTCAATGCTCCAGAGCACAATTTAGTTCCAGCTACATTATGAAGTTTCACTTAGTGAGGCATTTAGCCAGCTGAGCTGATTTACGCTATAAAAAAGCCAAGTCTGCAAAGTCCAATATAGGAGCTTATTTCTCAGCCCACAAATGGAAGAAAAGTCATTTTATGAAGAATAAACATAAGCAATAGAAAAAGAAAAATAATTAAGTCCTTCTTCATTATAAAACTGGCAATGTGCTTCAGAAGAGAAAAGCAGTAATGAACAGGCTTTTGAATTTGAAAAGAATGTATTTCCATTTAGTCACTAAGGCCGAGGAGGCAGGAGCTGATACCTTCTAGATGGAATAATTTCCAACACAGTCTGCCTGCTCTACTCCAACAGTTCTACCAATCATTCACAGCCTGAGTCCCGGAGTCCTACAGTTTTCTGGGTCTATTTATGAATAGTATCAAACATGAGAAGACACTAGCAACATAGAAAAGGCTTTTTATAAATTGTGACTAAACTAACTTGATCTACTACCATCCAGAATCCACATAGTATAACTAACTGGTCAGGGGGAAAAGGGTGAAGTATAACAACTACCTAATTGTTTAACAAATACTTAGATAGTTGTTTTATTTTTGAAAATAGCAATGTAAGTCAAATTACAAACTGGAGTTTTTGAAAAAAGCATAGAAAAATATTTCTGATTCTACAGAACTGATTGGCAATCAACGCTGAGAAGGAGGAGGAGGATGTTCTAACAGGCACGATCTATGCTGCTTAGCAAAATCAGAATTTTCTTTTTGAAATTTTGCTTTGCACCAACCACTGATCAATGCCAAATTATATCATGTTTCAACAAGTGAAGCATTTAACTCCATTGACCTTATTTATAAAAAGATAAAATACTACAACTAAACTGAACGAAGGTCATCTCTGAACTTATTAAGATGAAGAAAAAGCACTCTAGGCTACACAAAACAAGACAACAGAAGGGAAAATAAATTCTCCAACCCTACTTTCATTTCATAATTGATGTAATTTACTAAACCTCACATTTCTTATATTTGCATATTATTTTACATTTGTATGTGTTGTATGGTTTACAAGGCACTCTCATAGTCAATTATTTCATGTGATCTTCACAACAGCCCTGAGAGGCAGGCAGACAAGGATAATCTGCATTTACTAGATAAAGAAACAGACTCAGGAATAATTTCCCCAAGTTCACAAAACTTGTTATTGAGAACTTGAACCTGAACCCTGTCCAAAAAAAAGCAAGCAAGCTTACTCTCTCGATCTACTCTGTACAGACTATTAATTTTTTAAAGGGTCAAATATTAAAGGGAAAGCCCAGGGGAAGACCCATGATTGAAAGGAGGCAAAAGAGAAACAGAGAAGCATTATAGTGTGTCCACTGGCCATGATTAGCAGAGAGATATTGTGACTAAAGGAAGAAACTGGACTTTGCGGCCAGGAGAAAAAAATTCTGCTCAAGAATACAATCACTAGTTTCCCCCTGGCTCCCTAACTACATGAGACACAAACAAGATCATAAATATAAGTCCTAGAACACTCTCAATCACAGTAAGGTTTACGGCTATGGTACACTCTAACTTTTAAAGCAGTCCAACTGTCATGCTGAATAACTTAAAATAGCTTCCAATTAGGCAAAAGCCAAACAGGGAAAACTTCCTATAAGAAAAATAAAATCCCCCAGAAATAAAAAGATGATGTATAACTACATGGGAACATTTTCAGGAAGATAAATGATCTTACACCGAGTGGCTAATGTCCCTAAGAAGTCCATGCAAATGATCCTCCCTCTTCTACTGAATAGGGAGAGAGAGAATATCCCATAACTCAGAACAATCTGCTCCTAACTTTTGCTTTACCATTTAGTGAGCAATGAAATTGAGGAACATTTAATTTTGCATTAACAGAATAACACTTGCATTTACATAAATCTTATTTGAAAATTAGTAATAAAGTCAAAAGACAATAAAGGCAGAGGGGTTATATGACAATTCTCCGTACTTCCCACTCAGTTTTGCTGTGAACCTAAAACTACTCTAAAAAAAAGTTTGTTTTAAGGGACATTTGTTCCTGTAATTGTAGACTAATCAAATCAAGCAAGGGTATGTTAGCCAAAGAAATTCACATATGGCGCATGATGCAGAAACAGTGAGAAATTTAGATCCTCCCAGGTGCACTATGATTACAGGATACCTTGGGAAATAAATTAGCTAGTTTATAATGCAACAATCTTGACACCCCTCCTCCCCCCAAAAAATCATGTGCCTTGACATTTTGGGAGCCTGACAGCATGGATGTGGCTTACAGTAAAGCTGCAAGTGTTACAGGGAAGTAGAATGATGCTTTTAGCTCTTGGAATAGGATCATATTCCATCTAGCTTAGAAGAAAAGAAGTTTATTTCACTGTTTTTTCCACTATTGCTATGCCAAGTGCTGGCACAAAGAAAAGGTGAGAGAAAGGAAATCAGCTTAATCCTAATCCCATCAAAATAGCTCATCTCAGTCCGGCCATACCTGAAGTCACCTCCTTGATTCCCTATTCCCTCCCAATGACCCAAATTTGTCTTGGCTGCGAGGGCTTCTGGCAATTCCATTCTTTGAAACACATACAGCAGGGTTTATCAACCTCATCACCACTGACAGTTTGAACTACATAATTCTCTGTTGTGGAGTGCTGTCCTAAGCACTGTGGGAGGTTTAGCAGCATTGCCGGCCTCTACCCACTAGATGCTAGGGGTACCAACTCCCCAGTTTTGACAGCCAAAATTGTCTTTAGACGTTGAAAATGTCTTCTAGGGAAGCAAAATTGTATCCAGTTGAGAACCACTGACACAAAGGAAGTCGATTCCTTTGCTTCCAGGGCTCTTATATGATCTCGCTTGAATGCACATTTTCCTTTCAAATAGTACCAGGACTTTGCCCACTGACTCAACCTGATGCAAGTTCATTTTCTTTTCTTTATACAGGACTTCACACTGGAGTACAATTCAACGTGTATAAGTCAGCAGGTCTCATAGAGAAAACATTGTAGATAGGTTGTATAAGGCATCTCCACAACTGGCTGTCAATATAATTTAGGCATGTACATCCCAGGACACCTAATTCATAACTAAAAATAACACCTGCCTTACTCTCTCATAAGGATAAAAATAAGAGAAGGAAATGCAATTTGGAGCACATTACTTGCTAAATGCCTAATAACAAATGCTCCACTGGTGGTCAATACCGAACGGATAGTAAATTTTCCAAAAAGCTAAGGCAGGGTATTTCTTACTGCCAGGAACTAGCCCTGTGTACTAGTCTCCTTTTAGGAACTTAGGAATAACACTCATCATTCTCAGAGGTACTGTGTAGTCAATCTAATAATGAGTCTTCTTATCACTAAAACATTACAAAGACAAGACATCAGAAAGTACTTTAAACTTACCATAAGATGTGAAAAGAGCAAGCAAAGTATAATAAAAATCAAGTTACCAAACATTTTATATTAAAAACAATACTAATTTTATTTTTAAAGTAATTAGTAATAGTATAATACATCAGGGAATGAGTGTTTATTCTTAAGGAATCGATAATATATTTAGATGTTTTCTGATGTTAAAAAATTTTACTTTATGGAATATAAATATGTACAACAAAACACTATTTTCAGTTCTAAACAATTTGAGGGCAGGAAAGGGGGTCAAGTTGTTGGTAGTAGTTTTATTTTTCAGTGTAGAACTCAAAGGCACACAATTTAAAGTACTTTCAAGATGCGACGTGTCACACTTTCATATTCCACTGTGTAAGAAGTATCAGTATACTTCATTTACCTGCCTCAGAAAATCTCTTATTAAAGAAGAAATTATAGTTAAAATTCTGCTACCTTGCTGGTCAAGGTAGCAGAATCCATAGTAAGCGGATCATGATGCACTAAACAAGCTGACAAATCTAGTTTTCAGCAACAACAACAGTTTAAAAAATCAGTATAAAATGCATATATTAAGACCACCAAGCTAAAAATCAAAGCAACTCTTTACTGAATGCCTACAGTGTACATGAAACACAAAAGCACTTAAACCATGACCTCTGTTTTCAAGGGGCTAAAAGTCTAGACAGTGGGACAATGAAAATAAATGAAAAGTTCAACAACTACATCTGAAAAAGCAACAGAAGAAATGCCAAGGTGGTATATGATTAAAATATGCTACATAAGTTCAGTAAAAAGACAGGCCAGTTGGGACACGTACGGGAACGTGTTGGTGGGTGAAGAACAGTAGCATTCGTGGAGTTGCCATTTTAGTTACTACATAGTTCTCCCCCTCCTCCCACACCAAACCTGAAAATCTCACAACAGGTTGAAACTATCTTTAGTATTTCTGCATAACACTGTACTAGTCCAACTGTTTACTAGGAAGTACACAGAAAGGCATTTAAACAATGACTATATTATAGACTATATTTCAGAATGAATTCTGACATCAGACCTTTCACAGAACACTGCTTGGGCAAGCACACACAGTTAGCATTAATAGCACCTAGTGGGTATCTTTCTGTTCTCCAGGTTAACTGCAATATGTTAATTATTATGAAATGTAAAACTATAAATAGCAAAATGTGGGAAAACCTGCTCCTAACAGTAAGCTGTCACTGGCAACAAGCCAATGGGTTTTTCCAGCTGGCATAAAAGCTTCACCTGAAAGAATGGAGGAAGTTGAGGGCGCAGGGTACCAGGACAAGGCATCCTTCCTTCCCACCTTGATTTCATGTAGTTTATGTATTAGGGTACCATGTGAGATTTAATTTGAAAAATAAGATCTGCTGCTAAAAGGGTAAAGACATAGAAGACCTCTGCATAATGACAACATAGTGAGATAAAACACATGTAAAACAAGCCCCCAAACAAGACAATTCCAGTAGATTTGTTTCCACGAATATATTTTTGTGCCACCAAATCAGGATATTGTGCCGTCTTGGAATTCCTGCCTCTACTTTATTTTTGGTACCCCCTCCTCAAGGTCTTCTCATTAAATAATAAATACACCCTTACCGGGAAGCAGTCACTGAGAGACCCAGTCACAAAATACACCTAAAAGTGTTCATTCTGCACTTCAGTTTTTGAGCCATATTTAATGGTCATTACCAAAAGGCTCAATACAACCTGATTTTGTTTTTCTAAAAAGCTTTTGTCTTCCATCTTCACTCTTGTCCTTTATAGTTCAAAACCACAGGCTCCAGTGGTTAGGTTACTTAAACAAATCTTTCTTGGTGCAAGTGGCTACACATCAGAAACCTGGTTCCTACTATGATTAACTCTTTGCCATTTAGACTTTCAAACCTTTGTGCATTTTTAGAAGGACATAGGGAATAACCTGTCTTAGCTCCTGCCCCCACACCCCTCCCTCTTATAAGTGATCTCCTACCAGTTTTGGGATGGAGTGCATCTTCATTTGAACAAAGTCTTGGTTTGAACAAAGTCTAAACTTCCTCAAACCTCAACAATGAATCTCTAAGTGACTCAAATACAAATGATTTATGCTGAACTAAACTTCAAAGAGCAGACAAAATTTGTCATATTGAAATTTAAAAGAAAGCCTTCATAATATAAGTGTACTGTACATCAGGGCAGTCACAAAAATCATTCCAATTTATTAACTAAAATATGCAGAGAAAATGACTTCTTAGTAAATGAATTGTTACAGACATTATAAAATCAGTTTATGAAAAATGTTATTCTAGTTAAATAGTTTACACTCAAATTTCTACAACTATGTTTATTATAATGCAAGACACACCAATACTCCACTAGGTCACAGACAAAATCTTAAGGGTTTAATAGATCTGAAAGTAGAATTTGGATTAAGTGGAAAATCTTAAGAACCCAAATAAAAAAAGAGTTCTGAGCAGAAACAACCTGAACAAAGTAACAGTCAAAACAACAACAACAAAAAAGGCAATATTTGTTTATACTAGTAGAAATGACATAAACAGAAAAATCCAGACACGCTACATATGACTTGTGCTTTCTAAACTCTATTCCCTCCATTCTCCTTGTCTAGAATGCTTTCTTGTTGTCTTCAAGTAGTTTTTATTCAATCTTCCAAAAGTCGAAGTCTCTTCTCTTCCACCGGCCAGCACTTAGGGTCTGAACCATTCATCTGGCAGCACACCATGCCGTGCCATCGACTGCAGTTACTGTCCACCTTTCCATGTACTCATACTTCACCTCTCACAACTCCGCTGAAAAGCCTGATGGGGACATCCTGTACATTCTTCAGCATGTAGCTCAGTGTCTTAGAAATGTTACATGCATCAAGATATCTGCAGACTTGAGGGTCTGACTTGAGAAGAGCTGGAAAGTGACTTTCCCCAACAAAATCTGTTTAATTCCTATCTGTATAATGCTGTGAACAGATGGTTCTCTCCAAAAAGATGCAAAGCTTTCTGAATGCAGGAGGAGTAAGTTAAGTTTTGGGGTCCAAGAGGCTTCTCTGCATGTAAACTGAAGGAAATGAGCCACTAAGATGATATGTTTTTAATAGCATTTCAGATGCCAAAACACAAGCAAATATACTTTTAAAAAGTCCAACGCATCAAAACTGTTTAAAGAAGGAATGTTTTATTAAAAACAAATACTCCACTATTATGTGTGCAGGATATTAAACAAAAGTCTCTAAGATATATTCTACCCATTTTTCTACTTCAGCCACTATTCCTTCACTCACTATGCACTTTATGTACTCAATTACTTTAGTATCAACAATCCAATGAGGTTAAGTAGTAGGTTCATTTTACAAATGAGGAGGCTGAGTAGGCACTGTAGTTTAAAGAATTTGTCCCAGGTTATGGAGTTAAAGTGTTGCAGTCAGCAATTAAAATCAGTCTGACTCCAAAGCATTTGTTCTTGCCATCAAGCATACTACCAACCAGTCTGTGTCCTGGGCAGGACTCATGGGCTAACAGAAGGGAAGGGTAAATGTGTTTAAATAACTACAACATGGGATAATAAATGCTATTCTAGTATGAGCAAAGACCTGTGGGGCATAAAGAAGGAAGTGAATAATTCTTGCATTCTACATATAGGATAAACGGCAAATAAGAAAACATCAGAGGAAAAGCAGCTGATGTGGAAGAGGGAAAGGGCATCCCATAGAGAACACAGGGACACACAGGCCACAGGCAGCAAATAAAAAAATACAGTGGGAACATTTCAAAATATAAGTAGATGTGTTTGGCATAATGTATATTATTCTCTTCTAGAATGTTCCTATAAGGATCTATAAATCTGTTTTGAAGGAGAATCAGATTAATGAGAACCAGAAGAATCTAGATGGCTGCTTTATGAAGGATCTAAGGAATCAGAATCTAAGAAAAAATAAAAAATACTCATGTGCAAAGTTATATAAAAAAAGAGGAAAAAGTAAACAAATTTGAATATAAAAGATACATACACCCTTAGAAGCATCACAGACTGGATCAGATGAGACCCGAACCACAATATGTAAGCAACGCTAAATGAGGGCAAGGGACAAAAAAGATTCATATAAAAGATCTTTACAATGTCAAAGCAGCAGCCTGGAGGGAAGCATTTAAGTGAGCACAAAACTGAGCAGTGACCATGAACAAAGCCCTGTGAGGAGATCCAAAGATGGTCAAGGGAATGTAAAATAAGGAGACAATACACAGATCACCAGAATATTCACCCAATATGACTTCCCCAAAACAAATGACAAAATTGCAGAGACATGGAAGGTGTCAACCACCCTAACATCTCTGAAGTCTAAATCTGCTAGAAGAAAATAAACCTGATAAAACATTCCTTGCTGACGATCTCTCTTTTCCAAGGTGAAAATAAGGAAGAAAACTTTTATTCTGGACTTAATTCTGACCAACGAAGAACTGGTTGGCTACTGCAAAAATAACAGAAACCCTAGGAGGACGTGACATAATTTTAGGATTTACAAAAGCAGGGAATGGGAATAATTATACTTGAGTTCTTAGATGGCAGGCATCCTCGCTATTTTGCAAATACCACAGTGTATTGCAATCATTTGTTTACATGTTCACTTTTTACAACTAGACTTTGAGCTCCTCTAGGAAAAGGACCTCGATTTAATCATTTCTATGTAGTAGACAATGCCTGAACCTGAACTTCAGTAGGTACTGTATGTTTCCCAAACATATAACCCTGAACGTTTGCTACCATGTTTTTTTTTTTTTTTTTTGGAGACGGAGTCTCGCTGCGTCGCTCAGCCTGGAGGGCAATGGTGCGACCTCGGCTCACTGCAACCTCTGCCTCCCAAGTTCAAGCGATTCTCCTATCTCAGTTTCCCAAATAGCTGGGATTACAGGCACACACCATCACACCCGGCTAATTTTTGTATTTTTAGTAGAGACAGGGTTTTACCATGTTGGTCAGGCTGGTCTTGAATGCCTGACCTCGTGATCCACCAGCCTCAGCCTCCCAAAGTGCTGGGATTACAGGCGTGAGCCACCGCACCCAGCCTGCTTCCAGATTTTTTAAGAAAACAACTATCCAAAAAAAGATCGGGAAAAGGATGGGTGGGAGTGGTCCCATGGTTATAGAGAGCAGTGATTCACAGGCCACAGAAGATGCTAAAACATGACATTTTGACTATGCAATAATAAATAAATCTATAAAGAAAAGAAAATTAGAGGAAATCTAAAGAAGTTGGTTGTTACACAGGGAGAATCTGATGGGACTAGATTTGCAAAGAAAGCTTAGAAAAGATGGGTAGAGGTATATAACCTACTTGTATATAAAAGTATAATTCTTACGGATTAAAGTCAGAATCCATAATGATCTGAGGAAAGTGAAAAATGCTGAAAGCAAGACAAAGCTATGTTTTGAATAAGGGGAATATCAGGAAAAGCCACTGCTCAGCCTGATGCCATATTTGACAGGAGAAAAGGCAGGGCAATGTAGTTCCATGTTCATTTTGCTTCCTTCTATCTTTAGGTAAGAGCATGATCTTCTAACCAAAAGGACAGATTAAGTAATGTGAAGAAGGGAACTATTAAGTCAGGAGAGATGCAGACATCACAAAAGCATCTACTCAATTCAAATGAGTTTAAATCTTTAGACTGAAAATGAGTTTTATCCCAGGCTCTTAATCCTCACAGGTGAGAGCACAAAACCACTGTTAGAAAAATACCAAAAATGGAAGAAATGGCAGACTCTGGAAGCAACATGCTTAGAATTATTATTTTTTTATTTTTATTTTTTGAAACCAAGTCTTGCTCTGTCACCTAGGCTGGAGTGCAATGCTCGATCTCGGCTCACTGCAACCTCCACCTCCCAGGTTCAAGCAATTCTCCCGCCTCAGCCTCCTGAGTAGCTGGGATTACAGGCAAGTGCCACCAAGCCCAGCTAATTTTTTTTTTGTATTTTTAGTAGAGACGGGGTTTCACCTTGTTGACCAGGCTGGTCTCGAACTCCTGACCTCGGATGATCTGCCTGCCTTGCCTCCCAAAGCACTGGGATTACAGGCCTGAGCCACCATGCCCAGTCTAGAATTAGTTCTTGAGAAATTTCTAAAACAGATTTGGGGCTTGATGATTTCTTCAGAAATGAATATGATGGGTTTATCAACCACTGTTCTGTCTGCTTGTGTTTGGGGGTATTTTTCATGGGAAATAATGCGTAGCATTTTGACTAGAACTCAGCTTGATTCCACCTAAAATATACAGGAAGTTTAATTCTGAAATTGAACAAGTAGTCATAGAGGTTCCACTGACAATTGTTTTCCATTGGAAAAGTCCTTATATATCCCACGGCCTACTTCCTTTCCCCTTCTGCTGCCCATCTAAACTCAAAGACTTTGTAGTTAGCTCTGTTCCCATCCCACTGACTCCTCAGTCCTCCCCCAAAATGGAATAAAGTTATCAATGAGAGTCAAAATGAATTTTCATAAAGAACAAATTCTATCAAAGTAATGTATTCTTTGGATAGGCTTCCTAGGATGTCAGAAGTATAATATATATTGAATATATCTTGAATTCAGCAGTTTCTGGTAAAATTTGCTGATGATTCCCTTTTGGGATAACATGGTAAAGTATAGCATGGATAACAGCAGTGTTTAGATGAATCTACACAGAACTTGAGATACTGAGTCAGCCTAAAAGTCTCTGTAATACTCTTGGCTTATATTTGACTCCATGCTTTTTATTATACTTAACAAAAGCCACAAAGTTCATTTAAATATGCAAACGGAAAGCCAATTCTACAGATGACAGAATAGTGGAAACTACAACTATTCTTAAATTAAAACTCTTAACATTCTTTGACAAATGTTATTAATAGTGTTATTAATAACATGCATCTATCACTTTATAATCACATAGTTCTTTCATAAGACAAACTTCTAAGATGGGGATATACAAACAGGATACATTCTAACAATACCAAATCCAAACACATACAATTTAACAGATATACATTAGATTTTTAAAAATGCATTTGGAAAGGGTAGAATGGAAAAGATCTAACCATTAGCGTGTATGGGAAAAGGTCTAGTGGTTTTACTTAAATAGGCTTATGATACTTGGTCTGGCAACTGGGTAATGGAACGCCTAAAAAAGTAACATTAAGACCATATAAATAGATGTGCAATGTCTAAATTAGCAATTGTGTGACCTTAGGCAAATCACGAATGATAACCACTCTGCTTCTCATTTATAAAATGGAGATAACTACCCTACAAGATATTTTTATAAAAGAACTCTATAAACATAAGGGAAAATACAAATATTAGTAACAAGTTTTAATAAAAGACATCTATTATCTGATCATATGTGGATTATTATATTCAAGTGTGAGCTTCATATTTTAAGAAAGGCAACGTCAAGTCAAAATATGTGTAAAGAGAATTAAACTGAGAGAGAACTCAAAATCATGTTAAGTGTGGAATGGTTCAAAGAAGTGAGGATGTTTGATCTACATCCAGAAGTTAACAGACAAGTGGTCTTCATGTGTTTAACAAAATGCACCTAAGAAGTTCAATTGGTAAAAGATTTTGGCTTAACCAAGATAAAAAATTTCTAACAATTTTACCCTAAAGAACTCCCTACCTAGCAAAGTACGAAGCTCCTAAAACACCTCAGGAGTACACACAAAGCATTCTGAAAAAGTAGGTATTAGAGAGACTTTCTGGACTGTGTGTATGTGTTTCACGGAAGATTTACCAATATTTATATATAGATTTATGGGTATCAAAAATGAGGACTCGCCTGGTAAGAAAAATGTGTTAGTTTTTTTAAAAGGCGTGTGTTAGGGCTGGGCGCGGTGGCTCACGCCTGTAATCCCAGCACTTTGGGAGGCCGAGGCGGGAGGATCACGGGGTCAGGGGTTCAAGACCAGCCTGGCCAACATAGAGAAACCCCGTCTCTGCTAAAAAATACAAAAAATTAGCCAGGCATGGTGGTGGGCGCCTGTAATTCCAGCTAGTCAGGAGGCTGAGGCAGGAGAATTGCTTGAACCTGGGAGGCAGAGGTTGCAGTGAGCCGAGATCGTGCCATTGCACTCCAACCCAGGTGACAGTGCGAGACTCCGTCTCAAAAAAATATACAAAAGGGGTGTGTGTGTGTGTGTATGTGTGTACAGGGGGTGTTGGAAAAATAAGGAAAAGCCAAGAGCTGAGGTTTCCCAAGTTCAGAGGAAAAAAAAAAAAGAAAGAAGAAAAATTAATCACATAGTCAGTGGGTGACGTGTAGGGGGGAAAATCTTAACAATGAACACCACAATGCCAGAAAAGAACCAAAAAATGAATTATAACTCATATGCAAATGAATCTGACTAAATGCTTCCAAAAGTCCAGATTAACACAAAACACATCCATGCTTTGCAGGCCTCCGAATTGACACCACTCTCAACCATCAATTTTCCTTCCACAAACATTTATTGCATGTCTACTCTGTACCATTTTCTCTGGAGCTTGATGCTATGACATTCTCTAACAGCCTCCTAAAAACCATGCTGTTCTGCTTTTTTTTAATTTTAATTTTTATTTTTTTAAGGCTAGTCAAGTGAAGTTCTGCTTATTTCTTAGCAGATCACTCGGGACTGGCCATTCCAAATGAAGTCAGTAATAGCTTTTGATTGTTTAGTAGCAATAAAATATTTTTATTGGGGCAGAAGTCTCTCTTCAGGTTTACATTCAGATGAAAGTATTGTGCTTCCTATACAGCAAATCCCTTTATGGTTATATACCTATTGAAATTCCTAAGATTGCTGATGTTCATAATTTTCCAAATTAAAAGACTTCCAAGTTATCTAAAAGTTATTTAAAACATCAAACCCAGTTCTTTACTGCATTTGATTACACAGCACACTTTATTTCAATAGTAAAGATCAGTCAGTCTTATCTTTTTCTAAAAGATGGCTCCTATCAGCATCGAATTGTCTTAAGCATTTAAATCAACATAACAAAAATCCCAAATAAGAATAAAATTCCCACTTTTCTGAAACATCATTTTAATTGACAGATTCTTCATAATCTGGTTATGAGCTTCATTTTTAGAAAGTATTTTTTAGGCATTAAGAGTATTTACTTTCATTTCAGAAGAAAAATTATTTCAGAAAATGATATAACTTCATTATTTTATAAAACTAAATGAAATGGAGATGGATATAGTTATGGTGATAAACATTTCCAATACAACAGACCAAGCATACATCTTTAAGAGTTCTTTCTCATTAAGAGACATTTATTAAGGTTTTCAGATTGTTTTTAAAATAAATGTCTGTTTTTTAAAATAAGCATTGATACTCTGAAACTCAATGATTTTAGCTATGTAAAATGTGTGATTAAAAATTAAGGCTGGGGAAACTTAAACACACATTACTAAGTGGAAGAAGACAATCTGAAAAAGCTACATTAGTTTTAAAACTAATCTGTACTTTCTAAAAATGACCCTGAAACTCCTCTGTGTTCCACCTATTCACCACCCAGATCATCAATTGGCTTCATCCACTGTAACATATGTTCCACCCTGGTTGGGGGTGCTGATAATGGAGAACACTGTGCATGTGATGGGGCAGGGAATATAATGAGAAGTCTTTGTACCTTCCACTCAATTTTGCTGTGAACCTAAAATAGCTCTAAAAATTAAAGTCTATGTTTTAAAAAGACTATTTTGCTTTTTATTCCTCCTTACAGTATATTCACATACTAGGGGAAATACAAACTTTTTTTGTTTTCAATTTGCAAATGGTGTCTCAATCTAAAAAGAATTAAGTCTTAATAGGAACACATCTTTTCCAGACCTATACATACATATGATACTCCAGAGTTTCAAAAGACCCTGAATTCAAAAATTTATATGCTCATCACATTACTAAGGGGCCGTAGTTTAAAAATCATTTAAAATATATAGTTATTTAAGTGTTCATCCTTAGCAATAATTTATAGTTGAATTAGGGACAGATTGCCAGAGACAATCTTGACAGAACCAATTCTCAGTCAATATTGAATCTTATTTCAAAAGAAGGAAGGCAAAAAAGAAGACTAGATGAAAATATTTTCAAATACAAATCAGAAACAGCAATATTCTTACTTCAGATATGCTAGTGCTGTATACTGAACTAGAACTGTTTTACTGAAAAAAATTTATTTAAAAACACATTTGTAAAACTCTGAATTTTAGTCATATTGTTGAGAAGTGTTAAGTGACTTTTTATAGGAGCTAGAATTGCCTTAGAAGTTGGGGGAACTGAGTAATGCCCAAGTTTTACAATGTCAAAAATCTTTATTGATTCAAAATTTTACAGTGCATTAGTCGTTCCCCAATCTGCTCCAAAATCCAGACAATGATTTCTGTTTAAATGTGTTGTTTTGATTTAAAAGAGAGAGAAGGCTGGGCGCAGTGGGTCACGCCTGTAATCCCAGCACTTTGGGAGGCCAAGGCAGGTGGATCATCTGAGGTCAGGAGCTCGAGACCAGCCTGGCCAACAATGTGAAACCCTGTCTGTACTAAAAATACAAAAATTAGCCAGGCATGGTGGCATATGCCTGTAATCCCAGCTATTTGGGAGGCTGAGGCAGGAGACTCACTTGAACCTGGGAGGCAGAGGCTGCAGTGAGCCGACGTCGCACCACTGCCCTCCAGCCTGGGCGAGAGTGTCTCAAACAAAATAAAAATAGAGAGAAGGAAAAAAAAAAAAACAAGAATATACTCGTTTAGGATCAAAGGCAGTTTGGAATAAGCTGACAGGTGAGTAAGAGTAGTTATTGGGCAGATAGAGGGTCTGCTGTCTCTGGTAATTGAGTAAAAAGACTGAGAAAACACTCAGTAGACTGATGGAGAGAGACTTCTCTCCTTTGAAGAGGGAAAATTAGCCGGGCACGGTGGCTCACGCCTGTAATCCCAGCACTTTTGGTGGCCAAGGCACATGGATCACTTGAGATCAGGAGTTTCAGACCAGCCTGGGCAACAAAGCAAAACCCTGTCTCTAGAAGAATACAAAAATTAGCCACGCATGGTGGTGTGTGCATGTAGCCCCAGCTACTTGGAGGGTTGAGGTGGGAGGATCACTTGAGCCAGGGAGGTCGAGGTTGCAGTAAGCCGTGTTTGCGCCACTGCACTCCAATCTGGGCAACACAGTGAAACCCTGTCTCAAAAAAAAAAAAAAAAAGGAAGAAGAAGAAGAAAAGGGAAAATTCAAGCCTGTCAGGAATCCAGTAGGAAAATCATATAGGTAGTGTACATTAAGATTTAGTCATGACTTCCCTGTTAATTGTGGTAAATTACATGGAGAAAGAAACTTCTCCTTTGTCCAAAGAAAAAGAAACTGGTTAGAGGGGTGAACACAAGCTACCGGAAAGAGACTTATAATAGTCAATAGTTAAAACCTGAAAGCGTGTTATAAAACAAAGGTTGCAGGGCTTGTGTATTTGGAGATTATATAAAATCCTTATTTTAATAATATGCTTCGTTTCAATTAAATAGCCATCTACCATTTAAAATGCAGGTGAGGTCTTAGGAGTTTACATCTATCAACACTGGGCAGACTAGAAATCAAGATATGTTACACTTGTCTGGAACCAGGGGAAGACTATGGGTAGATTAATTAGTAAATGTTAACAGTTCAGAAGGAAAAAATTAGTAAATGTTAACAGTTTAGAAGGAAAAGGAAACATATCTGGTAGCAAATCTTACTCTAAATGGGGATTGGGGGGAGTAGGGTATGTGTGTGCCTATATGTGTATATATATATGTGTGTGTGTATATATATATCAGCCATCCATAATCATGAATTTTAATAGAAACTAACATTTTTAACAGAGAAAACCTAAGTGGAACTATGGCTGTAACCAAACATTCAGTTTAAGGCCAATGAAAAAACTTCCTACTTGGCTGATGAAGTCATAACCCAGGCAATCTTTTACCTTTAGCTGGATACTAAACATATAGATGTAATAAAGGAAAAAAATAAAAATATACAGTTGTCAGACTTCTTGCAAATGCCAACATATAACACGACAATGTTTTAGAACACCCCACTAAAGTTCTAGATCACTACTTTCTGTTCCATCAATACATTATTTCAGTATGCAAGTCTGATAACAGAGTGTAAATGCTAAGTGCAGTCCTTGGGCCAAGATCTCACTATATTAAGCAACAGTGCTAGGCTACAAAAGTTGATTGCAGATTTCTTGCATTTCTTCTTGGAGATAGTGATAGCATTATCATCTTTAAATCCTTGTGGAGCTCTCCCTGTTTCCTTATGCTGAAAACAACAACTTCCTTGATTGGGGAAAAAAAAAAAAACAAAAAAACCCAGCAGATATGCTATCATTCTATATGGTGTAACACAGAGTAGCTCTTCTTCAAAGATGAATCGGAGATCACATCTTTAGTGTGTATGTAATACATCTTGGTGCCATTACTATAAGTTTTTTTCCATTTTGTAATATTAGAGATGTCACCAGTCTAGTGGTTATGTGTGTTGTCCCCTAAATTCTCTTTGGTACTGCAGAAAAATCCTGGGTAAATTAAACTCCACCTCTGTTTTACTCTTTTAGTTCTGACACTGGTAATTTTGTAGTTAGCATAAGTTTATTTTAAGAGTACCTGCAAGGTTACAATTTTTTCCCCTGCTAAAGTTACTCCAAGATCACTGGGCCACATTTAACACAGGGCAGCTTTGAAAACCTACAGGATCTGTGACAACAGCTGCCAGCTGGTGGTCATTTTGAAAGCCTTCAAATTCATTGTTTGCAATGAATTCACAGTTGTAAGCCCTTGACTTGAGAGACCTACTGTAATTAAACTGTAAGACACAATAATGTTTAGAGGAGACAGATTCTGAATCTTAAAAGTTTTTTCCTCCACTGAGTTTCAAGCATGAAAGCACATTTACATGGTGAGGGCTAAAGAAACTTCAAATTGTTGTTAGAATGTGACTATAGACAAATCACAATCCTTCGGAGCCTTGTTTATTATCATCATTGTTATTATTCGGTCTTTAAAAGGATTGTTAAAGACTATGTTATATTTATTTATTCATAGCTCTGAAGTGTCATGATTCCAATACAAATCATTTTTAAGTTATCCTTTCCTTGGGTTTTCCCAAAGACTGTGTCATAGATGGGTATCTTAGCAGTGGGACTGGAATTTGATGAGGAAAAGCTATGAAATATTTGTTCAGAAAAAACATGACCAGGGTGAAGTGGGCACCAGTATTACAACCTTATTGCATTTAAATAGGGTCTTTGGTTCCTTCAAAAAAAAATTGGAGAAAGACAATAAAGATACAGCATTTATCCTGAAGATATGAATTGGAACACAGCAGGAATAAATACATGAATAGACATAGGTCAAGGTCACCAAAATGACATGAGACATCTTCCTCTACTACATTCATTAAGTGGAAGATTTAACTGAAAATTGCTTTATATAAAAACACACACACATTCAACCACACATGCATATAGAGGGCTAGGCTTATGGTTTACCTTTGCTAAACAAACTCTTACAGAAGGCTAATTAAATGTCATGAAGACAGTAAGACTATTACTAACATTTCAAAGCTATTTAGAGTTGCTTCAAACATTTTTACCACTCAGAAAAGCAAATCTCCTAAGTGTCTCTTGCCTAGAGCTCCTTGCACTGCCCCCCACTGCCTTTTTAAAAGGGTGTATACAAGTTGCTTGATTCACAAGCTTAAGTTGCAGTAGTACTGCTATGCAGAAATACGGAATATTTAAAGGTTTAACATTTGCCTTTCAGCCTACTGGGTAAAACACAGAGTCTAGAAGCAGCTATTACCACACAGCCCCAACAAGAAACAGACTAAAATTCTTACAGCAGAGTAGGTTACTTATTCTGCTATTTTACCATTGAGATAATTAAAGAATGGTACTGGGTCACTGCATCATACACTTTAAAATAATTAATTGAACGTTATGTGAATTTCACCCGCTATAAAAAAGAAAGAAAGGTAATGGATGCATTAAAGGCTTTATAAATTATATGAGGGGAAAAAGCATTTTGGGATGTTGCTTTGTAACAGCACAATAGTGGGTCTGAGCACCCAACAGGAGCTGGAATAACAAAATTGTTATAAGCACAGTATGTTCCAGGGTCAGCTTGGAGCTTCCAGGAACTCTTAGAATAAAGGTAAAGTGGGCTAAGACAGTGAAGTCAATAGTTGCCTTAGGAAGTGTGGTCAAGAGGAACCTGGAGAAAAGGAAATGGTTCTCAAGGTCAACAACTTCAAGCTGTTTTATGGAACATCTGGGTACTTCAGTCCATTTCTCAAGTAGCTTAGATTACTTAGGCTTGCTCTCAGTTCTAGGTACCTAAACTCGATTTCTCTATAACTCAAACCCAGAGAAGACTCTCTAAAAGACCAAAAAACAGAGTAGAATCTTCTTAATGCATCTCAAATTATCAAGAGTGATTCTTTGGAAATAGCCCCTGACTAAGAAGTGGAAGGCTAGTATGACCAGCAATGTTAGGTGGCTCGATTACAACTCACAGAAGCAAATCACAGGGTGATAAGGAGGTCCAAGGAGCAGTGGCTTCTCAATCCATCAACAAGGTTTCACAAACATAGTATTCTTGAGCAATGATTTGTACTTAGAAGCATTATCCTTTTTAAATGTCACAGTTGATATTTCAGCTGACATATACGGAGTGAGTTTAAAAATACTTTATTAGAAAACTAAGGTTGCTTCCAAACTAGGAATATTTATTATTAACTGACTAGGAGAAAAAAAAAAAACCACACAGTTGACTCCAGGTACCTGGGGTTTTCACATTTGTGGATTCAACCAACATCGAATAGAAAATTTTTTTAAAAAATTGTGTAATTTATTAAGCATGCAGTTTTCGTCAGTCTCTAAACAATATAACAACTATTTACATAGCACTTACATTGTAATAGGTATTAGAAGTAATCTAGAGATTATTTAAAATATACGGCCTCCCATATATGTGCAGGTCATATGCAAATACTACACTGTCTTATATCGAGGACTTGAGAATCCAAGAATTTTGCAATCTGTGGAACCAATCCCCTACAGATACCTAGGGATGACAGTATACGGTATCTTCACCCTGCTCTACTACCTCTTCAGCAATTTTTTCCTAGAGGTCACCTCCTAAGTATACAAAATATAAGAAACAAGGGTAAATTAGCCCAATAATTTGTAGATTTTATTTATTCATAGTACATTCTCTTTGGGGGAAATTATCAAAATATTTTTATAACCTGTTACAATAAAATTCTTACTTTATCTCTACTGTTCACCAGTACCTTAATTCTTATTTGATATATAAATAAAGCAGAATGACCTAATCCAACTATGTAAGAGCAGATGCTTTCCCTTCATAGGTGGAAGCCCATTTTTAAAAAAGCCTTCCAGTTTGCAAGTGAGCTTGGGAGAAGCTATATTACCTGTAATAAGGGCTCCTCAACTACCAAACTCATCATACACCATACCTAATCCCTCTGTCTAAATCTTTCACATCATCAGTAACATTTCTACCAATCCTTCACACTCACTGGGGCTGCTTACTTATAGCTGTCTCATCTCATCCCTGGCTTTTCCTGGTCCTCCCCAGCACTCTGCTTCCATGTCCTCCTACGATGCTTTGAGGAAGGAAGTTTTCCTTTGATCATTTTCAACTCACCGGAAACCTGACCCAGGATTCCCCAGGTGCCCATCTGCGGATGCATGGAATTGCTTCCATGCTTTCTACAATTCTCTCTCACATAGTTTGACTTCCTACACTCATGAAAAGACTGGAGGAGAGAGTATATAGACGGTTACAAAAGACAAGCTTCTTTCCAAACTCCAACCCTCTCCTTTCTCTGGTTCTCAATCATCATTTAGCATTGAGTGGTTATCACAGTGACCACAGTCTCCTAGTTATCATTCCCTTAGCAACACTAACATGTTCTTTGTCATCATCAAAATCTAAAATCATTCAACTCCCTTCCACATCACTCACACCATTTCTTCACAGGAAACTGCCTTAATAGACTCTTCTTGGCACAAGATTATACATTTCAATGTGGTCTTCTTGAATGTCTCTATGTCTTTGTCTTTTTCCCCTTTTAACCAAACACTCAATATTTGCTTTTTCCACTCCTATGCTTTGTGCTAAACCAGAGGAACATACAAAACCACATATATTTCAACTTTAGAGATCTTTAAGCTGACTCTTATCTTTACACAGCAACTAAGCAACTATTTACAATGCATTTCTGGGCTTATTCTCACAAAAGACTTTTTTTTTTAATCTCCTTTAAAAGGCTCCCAATTCCACTCTTTCACCCCCATTTTCAAACAATAATGCATTTTAATAATTACTGATATGAGCCATTTCATCAATTCTCATCTTTCTCTTTCCCCAGGTTCTTCTTGCTCTTACAAATCACAGAGGAAGATACAGCCCACCTCTCTCTCTCTCTTTTTTTTTTTTTTAGACGGAGTCTCGCTCTGTTGCCCAGGCTGGAGCACAGTGGCACCATCTCGGCTCACTGCAAGCTCCACCTCCTGGGTTCGCGCCATTCTCCTGCCTCAGCCTCCCGAGTAGCTGGGGCTACAGGTGCCCGCCACCACGCCCAGCTAATTTTTTTGTATTTTTAGTAGAGACGGGGTTTCACCGTGTTAGCCAGGATGGTCTCGATCTCCTGACCTTGTGATCTGCCTGCCTTGGCCTCCCAAAGTGTTGGGATTACAGGCGTGAGCCACCGCGCCTGGCCACCCACCTCTCTTAAGCTATACCACATGCTCGTCTCAGGAGCTTATCTCTTCCCACCACCCAACGACATCTATTATCCTACTGAATGAGCCTATCTTCTCTTCAGCACTGCCAGTCTCTTCCTCTCAATTGGCTCTGTAAGGTCTGCCTTTAAATATTTAGGTTCTTCTTCTCCCTTATATTAAAGCAATGCCTTCTAAGATCTACCACCCATCTAGTTAGCATCTTGTTTGTCTCTTCAACTTTGTTGTCAAATGTCTTAACACTAAGTAGTCAATGATTGCTGCATACATATTCTTGACATTTCCTCATTAATCCTAAAAAGATGGGCTTCCATTCTGTACTTTTCTATGAAAGTTACATTTTTAAAGATCACCACAGATCTAACCAAATCTGAAGGCCTTTTCTCAGCTCTTACGCTTTCCAATTTCTAATTCATAGTTCTTCTCCATTCCAACCACTACTGTGCTAGTCTAGGCCAACTTATTTGCACTGGCCAGCAATGGCATACTACTGGAATTACTTTCTAACCGGTCCTAATTGCAATCAAATCTATTACCCCATTACTGTTCTTAAAATGCTATGTTCAAACTACATTTTTGCTAAGAACCTATAGTTCTCTACCACTGACCACATTCACATCAAGACTAAACTCTTCTTCTGGTTTTCAAGGCTTTAAACACACTTATCCAAGCTTACCAGTCCCTGAATACCTCAGCTGGATCTCCTTACTGCCCTATCCCAACCCCTATAGGCCACTGTAAGATTTCAAAGCAACTGCAATTTGTTCCTTTCTCTTGTCTTTCTGAGGCAATGCCTCCGTGGGAGTACCTATGGACCTGTGCCAGAGCTCTGGCAGTCTTGACAGTGCTCGGAACACTGTACAAATAGGAGTCATGTCAGTGGAAATGTGCAGAGGTAAAATGCATTAAAGTTGTTTTCTTTAAAGGAACACCTACACAGAAGGCTGTACTTAATTCCCAGGATGCTAAGAGTAAGAGACATGAGCTCACACACACGTAGAATAATGAATGTTTGTCTTTCCTAGTAAGGTTTTTTCACCTCCCTCCAAATTATCATAAATTTTAAAATTTGAAATATAAGTATTCAATACCCTTTGTTGCCACTGTCGGAGCAGTTACTGAGAGATGATAAATAATAAAATGAGTCTGGACTGCTATGGTGGTTCCTGTGATTAAAATATTATCAAGACCTGACAGAAATAATGTGAAATATAATTGTCACTAGAATTATCCTTGATGATAGGGTCTGTATTTTATTCAACCTTGTATCTCTAAAGATCTAGTTCAAGTCACTATACAGAATAGGTACTCAAATATTTAATTAATGCTTTGTTGAAATAAGGGGAGAGTACACAAAAGTAACACATGGAAAACCAAAATTCAATAATAGAATGAAAAGGAAAGCATTATTAGTCAGAAAAAAATATTTTCTAATGCAATCTTAGAGAAAATAAAGAGGCACTTATAATTCATCATACAACTAAAATCATTCAGTACAGGACTCTATTCCCTAAAGTGGCACTAAAAACATTTCAAGGCAGCTGTTCTTTTTTTTTTTTTTTTTGATGGGAGAAGGGGATCACCAAATCCTTCACAAATCTAATAACTATGGATCTTCTCCCTAGAAAAAAATGGACATATGTACATGCACACAAACCCACAATTTTGTGTGTACTCTCAAAAATCTGGGCTCCAGGTTAAAAATTCCTATGTTAAGGGAAAAGCTAGTCACTTTATAAAGGTTAAGGGTGTAAAAGTATATTAAGTTTCCCTTGCACATGATGCATCATGCAGGAATTTAACAACAACAACAAAAAAAACCTGAAGCTTTTAAAGAATTTCTCATTCTTCTGTCATTTTGATTTCAATTTGCTTGCTATGTGAAGTAGTGGCTTCTTTTATGTGTTGTATAATTTCTTCTGTCCTTTAGTGTAAAATTAATTATGACTATGATTTTAAAGCTTCAGGTTTTTTAAAAAACCATGTTTAAATAAAATATTAGGTAAGCAAAAGGTGAAGCTTACAAGGAAGGTGTAGGAATTACAAAGTGAGGCAAAAGATCATGTTTAGCCATTCTATGCAAAAATTTAGAAGATAAAGTCTAATTGCCCAAAAAGCATTTCTTGATTTACGGTGTGCATGTAAGTGGGGGTGGGGAGGAGAAGCAGGCAGGGAGATCGTTTTGCCATTTTATTTAGGGCTCTGGCAAATCTGGGCAAACTACCTGATGATTTTTCCACGCTGGCTATGAATGAGAAAGGAAAGAAGCCTCATTTAACAGGTATATCTCTCAACACCAAGGAGCAAATGGCACTAACCACTTGCTATGGCTTTGTAAGAAGATCCAGGCAATGAAAGGCTAACACTGAATGCTGGAGAAGGCTTTGAGCTAGTAAGCATCATTACAAGGAGCCAGAGTTTGTTATAATAACAAGGCCCAGGAGCCTCAGCTCCACAGGAGACATAAGTGAAGTCTTGGCCTCTTACAGTAAAAATGAAAACCATAATTAAATTAAGCTATAGTAAAAGACTGATAATAAGTCTACAATATTAATAAGTCTACAGTATTTTATTGGCATTTTCCAAATTGGCAATGTTCTTGTAATGTCTTAAAGTCACTTCTAGATAGAAATTAGAGATTGATGTTTATGCTGAATTTTACAAAAATAACTTAAATGGCTAGACAATTCGCTGCTTCTACAGCCTCAGTTAACCAAATCTAAGGATATCTAAGAATAGATTTTTGTTTACCTCACTGTACCTTGGGATAAAGTCATTTAATTTGTCACATTATATCTAACAGAAAATAATCCAATTTTATATAGAGGTAACCTTGAAAACTCCAACTCCAACATGACATTAAGTACCATCTCCTAATAACATGTTCTATTATTATTATTTTCAATCTCTAGGCTTCTTTTTTGTATTCACATTATCCCCTTTCATACTTTTTTTTTTAACAAATTAAAGCATACCTTTTATCATAATGGTTAAAATCTCAAGAGGAGGTGTGACTTTCCCTTTCTTCCCAGATGCTTCATGTAGGCAGAATATGGTCATGTTTTCTGAATCAGCTTTTGTCCACTGCTCCAAACTAAGTACAGTTTCTTTTCCTTTATTATCAGTTTTAAAACTATTTCAAGAAATGTGTTTTCAGAAATATCACTTCACATTATGTCCTAATAAAGTACTCCACTATTCTCTTGATTAAAATTATCTGTTACAATTTAGGTGGCCTAATTTTAGAGGACATCCAATCTCTTCTCTTCTGCCTTAGTCTCATTCTGGTCAGGTACTTATAATATTATCTTATTATCACATTTTAATTATTAAACAATGAAATTTCCAAAACAATATCCCACAGAATTACTGTTTGTTCAGTAACAATGTTACACTACTATGGTTGCTTTTCACATACAATGTTTACTCCGTATTCAAGTTTCAGATAAGTCAACTATAAACTGAAGTTCTGTTTTTGAGGCATTTCCTGGTATACTAGGCAGTGCATTAGAAAAGAGATTATATTGCATTTAGGCTACAATAATTATCTTTTAACCATCTATGCATAATTAACAACCATTCAAAAAGAAAGTGCAAAAGTGCAAAAGAGAGAGAACAAAACAGTTTCTACACATGTAATGCATATTATAGGATATAAATCTAGACAACTAAAAACAATCGCCAACAATATCCTTCTGAGCATTAAATGACACCACCAATTTTGTTTTATATGTATTCTTTCTTCTCAAGTATTCAAAGAATGCAATAGACATTATCTTGTTAATTTGCAAATTTTTCAGGAGATTAGGATATTATTTTTTCACAAACCAGAAAACAAGATACTACCATTACCTTTGTATAATTTTTCAATAATAGAGCCAAAATAACAACAATTCTAGCTAATCTCACCTGGGATCTTAGTACTACAAGTTTATTTTTATGAGTTAGAAATAGTATCACTCATGAGAAACAATGCCAAAATTATTACACTAATAAATTATGTTAAAGGCCTAATGAAGAAATACTTCAACAACTATGAGGTAACACGCTAGCTGTAGGCATGAGGAACGTTTATATTGGCTCTTCTGGGTGTATACATTAAAAGCAAAATCATAAAGGAATCATGCAAAAATCCAGTTGCCCATGCAAGCACCCCAGAGTCTAATCCTCTCCTCTCAGTTCTGTTGTCAGGCCACAGTAGTGTGGAGACTTGTAGGCTGCTGTCCTTGTTGTAATGAATGGGAAGAGGTTGACAGTGGCATGGTCGAAACCTTCACCTCTTCTTCCCCTGTGGAAAAGTCAGTCATGGTCTAGTTATGGGTGACTAGATTTGTTAACAGTCCCTTTAAAAATGATTTCAATATTTGGAATACTGATACATATATAAAATACATGCTTAATGTTTGGAATCCAGGTGTGAAACAAGACATGAATTTTAAAATATAAACTTATCAAGTACTTGGAAAGTAGTTATATTCTAAATATATCCTGAGTAATATTGTTTCAGAGATAAGAACAAATACAATAGATTTAGATTATAAACATACTACCAAAAAAAAAAAAAAAAAAAAAGACCAGGAAAGCCATTCTTTTCCAAGCCAATTGGACCCTTATAGATACTCCTAGTAAATGGTAAATATTAATAGTATTTTGTGAAAAAATTAAACCTTGATTTACAGAAGTGAAAACTGATTTTTAAAAGAGAAAAATTACAAATCCATGTTTTGAAAGCATAAATTATGTACTAGAAAAAAATGAAAGCTATAAATATTAACTAGTAAATTAACATACAGCATCTGAAAATTCAAGTTTACCTTTGAAGTAATTGAAAAATAGTAAAATGTTAACAGTACAATGATCCAATTGACTGAAAATGAGATGACTACTTCTAGGTCAGAGAATTATAGATGAATGAGATCGGTTCTCCTGATTATAACTGAAAATTATTTGACTACAAGTGACTTGTTTCACACATGACTCAAAATTCAATCAAGTCACTGTTAAAACAGTTCATATAGAAACAAAGAAAATTTAAAGAAAAATGCCCTCTCAAAAGTAAAGTTTAAATTAACAAAAACATGAAAAAAAAATCCAATCCTAAACAGTTTCAAATATTTTTTGAGGTATATCTTGAAACAACAATGCTTACTGACTTATGTTTTCCAAATAATTTTTAACATCATGGAATAAAAACAACTTGGCAGAATATTTTTTTAAAACAAATCTGCAAAATTACATGTGGAAGGATAACTGACAAAGCAGAAAAAGAGTCTGTCAATCCATATAACAGGTGATTTTGTAGTTTTTCAGTAAATTGGCAAAGATTCTTATAAACCCCAAGAACATAGCAATGAGGCTCTGTAAAGCAAATTTTAGACTAGAGTTCTTAGCAAGAAAATGATATTAATAAGGACTAAGAAACAGACTGATTTCTATCAAGTCGATACACTTTATTCTATTTTGTAACAATAGGCCATATACCCCTGAGCTGGGCCAATTTGTCTCATGAGTTGATACTGTTGATAAAAAGGGACTTCCAAGTGTGTGAGAGCAAAAACAATTGCCACGGGAAGAAAGCCAAGTTAAAGCACATGCCAGTGATCTTCATTTATGAAGGAGGGCATCGTTGTAGTGCAAAAACATTTCCATTGTTGAATTTGAGATCTAAGTTCTTACCCTAATTCCACTACTAATTGAATATGTGACCTTTAACAAATTATTTAAGCTTTCTGGAACACAGCTTTGCTATTCCTAAAATGAAGGAATTGGACAAAACAAAGTCACGTTTTAGGACAAGGTAAATCACTTTGTAGAAAGAAGGCATATGGTTCCAATAATAATAAAAAAAAAGATCTGAATGAATTTACTGTAACTGCCCACGAATCAAAATTTCCCCCAAGAATATTTATGTCAAAAATATTTCTAAACTTAGTAAACCAAATGCTGCTAAAAAGGTTTCACCTAATTAAGGAAATAACTACTAATTTTAAACACAAAAACAGTTTTCAATTAGATCAAAAAAAAAGGAAGCTGCATTTCTGTCAAACCTCTGGCAACTGTTTTTCCCATGATAGGTTTCAGATATATCAATCTTTAATAATTCACTGAACAAACCAAAAATAAAAATTTAAGTACAAATGTATAGTAAGTAGACATTCTATCTGTATGACATGTAGGTGACTGCCATCTCTGATTTGCTCTTACAGGTCAGAGACCATATTTTGCTCTACATATTTAGAGAATAAATATATATGCCTTTCCAGAGTGTAGAATTAGTTTAAAATATTGTCTAAGTATATCTTAAAGTAGCAGGTCCCACTGAAACAGGTATGTACTCTCTCCATTACTGAAGCATTTAGTGACAGCTGCCCTGTGTAAGGTATCATGATAACTGCTAAAAGATACAAAGTTGAATCCTTGCCAATAGTTCAACTCAGGTGCAAGTGAGTTAGAACAGGTGCAAGTGAGTTACAACAGGTGCAAGTGAGTTACCTAGGTATTAAATTGCTTCAAATTAGACATAGTTAAGATGTATATATAGTTTTCCAGATTTTCACTTTCTGTCATTTCTAATAGTTACTGAAAATCCTAAATCTTCTGGCTACAATTACACAGCTATTCTGCTCTGAGGCTTAGCACATTCAGTTTTCTGGGGCATCTACCAAATATTTATAATCCATGAGAGGATTCTGGTGTGTGAGACTCTTGATAAAAATTTTTAAATTTTGGTACATTAAAACTAAAATTTCTCTAGTCATCAGAGCCTTAAAAATAACCTAATAATAAGCTTAACCATAAGTCACCATTTAAATACCAAGCAAGTCTGCATAGCCTGAAATTGAAAATCCAAAATAAACTCTCCCACCCCCTACCAAATAGTACAACGATTCAGAACCTAAAGTTGGTGACTACATTTTTAGCATCTCTGAAAAAAAAAGGTTTTAATGCTCTATGGTTGAGTATATGGTAAAAGTTTTAAAAATTAAAACAAAATCCCCAAAGATAGGACCATAATTTAATGTCACATTTTTTCCATAAAGCATCTACTTTAGACGAAGATTTTAAATGACTAACACAAGGACAACTAAACTCACTAATCAGCGATTTCTCATTACCAGTGCAGCATTCTGAGAATAACTATTGGTTTGAAATATATGGGTTAAAACTACTCTTCAGTGTTAAGGGATAATATGATGACTATGAAATTGGAAGAAAATCAAAGATCGTCATGTAATAAGTCAAATAAAAGCACAAAAAGAAGACAGCTAATAACTAGAATCCCATAAAGGCATCCTACTTCCTATCATACCAAGTCCATGCCATTTTGCCTCATTGTCAGAGTTTCTCATCTTCTCATCCATTATATCTATACAATTTAAGAAGCACCTCCTGTTATAGGAGGTAGCTGTATTACTTCTCAGTGTAATGACATACTAATTCCTGCCTCTATGCCTTTACTCAGGAGGTTTCCATCAACATAAAAGGCCTTTTCTCTTCCCCTGCTGCTAACCCAAATCTAAGATATGATAGTAGGGATCAATTCCTACTTATTCAATGAAGCCTCCCCAAGAATTACAGGGTACATTGATGTCTCTCAGATTCCAGTATCAGACATATAGTTACCACTTTCACACATTATTTTAGTCTCTTCAACTATACTTTAAGTATGTGGAAATTTTATCCATATCTTAAACTTCTTTAATATGTCCCACATGTCCTAATTCATTGATGGGCAAATAGAAACCCTCATATTCACTGTAATTGGTCTAATCTTTAAATGTTTTGATGATTTGGGAGAACTTAACTTTAACTTTTAATGAATGTTATAATCAATTATGAGATACACTACTAGTAATTAAAATGCCACATTTCTCAATGATTAAAGCAAAGTAAAATCAAAGAAAATTACATTCTAATATGCTATCTTGAATGGAAGGAAATAAAAGGAGTATTTGGAACTGAACACATTGTTTCACAAGTAAGTATCATGTAGAAGAAGAGGACTGAAAAATGTCACTCTGGTTACCTACTAACTACCATAATTAAATGAACAAATAAGAGTCCCAACACTGTGCAAATAACTACATTACGTGCTACCAGGCTTATGTAAATTAACTTCACTGTATCAACGGTAAATTTCACTATGTCAACAGCCACAAACTATATTCTCTTAACCTAGCTACTCGTCTAAAACATGAAATATTGTCGGTCCCAAAGGGAACAGGGATAAAGAACTTTGATAGACCTCTGTAAATTCATCTATCAGCCTTGCTAAAAACAAGAGCGTGAACTTCTGCCTTGCTGCTGATAAAAGTATCCTATTACAATAATACTGTGCCATGCCATATCTAACAAGGGATAACAATAAATTGTATGAATTATGTGAAGAACTATTCTAACAGAGTGAGAAACTATTGTATTCTACTTGAGAGAATCATGATTCTATTTCACTTGAGAGAATCAGGAGAGGAACAAACTTTTTTTAACATCATCTCTAAAGCCAAAGTTAAACGAGAACACTATTAACAAGAATAATTCCCTTGGATATAGAAGATACTTCATCTAAAAAATGTTATATAGAATCTTAAAACCCAAAAGTTCTGAAACCTTCAAGGGTAGCAGTACAAAACCAGAAGTATTTTGGCATCAAACTTACATTACCTTATATATACTTCATATTTTTCCCCAGAAATAAAAACATGGCAGATCAAATGGGAAAGTATCTTTCCTTGAACAATTTCTCTTTCACAAAAGGTGTATGTCTGAGACATATGATATGCTTGTAAAACATTCATAATCAGAGTTCTCAAGTATATTTATAGCTCAGTTTTGATGTGTGTGTATATGTGTATCAGTCAAAACAAGTAACTGCCAAAAGTAGGTAGAGAGTGGCTTTATCCCTCATGCTCTCATTAATTATCATTAAAAAAATTTTTTTTAACCATTTTACTTTAGAATATAAAATCATAATTTTCACCACGGTGTTGGACTTTATAGTACCATAACTTCAGAGACCATTTTCTTCTTTTTCATTTTGCATTTGTATACCATATGAAAGTTTGGTAATTATCCTATTAAGTAAAATGCTTCCAAACAATAACTAAGTATAATACTCCACCATCCTTATAAAGCTCAATATTACAAGGCATCCATCTAATGAAAAATATATTTTAGATTATGATAAAGACTAATCTTTCATAGACATTTCCAAGATATTAGTACTCTGTTATTCAACAGTTACTTCCCTATCCACCCAACAACCTGAAAATATGAGTTATTCAAAAATTCTCAAAGGTTTTAAATGAACCTACCTGCTACAGGGATCCCTCCCAGACCTGTGTTGTGCTGTGGCGGGAGATTCAAGTCCAAGAAATTACTATTTGAGGTGGGGTTTGCTGTGTGGTTCAAGTGCATGATGCTATTGCGTGGAAAGGCCATCCAAGGATAGCGGGCTGCCTGGCCTGGAAAACTGAATGAATTATAAACCGCTCGGTGCTGCTGAAATTGAGGGAACCTCTGGGGCAAGACTGAAAAGGTACTATTGAGAGAATTGGCATTTGTAGCTGCAGCAGGATGCAGGAATCCAGAGCCTGGACCTTTGGCGGTTGTAGTGTGTGAAGAGGAGTTCTGAAGAGATGTGGGCGAAAGGGAAGGTTGGTCTTGAACGGACAGTTCCTTCTCAATCAGGTCTGCTAAGGCTTTTCGAGTGACATCGAAGGGATCAAAACCCAAGTCATCCTCTGGTTGTTTAGAAGAACCAAAGCCAAAAGCTGCTTGCCAGTCTGTAGAGGATGATACTGGGATTGTTTCTGTTGGGAAGAAAAATAGTGATGAATATCAGATACATAGCTCATTTTCATACTTAATAAGTATCCATGCTACTGAAAGTTAAACATGTCATTTTACAAATTAAGTAAGTGCAAAATCTATGTGACTTCTTAGCACATTAAGATCATATAATTACAAAAGGCCTTATGTACTTCTAGCAGTTACTTAACTCTTAAGCTACTAGCTTCAAAAACTGAATGATATAGACTGATTTTGCTAATCAAAGGAAAAAAATGTACTTGACACTCCAATTATACTCTCAACCATTCATAATCAAAACCAACCTAAGTCACTTCCATCAAATAAATATAACAGATTTTAATTAGTAAAGTTGATTTTTAAATGTATTTATCAAAGTACAAATAATTTTGAATACATGCTTTCTATACTAAGAAAAATATAATTTAATTAAAAAGTATTTATATTAATCCTCATAGTTTTTTGGAATTTTCTGCTCCACAGGTGCTGTTGTCAATGTTACTTTTATGCCACCTTTCATAGTAATGAGAGAATTTAGAATGGATAAAAATGGAAATGGCTCAAAAATACCATTTAGTAGTAACATAACTGTTACTACTAAATAACTTGCATCTTTGTCAGCTGGGGGTGGAAAATCTTAAACACAAATCTAATTAAATAAAAATACAAATCTAATTAAAAATCTAAGTCCTTGCCAGGTGCAGTGCTTCATGCCTGTAATCCCAGCACTTTGGAAGGCTTGGGTGGGAGGATCACTTGAGGCCAGGAGTTCAAGACCTGGGCAGTATAGCAAGACCCTGTCTCTACAAAAAATTTAAAAATTAACCAGGAGGCTGAGGTGGGAGGATCACTTGAACCCAGGGTGTGAGGCTGCAGTGAGCTAAGATCACACTACTTGCACTCCAGCCTGGGCGAGAGACCAAGACCCCCACCTCCAAAAAGTAAAAATGAAAAAAAAAATTCCCAATGGAATAAGCTTTTTACTATTGGGAAAACAATATAACCCTTTACTTCTGGAGAAATCTTTTAACACAGTAATTTCTAGGTCACACAACAATGTATTTAACCACCTAATTCCATGTAGTTTAAATATTTGCATTTTTATTAAAAGAGAACAGAGAGGCAAAAGATAAAAATATATCCACTAATGAGTTTCATGTTAGTCTGTCAACAATACGTTAAGAGCATAATTACTAATACTTGGTACTATTGTTATATACCTGATGTGAAGAGGCTCTGTGGTTCTGGTGCTGTAGGCCAGTCACTGGATGTCTGTGGGGAGCTGGGGAAAGGAGGAAGCCCACTTGGGATAGGGTTGGGATGGCGAAAATTGTCTGAGAATAACGACTGTGACTCTGTTACTGCCCCTTCAAAAGGGGACCGTGCACTGTGATTGGATGAACTGATGGGGATGACTGGATTGGATTTTGACAAACCAGGTGGTGGTGAAGGCGTATCACTGTTAGATATCTGAATAAAAAAGGAAAACAAATAATAACTACATGTTTATACATTTTAATAAGCCACAATTAAAAAGTTTGCAACTAAATGTATTAGAATAGTGTTTCACAAACTGGTACTTGAAGATGTTTTAATGAAAGCATGAAGTTTCAGAAAATCAATTAAATCATTAACTTACATATATACTCTTTAAAAAAATATTAATCTGCTTGAAAAGATTAAACTAGTCTCCCTTTTTTTTTTTTTTTTTTTTTTTTTTTTGAGATGGAGTCTCACTCTGTTGCCCAGGCTGGAGTGCAGTGGCTTGATCTCGGCTCACTGCAACCTCGGCCTCCGGGGTTCAAGCAATTCTCCTGCCTCAGCCTCCCAAGTAGCTGGGACTACAGGCGCGTGCCACCACGCCCGGCTAATTTTTTGTATTTTTAGTAGAGACGGGGTTTCACCGCATTATCCAGGATGGTCTCGATCTCCTGACCTCGTGATCCACCCGCCTCGGCCTCCCAAAGTGCTGGAATTACAGGCATGAGCCACCGTGCCCGGCCATCTCCTCTCTTTTTACAACTTTACTTCTCTCACTTTACCAAGAAAATAATATTTCTCATTCTGGGATTTTACTACAGTATTTTGCTCAAGAGTGAAAACTTTCCAGAGGCCAAACACAAATTATTAGAAATACATGGATTGGTGATAAGAGAGAAACTGACTGTAATGGCTAGATTATTAAAGAAAGATCTAATTAAGTTGTTTCCAAACACATCATTAAAAATAATTTTGTATAATAAATCTTTGTATGATTCTTAGGTATTTAATTCAGAAGAAATTGAAAGACTTGAGTGGTACTGATATAATACTCCTCCTTCCATCTACCTATTTATATGAACAAAGTATCTTATCTCAACACTTACATCTTAGAAAAATAAAAAACACGACTAGATTGCTGCTGAAACTTGGCTCTTTTACCAATAGGTAACATTAATCTAGAGATACATACAAACCAATTTTAAAATGGCCCTATTCTTCATTAAGAGATGAATTTTCAATATAATTTTACTATTTATTTTACTATAATTTTACCATTTATTACTATTTGTTTCATGGTTTTTAAAATTAAAATCTACATTTATGTATAGTGTCACCTCAATACTACTAATAAAATTCAGAAGACAAAAATTGGCATTTGAAGTCTGTGACCGCAAAAACATTATTTCAATCCAAAAATTTATATGCCTATTTTTAAGAGAAGTATATGCTTTTCAAGCAAAAACTATATTGCATTAAGATAAAACTCTATAATAACAGAAAGAGAAAAATTAGTTCACAGAGAAAAAAATAATGTAAAACTTCTGATTGTTAAAGGAGAGCATGTGTATTTTTTTAAATGGATGACAGGATAATAAAACAGAATTATGATCAAAACATTATGATGGGATATCAAAACATTAAATTTTTCAGATACCAATATTTCTAATATGCTGGAAATTACATCCTTTGCAACTACTTTTAACCTGTAAAAAATGTTAATGGGCAACTAAAATACACAAGGGGATATACAGATTTCCACATTCTTTTACAAAATGTGTCATTAAAACGTTTAGAAAAGCATTATATTTTAGATCTCTAAGTTTTTCATAAATACTGTGGAGGACTGGCTATTCTTTACGGGAGATACTAAATTACATTTATTTTACCAATGTAAGAAGATGTATAGAAACTCAAGGAGTGAAAAACTAGCCAAAAAAAAAAAAAAGTTCCCTGAGCAATAAGACAAGATGACATAAAGCATGCTCTAACGGTCAGCACTCCACTCAGTTTCATAGTAAATTCAACTTTGAACAGTTTATCTGGCTTATCATTTCAAAGCTGATAGTCATTTGGGGAAAATAAGAAGGGAAACTGTTAGGGACAAATACACTTGACTGAAATAGAAAATTAAAGTAGAGAGCAAGGGGCAAGGGGAGTATGTGGTAGGAATACAATTCTTAAAAGCAAGGAACTCAGAAGGCATGCTAGCCTGGGACCATTTGGCACAGGGTCAAAAAGACCAATAACATTAGCAGACTCTAAAGATAATAGTATCTGGTCATAATGATAATTCTGAGTCATTAAAAAAGGGTTAAACTATGCTCTATATATTCTGGGGGGAAAAGGCTAATTATAATATGATTAATAAAGATGAGCATCAAAAGTGTTTTTAAATTGTGTCAGTAAAGTATTTTTAGAAAATTCACCTGCATGGAATACCTTGCTTTCGGAGTATGGCAAATAAATCAAGTGATACTGTATTCAAATCTTACCTGCTGGGAATTATCACCGTTCCCTATACTGAGAGAATCTGAAGGTTTGTCAATGGGGCTATAAAAAGAAAACAAATTGAATAAAATCAGAATATAGTCATTCTCCTACAATAAAAACAAACTCCTCAAAAGAAAAAAAAAACAGACACTTTACCATCTTAACAAATGTTTATTGAGGTACTGGGAAGTAAAACATTGATTAAATGTTGAGGACACAAAGAAGTACAGGTTGAGCATCCCAAATCAGAAAATCCAATATCTGAACTGCTTCAAAATTTGAAACTTATTGCACGCTGACATGACACTCAAAGAAAATTGGTCACTAGAGCATTTCAGAGTTCAGATTCTCAGATTTGGGGTGTTCGCCCAATAAGTATAATGCAAGTATCCCAAAATCCAAAAGAAAAAAAAATCTGAAATCCAAAACACTTCTGTTCCCAAGAGTTTTCAACTAGGGATACTCAACCTGTATAAAATCTCTACCCTTAAGGAACTTACATTGTAATTAGATTCTCCAAAAATAATGGGTAAAATAATAGCTTATAGGGGGAAAAAAGGCACTGCTTACAATTAATAGATCAAAAGTCTAACCTACCATTTATTTTTGTGCATGTGATAAACATATTCCCCATTTCAGTTTTTGAAATAATACTGACATTTTTCTGGGTGTTTGACAGAGGGCATAAAAGTTATTGAAATATTCTCCATAGGTTTTTAAGAGCAATATATTTCTTTTAATATTTCTATATACTAATCATAACCCTAGAGAAGGCATGAGAAATGAGACAAAAGAAACATTTTTGGGCAAACTACTGATTCAAACAAAAACATTAACATTTTATTTTCACATAGAGAAAATGTAGTACCATGGTAAAGTAAATCACTGACTTCAAATCCATTTTATCTTGACTGACTTAAAGACAAAATAAAATCTCTATAAGCACTGCAACAGTGTACTGATATCATTCCTATAACTAACTTTATTTAACTCAGCACATGAACAAAAATAGTCATGGGTTGCTTAATGATGGGATACATTTTGAGACATGCATTGATAGGTGATTTTGTCATTGTGGAAACATTAAAGTGTGCACTCACATAAACCTAGATGGCATGGTTTACTACACACTGAGGCTATATAGTGCCTAGTGCTCCTACGCTGCAAACCTGTACAGCATGTTACTGTTTTGAATACTGTAGGCAATGTAACATAAGGGTAAGCATTTGTGTATCTAAATATATCTAAAAATAGAAAAGGTACAGTAAAAAAGTTATTTCTAATTATATAGAACCACCATTGTATATGTGGTCCAGCCATTGTTGACCAAAACAAAACATTGATATGTGGTACATGACTATCGTTACTCAAATGTATTGTTCTGATACTGTGTTATAGGAAAAAAATTAAGATTCCAAATTTCTTAAAATTATTTTATTCCCTGAAAATATACACAAAGTCCCCTTTCAAACAGATAACTTACTGATACCATATTTAATTGCTCTAAAAAAAATATCTAACAAGGGTTAGTACCCAATCTGAATCCCAGGTGCATCTTCTGCAGACATTGCCAGATGTTCTTGATTATAAGCAAACAGATTTGAAATTTACTTGAAGAGCATTTTTACTTATTATTCATAAAATAGCAATAAATCAATGAATATTAAGTAATATGGGTAATGCAAACAGTTTAAAGATATAGACCTGAGCCCACTAAGTTTAGAAGTATTTGGGGGAAAGAAGATAAGTGCACAAATAAGGTAAGTACAAACAAACATCAGCCAGTGCTTGCTATCAAATGAATTGTTTAAACAAACAAACAAAAACAATGCCATAAATCTTAAGAAGAAAGCAAAGCTACTACAAGTGGGGCAATTAGGGAAAGTTTCCTAGGGGAGTTCAAATTTAAGTAGGTCCTTAAAAAGATTTACTCAGCAGGAGAAGAAAGGGGGAAAGGGGAAAGAACAGCATTAAAGGTAGGAATACCTCCTGTGTCAAGGGTCAAAATGTCGGAGACAGTGTTGGCAGAGCTAAGTATTTAGTTTAGCTAACAAATGGGATAGCTGGAATAATAATGGAAGGTAAGGACAGAAAGGTAAACACAGGTTAGGCTCCATAGGCCACAGAAATGACCTAAATAAGCAGTGTTTTAGAAAGATTAATTTGGTGGCGGAACATAATAGCGATAATCCGAGATAAACTTGCACTATACTTAATACTATGGTAATAAGGGCTTCAAGCTGAGAGAAAGAGGTGGTAACAGAAACAAAAGGCTAAAAGAAAGATATTACAAAGGACGATTTCTAGTGTCTGGATCTTGGTTCATCTTCCCAGTCACCACCCAATTTAGTGCTTCCATAAGAGCACTAAATAATAATTTTCAATATAAATGAGGTCTTGCTAATGGCCAGGGCAACATATGAAAATATTACATAAAAAACAAATCTTAAGGATGTTTCTGGATTACAACTAATTAGAATAACTTATATCACTTTGTCCACCATCCAACTGCAATTTCCTAAGCACTGATTCATAATACTTTATGCTTTACCTGGGAAGGTTTTATCAAAGATGTTTTAAAATTTGTAGATTGTGTTATCTATCCGATAATAGCTGCTGAAAAATCAGGATTATGGCAAGAGACCAGTAAATGTATGTTCTACTCAGTTTTACTATATTCTTCTCAATTTATTTTAACAATAACAAATTAAAGGAATAATAAATGAAAAGCTTAAAGAATAAAGATATAACTAGAAATTATTTTACTTCCTATGTGGACTATAACAAGTCAATTATAGTTACACCTGATATTATATTAATAATTGGAACTATCAGTGGAAAAGAATAAAAGATAGGAGAATCCCTGAAAATACATGGGTAACCCCAATAGAAAGAAAAACTATATTTACAAATTCCAATAAATGTGAACTCCTTGTTTCTCTAATGGCTGGAGAGAAAAGAGTTATCTTGAGACTACGACCAACAGGTCAGAGTCCTCACAACTCCACTGGCATCAGATGTAGAACTTCCTTCCTCATGAAGGATAAGCACTGAGTCTGCTTAAGGTCTGGTAATATTAATAAATTTCTTTTACTTTCAGCATCCACCCACCCATTATATGCCAAGAGGGTAACTGCTAAGAAAATAAAAACTTTAATAAATACCAGATTTACTCATGAAGAGAGTATTCCATGACATGGACTATTCCCTGGTCAAAAATTGCCAGGTCCCAATGTTATCAGATATAAGAATTTGGATGCACTAAGATAAATTGCACAGGGCTTTTTTTATTTAAAAACAAACAAAAAACCTACAGGTTTTCTTAAATCAACCTCTTTCTACTGCACTAAACAAAATTACTTGCATTTTGAAGCTAAAGTTTTGTTGTTCATTCCATTTTCAATGGGAGAGATTTTTTTTAAAAAAACCATTTGTACAGCAAAAAGCAGTGGGGCAGAAGTTGCCTAGTGAGGGAAAAAGCTAGAAAGGTGTTTGAAAAATTGGAGATACCAATTCTATCCTCAAGGATAGAAACAAAGAAAAGCAGATAATATAAACTGAACTAAAACAAAGAATGAGAGAGGCAAAAACAGAGGTTGACAACCATCTCTGAAAAGGCTAGGAGTTGAGAAGACTGACTACACCTGTACTTCACTCATACAATGAAACTGTCATGATCTGAGAGAAAGAGAAATCAAGATGCTGAAGTCCATAAATACCATGCAGTTCATTGAAAAGTACTGGATTCAAGTGGGACTAAGAAATACTAATAGGTAATCTGGTCTCCTAACACAATCAAGATATTCCCAGAAGGCAATGCTGTATGTATAAATCCCTGTACATAAAAATTCAAAAACATGTATTTTCATACAAACGATCTAATTTTTTCCTTTTTTTTAAAGTTTCAGTCCTAAATTGTTTTAAAAATCCATGGTAAGACTATATCTTTTTTTTTTTTTTTGAGACAGAGTCTTGCTCTGTTGCCCAGGCTGGAGTGCAGTAGCACTATCTTGGCTCACTGCAACCTCCACATCCCAGATGCAAGTGATTCTTGTGCCTCAGCCTCCCGAATAGCTGAGATTACGGATGTATGCCACCATGCCTGGCTAATTTTTGTATTTTTAGTAGAGGTGGGGTTTCGCCATGTTGGCCAGGATGGTCTTAACCTCCTGGCCTCAAGTGATCTGCCAGGCTTGGCCTCCCAAAATGCTGGGATTCAGGCGTGAGCCACGGCACCTGGCTGAGATTACATATTTCTTAGGAGGAAATATTTGTAAATTAACCCAAAAGGGCAACAGAGCTTTTTAAAATACATATATGCACAAAATATATACATATTTATTTATTTAAAGTAAAAAGTATATATCCAGACTCCATCATGAAAATTCTATTCAATTAGTCTAAATTGAGGCATCTGGTATTTGATGATCACTGAAACAAAGAGAAGAGGAACACAATGAAAAGGCATCAAGACTCCTCAAAGTCTCTCAAATTATTAGATTTCACAAGTAGAAGAAATCACTAAAATCAAATTTAATTACTTTGTTTTACAGATAAAGAAATCAAATTCAAAACTGTCTGCAAACAGGTAGTCACTGACACAGCTGGGTCTCAGTTTGGATTTGTAGATGTTCAGCCAAGTTTTGATTTCTTCTAACTTGCTCCAAAGGCAATGCTTGAATTTTACTTTCTTTTACTACTTCCTTAATGGCGATGCCAACCAAATCACTAAATATAGTCTCATGATTACTTTAAAAAAATTTGCAACATAAACCAATTACATAGTAGAAGAATCAAAGAAAAAACATTTTCAAGGATGGGGGTGGACTAAAAAAAAGTTAGAAGGTTTAGTTTTTCTGCTTACCAAATTCAAAAGAAAAATAGTCAAAGTGACTTACTGATTTTTACTTACATTTTAAACAAAATATAAAATTTACTTACATTTTAAACATAAAATTTACATAAGGATAAAAGTCAACATAACAGACATTTCCAAATTTCACTGTCATGTTACCATATATACAAATACATATTCATTTTGCTTCTAAATTAAATACTCCCACATATATTCATTTCAAAGAATCTATCTTAATTTTGCCATTTACCAGAGTCCCTAAGTAATTCTGAGATATTTTTAAACACTTGCTAACACAAAGGATATATTTAAGTTATCAACAGGTAAAACTTGCCTTTACAGAATATACTTTGACACAGGCTTCAAATATACATTAACATGTAAAGTATTACTTTGCTACTAAAACATGGCCACATCTAAGTGGCATAATTAGCTATTAACAGAACAAGAAGCTGGGTGTAGCACTACGTGCCTATAGTCCTAGTTGCTCAGGAGGCTGAGGCAGGAAGATCACTTGAGCTCGGGAATTAGAGGACAGCCTGGGCAACACAGCAAGATCCTCTCTCTTTAGAATAAATTAAAAAATAAAAAAATAAAATAAAAAGGTAAGAAAAATGTGCCTTATTAAACCTAGAACGATTGTAGTTGTGTAAATATGATTTTAATTAGAATTTTCTCATAACCCCATGACCTACTTAACATGAATGAAAATAAATGTTTTGATAACTATTAATAAGTACAAAGAATTAGTTTTTAATAATAAAGTCAAAATATGGACATCTACTAGCCTAAACATATCACAAAATGTGGTAACCTTCAAAAACAGCAAGTCTCCACTTATTCATAAATTCTGTATTTCAGTAATACACTTAATGTTTTTAAAAGATTTATATTTAAGTTAAACCTAAACACACTTCTTATTTGCTTTCATTCTAGTAAACAAGGGCACACACAACCCTATCTTTAACTGCCCCTTAACCCCACACTCATCCCACCCCACCCTCTGGAACAAATACTTTAGACAAGTGGTTCTAACTTCTTTTTTGACCATATTCTACTTAGGTGGGCCAAGATATCCCAGTTCACTTACTAGTTTTTCACTGCATATGCACATGTGCACTAACTCTGTATGTAGCCAAATACGACATAGGAAGAAAACTTTTCAAGAGAAATAAGGAAGATTCTGAGATATAAACTCAGAAAAACCTAGTAATCTGCTGATTTTAATGTAAATATAAAATCTTAGCAAACTTTAACTCACTCACTTAACTTACTAGTCCATTTCTCATGGCACCTGACCATAGTTTGAGAATCACTGCTTTATTCCACTCCTGAATTCACCTCTAATCTATCTAGAAGTATCAGCAGACCAGTGCCCTCTACACCAATATTTAATTGATAACTATTTTTAGGTCAGTTCTCTCTCTCAAAAGAATGTGCACAGATGCAAAATGTTACATAAAATTTCAGTGTTCACAAATATCCTGAGGCCTATTCATAATCTAACAATCTCTGCTTGAGACCTTTTTCTACAAATCTATGAACTATGTCTTTTCTAAATCTCAAGAGTTTTACCAAATAATTATGAGAATGGAATTCATGCAGTGACCATTCCCATTCTGCTGAACTAATAAGGTACTCTGACTATACCTTCAGTCTATCAGAGATTATACTTGATTTTCAGTAAGGATATAGCTGTATTTTTATTTTAAAAGATGTATACTCCTTCTCAAATGTAATAAAAATCGATAAATTCCTATAAAAGTTTCCCTTTCACCATTTCTCTAGCTAATCCATTACTGCCACCAATCTGTGGCTCAGGGAAAGTTTGCTAAAAATAACATCAATTCCTTGGAATTTACAATCCATCCACTACATCTGTCTTCAGATAACAAGCCTCAAGCACCAGATATTTTCAAGATCAAACTACATATAGTTATGGCACAGTTTCATTTAAGCAAATTTGATTTATGTTTTAAAAAGTTTTTCCTAAGAGCTGCTCTTAAGAATTTTACCTCTTCTAGACTGAAGAGTGGGAGAATGAGGGATGAGCTTGGGCTTTAAAGTCACAGAGACTTTGGTCAGAATCTTATCTACTGCTTATTTGTGTGGGATACTGGTAAACTGTTTAAACTCTCTGAGACTTAAGTTTTTTTACCCGTAGTAAGAAAACAATATATACCACACAGGCCTACTGAGGATATTAAATGAACACAGAAGACTCAAAACTTTTATTCCACCCTCGCTCCACCTAAATCTAAAGCCGAACATCTCCATTTCCTCAATGATGGCTTGTTTCAGCCACAATATCAAGTCATAACCATTTACACCGAGTGATCTGCATACCCCACAATTCTTGTAACTAGGCCTGCTCACTGTCTTGGGCACAGCAGCCTACCTAGTTACTATTCCTTTCACAGTTGGTACTTAAATAGCATCTCAATCTAAATGAAGATATTTCAAAGCCCCAAACTTAAAAATAATAAAATAGCCAGTCCTTAAGCATCATTACTGCAAGGCTTCATCACTTCCCACTCTCATTACTTGTATTCATCATTTCAAAGCAACTTATTCATAGCACATATATAGTTCAAAACTCATTAAGACTGATATACTCTCGAATTCATAATAATGAAGGGGAGCAGATGACAAATTCCTTTTTTAGAATTTTCTGCTCACTAGGTGAAATAAGAGTAAAATATATTATAGAAAAATTCACTTACTAACATATATGTGCATCGGGGACCATGTCAGGGTTCAGTGAGGATTAATAGCTATGGTAATCTTAAGATTTGTACTCTGGCTTAATTGAAAATAAGAGAAAATCACATTTTAAGCTTAGAGCCTCAATCTATAAGGTTCCAGGCTTTGCTTTCTTGCAATTCTTTCTGTAAAACTGCTACCCACTATCTAGGAATGCCAAGAAATGTGAAAATGAAACCCTTCTTTGAGTTTCTTTTTTTCCTAGAAAGTTTAAGTCTTAACTTACCTTGAAGATGAAGAAACCTATCTCTTGGGTATGACCTTGGAAAGAGTTACACTGCTCATCACTCTAATTTGGCAAGTCTTTCCTGTGAGAAATCTTATCTACAAATTCATCCCTACTACCTACTGCCTCTGTATGCCTACCCTGGGTGATGGCAATGTGGAAGTGGAAACCAAAGCAGACCTTTCGCTATGACTGACAGTCAGCCAAAGGCTTACTCTCTGTAACTTGGGCCATTAATTGTCACTTAATAAATTTAGGTAACCGCATTAAAACAGAAAACATCCCCACCCCCCACCCTCCCCCCCAAAAAAAGTTTCTATATCATGTACTTATGCAAAGCATGTACACCTATGTCAAAATTTGCTCTGGCCAGGCACAGTGGCTCATACCTATAATCCCAGCTCTTTGGGAGGCCAAGGCAGGCGAATCGCTTGAGCCCAGGAGTTTGAGACCAGCCTGGGCAACATGGTGAAACGCCATCTCTACAAAAAAAAAGAAAAATTAACTGGGTGTGTTGATGTGCACCTGTAGTTTCAGCTATTCAGAAGGCTGAGGTGGGATGATCGTTTGAGCCTGGGAGGTCAAGGCTGCAGTGAGCTACGATTACACCACTGTGCTCCAGCCCAGGTGACAGCAAGACTCTCAAAAATTTTTTTTTATTCTGGTCCCAGCTGAGGTTCTGTAGCACTGGCTTTGGGCAAAATTAGTAAATGAGTTTACTTGTTTTATATTTCCTCTTTTCCTCCTGTTTCCCCCTTTACAACTTGTGGCTCCTAGACATTCTCCTGCTACCAAAACAGTTATGAATGTGCTCTATGGACTACCTGACTATACTTTATAATAAAGGCAAAGTCAATAAAATGTTAGCAAATCTATTAATAACTGATTACAAAAATAAGTAAATAATATAGTTTGAATGTATGTCCCCACCAAATCTCCTGTTGAATTATAATCCCCAGTGTTGAAGGTGGGGCCTGGTGGGAGGCATTTGAATCATGGGGGTGGACGTCTCATGAATGGCTTGGGCCATCCCCTTGGTGATGAGTAAGCTCTTGCTCTGAGTTCACAGGAGATCTGGTCATTTAAAAGTGTGTGGTACCTTCCCCCTCCAACCCCCTCCCTCTTGCTATCGCTGTATATGATGTGCCTGCCTCCCGCTTTGCCCAGAAGCCAAGTGATGTCAGCACCATGCTTGTACAGCCTGCAGAACTGTGAGCCAAATGAATCTCTCTTCTTTATAAATTATCCAGTCTCAAGTATTTCTTTATAGCAATGCAAGAACAGACTAAACACAGTAAAAGCTAACTACTTGTTATAAATGCCAAAGATACTTTTGGTAAATTCCAATATTCATTTCCAATCTAAAGGAAAAAAGTCTCAATAAATGAGGAATAACAAGGTATTTCATATTGTGATTAAAAATACTTATCTCAAGTAAATGATCAAAATCATCCTTAAAGAGTAAATAAAACACTAGAGACATCCCCATGAAAGTAAGTATGAGGTAAAAACACCTGCTAGTGCTACCAGTCTAACACTGTTTTTGCACTGTTTAGCCTAAGCATTTTTCAAATAGAAAGAGGTGGTAGGAGATCCAATACAATAAAACAGGAAAAAGAAAATCTTTCCCGAAAGGCACAAGAGAGATATGCTATGCTAATGGTTGGGAGGAGTCAATGTTTGTTTTTGTTTTTTGTAGAGGCAGGGGTCTTGCTTTGTTGCCCAGGCTGCTCTCGAACTCCTGGCCTGAAGTGATCCGCCTGTCTCAGCCTCATGAAGTTCTGGGATTACAGGCATGTGCCACCAGGCCCGGCCTCAGTGTCACAGAATATAAATTCTTCCAATACTGATTTACAAATTCAATGTATTTTGAAACACAAATAATTGATCAACTGATTGGGGAAGTTCAGATCTCTGTAACTCATATAAAACTTTTAAACACACAAATAAAACATGGGAAACATAAACTCACAGTGCATAAAAAGTTCACTCTGTTAATCAAATACAAGTTAAAATGAGACAGCTTTTTTTGTTTATCAAATTGGCAAGTATGCAGAAGGCAAAAAAAAATACCCAATTCAAGGAAATAGGTACTCTCATATTCTGACTCAGCAGTTCTACTTGTAGGAACAATCAAAGCTATAACCATTTATATGTTACAACCATATAACATTTATATGTAAAGATGTTCATATCACAGTGTTATCAATAATATCAACAAAGTCAACATAACATACAATAGCAGAAGGTTGGCTTAATAAATTTAAAATATGAACATATAGTGAAATACTACATAGCCATAAAAAATTATGTTTTAGTGACATGGGGAAATTATTCATAATAATATGTATTAGGTTTTCAAATGTAACAAACCAAGGTACTCTGTGTATAATGGTTTATAGGCATTCGCAAGAAGAAAAAAGACTAAGAAAATACACAATGCAAGGAATTAGTGTATAAGAAAATACACTAACACTTTACAAATTTACATTTTACAATAATTTGTATTTATTCATGCATTCATCTTCCAACCTACTTACTGGGGTTCAGGGTTGCAGGTGGCCAGAGCTCATCCTAGCAAATCAGAGGGCAAGGCAGGAACCAACCTTGGCAGGGTCCCCTCACACACATAAACACTCACACTCACTCACAATGGGACAATTTGGACATGTCAATTCACTTAACGTGCACAGCTTTGGGATGTGGGAGGAAACCAGAGTGCCCAGAGGAAATCCACGCAGACATGGGGAGAACAGGCAAAGTCCACAGAGGCAGTGGCCCCAACTGGGAATCGATTTTTTTCTCATCAACATTGTAACAAAACAATACTGAATGAAATGATGTTATTGGAGGGCATGCTGTACACAAATCACTTTCAATGAAAAGCTCTGGGTATTAAGATCATATGCAATGTTTATTTTATTCTGTATGCTTTCATAAATTTTTCACATTTCCTTCAATAAAAACATATAGTTTTATATTCAGAAGACAACAAATGTTATCTCAAAGAGATCATCTAAATTTTAAATTTTTGCTCTGAAATCACCAAGGGCTATAAACCCAGAATTTGACTTAAATTAGAATGACAACATTTTTAATGCAAACAATGATGTGCATAAATGTTAAAAGCATCTAAAATAAACCACTGTTTACTACAATAACTTCATTCTTATACCAAGCACTACAGAGGTGGCAACGAATAAGATAAGTAATAGCATATGGTTTGCCATAAAATAACCATACAGGGCTAGAAAAGGGTGGGTACAAAAGATTAAAGGAAAAGATCAAAGCTTGTCAAACCAGAAAGATCTGTTTTGACTTAGCTTTTATTCTTAGCTTTGATATAAACAAATTTTACATAGTTTACTATACAGTAACTTTATGTTTCGCTTTGTGGCCTATTTTATATTTATTTATATTTACATACACATATATATGTGTCTAATTTAGTTTTTAATAATTTAAATAATCTTTACTCTTAAAATGAATAAACACAGACTTCAAAATTTAAAGAATGTGTTTTTGAAGAAATGGACTCAAACAATAATCCATGTAGTTATTATTAGCTATGTTTGAAAATAGTTCTTACATCATTTTAGCACCAAACAGACACTGGGCTATAATATTTAACACCTAGACATTAGGACAACATTCAAACAAATTTAACTTTGGAATTTTAAAAAAAGATCATCAACATAAATTAATTACAACATTTACTTTTAAAATTCATTTGATAAAAGTTAAACTTATCAAATAAAAAAGAACAAAAAACCTAACACATCAAATTTAAAGAAAGTTCAGGATAGAATAAAATTCCCAAATTATATTTATTAATATGATTTTCTGACAGGCCATAACAAAATATAATCTAAGATAAGAAGATCAACATATCAGAATGAGACTCTCTACTGAAGACCATAAATTTATTTAAGCATTGACACAATATAGTTTACCCAAAACCATAATGAGATGGAAGATAGGAGATGACTGGTCTCCTAAGATAAGTAAGATTCTGAATATGGGATACTCCCTGTTCATTTACAGGATTTAAATGACTTTAGTGATTCCTGGAACTAGATATCCTTGAATATCTGTGTCCCCAACACACAAGGCTTCCTTCAGATAACACCCACTTTCCCTTTTATAGTATTTTCCCCCTAATTATATCAAGGGGGACCTCAATTAGGTAATCAGAGCCTTTTAAAACCTAAAATCCCTTAATTTTCTCTTTAATAAGGAAAGTATTCCCTGGGCTCAGAGTAGTCTGCAAATCACCACAAAAGGTGAACCCATCAAAAAGCTAGTCTGAAGTGTTACCAGGGAAAAGTAGGCAGCAAGCATTCAAACCCAGAAATTGTGACTCAACATTTCCCATACAGCTAAACAATTCTGCATAAATGACAGACCTTGTCAACAAGGATTTTGCCTGAAAAAGATCTAAAATGAAAAGAGAAGATCAACTGATAAGAAGGTAAGATGTCTGACTATCAATATCAATACTTACGTATCGTACCTCTGCAGTGGTGTCACTTTGTTCTTATTTTTATCAACTGAACCCGTAGATAGCTGAAGAAAATTGGGATTTAATTTATATAATTCTTGAAGTAGCTTCTGTTCATATTCTTGGTGTTTACCCGCCTAACGAAAGAAGAAATTAAAACTGCAGTGGGATTCACAAAATGGCTGGTATAAAATACTGAATAATCTTCTGAATTATTAAATATATTTTAAATAAAATAAATAATATTTTTAAAAAATAAAATATTAAATAAATTTTAAATAAATTTTTAAATAAAACAAGTAAGAGAAACCTGTGAGGATATCACAAAACTTCTAGATCAATGAAAGTCATTCCAACAAAATTATATGATATATATCTGATAAATTAAATTAAGGCATTTCATCAACCCATTTATTGTACAGAAAAGCATATTAAGGGAAGAACATTTTTGCTAGCTCAAAAAGTGTAAGGTCCACTTTAAACCTACTTCCAAGTCTTTCATGTAAGAATTAAGTCTTGTAACACTGAGTTTTCTGAAAATCAGCCAAAATTCATCAGTCTCCTTTTTAATTTGGAGATTAGCACTTGAAGTAATACATAGATGAACAGTTTTACTATATTCTTCATTATCTTGACACTAAGTAAAACTTCCATGAATTAGTTTTTGCTTTCTCTTTTCTTCTATGGTTATCAAAAGTAAAATAAAAATTAATGTATTTTAAACTCTAGACCCAGGGTCAGCAATTTACAGCCAGTTGCCTGTTTTTATAAATAAAGTTTTACTGGAACATGGTCATGCCCATTCATTTACATATTGTATTTGGCTGCCATTCTGCTACAAAGGCAGGATGTAGTAGTGCAACAGAGGCAGAGTAAAGTAGTTGTGACAGAAGACTACATACATAGCTCAGAAACCCTAAAATATTTACTAACTGGCCTTTACAGAAAAAGTTTGCCAACCTCTGCTCTATACACAAAAGAATGCTATGCTTACTCTAGCTGGGTAGGTGTACATCAAAAGGCAATGTCACAAATATTATGGGAAAAATTAGGCAAAGATTGCCTGTGGAAGCTAATTAGACACAAAAATAAATGATAATGAACTTACTTTGAGTAACATTTTACTATTTGCATGTATATCTAGACTGGAAGAATAGTTTTACTTACCTTCAGGGATGTTAATTTTTTTAAATTATGGTCTAAATAGATGTTATACAACAAAACCAAAACGGAACAAATCAAAACAATAACAAGTGAGGGCAATTGCACTTAACTGAGCATAATTGTGTCATATATACTGCACAATGCATCGTTCCCTGTTCTGAGAGGCCACTTGCTTGTTTCTATTGGACCTATAAATATTTCCTATGGCACTAAATTTTGAGTTACGCAGTAACAAGGAAAGATTTTCTGATTTTTGCCATAAAATTTATTCAAATTTCTTTCCTACATCAAGAAAGTGTTTTAACAACAACAACAAAAAATCCCCTTTTAAAGTAATTTTAAACTCAGCTAAAGAAGAGCAAGATAAATTCAGGACAACATTATGAAATTAGTTTTAAATTATTTTTAAAAATACATTAGATGTGAAATTTACATTTTTAAAACATGAAAAGTCTTGAAAATTATTTCTGGAATCAATACTTCAGGAGATACGGCTTTCACTAATATCTGTGGAAAGCCACAAAGAGCTCAACTTGATATTAAAATGACTCTACAGGGGCAGTTCATAAAGACAGGTTAAATCCCATTACAAACAAGTTCCAAAGGACAGCCCATACATTTTATTTTATTGTTTAATATTACTTTAAATGAGATCAACTGGGTGGGACTTGTAAATTCTGATAGACAGAAATTGATAGGAAATATGAATAAAGTATACCCTCTACTAATTAAAATTTAGTTTGAAATTTTGAAATGGTTCTACCTTAGATTTCATTCAAGAAGGTTTCATCCAAAAAACAAACAAAAAAAGCATTAAGAAATCAGTTAAGTCATCTGTCCTTATTAAATATCAGATAGACCTTATTTTAACATTGTTTTTGAATCATAAAGACCATACTATCAAGAAAACTCTGATGTATTTATTATAATGGGATTTAATCTGTACTAGCTCCAAGTCAAAAAAGGTAATACTCCATTTAACAATCTTTTCTTAAAGGAGCCCCTACCAGACTTTCTCTAGTTTGACCTGGAGAATGAAAGGTAGCAATGAATGCCCCCCACCTTCTAAATGAGAAGTATTCCTGAAAAGTCCACAGCAACAATCTGAAGTCCTCATCTACAATAGGGAAGTGCAGCATTGTGCTTTGGTATAATCCTCATTTAATATGTCGTATGGTCAACATTTTTACTTGTTAAGGCATGTTTATACTACAAATTGAAAGGAGACAGGAGAAGAGGAAATGTAAAAAAGAACATAGGATATTAAGCCTTCAATTCACCCTTTACAGGATACTGACTCAGTGGACACTTGCATGGGGAGAATAATTTTGTAAAAATAATATTAGTTTATCAGCATCATTTGACAGAGTATTATTTTCTAGCAAGCTCTGTAAAGAGTATAGATTGGTTTAACAAATAATTACAATATCCCACTTAGCTTTCATTTTGTTGACATTCCCCTTAAAATAGCATTTCCCAAAGTGTTTTCCTGGTCAACTAAGTTCTGGTTGTAAATTCCCTTCGTGGATCTGTATTAGCATATTAAGGACTCTGAAAAGTCTTAAAGCAAAGAAACCTGTTCATCTTCATTAATCTAGCATTTCAAACTTAGTTGACCACAGACACATTTTTATTGTAACAATATCCTGCAGAACTGACCTTCCATTAAACACTTCATTTGGCAAATGCTACTTTAAAGTAATATCAGTTTTTACAAAATCAAATCCTTAGTTTTTGCTTTTGCAATGTTAACTAATAAAAAAAAAAGTACTCCCTTTTCTGCAAAGTTGATAATTCACATGACTTTACTACCTGCATTTCCTCTTTTGTGAAGCTGGCCGCCTCATCCCCCAATTCATGAAGATACATGCAGTCAGGTTTTGGACACTGCATATTCTTTAAGAAGTAACTGCAGTATTTTGTTGTACCTAGAGATGCCTGCAGGAGGAAGAGGGGTAAAGGAAAAGAAGACTCAATGTGAACTGACAACACAATGAGAATCTCCATGTTTAGTGTTTTCAAGTCACCTAAAATGAGGCACAAACATGACAAAACAAAAAGTATGGCTGCAAATACTAGAGAACTAAACTCTTATTAGCAGGATTTATTATAGATGAGGCTCATTTGGAAGAACTAAAGGAAACATCTGTCTATGGTTTCCAAAACTTGGACACCCAAATCTTCCCTAGATATAAGGAGAGGAGATAGACAAAAAAATCTGTTCCATGTTATGAGTGGTTAGACACATAAGAAGGCAAATTCCTTTTTCTAATTATGCCATCCTCCTTCCACTAACAGTAAAGCTTTGCTTAGTGGGACTCTTCACTGAAACTGGAATCAATGTCCATATATTTAAGGACTACCTATTTCTGAAGAAAATAATGGTACTATTTTCACAAAATAAGATATATGTAAAAATGCGATATTTTAAAAGATTATCCCCGATAATGAATGTGTTTATTCCTATCTGGTAAAAGAGGACCCTACAGAAACCAGCAGTAAACAAATTAGCTATAATAGATGGTATGGACCCTAAGACAGACTCTTCAAATTAACTGTCAAATTTAATATATAAATGCTCAGTTCTCCTCTACTTACTATATTTTATCTCGTCTTCCTTAAAAAAAAAAAAAAGAATCAAGAGGACTATATTACCTTAAGTGTTCTGCCATCTACTACCACATTGTTGACACACTGTATGGCTCTGAGAGCGTCTTCTGACCGGATATAGGTTACATAAGCACTGGCACTTGGACCCTAAAGTGAAAACATCCCATTCCACTGTTATTAGTTAAAAATTAAACAATACTAAAAAAATTCTACTGCAACCTAGGGAATTCTAAAGACCCTGACTACTACTATTACTAATGACAATAATTAGTAGTAGTAGTGGCAGTTTTGATTAAACACTAAACTAGCTCATTTGAAAGTAATAATACTCAATGAATTTTATCTGATTTTAAGAATACTGTAATATATGTGAATAAAATATTACTTTGGCTTGGGATTTATTTTTTTAGACAGTCATTTGACAGGCTCGTCAAGGTTATAAAAAAATTAAAATTTAGATTAAAAAATAAGACTTAAAGACTATGTCAAATTACATTCTCAAAAATAAATGCAATCTGGAAAACTATTCTATCTGATAACAGCAGCATAACAAAGACACTATTAAGTTTTCAATATCTGAAAATATTACAGATTAGAAATCACTATCGAATCCTCATCTATTTATCACATTGCCTGATAACAGACTCACCTCCCCCTCCCTTTCACTCCATCACTAAATGTTTGTTTTACTATTTCCCTCTTAATTGTTAAGTCCTAGAAGGGTCAAATAAGCAGCAAAAAATCCCCCACCCCACCAACAGAGGTCACTACATTGCTTAAGTCCTTGTCCCTCAAGCTTTCTAATCAGAGAGAGCAAAGTTTCCTTTGGAACAGCCCAGGTCAAGCCCAGACCATAGGGAGGAAAAGCAAAAATCCCTAAAATTAGTTACCTGTGAGCCTGCATATGATGTGCTATTATTGATGACAACTTTATGTATTTTACCAAACTTCCCAAAATATTCTGGTCGTTTTAAAACCTATAAAAGAAGAAGAAATAAGGTATAAACTGTCCCCATTTTAAACAACTTTATCCTTATAATGGAGACATTCATCATCCCTCTTCAGCAAAAGGAAAAAGATAATTTTTAAAGTTTTCTAATAAATGTCACTACCTCCTAATTGCAGTTTGTGTAGCTAACCTATAGGAAATCAAAAGAGTTTAAAAGCTATTTTTTTTCTTGACCCACTGAATAGAAACTGAGACTCACTAAATTTGGTATTATCTACTATGTTCTAATAACTGCTCCAATAGTCTATGGGATCTTACCTGTACAGTATTCTTAAACACAAAACAGATCAAAGATCTTAACTACATTGCCATTAAGAGATGATCCTTACACGAAAGCAATTCTTCAAAAACAATGACCAAAATTATGTATTAAAGGTAAAGACAGAATTGAAAGAACAGACATAAAGACAGTCTTTACTCATAAATCTATTGCATATAACACTGTTTATAAATCACAAATTTCAAGTAACAGAGTGCCCACTCAACCCTCTATGCTTTATGATTTATCATTGTGCATACAGTTTCCTATGTCAATCAGTTTTACCATTTCTCATCTGTCTCATGAGGCTTTTTCCCCTACTTTTCCTGGTACGTAACATTTCGGAAACAAATTTACACGTTTCTTTCTTTATTACCTGGTTACTTCTTGGTGGTACCTACGTACCTCATCTCCTTTACTTTGTGAACACTATATGCATTCTTTCAGCTTCTCTTACAAACTTAACCTTGGCTAATTTGACCGGTATGTAACTTGATAAAAAGACATCTCACATAATTTGCAACTACCTCAAAATTCTGTTTTCCTAGAATGTATCTTTAGACCTACTGTTCCTACAATCTCTCCAAATAGCAAGCTCTCTGCAAATGAAAGCTTTCTGCATGTAACTATTCAAGTGTGTGTAAAGTATTTCTTCCCATTCATATTTGATAATATTCTTACAGACTTATAATTTAGCTATTATGTTCTGCATTTGATAGAATCAAAGCTTCATGAATAAATCTACGGCGGGTGTATCATTAATTCTTAGTCTTCTACCTAATTAATAGAAAGTAATTAATCTTATATTTTATTTTAGGTGCTTGTAAGTATAAGGTAACTGTTATGTTTGCTGTAGCCAATTCTAATGGATTAGAAGGTGAGGTAATTACACTGAGTTTCAATCTCTTTTCCACCCAAAACCCCTGAGGGATATGATAGTAACAGTGGCTAACACAATGACCCTTAAGTCATCCGTAGCAAAGTCTCAGGGTTGATAAAGAGAGAAGAGCAGAGTTTGAAAAAGCTTTCTGGCTAGTGGAGTTTGGAACTGCATTCAATATTCCAGCTGGATGCATACCAACTCAGCAACCAGCGTCATAGCTAAGATACCTGCTCCAAAGGGTTCAGTCAGGCCGGTCACAGGTTGTCCTGCATCAGCATCATAGGTTTAAGGCAGTAGTTCTCAATGAGGGAAGCACTCAAGGGGCAGTCTGGAAATTTGTGGAAACTTTTATTGGGAGAGACTGTTAAAGTGACTGGGAGAGTCTACTGGTGTTCAGTGGATGGGGACCAGAGATGTCTTTCAAGGCTCAGGCTAGCCCCGTACAACAAAGAATTGTCCCGCACAATTTCTGAATGCCCTGCAAGACATGCCTGAAGCTGTTTATTGAGCCAGAAACAAATTTCATATTATACGTAATTACAAAGTATTTTCCCAGCTTTGTTTAAAATTTTACTAAGAGTTATCTGAGAAAAATCACATTATTGATGTTTCATGGTACCTGAGTTGCCAATTCATACACCAGTAACAATCTGCATTTGTAGTTGTCACAGTCCATGATTTTACAAATAGGTGCAAGTATCTTACTTCTTTATTACATAGGATAAAATAGTACTTTAGAGCCTCAATATGTAAAGAAATTCTTCAATGATCTAGTTAAAATGCAGATTCAGATCCAGCAGATCTGAGGCAGGGCTGAAGAGTTTGCCTAATAAGCTCTCCAGTGATATTAATGTTATGGGCCCAGAGGCCACACCTTGAATAGCAAGGTTCTAGAGTAGGAATGTACAAGCATTTATATGTACAAATAGTCTTTTTATAATTACTTTCCTTTTATTCCTTGTTTATATATACTTTTTCAAATTATGTGTGTAGACAAATTATATTATCAAGAAGTCATTTCATGAAAGTCAAGGGGTGTTACATTCGTTTTTAAAAAGTGGACACTGAGTCGGATAAGGTTGAAGGCCACTGGTTTATGGAAATGTTTTCTGGCCAACGTTTGGGTGTAACACCTTTATAACAACATGAGATTGGTATGTAATTATGATGACATGTTCACACTGCAGCCAGAATGGTACTGTCAAAGCACAAATCTAACCGTGTCACTCTGTTCTTAAGAACATTCAAAAGTTTTCCACTGCCTTTAGGATAAAGTGCAAACTCCTTAGCGTGGTTAGAAAGCCCTTCATGATCCATTACCACTTACCTTGGCACCTTCTTTCTCACCACTGCAATCTAATCTTCCAGCCAAACAAATCACTTGCAGATTGAGGTCTTTCTCATCCAGAAGCATTTGTATAGTTGCTGTGCCAGAAGCACTTTACCCCAAAGACAGCAGAGGGGTACGTACCTCCCTCCCAAGGTGGAATGCTATCCCTTGTGCCTTTACAGCACACAACACTTCTCATATTGTTACTTTCGTAAAAAGGAAGGTACTACTTATTTATCTACTACTACTTGTTTATCAGTATATGCTCAGTGTCTTAAATAATGCCTGGCATATTGCAGGTACTCAATAAATGCTTACTGAAAAACTGAACTATCTTAGCATTAAACAAAAAGAATTACACGGATTTGTAACAATAGTGGGCCTCAAAGTATTAGCAAATGGCAAGCGGTTGATAAGAAATAGGCTGCCCAGGCAAGGGAAAAACAATGAATTTAAACTTTCCATATTAACTTGAACACTCTAGATTCTGCCTAAACAACTAGCAAAATAGTATTCTAGTGAACTAACAAAGGTTATGGAGAGTAGACAGAGCACCCTGTACATCAGCACATTATCTATATACTCAATATCACGATGTCCTTCACAGTGGGCCAATTTTCCTACTAACATAGAAAATAAGAGGCCATGTGACAGAATTATAAATGTTCAAGGGCATGTCTAGTACCAAAATATCTTGCTATATATTCCTTGGGAAAACAGTCAAGTATTCATAGATACTACAGAGAAAAAACAAAAACTTGGTAATCAGATGGATGAATGAGTGAATAAATGAATGGATGGATGAACAACATGCCAATAATCAACACAGAATACACTGGAATAGGAACTGTAAGACCACGGACAAGTCACTCAACTTCCTTTTGCCTCAGTTTCTTATTTGTAAAATGAAATGTTGTGTCTTTAAAGTCATAGCTCATCAAACAAGCTACTTTCCTGGGTTATCACATATACCCAGGGCACTCTTCTTTATGTGCTACCTAGATAACACCTATTAATTCTTCAAGCTGACCCTAATTATCCTTTCCTCAGAGAAGCTTTTTGTCAATCTCCACACTAGCTAAGTGTTCTAATATATGTTCCCAAAAAGCTGTGTAATTTCCTTTTATAAATACTCAGCACACATTTAAGCACTTAAAATTCTGTCTTCCCTACCAGTCTGTGAGCTTGTGTCTGGCTTGCTAACTACTTCCCCCCTACCCGCCCCCTGGCATCAAAATATCTAGCAAATAGTAGGTATTCAAGAATTAATTTGCAGAATAAATGAATTAGGTCCTCACAAATCTAAAATTTTAGGACTTAGAAGGTGATCATCATTACCTCTATCGTTGGCTCTAATTACCTTGTCTTCTAAGATCTTTTTTTTTCTATCAACCAACAAATGAATACATTTGACAATCAATCTTGGTATGAAGCTTTTTGGTATGCAAAAATTATTTTCAAAATAAGCTTTAATTGTTCCTAAACTCTCCTATTCTGTTAATCAGAATTAGGTCAAATATCAAATTGTTCATCATCCAAAGATAAGTAAATTACAAGGATCCTTCTTTGACTTGAAAGTGACGCTAACAATTTGAACCTTCTTTTGAGTTTTCGAGTGAAGCCAACTTCACTAGAAGTTTTCCAAATACTAAAAAGGTTATAAAGACAAATTAAGAGAATTTTAAAAGATATTATTTAGAAGTGGTACTATTTAATAAAAAACAAAACACTTGTCTCTGGTCTTTCTGGACTTTCAAGAGAAATAAAGGAAAGCACCCATTTATTTTATTTAAGAAAATCCAATGTCCTCTCACCAAGAAAGAATTATTTCAAACATATAAAACTAGTAGAGTATATTTTTAAGTATACTTAGACTCATGATAAAGTACTCTCTTTCAGTAGTCACTACTTAGATTCATTTCCTTCAATATAATAGTTAAGATTAATCTTACTAGAGTTACTTGAAACGGAAATAAGAAATCTCTGTAAGTAAATAAAAAACACGATGGCTCACACCTGTACTCCCAGCACTTTGGGGGGCCGAGGCAGGTGGATCACTTGAGGTCAGGAGTTTGAGACCAGCCTAGTCAACATGGTGAAACCCCATCTCCACTAAAAATCCAAAAAAAAAAAAAAATTAGCTGGGCATGGTGGTGCACACCTGTAATCCCAGTTCCTCAGGTGGTGGAGACAGGAGAATCACTTGAACCCAGGGGGTGGAGGCTGCAGTGAGCTGAGATTGTGCACTGCACTCCAGCCTGGGCAAAAAACAAACAACAACAAAAACCCTCTTATAAATCACATACCCAAAGAGGTAGGAAACTTAGAATCCAAATATCATATTCAGTCTATGCCTTAATTTCATCCAAATTTTGGATGCTATTTCATATGCCTCCAGTACTACAGTTGATCAGATCCAAGATGTATTAATAAAAACAGGTACATCCATATCCAAGAGCTCTCAAATCAAGATAAAAGTTCCATTCATTTACTGGAACTGCACGTCAGAAACGTGAAAGTAGATTCTAGGTTGGGCGCAGTGGCTCATACCTGCAATCCCAGCACTTTGGGAGGCCAAGGCAGGCAGATTGCTTGAGCTCAGGAGTTCAAGACCAGCCTGGGCAATGTGGCAAAACCCCATCTCTGCAAAAAATACAAAAACTAGCCAGGTGTGGTGATATGCACCTGTAGACCCAGTTACCTGGGGGGCTGAGGCACAAGAATCACTTGAGCCCAGGAGGCTGAGGCTGCAGTGAACCATGATCATACCACTACACTCCAGTCTGGGTGACAAAGTGAGACCATGTCTCCAAAAAAAAAAAAAAAAAAAAAAGTAGATTCTAATCAGTAAGATTAGTAGGTGTAAATACTGGCATAAGTGCCCGTTGGTTAGAGGAGTATATAGAAGTGCCCTGTGGTTAGAAAAAAGGTAGCTCACACCTTTTTAACTCTATTTAATAGAGTTAAAAGATGGAGATAAAAGGATTAGTGCAAAGTTGAGATGTTGTTCAAGGAAACGATCAAAGGTGAGGCAGGATTCTCTCTGTCTGGGGAATAACCACTAGCTTAAAAAAAAAAGAGGGAGAACTGGCTACAGAAGGTGAGTCATACACCTAAAATGAGCTCTTTGCTGAACATTTCTTACTAAAGAAGTCTTTTTCTATATCAACTCTAGACCACTCCTTTGGATTTGGAAAGAACTTGATGTCCTGAGTATCATGTAACTAACGACTGCCAGCATCCCTGGACCTAGGTCATAGTAACTCTTGAGTTGCCTCCATGTTTATCATCCATGACAGATCCTTCTTACTAATGTCCCTGACTTTCGCGGGGTCAAAATCATTTCGTATTGATTTTGAAGCCCTGTATAGTTGCAACACATATAAACACATCATCAATAAAGATTAACTATTTTTTAAATTAATTTTTACAAAAACAGACATTAGACTCCTTAAAGATCCTCCTTCTGGGGCCTTTAACACGCTCAGCCAATTCCCAAGGTTCCTATCTCCTTAAGCATGTTCACTACAATCTTTCCTCTGATTGGTACCATGCCAAGTATTACTTTAAATTCTTCTCAAGGATCTTTTGGAAGATCCCCCAAAACCAGCTCTCTCCTACCAAGTAAACACTCTGCCTGTCGATCAGCTTATATTTGCCTTCTCAACAATCTAGTCAGTATCTCATGGTATATCAGAAACTAAAAATTACCAGATGCATATCCAAGGGCCTCAAGGAAAGTATGAGTTCGACATTACTCTAACAAGGCTTTTGGTGGAAGAAGAGAAAAAAGAGGTACTAAGAAACAAGGTTAAGCTCTCTCCTCCCCCGAATGAATGACAAAGAAATTGGGTCCTTTATTTCACATTACCAAATTCTCCCTCTTCCTCCAAACTGGCTTAAAATGAATAAGAATGATGAGACAGTATAGTAATAGTTCTGAAAAATCAAGAATTACTACTTGGGCAGAATTTTTAAAATCTAGGTTACTAAAATCTCTAGTGAGTTCAAACAACTGCACCTCCACTGTTGGTTCTTATACAGACACAGAAAAGAGAAAAGAAACAGAGTATTCATATCACATGTTAGCCTTAACAGCAAAATAGAATCATTATCCAATTTTCACAGATTGTCAGCACGTTAGAAATCTAGTTCAACTCCTTAGTTTTAGAACTGAAGAAATTGAAGCCAAGAAAGATTAAGACACTTGCCTAAGATCACGACTGGTCATTGGTTTCTTAGCAATTATTCAAAAGTAATTTCTTATTTTCTCCTTCAAGATATAATGTGTTCAGAGGAATCACACAATTGAGCAGGGTCAAATATTATTTCCAAGTAAGACAAGGAAACAAAAAATATCAAGATGACAAAGAAAACAAGAGGACTTACCTCTGGGTCTGCTAGGCGCTGAGATAAACCTACAACAAAGACGAGGTTTTTTTGTACGACACGTACACTAGCCAAATGTTTGCGATTTTCTGATATTTTCTGTTTTCTCTCATTTTGTTTCTGTTTTTTCTCATTCTTTATCCTTTGCAGCTCTTCCTGGGAGAGTGGTTTATAAACTGCTGGGTCTTCTGGATATGGCTTTAAGCATGAAACAAACATAGACGTTAGCATTAAATTAATTAAAAAAACTGCGTAAGTAATTATCTGATTCTTGGTGGTGGGTATGTGGTTATCTGTTACATTCTCCCTTTATTAGAATGTTTTAACTGCTTAAAAAATTTTTTTATTTAATAAAAGACAAATGTTAAATAAAATAGTTCTAATAAAAAATTTTTTGGAGCTTAGCACAGACCACTTTTAGTGCTAAAACATCTACGGTTTAAAGGCAAAACAACAACAAACCAATCTTGATATTCCCTGCAGTGTCCAACAGAGTTTATGGGAAGATTAAGCCTCTAAGGTGCTATGTAAGAGGCAAGGAGTGTAAGTTCTTGCATCTAAATGTGGGTTTTACACATTATAATTAACAAATATTTAATGAAAACCTACTATGTGCTAGGAGATTAATGAAGTTACACATTTGTTCTTAAAGCAATTATTACTGTGCCTGGAACATAGTAATCTCTCAGTATAATACTAGCAATCACACTGTTGTGTGATCTTTTCTTTCTTAGCATTTTGATACCATTTTCATTCCTACTACTAATGCCAGGGCTACCAAATGAGGGCTCTGGAGACAGAATGCTGGCACTGCATCCTAGCTCAGCCATTACTATCTAAGTGACTTTGGTAAAGTCATATGACCTTTCTACCTCAGTCGTCTCATCTGTAAAATGGAAACTACAGTACTTTATTTATTCACCTATAAAGTGATTAACACTGTGTCCTACATATAAGTATTCAAAAGTCAATTATTACTACTAAAAACAAATAGTTAATGATAAATGGAAGATGCGGCACATTATTTTTTCTTTTCTTCCCTCCCCCAAGACCCGTGCACACACAACACCAACATAGGGGCACATTAAATGCCATAATATTTTAAACTGGATAGGAAGAGATTCCAGGGATGGAAACTCAACTGGTAGGGAAATTGGCACCTATCAGAATACAAGAGTGGGGAACAACAGAAATAATGCCAAACCAAAAAAAAAAAAAGGTGGAAACAAGGAAGGGTGGAAGAAATAGCTACAGGCCTGAAATTTTGCTATGACTTTAAAGTAAAGTTAACCTCCATCTCTTCATATATAAGCGTTAAAAAAAAAAAAAACCTCTCAAATTTGTGAACATACCCAGAGTAACGCTGACGGCAATTAAGAAAGTGAGATTTCACCTTATATTTCACAACTTTTACTAGTATATACCCTGAGGTCTCCAAGAACCCTATTCTTTCCCTTTTATTCCCACTTTCAATTTTAACTTACTGCTTTTTAAGGAAACTTAATACTCTTCATAGTTTACCTTGTTATCAATGAATTAGAGCTGGTGACCCAAAAAAGATTCAGGCTTAATCCTTAACAGTTTGGTAGGATGTAAACACCCATACCACTTGATTCCCACATTAAGAATCTGGATCTTTGAGTTAGTGGATCCTATTTGGCATACTCCAACTTATTTGTGAGTGGAAGGCATACAAAGCAGCTTGCTTAGTAATTTACCTGATTTTGGTATGATTTTAGGACTTTCTCCAGGATCAAATATAAATTTAGTATGATTTCAGAAGCTCAATAAATATTTGCCAAGCAAACATCAAAAGCTACTCTCCAGAATTGAAAACTCAGCATTTCTGTGTTTTAAAAGCCACCAAAACAAACAAACAAACAAAACACACACACACACACACACACACACACACACACACACACACACACACACATTTTTTATTAAAACATAAATTATTTCTTGCATTTTAATTTAAGGAACCAAACAGTTAAAGATCTATTAAGGTAAGTTCAGTTCCTCAATCAATTACGTAGTCATCCACATTTAAGTTTTTTCTTAATGCCTTCCTCTCAAAACTTCCTTCTCCACTTACTTTTCTGTACCTACATTAATTATCTCCTTCAAATCTTAATCTATCTGCCTGGATGATTTTAATCCCTTGAAGCTATTTGGAGCTCTAAAGGCACAAATGTAAAAAGATATAAAAGTGAACTATATATTAACTAATTAAAACACTTTTCTATAAGATAACTTAAATTTTTCATTTGCACCTAGAAAAGCTGTTTTCTACCCCAGAATTCCTGGGGTAGTTCCTTCTGAAGTGTTTACAATTAAGTTCATTTGAGGCCAGGCGCGGTGGCTCACGCCTGTAATTCCAGCACTTTGGGAGGCTGAGGTGGGTAGATCACTCGAGGTCAGGAGTTCAAGACCAGCCTGGCCAACATGGTAAAACCATGTCTCTACCAAAAATATTTTTAAAAACTAGCCGGGTGTGGTAGCATGAGCCTGTAATCCCAGCTACTTGGGAGGCTGAGGCAGGAGAACTGCTTGAACCTGGGAGGCAGAGGTTGCAGTGAGCTGAGATTGTGCCACTGCACTCCAGCCTGGGCGACAGAGCCAGACTCCTTCTCAAAAACAAACAAACAAACAAACAAACAAAAAAAAACAAACAAGTTCATTTGAAAGCTGTTGCTCTTCACTGACATCTAAAACACCGATGCTCCACTGCCTGAATGGATCAAACACATGGATTGCTCCTAGTTTTGTTTCAAAGTATAGTTGACGCACTGCCTTTTACCAGTCCATAACAAGGAAAGTACAAAAACTGAGATAAGCGTTCAGAAACTCTCAGAGCAACTGACACTACCCCAACATTCAGGTCCATCACCAGTGGACTCTGCAGAATAAGATATTTTTCAATGTAGTCGAACATATGACACAAGCAAAATATTAGCCATGCATAATAGCACTCTATATCAGTCCTCAACAGACAGGGGAAAAGAAAGAAAAGAAAAAATCTGGTTCTTCATCACAGAAGGCGTAAGAAGCAATGATGTAACTTTTCTGGGACTTAGATTTTTCTGAGAACTGGCAGAATGTGACAAACACCCTCAAGCTGTTTCCTTTGTTAGTATTCTATGAGGTTGTATAAAATACTGATTACACATGAGGCAAAGTCATGTAATATTTGAAAATACATGAACACAAAAAAATTGAGGGAGAGTGACAAGTAAGAAAAATCAGGTTGCAATATCAACTCTTATCAAGTATATTACTGATGCACCATCATGTTAAGCATATAACACTGAGTTATATTGTTCTCTTAGTCTTTTTGCTATGTTATTCCAAGTTTTGTTCCTATGGAAATATATTTCCATCAGGCTTCAAAGTCAACGTTGTTGGAACATAACTGCTACATAATACAAAAGATACAAACACAGAAGAACATGAGACAGAGTATTCTACTACAATTTACCCTCCAAATATATCTTATTCCAGTACCTTAAAAGAAGTTATAAATACTAGTTGTTTAATCTTAACACCTGAAAAATATAAAATATGCTAACCACAAATAGCAAATGCATAATCAAAAGGTTTATTAACTTCAACTTGTCCAAAAGTTTTATTAAAACATTGGAAAAGCATGTATTCCAAAAAAGTTCCTCCTCCATTACAATTCCTTCACTACACACACCACCATATATACCTACTGCACAAACCCAAGGTCAGAATATCAATAAACTAATACAATAAAATAAGGATGAGAGGTAGACTATAAAGATGGGAGGGCTGGGTGCGGTGGCTCACACCTGTAATTCCAGCACTTAGGGAGGGTGAGGTAGGAGGATTGCAAGACAGCCTGAGCAACACAGTGAGACCCCCATCTCTACAAAAAATAAAAAAAAATTATCCAGGCATGGTGGTGTGCACCTACAGTCACAGCTACTTGGGAGGCTGAGGCAGGAGGGATGCTTGAGCACAGGAGTTCGAGGCTGCAATGAACTACAATGGCATCACTGTGCTCCAGCTTGGGTGACAAGGCAAGACCCTATTTCAAAAAAGCGGGGGGAAATGAAGAAACCAAACACGAATAACTGCAGACAGTGAGACTCACAAAGCTAATATTACTAGCACTAAAAATGGATATAAAGAAAAATACAAAGGCTGGGCACGGTGGCTCACGCCTGTAATCCCAGCACTTTGGGAGGCCAAGGCGGGCGGACCACAAGGTCAGGAAATCGAGACCATCCTGGCTAACACGGTGAAACCCCATCTCTACTAAAAATAAAAAAAAATTAGCCGGGTGTGGTGGTGGGCACCTGTAGTCCCAGCTACTCAGAAGGCTGGAGCAGGAGAATGGCGTGAACCCAGGAGGCAGAACTTGCAGTGAGCCGAGATCGTGCCACTGCACTCCAGCCTGGGTGACAGAGCAAGACTCCGTCTCAAAAAAAAAAAAAAAAGAAAGAAAGAAAGAAAAATACAGGCTGGGTGCAGTGGCTCATGCCTGTAATCCCAGTACTTTGGGAGGCCGAGACGTGTGGATCACCTGAGGTCAGGAGTTTGAGACCAGCCTGGCCAACATGGTGAAACCCTGTTTCTACTAAAAATACAAAAATGAGCCAGGCGTGATGGCAGGTGCCTGTAATCCCAGCTACTCAGGAGGCTGAGGCAGGAGAATCGCTTGAACCCGGGAGATGGAGGTTGCAGTGAGTGGAGATCACGCCACTGTACTCCAGCCTGGGGAACAAGAATGAAACTCCATCTCAAAAAAAAAAAAAAAGGAAAAATATATCTGATCAACTTTTTGACTAAAACACATGTTAAATTTCTAGGAATATAGCATCAAATGAAAAGTTACAAGCAGAAAATTTCTCTTTAAACATACTATTGTGCATTACATATCAAACTAATGCAAAATAGGTTGCCTATGGAGAAGTATTTAGATATAACACTATTTTTAATAGTTATAAACTGCCAAATTACTAGTTAACATGGTTTGCAGTTTCTAGTGTAATTACTTAATTTCTTCCATATGTGTAGTTATGTTTCCACTTTTATTCCAAATGCTATTTACATGTGTCTTCTCTTTACTTTTTATTAAACTTGCTAAGACTTTAATTATTTTATTGGTCTTTTCAGAGAACCAGCTCTAATCTTTATTGAAAAACTTTTTTTTTTCCTATTTCACAAAATTCTGCTTACTCACTCCCTTCCACTGTCCCAGGGCTTATTCTTTTTCTGATTTCTTTTTCTGATCCCTTCCACTGTCATAGTACTCATTCTTTTTCTAATTTTTGTTGTTTTCTAATAAATGTATTCACAGCTTTAGCTTTTCTGCTGCATACCACTTGGGCCTCATGCCAGATATTCAGAAATCATGTTCCAAGTATTGATTCAGAATAATTTGTAATTTTCTTTTTGATCTCTTTAAACCAAGAGTTATGGAAGACCATAATTTATGTATTACAGGTAAATGAACTTTTAAAAAATCCTTTTGCTGTTAACATCTAATTTGATTATACTATTTTTTTAGGGTTCTAGTTTCCAGTAATGGAGAGCTAATTAACCCTTTTACTAAAAACCATGAAAAATACAACATAAAAATTTTTTTTTTCTTCTTACTAACATCCTAAAAATCTATACTGGAAAAATCCCAAGCCAGTTTTTGGTTGAAAGTAAAAATTCAGAGCCTAAACAGAAAATCTGATTAACAATAAATGGGGTAGGGAGAGAAAGAGCTAAGGAGAAAGAACATTCAAAGCCCAACACCAGCTCATGGTAGTCTTTGGCAAGATAGGTTCCATGATAAGCTGAGATACAGCCCACCTCCAAACGGTGGGCTCAGGATAAGAACAAATTACAAACCAGAGGATAGTCTCAGGGTAAGAACAAACTACAGAAAGGTCAGACTAAGGTAAGAAAAAAGAAAAAGTAGGTAGGGGAAAACCATCCTGGAGAAATTGTTGAAATCAACCCTAGGGAAGAGTTGCAGCATGGAGATATATTGCTTGGCTAGACCAAAAACCTTTAAGCACATGGCAGCCCTAATGCCAATGCTTACAGGACCCAGCAGAAGCCAAATTGAAGCCTCTCTAGAGAGGAGCAAATCCACACTAGTCCTTGGGGAACCTTACAAATAATTTTCTCAATGACAATAACAAGGAAGCAGCCACATTAACCAAACACAAAGAAATACAACAACATGAGCAACAATAAGCAGAAATATAGCCCACAGACTTCAGCCACTGGAATTACTGGACAAAGATGTTTTTAAAAAATAATGCTTATCTGTTTAAAAAATATATAACCTTGAAAATACCTACAGGGTATAATAATCTATTTTAAAATAACAGCAAGAGAAAAAAAAGAGCAAACATTACTTCTAGGTATGGAAAACACAAAACCAATAGTTAAAAACTCAACAGACATATTTAGTGGCAGATTGGATACAAAACAAACTATTCGCACATGAGGACAGGTCAGAATAAATCATTTACTAAGGTATGAAGGAGAAAGAACATACAGAAAAGAGATTAAGAGACATAGAAGACAGTGAAAAAAAATCTGAAAAATATTTAATCAGAGTCACAGAGGAGAAGAAAGAGAAAAAAGGTTGTATCTGAAGAGATAATAGCTTAATTTTTATCTTGAACTAAGGAAATTCACCAGCCCACAGATTTAAAAAGTCTCCCAAGGAGGATAAATTTTTAAAATACACAAGGGAGATTTACTTTTTGGAATTGGCTAATTTTTCCATTGTGGCCTGTTTTTTGACCACTGCTCTTGTATTTAACATTGTGACAAATTTATCTGTACAAAGTTATACACACACACATACACACACACATCTTGCTAATTCTGTTATTCAAATTCCCCATTTTCTTTTCATTGTCTACTTCATCTATTTCTAAAATACAGAAGGGGAAGTCTCTCCATTATAAATACGGATGTCAGTTTCTCCTGGTGTTTATAATGGCTCAATATACTTCAAAGTTGTACTGTTAAGTAAAGATTCATGACTTTGTGGAACTTTTGCCCTTTTAAAATGTGTTTGATCTTGAATTTCATTATGACTAATATCAGTACTATTATATCTTCTTTCCTATGATTTCCATTTGCCCACTGTATCATTTTTCCCTCCTTTCATTGATATTTTTCTTGAATATGCTTCTAGTCAATTGGTTCTACAAGTTTTGTTAGGAAAAAGAGCAGTCCCCCATTTTCCCTCCTCCTCTACAACCAGTTGCCTCTTCCTAGAAATAATCATGTTGACTCTTTTAGATGATTCTTTGTCATTTACTACCATATCTCTAAATAATACATCCATATTGCTACTTCTTGATTTCTCAGTTTTAGATATCATCACATTATGCAACTTGAAGATTTAGCCCTGTCAGTTCCCCTCATCAAACATCCCGAGTCCACTTTCTAATTTCTACCATAACTTTGGTTAGGGCAATATTCAGGATTACATTATTATAAAATGCAAATGTTATTTACACTCTTCCACTTCCAGCCATGAAAGTAACAGACAAGCCCTATCATCATAAACAACTGCAGAACTAGACAAAATACAGGAAATAACTATTTTCAGACACTGAAGAAACAGGCAATGAACAGCAGGACTGTGATCTCTGAGAAAAAAGAAATAAGACCGATGAATACCATAACTACCCCAGCTTTCTGCTCTTCCAGTACTTACCAGATCCTGGTACTGGGTTCAAGAGTCATAATGAATGGAGGGGACAGACAGTGATAAAAATTAGAAGAGGCTGAGACAACTGAAATTTATGGGGGCAAAATACCACAAAGATGGAGTTAGTCCAAAAAGAATCCCAGAGGTCTACATACAGGAATATTGTGATAGCTAGTTTTCATAGGTGTCTTTCCAACGAAGATACCTAGTAGAGTCCATGCCAATCATGAATTTAGAAAAGAAATAAAAAAAGAATACCAATGACACGCAAACTCTTTCAGAAGGCAGAAGATGAGGAAACATTTCCCAACTCATTTTATGTGGACAGTATTCCTTTGATACCAAAACTGAAAACAATATAAAACTACAAAGAAATACCCTTTATGACACAGACAAAAAAATCTTCTGAAAATATTAGCAAACTGAATATAAAAAGGGTAATACATTATAATCAAGTGGGGTTTATCTTTGAGAAGAAAAGGTGATTTAAAAATTAACATAGGCCAGACGTAGTGGTTCGTGCCTATAATCCCAGCACTTTAGGAGGCTGAGGCAGGAGGAACACCTGAGGGCAGTAGTTCAAGACCAACCTGGGCAACATAGCGAGCCCAGTCTCTGCAAAGACAAAAAATTTTTTTTAATTATTCAGGTGTGGTGGTGCACACCTGTAGTCCCAGCTACTTGGTAGGCTGAAGCAGGAGAATTGCTTGAGCCCAGGAGGTTGAAGCTGCAGTGAGCTACAATGAGGCCACTGTACTCCACCCTGGGCGAGAGACCAAGACCCTATCGCTTTAAAAAAAACCAAAAAACATAAATTACTGTTTCAACAGAATAAAAGGAGAAAAAAGTATAACCATCTCAATAGTATCAAAAAAGGTATTTGGCAAAATTCAACACCATTCATGATAAAATCTCTCAGCAAATTAGGAATAAAGGAAAACTTCCTTGACCTGATAAAGACCAGACCAAAAAATGCACACACAGCAACATACTTAATGATGTAATACTTAATGCCTTCCTGCTAAGATTGGGAACAAAGATATCTTTCTTATCACTTCTTTTTAATATTAAACACTAGAGGAGTTACCCAGTAGAATTAAGGCAAGAAAAAGAATTTAAAAACACAGAGCCAGGTGCAGTGACTCATGCCTATAATCCCAGCATTTTGGAGGGGACTGAGGTGGAAGGATGCTTGAGGCCAGGAGTTCAAGACCAGCCTGGGCAACACAGCGAGACCTTTACAAAAAAATTTTTTAAACAATTAGTTGGGCATGGTGGCACATGCCTATAGTCCCACCTATTGGGAAGGCTGAGACAGAAGTACTGCTTGAGCCCAGGAGTTCTAGACTGCAGTGAGCCATATTTGTGCCACTGCACTTCATAGCCTGGGCGAAAGAGCAAGACCTTGTCTCTAAAAAAATTTTAAAAAGCAGAGATTGGAAAGGAAAGAGTAAAACTGTCTTTTTGCATAGAACACATAATCACCTATGTAGAAAATTCTAAGGAACCTATTTAATTAACAAGGCTTCTTGATATAGATGGTCAACATTCAAAAGTGGTACATTAGCAATAAACAACTGGAAAGTGAAATTTCAGAAACAATATCGGGCTGGGTGCGGTGGCTCACGCTTGTAATCCTGACACTTTGGGAGGCCAAGGCGGGTGGATCACGAGGTCAGGAGATTGAGACCATCCTGGCTAACATGGTGAAACCCTGTCTCTACTAAAAATACAAAAAATTAGCCAGGTGTGGTGGCACACGCCTGTAGTCCCAGCTACTCCAGAGGCTGAGGCAGGAGAATCACTTGAACCCGGCAGGTGGAGGATGCAGTGAGCCGAGATCACACCACTGCACTCCAGCCTGGGTGACATGAGTGAAACTCCATCTCAAAAAAAAAAAGAAACATATCATGGGCCATAGCTCAAAAACATAAAATATGGATAATATAACAAACATGCTGTACTATTATGTATACTGAAAACTATAAAACATTGCTAAAGAAATTTTAAAACATGTAAAGATATACCTTATTCATGAACTAAAGGAGTCAACATTTTTAAGATGTCATTTTTCCTCAAAATGATCTAACTGTAGAGTTAAGGTAATCTCCATCAAAATCCCAGTAGGCTTTTTGTTGAAACTCACAAACTGATTCAAAAATTTATGTGCAAATGCTAAATACTTAGAATACCCAAAATAAATTCTAAAAAGAATAACAAAGTTGAAAACCTTGTCACGCCAGGTTTCAAAACTTACAATAATAAAGACAGTATGGTATGAGCATATGGATAGATATAATCATCAATGGACAGAATACAGATGCTAGTATTGGATTTATACATTTATGGGCAATTGACTTTCAGGAAAGATTTCAAAACCAATCAAGAGTGAAAGGACAGTCTTTTCTGCAAACGATGCTGCAACAAGAATATCAGCATAGGAAAAAAAAATATATCATGACCCCTACCTCACATGTGAGCCACTGCAGCATAATATGATTGCTTTTTCATTTCTCTACAACTTTTTGTTTCCCCTAGAGTTAATCTGTTTTGTCTGATTATATTTTTAGGTGTTCATTACTAATTCAACCATCAAATCTCTTCAAACTGGCAAAATGGTCTCACAAGACATTTCTCTTTTAGAACACCAAGTATTCTTTTAATTTTATCTTTTTCTACAAATCCCTCTTGCAGTTCTCTGATGTGTTGCATTTTGGACTGGTTGCCCTCTTTACCTTGGGCACAGCTGTCATCCTTTCCCCAGGGGCTTCTCTCCTGTGTTGGATCTCCTGTTTCCTTTATCCCATGATTCTCTGTTCTTTATTCCTTCATGTTGGTGGGGCACATCCTCCAATAGATTCCTGGGAGAGAATGCATGGAAGGTAAAAAAATTTTGAGGCCTCTCAGGTCTGAAAATGTCTTTTAGTGTACCGTCACACTTAACAGTTGAGCAGATACGGAATCCGAAGATGAAAATTAATTTCCTTCAGAAGTATCTTCTAGCTTGAAGTCTTGCTATTGAGAAATCTGAAACGATTCGGATTCCTTGTCTTTTACATGCGATCTGCTATTTTCCTCTGTGGAAGCTTGTAGAACTTCTTTGTCTTTGGTATTCTGGTATTTCCAAATAAAAAAGTTTGTGCTGGACACTTGATAGGCCCTTTCAATCTGAAAATGTGTTCTTTGGTTCTGGGAAATATTCTTCGATCATATTCTTGGATGATTACTTCCCCTCTGTATCACTGTGATCTCGTCCTAGAGTACTGATCTCTTCCTAGAGCACTTAATTGTTTGGTATTTGACGTCCTTGATTGATCCTCAGATGAACTTAATCTCTTCTCCCAAATATTTCATCTCTTTTGCTTTTTGTTTCACTAAAAGATCTTCTCAACTTCATCTTCCAATGCTTTCCTTCAGTTATTTTTGCTATTATATTTTAATTTTCAATGACAATGGTTACTGTTCACTGAATATTCTTCTTTATATCATCCTGTTCTTTTTTTTTTTTTTTTTTTTTCTTGAGGTAGTATCTTGCTCTATCACCCAGGCTGGAGTGCAGTGGCATGAACATGGCTCACTGTAGCTTCAACCTCCTGGGTTCAAGCGATCCTCCCACCTTAGCCTCCCGAGTAGCTGGGACTACAAGCATGTGCCACCACACTCAGCTAATTTTTCTTATTGTTATTAGAGATGAGGCCTCGCCATGTTACCCAGGCTGGTCTCAAACTCCTAACCTCAAACAATCCTCCCACCTCAGCCTCCCAAAATGTTGGGATTACAAGCATGAGCCACCATGTCCAAACCACCATCCTGTTTTTGTTTCATAGATACATTATCTTCTATTATTTCTGAAATAAAAATAATAATACTTCTGTTGAAGTTCTCATTTCCTTGTATAGTCTCTGGTTTCCATGGGAATCAATACAGAATGCCACATCAGTGCACCACCTATGTTCCCATATCTGCTGTTTCCACTAGTAGCTTTCTCAGAAATGCTGCACTAAAAGGACACATGAAAGCAGTCTAAGAAAAAACCAAGTAGCCTGTGCCTGTGTTTAGCAGCTAGGACCAAACGGGAACACTAAACTCTCTTGGTTTTTAAAATCTGGCTGTCTCTGCTTTTCAAAGATATTAAAGCTAAGAGAAACTTTCTGCAAAACAGGCACGTTTCATATTGTAGACTGAGAACAGGAGCTTGATTCAACTAGCTCCCTACTTGCATCTCCCAAGTTTCTTCAGATCATCTCAATATGCCACCTCACAGCATGGCCTCTGTAGACCCTGTGCCTGCAGGGTTGGGTTACATGTAAATGGCAGCTTCATGACCCTCTCTAGGCCTCTAGCAACATTGTGGTTTTCCTCTGTGTTAACACAACCACTGTAGATGGCCTCCAGAGACCAAAGACTTGCTTGACTCCGACCGACACAGGCAACTTCACAAATATTTATCTTGCGCTGCGCTGAGCAGATTCTCTGGCAAGACTAGGCCAGGATTCAGACTCCAAGACTCTCTGCTGCCTGCACTACAAAGTCTGGTGACCAGGAGACCAAGAAGAGGTTCTAGGAGATGTGATTAAGTCAACAAGAAACCAAAAAATTATTCCTGGCCTAATAACAATAACCACCTCAGCTAAAGATGTAACTTGGAGACCCTAAAGGGAGGTTGTCTTAGACCTCTGTAATCTGGATTTCTTTTTTCTGTAACTGTTGGAAAGTTTTGGTGCTTATCCTTAGACAATCTTTCATCTTTTCAATTCATGATCTTATCCAGTCTCGTGATGTTATAAATAACACACTATATGCTAACTGACACCAAAATCTGTATCTCCATACCAGAACCTCACCTGAAATCCAGACATGAACATTCATTCACCTGTCTACTCAATATCTCCACTTAGATTTCTAATAGGAATCTCATACTTAACATGTCTAAAACTGAGTTTCTGATCTTCTCAAATGTCTATTCCTGGTGCAGTCTTCCCCATTTCAGTTAATGGCCATTCTTTACTTTCAGGTGTTCAGTCAAAACCCTGCAGTCATCCTCAACTCTCTGTTTGTATGGTGGTTCATGAATAATAAAGTTCATGAATCTTTGCATGTGTGAAAATGTTTTATTATGCCTTTACATATTAATAAAATTGAGAGCTCTCCTTTCAAAGTTACGTTCCCTCAAAATTTGGGAAAATAAATTTCTCAGTTTATTTTCTGTAATTGTAAAATGAAAATACCGGTATTAATTTTAGTCTTGTTCTGTTGTATTCTAAATATTTATCTCTCACAAGCTTTTAGAGTTTTCTCTATTCTAGATGTTCTAAAATTTCACAATTATATAAACAAACATTGATCTTTTTCAGTCACCTTGCTTCACACTCACAGGGCCCTTCTAATCTAAGAGGAATTTTCTTCTATTAGTTCTTTGATTATTTCTTCCTATTCATTTTTAGTTCACTCCTCTGAGACTGCTCTCAGCAGAGATTAGAACCTGTGGATCTATGCTGCTTTTCCTTCATGCTTTCTATTTTTTCTCTTGTTGCATTATATTCTTCAATAAAAACCCACTCAGCACAAGCTTCCAATTTATCAATTTGCTCTTATAATGTGTCCATTTTGCTTTTCAGGCCATCTATAAGATTTTTCAAGACCTCTCTAATTTGTTCTTTTTATAAGGAAATATAATCTTTCTACATGAATATGACATTCCCTCTTTCCTTTCCGAAAGGTACCAATGATAGTTTTAAATGTCTTTCTGTTTTGTTTCCTGTGTTAGGATCTTCTATTTACTGAATTTTGTGCTTCTCTTTCATGATGTTGGTTTTCCTGAAATCTGTGTTAATTCTTGTTTTTGCACACCTTTACATGTGAGAATCCTGGTAATCTGCCTATAAATGCTATTTCTGTTTACTGCAAGATTCTCCTTTGTGACTGTAGCAAAGACATATTGCTGGACAGGTAATCTGCTAGGTATAGAAGCTCCTAGTTCCTCCAGAATGTTTCCATTAACCTTAAGGCTCTGATTCAAACTTATAATCACTGTTTTAATTAGAGGGCATCTGTCTCTGCTACATGGCACAAAAAAGGGGGTAGGCCTATAAGGCTGCTCTGACACCATACTTGACCCAACTACACTGATATTTTTCCTAGGATCCTGAAGCACTCCCATTCCTTTTTTTTTTTTAAGCAGTTTTCTCTTGAGCTGATCTAATGCTTCCTCCTTGAAATTGATTCCAATGTCCTTCTTGTCTTTCAGAGATTCCTCACACTTTCTGGTATTCCCAGGACACCCTTTTATTCATATCAAGCTTGCTAAAGTTATACTGTTTTTACCTTTAAAATCTTCTATTTTTTTTTCTTTTTTTACTTTCTAAGGACTTGAAGTAATTTTAGGTAATCTCTTAAGATTGAAATGACTTTCTTTGTAATTTCCCCAAATAACTTATTTTTCTGTAATGACAATTTAATAACTGGTCCTTTTAAGGTGACTTCATAACATCCCAAAGGGAAAAAAAAAAGAAAAGAAAAAGATAAACATCATGAAGCCAATCAAATTTACAATCCTTAGAGTCTTGGGCAATCCTGAAAGTCATTACTTCTGATGAAATAGTTCAATATGATTGTCTTCTTATGGAATGACTGGGGAACCAATTTCTAAAATATAACTAAATGTTCAAATCCATAAACAAAAATTTATATAGATTTTTCCCAAAGCTAATGTTAGGGTTTTCATTTACCTTTCCATTCACATTTCTTAAACTATATTAACTACATGAAATATTATATATATACAAATTATATATACACATTATATATGTTACATATACAATATATGTGTAACTATATAAATGTATAAACTATATTAACATTGAAATAGACCTAACTTTTTATTCATATAATATATATACATATCCACTGGATTAATTTTAAAAATCTAATGATAAATAAACAATGCATTGCCTTCTGAGATTTATTATAAATTCTCAGGTAAGAAAACTAAGAGACAGATTATTTTTTAAATTTTAGATATCTAAAACACATTTCAGCTTTCTCAAAATTTGATAGTAATGAACACAAGAGGTCTTTAAAATGGGTAATTAGAAAATAAAGTTTAAATTATACAAACATTAAAGAAAAGGCAAATTCCATAATAAAGTGGCAGATATTTGCATTAATCCCTAAGGTCACAAATAAAGTCCTTCAAAATACAAATGTGGCAGTCCTACCTATCCTAGTAGTTAATTCACTATACTGTAATTGTGTCGCTGGTGCTTATCAAAACAATAAAACCCATAGAATATTAAAAATAATAGATTTTTAGAGTTAGGAGGGGCTTTTCTTTTCTTTTCTTTTCTTTTTTTTGAGACGGAGTCTCGCTCTGTTGCCCAGGCTGGAGTGCTGTGGCACGATCTCGGCTCACTGCAAGCTCCGCCTTCCGGGTTCACGCCATTCTCCTGCCTCAGCCTCCCAAGTAGCTGGGACTATAGGTGCTCGCCACCACGCCTGCCTAATTTTTTGTATTTTTAGTAGAGACAGGGTTTCACTGTGTTAGCCAGGATGGTCTCGATCTCCTGACCTTGTGATCCGCCTGCCTCAGCCTCCCAAAGTGCTGGGATTACAGGCGTGAGCCACCGCGCCCGGCCAGGAGGGGCTTTTCAATAATACAATAGTTCAGAACAGACTATAGACTCAAAAGACATTTGAATTCCAAACCTCCTACCTACTACTCACAAGTTGATGACTCTGGACAAGTTATCTAAGCTCCTGTTTCCTTGAGTGTAAAATGGGAATATCAATACCAGCCTAAAATTGCTGTAAGGGCTCAAGAAATGAGCATTTATTATCTTCTGAACGAGGATTTCTCTGTCATTTTAACTCTTTTTAGTAAACATCTTCTCTCCTATTTTGTACTAGAAAATTAAGGTGAATTTCCTCCCACATGTAATATAAAATGTTTTTCTAATTTCATGCAACCCTATCCAAATCCATTACCTCTCTATTCTTAATTTCCTTAAGCAGTAAGCATCCCTGACCATGTCTTTCTCCTCGGATAAAACAACAACAAACTAAAGGCCAATCAGAGAGGTTACATGACTTTACAAAGATCATACAGCTAGTAAACAAAGCCAAGACGTGGCCCTGACTCCCAGTGCAGTGTTCTTTCCACCTTATATCTTAAAATAATACACATAATAAAATAATATAATCAGGTGAGGTTTGCACAGTCTTTTAAATTCACTTGCTCATATACATGGCAGCAAAAAACTATACAATTAAAACAAATCACTGTGAAGTTATTTTGAAGTATTTACCTTTCTACATGCAGGACAAAGCCCATTTTCATCAGTGCGAATTCGATGCCAACAAAATCGGCAAATCTGGTAGCCACAGGTGCAAGGGAAAAAGTTGATATCATCTATCTCCAAGGGCTCCATGCAAAGAGGGCACTCCACAGGGTCTTCCTTCGCATCAGGACTGCGAGACATCTTCACGTTTATTAAACAGCAGCAAAAGTTTATAATAATTTAAGGGAGAAGGAAGTTCAGCACTGAAAGCTAAAATGTAGGACTTTGACGACCTGCATGAGAAGAAACAAAATACATTGTTTACTACTGGAAAAATGGCACAGTCAACAATTAAGAGTCACACTGTCAAAAAATTTGAAAAATACTGACTGAGCAACTACTGTTATCAACCTGAAATGGCTTTCAGAATGGATTTCTGAAAATTTTGAATACCAAAACAAAAGGCCTGGCATCATTAATATTTTGGATTCAACATAAATAAAAAAGAACTTCCCTTTTTTCTCGATAAAACATTTAGTACTAGCCTATAGCACTCATCATAACACATTTTAGGGGAATAAATAAGGTAAAACAGCACTCTTAACTGTCTCATCTTTGACCTAAAACCTAGTAATATTGCCACATAACTAGAAGACTATTACACTATTCTAAAGTTTGTCACAATTTATAAAACAAATCGAATGAAAACAAGATACTTCAATCATCTATAGTTACATGTTAACATCAAACTCTTGACACAGAGAAACATAGGCTAAAACTCAGAAAAACTCGGATGCCATAGAACCATAGACCTTAACAATACAACTAATTATGTAATAACATGCTAATGAAAACTTCTGAGAAACACGTATTAAACAAAAGTATTCCTATGGTAATACTACAAAAAGCCTATAATAAACAGGAAGAAAGAAGGGAAGAAATAGACCTTCATATCACAAACACTTTTTGAAAAGTTAAATAATATAACTTTTTAGATTATAGGGAGTTTTAAATTTTTAGGTAATATCTTAGGCTAAAGCCACTGTTAGATTAAAAGGTTAGCTTGAAATCACTACTTTAAGTTAAAATCTGATAGCCTGCAAACTAATCTATAATTCTATAGTAATCCCCACCAAAATCACGGTGGTAATTTTTTACATAATTGGACAAACTGATCCTAAAGGTTACATACAAGAATAAATGCATGAGAATCATTTTGAAGCTTCTGGGGAAAAAAGTGGGAATTTGCCCTGTCACATACTAAATTATACTATAAAGCTACAGTAATTTAAATAATTTCCTATTAGTATAAAATTAGACAAAAGAGCAAAGAAACTAAAGAATCTAGATATAGCTGGGTACAGCAGCTCATGACTGTAATCCCAGCACTTTGAGAGGCCAAGGCAGGAGGACTGCTTGAGGGCAGGAGTTCAGCTCCAGCCAGGAGTTCAAGACCAGCACAACATAGCAAAGCCCTCATGTCTATAACAAATTTTAAAATTAGCTGGGCATGGTGGCGCACACTGTAGTCCCAGCTACTTGGGAGGCTTGAAGCAGGAGCATCGCTTGAGCCCAGGAGTTCAAGGCTGCAGTGAGCTATAACTGTGCCACCACACTCCAGCATGGGTGACAGAGACCCTGTCTCAAAATCAGAAAAATCTAGAAACAGACTCATGAATTTATGAGGTTTTAATATTTGCTAAAATGTATAACTAAAGATGGGAAGGCTGGACCATTTTATAAACAGTGATGGGACACTGGGCTATCCATTTGAATAAAAAATAGTATATAATCTAATACTGCAATTTTAAAAAATCCCAAATGATCTAGTGATCAATAAATTATTGAAGTGTTAAAGAAAAAAAAAACAGATTTTTTTAAAAATCTTGGGATATAGAAGGTCTTCATAAGCAAAACAAAAATTCAGAAGCCATAAAAGGAGACAATCAACTTAGCAACATGGAAAGAAGAAAACATAAATAAAATTAAAAGTAAGCATCAGAGTAAAAGATACATTTGCTACATATAATGAAAAGCTAATGTCCAGAATATATAAAGAAATCCTACAAAGCAGTAAGACACAGACAAGTTAAAAAAAAAAAAAAAAGAGACAAGAAAATGATAAGCAGTTCACAGAAGAATTACAAGTGATTAAAATACATGAAAAAATGATCAATCTTTAGTTAACAGCCAGGTAACTTTTTTTTTTTTTTTACCCCATCAGCCTGTCAAAGAAGTTAGTTTTCACCCAAAGTAGAGAAGTAGAGAGGATCAATGATCTAGCGCCTCTTTCAAAAGAGGAAATGGGAACACATTATTTTGCCTTAAGTTACACACTTATTAGTATAGCCTGGATTCCTTCTAGGAAGTTTTAGCCCTAGATAAGCTGTGCTCTTAACAACTCCCTTATACCACCTCCTAACTAAGAACCTATTCTACATAAATAGTGACACCAACATAGCCAAGTGTTTGGCTATGTTCTACAGCAATATAAGAGTAGAAAACTGCAGGCCGGGTGCAGTGGCTCACGCCTATAATCCCAGCACTTGGAGAGGCCGAGGCAGGTGAATCACGAGGTCAAGAGAGCAAGACATCCTGGCCAACATGGTGAAATCCCGTCTCTACTAAAAATACAAAAATTAGCTGGGCGTGGTGGCACATGCCTGTATTCCCAGCTACTTGGGAGGCTGAAGCAAGAGAACTGCTTGAACCCAGGAGGCGGAGGTGGCAGCGAGCCGAGATCATTGCACTCCAGCCTGGTGACAGAGAGAGACTCCGTCTCAAAAAAAAAAAAAAGAGTAGAAAACTGCAAACAGTATACTGTCCATCTGTCCATTAATAGGACAATCATTAAGTAAATATGATATAACATAAGGTATGTTGATCAGAATGTCTATTCTAGTTATACTTTTTAAAGAACAGCAAGTATGAACATACAATTACTTTCATTAAAACATATAAACCCTGTATGCATATATATTTGTTTCGCTAAGAAAATAAACACATGGACGTTTAGACACCAAAATGTTGTTATTTCACAAAAGACAAAACGGAGGTAGGAGACTACTAATTTTTTAAAGAAAAATCCATATTATCTAAATGCTGCAAAAAAAAATGTATTTTTTCACAATTCAAATGGCCCTTTAAAAAAAGAGGAAAATTGTTTTCATTTCCTTTAGAAAAATTAAATTACTTCTCACTTTTGCTAATAATTAGAAGAAAAATACAACGAAATAGTGTCTTCTTGTGAATCTATAATTATTTCAAAATAAAATTAAAAAAAAAAAAAAGAAATGCCCAGATTTGCCACTATCAGTTTTCAGCATATATACAGTTAGGAGTTTAAAGCTGACTTCTAATAGGTCCCCCAACTTTAAACATCCCAAAACTGTACCTGTAGAAAACACAGACTCAAATATCGGTTCCAATAACAGAAAAGTAAACTGAAATAATCAAATGGTGCTATCTACACTTCTAATACCTTTGATTCTAAGATATCATTTCTTTAACTACAGGTTATTAGAGTTTTAGTGAAATAATTTATGGAATGTTGGGAAGGAAGCAATACATTGGGGCTTATGAATAGAAAAGCTTTCTAGAAGGTAAATTACCATAAATAAAAAATGATATACTGATGTTTTGCTTTTTGATTGTTTCTGTTTTTTAATTTTAAAAAAGTTTACAAGAGTATGTATCTTTCAGTTTAGGGGGAGGTTTAGAGGAACAAAAAAGGGACAAAGGAGAAAGAAATCCTTTAGATAGTTAATACAAAAGTAAGTACATTTGTGCACCTCTAGCACCATGGAGAGAAGCCACAGAAGCCAGCTGCCAAAAGTAATCTCATAAATGGTAAAAGGTAGGAGGAGGGTAGTCTGATGTGGTAGAACACTGCAATACAAGGTCAAAGAGTTGACTGACTCACCTCTTTCACAAAGTAACTATATGATCTTGGATAAGAAATCCAAAAGAATTTGATGTACTCATCTGAACAATGAAGAAACACAAACTTTTAGGGAATTTCAAGTACAGAGCAATTTCCTAAATGTATTATAGTACCCCTCTGAACTAAGCTTTTAAAATAAGCTTTGAAATCGACTCTCCAAAATACCCTTGCCCAAATTTTCATTTAGAGAATAATTTTACTTAATAAGCCAGACAACTAATATTAAAATTAAAACTAAACAGGGCGGCGCGGTGGCTCATGCCTGTAAATCCCAGCACTTTGGGAGGCCAAGGCGGGCGGATCACCTGAGGTCAGGAGTTCGAGACCAGCCTGGCCAACATGGTGAAACCCCGTCTCTACTAAAAATACAAAAAAATTAGCCGAGCGTGTTGGTGCATGCCTGTAATCCCAGCTATTTGGGAGGCTGAAAAAGGAGAATTGCTTGAACACAGGAGGCGGAGGTTGCAGTGAGCCGAGATTGTGCCACTGCACTGCAGCCTGGGCAACAAGAGCAAAAACTTCGTTTCAAAAATAAATAAGTAAAATAAAATAAAACAATGCATTCAAATAATAAGATTTAAAATGTTACAAGACATAGAAATATCTTTTTAAATGAAAAGGGCAAGAAAAGCCAATGATTTCCTGAGTGGGGTGCAGGAGTCCTTAGAATTAATTTGGCAGGGAAAAAAAATATTCATTTTTAGCCATAAACAGTGGCTTACACCTGTAATCCCAGCACCTTGGGTGGCCAAGGCAGCAGGACTACTTGAGGCCAGGAGTTCAAGACCAGCCTGGGCAACACAAGGAGACCTTGTCTCTATGAAAAATTTTTAAAATTAGCCAAGTATGGTGTTGTGTGCCTGTGGTTCCAGCTACTTGGGAGACTGAGGCAGGAGGATTGCTTGACCAAAGGAGGTCGCGGCTGTAGTGAGCCATGTTCACGCCACTGTACTCTAGCCTGGGTGATAGAGTGAAACCCTGTCTCAACAACAATTCTGCAGGCACGCTGGCTCACACCTGTAACCCCAGCACTTTTGGAGGCCAAGGCAGATGGATCTCTTGAGGCCAAAAGTTCAAGACCTGCCTGGGCACCATGGCGAAACCCTATCTCTACCAAAAAAAAAAAAAAAAAATTAGCTGGGTTGGTGGCACATGCCTGTAGTCCCAGCTACTTGGGAGGCTGGGGTGGGAAGATTGCTGGAGTCCAGGAAGCAGAGGTTTCAGTGAGCCTAGATCACACCACTGCACTCCAGCCTGGGCAACAGGGCAAGATCCTGTCACAAAAAAAAAAAAAAGCCTTTTCATATACATGATCCAATCCTCACAGTGACTTGGTAAGAACACACTATATCCTTTATAAAATATGAAACTGAAGCTAGAGTGTTAAAGATACAATTCAAAAACAGGACCCAACTTCAAAACTCACGCCCTTTCCAACATGGTAAGACAGAAGTCACGATTACTGATGTTGGAGCTATGTATACTTGGAAGTGGAGTGCAAATGCCCAAAGAATAAAACGACATTACTTTTTAAAAAGTTAAACTCTATGGCAAATTTTTACCTTATTACTTGAGTTCTTGTTCTCTACATCAACTGTAACTAGTAACTGTGACATGTGTAATAATGCTCCTGCATCACCAAAAATCTCACATACCATGTAGTAAGTACACAAAATAAAAATCATACAGTCAAAATTATGTTTGAAAGTGTCTTATCACTTATAAAGTGTTGCTGTATACATGGTTTTGTGTTTAGGGTCCTGTTCAAAACATATGTGTAAGAATACATGAGAGGCTGGACACAATGGCTCACACTCACAGTCCTAGCACTTTGGGAGGCTGAGGCAGGCAAATCGTTTGAGCCCAGGGGTTCGAGACCAGCCTGGGCAACATGATGAAACCCCATCTCTACAAAAATGAGCCGGGTGTGGTAGTGCACACCTGTAGTCTTAGCTACTCAGGAGGCCGAGGTAGGAGGATCACCTGAGCCAGGAGGGAGAGGCTGCAGTGAGCCGTGATGTGGCACTGCTGCACTCCAGCCTGGGGGAGACAGTGAAACCCTGTTTCAAAAAATAATAATAATAATAATAATAATAATAATACACGAGAATGTAAGGTAGTACAGACACTACAGAAAATAGTTTGGTGGTTATTAAACTTAGAATTAGTGTATGACCCAGCAATTTCACTCCTAGGTGTATATTCAAAGAACTGAAAGGACTTGAACAGATACTTGTGCACCAGTGTTCCTAACAGTATTTTTGACAATAGCCAAAAAATGGAAAGTAATCCAAGTGTCCATCAATGGAGGCATACACAAAATGTGGTATATCCATACCATGGAATATTAGAATATATTCAGTCATCCTCAGGAACGAGATGGCGGTTCTCTGGAGGCTGAGTGCCCTTTGCAGTGCCCAAGGAGGTCGAGCTCTGTTGCTGTGAACGCCAGTGGTCAGACCTGCTTATATCTCAGCATTTCTTCAGGACCGACCTATCCCAGAATGATGTGGAGTACAGCACATACACTTGTCACCGAGCCACCATTCTGGTTCCAAGGCTGCATCTCTCCACTGGACTAGCAAGAAGGTTTTCAGTGTTTTGCTCCTGGGTCTGCTTCCGGCTGCTTGTTTGAATCCTTGCTCTGCGATGGGCTATTCCCTGGCTGCGACCCTCACTCTTCATGGTCACTGGGGCCTTGGACAAGTTGTTACTGACTATGTTCATGGGGATGCCTCGCAGAAAGCTGCCAAGGCAGGGCTTTTGGCACTTTCAGCTTTAACCTTTGCTGGGCTTTGCTATTTCAACTATCACGATGTGGGCATCTGCAAAGCTGTTGCCATGCTGTGGAAGCTCTGACCTTTTTGACTTCATACTTTGAAGAACTGATGTAAGCCTCTTTGCCTCTGCTTGTCATGCCATTAAGCTCACAATAAGGAAGAAATAACAGATAAGTCTGTTGGTGGACAGCCTTCTTCTCTTAATCACAAGGTTATTTTCAGAATTTAATCTTTGAGGAAAAGGTTTGAGAGGAACTATATCTAAGAAATTGTGAGACTGAGTTCTGTATTCTGGTGAGTTAATGGGGTTGCCTCCCAGCTTCTTATAAGACTCACAGTATAGCTAAACATGATATATGAGCTTTTGCCTTTTAATTTATCAATCTCTTAAAGAGAATCCAGCTTTATTACTATTAGTATATGATCAAACTTCCATATTTGCCCTGGGAATAATGGACAAAGGGAAATACTCTTAATTCATGAATAAAAACTTTGTAGAAAATTAGACAGTGATTAATTTTCGAAAACTTCCCTCTCTAGTCAGTAGATACCACCTACTGATGGTTACATATACCAGGGAAATTTTAAAATTAGGAAGTGCTGATATCTCACATTATAAATTTCTAAATCCTAGGGAGAAATGCTTGGAGTGCTTCTGAATATAGAGAAGTTCCATTTAAGGGCAAGTTTCCCCTTGTAGACGTATCAAAATATTACCAATTGTAAACTTAGATTTATTTCTCAAATGTGTTCTACTTGTTCTAAAACAATCTGTCCACAAATATAAAACTATAAGTAATAAATTGTTATTTTCGCACAATGGGAATCTCTAATGTGAAAATGTATTCTATGAAAATAATTTTTTTAAATAAAATGTTGTATAATAATAAAAAAAGACTATATTCAGTCACAAAAGGAATCAAATTCTGATACATGCTACAACATGAATGAACCCTGAAAACACTATGCTTTAAGTGAAATAAGCCAGTAACAAGAGGACAAATATTTTATGTTTTCACTTTTGGTTTCTTGTTTTTGAGACACAGTCTCACTCTCTCACCCAGGCTACAGTGCAGTGAGTGGTGGGATCATAGCTCACTGCAGCCTCAAAATGCTGGGCTTTATAAAGCAAATCCTCCCACCTCAGCCACCTGAGTAGCTGGAACCACAGGTGTGCACCACCACACCCAGCTAATTTTTTAAATATCTATATAGATGGGGTCTCCCTGTGTTGCAAAGGCTGGTCTTGAACTCCGGGCTCAAGTGATCCTCCCACCTCAGGCTCCCAAAGTGCTGGGATTACAGGCATGAGCCACCATGACCAGCCTGATCTCACTTTTATGAGGTATCTAGAATAGACAAATTCAAAGATACAGAAAGTGGAATAAAGGTTACTAGGGGGCTGGGGGAGAAGAATGGGGAGTTATTACTTAATTTAACAGAGTTTCTGTTTGAGATGCTGAAAAAATTTCTGGAAACAGACAGTGGTGATAGTTAAATAACAATGTGAATGTACTTAATGCCACTGAACTGTACATTTGAAAATGGTTAAAATGGTAAATATGTTACATATATTTTGCCACAATAAAAAAGTCAAAAAAAGAAAAATATGCTGTATACACTTAACTATAGTACATAACAGTACTTTTATAAAATTTTGAAATGATTACTATATTTAATTAACCCTTTAATTTTTTGCCAATCTAATAGATGAATTTTTAATAACTTAAATATGTAGCTAGTGCAAGTCCACTGAATACAGTTACACAGAAATAATACTCCTAAGTATATACTATACAACCAAAGTTATATATACACTGTAATTATACATAATTGAAAGCTATTTATAGATATGAAATACACACACAGACACACACACACACAGACACACACACACATGCACACTTTGGTATTGTATAGCATCTTAAAAGTTTCCATAAATTCTGGAGGTGGTTCTAGCTAGAAATCAAAAAGTGAAAAAGATTAAAAAAAGAAAAAGAAAAAAAAAGTTTCCATAAAAACCATACATGCAATATATACATAAAATTATAAACTATATATTTTTATAATTAGTCTGTTCCCACTAGAATGGAAACTTCAGGACTTCACAATTAGTCTGTTCCCACTAGAATGGAAACTTCAGGAGGGCAGAAATGACCCGGTGCATCACATTTATGACGGTATACCATGCAGCTACAACATGGCTTCCAGTAAATACTAAGCATTCACACATTTGATGAATACGTAAAAGAAAGAATAAATTGTTATATGTCTGTTATAAATGACAACCTTCAAAAATAAGAAACAGCACTTTAAGTTGTCCATTGTTTCTGTATTAGACACATTTCACAAAGCATGTTATTTACATAAACTACACGAAGACAAAAAACAGACTAAAGAGTAGCTATGAACAGTGTGCTAAGTGAAAAAGTTTAAATATCAGCACTAATACTTAATTTCCCCTTTTAAATTAGGTGCCAAAGTACCAATGTATATCTACCATGAATATTCATATACTATAGAACTCAGGACTGTATTACCTTTAGGAAGCTGAAAAGCTTACTTATGTTTTAGAAATCTATCTACCTGACAACTTCTAAAAGCCTCTCTCATTAAAGGTTAAACTGCTGTTATACAAAAAAATCAACTATGTAGGGCTGCTTTCTACCTCTCTATCACTTTGCTATTTATGTAGTAAAATATTTGTATTTTACTTTTCTAAGATGTAAATCAAAAGCAGCATACAAAGCATCTCATATAATTTAACATGTCCCCAGAGATAGCTGGGAATCTCTTCCCAATGGAACTGACTTCATTTGCAAGAGTGTGACGTTCAAGCCTAAAAGCAATATCAAACCCAAGGTTGAGTGAAAGGCATTTTGGAAGAGATTCAAAATACAGGCTAAACTGTAGGCCAGCTAGTTTGCAGGTGAGAACCAGGGAATAAGACAGCTGGGATGCGCCCCTCTGGGTCTGAACAAATTGTACATGCAGTGACCTCGAGAGTCGTATGGATCTGGCTAAGAAGCAATTTATGTCCTAGAGTATTGTTAAAGACAATAGAGTAGTCAGCCAGAAATCAGTGGAGATAAAAAGCTGGGTGTGGTCAGAAAAAGAAACAGAAGAAAGCTCTGCCAAACACTGTCAGCCCAACACTGCCAGGTGCCATGTGGTCATACACAAGTCTGTGCCCCTAAGGAGCAACACCAGAGGCTTAAACACTGCAAGGGGGGAAACAGAAATCACTGAAACAGGGCAACAGAAGTCACTAAACAAATAAGCAAATAATTGTAACAAGCCCTGGAAACGAGCAGGGGGTTGAAAGATCAGTACCCAGAGTTGTTGCAATGTTATACAAGATGTTCAGTTTCCAACATAAAATTACGAGCCATGTAAAGAAATAGGAAAGTGCTGAGTGTGGTGGCTCACGCCTGTAATCCCAGCACTTTGGGAGGCCGAGATGAGTGGATCACAAGGTCAGGAGTTCGAGACCAGCCTGGCCAACATGGTGAAACTCCATCTCCACTAAAAATACAAAAAATTAGCCAGGCGTGGTGGCGGGCACCTGTAATCCCAGCTACTAGGGAGGCTGAGGCAGGAGAACTCCTTGAACCCAGGAGACAGAGGTTGCGGTGAGCAGAGAATCAGCCTGGGTGACAGAGCAACTCTGTCAAAAAAAGAAAAAAAAAGGGAGGGAGGGAGGGAGGGAAGGAAGGAAGGAAGGAAGGACCCATATACCAGAGAAAAATAAAGGCAAAGGACACTACCTGCAAGAGCAACCAGATGATGGATTTAACCAACTTCAAAATGCCATTATAAATATGTCCAAAGAACTAAAGGATACCATAATTGCAGAAGGAAGGTATAATGACAGTATCTCAGCAAATGGACAATATCGATAAAGAGACATTATTAAAAAGAACCAAATGGAAATTCTGGAGTTGAACACTGACTAGAAAAAATCACTAGAGGAGCTCAAAAGTACATTTGAACTGGCAGAAAAAAGAACTGGCAAACTTGAAGACAGATTGATAGAGATGATGCAATCCAAAGAATAGAGAGGAAAAAAAAGAGTGAAAAAAATACAAAGCCTCAGAGAAATATGAAACATCAATAAGCACATGAACATACACATAATGGGAGTAGTAAACAGACAGGAGAGAGAGGGAAAGGGAAAGAAAAACTATCTTAAGTAATGATGACTGTATAAAAATGAAGAACTACAGGTAACACAGATGAATCTCCCAAACATAATTTGAGCAAAAACAGCAAGACAAAGTATACGATGCTGGTCATATAAATTTCAACAAAGGAAACTATATTTTAGGGATGCACATAAAGGTGATAAAAGTCATGATAGTGACTACCTCTAAGGAAAGGGAGACGACTTCAAATGGCAAGGGGTGTATGGGGCAGGGGGATTCTGAGGTACGTGAAATATTCTGCTTTTGACCTCGGAAGAGTCTACAAAGACATCTACTTTATAACGAAACTGTACCTGTTTTATATGTTTCTGAATGTATATTTCCTTTTTCAAAGTTTTAAAAGAAAGAGACACTAGCTGCAAATTTCCAAGAATTGGTTAAAAGTAATCCCTAGACCCAGAAAGTACAACATACCCAAATGTGATCAATAAGCCCACATCCAGATACAAAGTAGTAAAATTGCACAACACTAAAGACAACAAGAACCATAAAGGAAGCCATAAAGAAAGAATCCTTCACCCAATGGAATAATTAGAGTAACAGCAAGTAACAGCAAGGAAGCCAGAAGGCAGTAATGTATCTTCAAGATATGAAGAGAAAATTACTGTCAACCTACAACTGAGCACCTAGGAAATAACAACCCTGAAAAAATGAGAGTAAAATTATAAAAAGACATTTCAAAGACAACTGAAAAGACTTTGACATGGACTAGGTGTTAGATGATGTTAAGGAATTACTGCTAATTTAGTTAGGAATGAGAATATTGTGGGTTTTTTTTTTTTTAACCTCTTCTCTAGGAGATACATTCTAAAGTATTGACAGACTTCATGATTGGATATTCCAGCAGGAAGGAAGGCACAGAGAGGTAAAGAGACCCCTCTTTAAACATGAAATTATAAAGTATCAATAACAGGAAACTGAGGAATGGAAATACTGGATTTCATCATAGCATTTGTTCTACTTTCATGTATGCTTAAAAAATTTTCATGACAAACAGCTAAAAATAGTCAGGCACAGTGGCCAACACGTGTAATCCCAGCTACTTGGGAAACTGAGGCAGGAGAATCGCTTAAGCCCAGGAGTTCAAGGCCAGCCTGGGCAACATAGTAAGACCCTGACTCAAAAAGAGAAATGAGGCTAAATTAAAAATTAAATAAACAAAAACTGGCAATTTACCACTAAAAGACCTCCACTAATGAAACTTCTGAAGACGTTTTTTAAGAAGGAGGAAAATAATCCAGGAGGACAGTCAGAAATTTTTTTTTCTGTTTGTTTGTTTGTGTCAGGGACTCCTCTGTCACCCAGGCTGGAGTGCAGTGGCGTGATCTCGGCTCACTGCAACCTTCGCCTCCTGGGTTCAAGCGATTCTCCTTCCTCAGCCTCCTGAGTAGCTGATATTCTGGTTAAAAGTAATCCTTAGACCCAGATTACCAGGCAGGTGCACACCACCACGCCTGGCTAATTTTTGTATTTTTGGTACAGACGGGGTTTCACCATGTTGAATAGGCTGTTCTCAAACTCCTGGCCTCAAGTGATCCACCTGCCTCAGCCTCCTAAAGTGCTGTGATTACAGGCGTGAGCCGCTGTGCCCAGCTACAGTCAGAAATTGAAGGCATGGTAAGGAAAGATGTGGTAAAAATGTGCGTAAACTGAATCACACATTTCTCTATAAAATAACAACAATGTCTGTCTAATTTGTTAGATTTAAAAAGGATAAAATGTCTATTGGGAGGGGAGTGATATAAGATAAACTGCTCTAAGGTCCAACTTAAAGAGTAACATGAATGGTCGGGAGGTCAAGGCATTAAGAATCACTTGAACCCAGGAGGCAGAGGTTGCAGTGAGCCGAGATCACGCCACTGCACTCCAGCCTAGGTGACAAAGTGAGACTGACTCAAAAAAGAAAAATAAGACCCTCCAGAAAAAGAGGGTAAAAAAAGAGTAACATGAATGGTAAAATTTCAAGGGTAATCACATAATCCTCTATGATCTACTAACCCCACCTCTGCATAACAGCCTTAGAGAAACAGTTGCACATCTGCATGAGTAGAAGCAATTGCAGGAATGTTTTGCAATAGCAAAAAATTGGGACTCCCAATGTCTATCAATAGGAAAGGCTAAGTTACTGTGTATCAGTAAAATTAAATAAAGCAGTTTTAAAGAACTAAATCTGTACATACTAACATACTGAATGAAAAGAAAACTAATTGCAGGTACTGTATAACAGTTGTGTTTTGTTTTGTCTTGTTTTTGTTCGAGAGATTCTCATTCTGTACCCCAGGCTGGAATGCATGGCATGATCTTGGCTCATTGCAGCATCCACCTCCCGAGTTCAAGCAATTCTCATCCCTCAGATTTCCTAGTAGCTGGGATTACAGGCATGCACCACCACACCTGGCTAATTTTTGTATTTTTAGTAGAAATGGGGTTTCATACATTGGACAGGGTGGTCTCGAACTCCTGGACTCAAGTGATCTGCCCGCCTCGACCTCCCAAAGTGCTGGAATTACAGGTATGAGCTACCACACCCAGCCAACTGTTTTTACACTAAAAAAGAAATCATACATGTTCTCTACATATGTATAGTATAAGCAAACCCTTAGGGGGAAAAATGACATATAAACTGCTAATAGTGACTACCTTTAGGAAAATAAAGAAGGGAATGGGAGCAATCAGAAAGCTGAACCTTATCTATGTGTTTTTGCAAAGAGACTATTTATGTATTTCTTCTATAATAGCAATTAATTTTTAAAAGGCAACTTTTTAAAGAGTATTAAACTTTGAATCCTTTGAGTGCAAAGACTGTGCCTATGTTATTCAACACTGTACCATAGACATGTGCAAGTATTATATGCTCCCAAAACTGTATATGGAGGATGGCAGAGAGACAAATAAAACAGTGATTCAGGTTGTGTGTAGTGGCTCGCAGCTGTAATCCCAGCACTTTGTGAGGCTGAGGAGGGAGGCTCACCTGATGCTAGGAGTTCAAGACCAGCCTGGGCAACATAGCGAGACCCTATCAGTACAAAAAATAGCTGGGCATGGAGGAGCACACCTGTAGTGCCAGCTACTGCGGAGGCTGAGGCAGAAGGATCGCTTGAGCCCAGGAGTTCAAGGCTGCAGTGAGCTATGATCACGTCACTACACCATAGCCTGGGTGACAGAGTAAGAACCTGTCTCTAAAAGAGGAATAGTAATAAAAGAGTGTATCAAAGGACATGTAAGAAAATAGGGACAGGCATGGTGGCTCACGCCTGTCCCAGAACTTTGGGAGGCCAAGGCAGGTGGATCACCTGAGGTCAGGAGTTCGAGACCAGCCTGGCCAACATGGCGAAACCCTGTTTCTACTAAAAATACAAAAATTAGCCAAGCGTGGTGGCACACACTTGTAATCCCAGCTACTTGAGAGGCTGAGGCAGGAGAACCACATGAACCTGGGAGGCGGAGGTTGCAGTGAGCTGAGGTCGTATCACTGCATTCCAGCCTGGGCAACAAGAGTGAAACTCCATCTCAAGAAAAGAAAAAGAAAAGAAAATAGCAGTGTCTGTCACTGAGTAGAGGGCTAGAGGTAGTTCGTTTTCTTCCTTTTATTTTTCAATCTTTAGAAATGAACGTTTACTTGTATAATGAGAAAAACTATATTAAATTAGTTGAAAATTTAAGTATGACGGACAAATAAAAAGGGACAATAGAGTGATGAGATGAAAAAACTTCTGAATGTATAATTAGAGATTAGCATCAGTATGTTTCCTATCAATTTAATGCTCAGGAGGAGGCCAGGAGTTTATAAAATTAAAGGCTAAGCCCGATGAAAGTGTTATTAATAGGTAAAATCAAATCTGCACAAAATCGAAGCTGAGACTAATTAGTGTGCTAAATAATTCTCTACCACACTTGTGAAGGTTGTCAAGAAAAGGAATTGCCTATATCAATTTATTTTCAACTGAAAAATACAGTTTTATTTGGGGGAAAAAGTATCTGATAGGGTATAACACCTTTGAAGTTTGTAAGGACTTATCTAGAAACCTAATTAAAACAAAAGGATCCAGGTATTATAAGCTTAAAACCCTTCTAGTCCGTCTGGACTCCTATAAATTAGTCTTTTTAGAGATACTTCTGTACATCAATTTACAGTATACCACTAGTAATGGATAAAACAGAAAAAATTAATCCAAGGAGAAACACTAAACTGAAAATGAAGTGCAAGACCCAGTCTTAGCCAGTGAATTTTTTTTTAAGCTCATGTTTATTAGCCTGGTTAAATGCAACCACTTCTTTAGCCAAACTGTCAGCTAGTCACTTACATTCTACCACCTCCTAAATTCTAACCCCAGATGGCATGCTACTAATCTTATGCTCCTTGCCCACCAAGAGATCTCTGCCAGTGTATCTGTCTCAAACTTCATTCAGGAATATCCTGCCACCACTTCTGCAGTTTTACTTCATGGAAAGCATTGATTCATATGGAAGTCCAACCTTTCAGTGTTTTGGGCTAGGTAGGGCATAAGGGGACATGGAGGAAGCGTACAGTAAGACAGAATTCATAAAGGAGGGCAGATAACAGGTATCTGGGTAAATAATGATTTTTAAATGAAAGAAAATGATTTTTGAAAATTTAAACAAAAATAAAACAATCAAGCTTATGTATGAGTATTTTCCTGGAATTGTTTTATATATATATGTTATATTATATATATATAAAATATAACATATATATGGATACAAAAATATTTTTATATATAAATATATATAATAAATATATATATTTTATATATATATATATATATATTATATATATAGCTGGTACAGCAGCTCATGCCTATAATCCCAGCACTTTGGGAGGCCAAGGCAGGTGGATCGCTTGAGCTCAGGAGTTCAAGACCAGCCTGGGCAATATGGCGAAACCCTATCTCTATAAAAAATATATATACATATATATATATATATATATTTGATTTCTAGATATGCTACCATGCAGCCATCTGGAATAAAACTAAATAATAAATACTTTTAAGGGGTCTAAAATACAGAAATATAGCTATTAATTCTTCTTTAAAAGGAAGAAAAAATTTAGTGTTTTAACATTTGTTCCTCTCTAATCTCCATGTGTGCCTCACTTCTATTATGACTCAGTAAAGCCTAGAATGGTAACCGTTTTACACCATAAAACTAAAATAGTAAAGTCAAGAGTCCTCTGGTCCACACACAACTAGTTCATTCCTGTTTCCAATAGAAAATGTTAACCAAATTAGTATTACTACAGAAAGTCTCACAGAGAATGTATATGTCAGAATGTTTTCAAGAATAAAACAAGGCCGGGCACAGCAACTCATTCCTGTAATCTCAGCACTCTGGGAGGCCAAGGCAGGTGGATCGCTTGAGCTCAAGAGTTAAAGACCAGCCTGGGCAATATGGCGAAACCCTATCTCTATAAAAATAAAAAATTAATTAAAAAATTAAAAAAAAATAGCCAGGTGCGGTGGTACGCACCTGTGGTCCCAGCTACACAGGAGGGTGAGGCAGAAGAATCACTTGAGCCTGGGAAGTGGAAGTTGCAGTGAGCCAAGAGTAAAAGCCTGTCTCAAAAAAATAAAATAAAAAAAGTAAATAAGTAAAAACAAAAAGGAGCTTGAGACCAGCCTGGGCAACGTGGTGAAACTCCATCTCTACAAAAAGTACAATAATGAGCTGGGTATGGTGGCGTGTGCCTGTAGTCCCAGGGGGCTGAGGCACAAGAATCACTTGAGCCTGGGAAGAGGAGGTTGTAGTGAGCCGAGATCATGCCACTTCACTCCAGCCTGTGTGACAGAGTGACAGCGTCTCAAAATAAAATAAAATAGAACAAAACAAAACATTCTGTAAACGTAAAGGACCAAATATACACAACACTAGGTCAATTACAATTGTGGAAAACAAATTGGTCAGCCACAGTGGCTCACACTAGTAATCCCAGCACTTTGGGAGGCTGAGGCAAGAGGATCACTTGAAGCTAGGAAACCAGCCTGGACTACAAAGCGAGGCCCTGTGTGAAAAAAGGACAGGACAGGACAGGAAGAGAAAGAAAGAATAGCCAGGCACAGTGGTGTGTGTCTGTAGTCCCAGCTACTTGGGAGGCTGAGGTGGAAGGATCACTTGAGCCAAGGATTTCCAGGCTGCAGTGACCTAGGATCATACCAGTGCACTCCAGCCTCGGGAAGAGAGCAAAATCCTGTTCTCCTAAAAAAAAAAAAACTATGTGGCGAAAAAAAAAGCTTTAAATTCATATAGCAATGCCAACCAATTCAACCAACTCAAAGGCTGTGCTTTGAATATAGAAAATAATGGTCAATACATATATGGGTGCTAGTTTTACTAATCTTGAAATTGCACATAAATATATTCTATACACATTTAAAAAACAATTTCAAAATAAAAGTCTACCAACCATGGACAAAGGAATTTATTTTGCAACAAAAGTGGTCTATTTAAATAAATACATACTTCAGGTGTCTTCAGGAAGTTTAAGCCCACAGGTTTAAAAAAAAAAAAGACTAAGGCCAGGCACTGTGGCTCATGCCTGTAATCCCAGCACTTTTGGAGGCTGAGGCGGGCAGATTACTTGAGGCCAGGAGCTCAAGACCAGCCTGGCCAACATGCTGAAACCCTATCTCTACTAAAAATAAAAAATTAGCTGGGCATGGTGGTGCATGCCTGTAGTCCCAATTATTTGAGAGGCTGAGGCACGAGGTGAACCTGTGAGGTGGAAGTTGCAGTGAGCCAAGATTGCACCACTGCACTCCAGCCTGGGCAACAGAGCAAGACTGTCTCAAAAAAACAAACAAACAAAAAAGACTAAAACATATAAGCGTGTTAATATCTGAGAACAGAATATTTTGTTTACTTAATTGTGGGATGGAAACTCACTTACACCACTGCCATCTTAGAAAGTAAAACCCCCATTTAAAAATGTAACATTGACGAAAACAGAAGAGAATCTAGACATTAGGAAACATTTTTGTTGAAGGGCTAAACAGTAAATATCTTATGCTTTACTGGCCATTCAAACATTACAATTACTCTACTGCTTAAATGCAAAGGCAGTCACAGGCTATACACAAATGAGTAAGTGTGGCTGTATTCCAATAAAACTATCTACGGACATTGAAAACTGAATTTCAGTTAATTTTCTCATATTACAACAAACTGATTTTTTTGAATTATTTTTTCTACCATTCTCTCATGCCTCACAAAAACAAGCAGCAGGAAGGATTTCTGCAGTGGGATGCAGTTTACCAACCTCTGCTCTGATCTAAATCAACGAGGAAACCTCACAACTGATCATAAGTCTAAATCCTAGACCTCTTTCAAATCTTTTTATCTTATACTTCTTCCTGAAGAAATCTTTTGACTACATATTAGGCAAATGGTTTCTCTCTATTCTAAGGATGTACTTTTACAAGCTGTGGTATATAATATGAAATATAATCATCCGTCGGTATCATTGGAGGACTTGTTCCAGGACCTCCCCACCTTCTATGGATACAAAAATCAGAGGAAGCTCAAGTCCCTTATATAAAATGGTTTACTATTTGCATATTACATATGCAATCCTCCCATTTATTTTAAATCATGTCTAGATTACTTATAACTCGGTAAATGCTATATAAACAGTTACTGTGACATAATTTTTTTATTTATATTTTTTGTTGTCTCCACCCCATCCCCGAAAATTTTCCATCCATGGGTAGTTGAATCCACAGATACAGAAGGCCAACTGTATATAAAGGGTTCAGTACTATCTGCGGTTTCAGGCAATCACTGGGGGTCTTGGAACGCATCACCCATGGATAAGGGAGGACTACTGTGTAAGGTGGGAAAAGAAGTAAAACTAGTCTTTATTTGCAGATGATAAGATTTTGTACATAGAAACCCCAAAATAACAGAAAACTACTATAACTACTAATTCAGCAAGATCACTGGCTATAAAACCAATATATAAAAATCCACTGTATTTCAAAATACTAGCAACATGCAATGGAAACAAAGTAAAATTGTAATAACACTTAAACAGCATCAAATAAAACATCAAATATCAAGGAATAAATTTAATGAGATGTGCAACACATTTACATTAAACCACAAAATACTAGAGAGAGAAAAGAAAGAAGACTGGATGTTGGCAACAACAGGGAGCATACAGTTGTAAAAGGTCAGTATTATCTAACTGTACTTCAATAATACACAGTGAAAGGAAAGGAAGGGAAGGGAAGGAGACAAAGGGAAAGAGAAATGGAAGGAAGAAATGTTATTTGAGGTTTAATTTTATGATTTGGCTAAGTCAAAATCTGTATCTGAAAGTAACACCAATGCATGCTTTTGTGGAAAGAAGCATTCTCTATGATACACAGTATCTCGCATTGTAAGGGATATACCTTAAAATAGTACTATTTTCTTTGGACAACTAACTATCATTATTACATGCTCAGCCTATTTAAACTTTAAGAATAATAAATTAATAGGATTTTGAGATAAGTTCTATTTTAATTTTTCCAAAAATTTGTAAGTTTCAATGGCGTTTCCACGCTTCTAATACTATTTTACATAAAATATCTGTTCTCTTTGTGACTTAAAACTCTATTCAGACTTAATTTTTCCATACCCAAAGGGAAATTACTTAACTTCATTGTAATACAATTAGCAATGACATAAAAGCAACAATTAGAAAAAATATCTAAGTCACCAAGGACTCTATAGCATATAAAACTTTCTGTACCTATACAGATATCAAGAGCATATGTATGTGCATGTGTGTGTTTTGTAAAGGATCTTACTGCATACAGTTCTGGAATTTGGTCTCCCCCACTCTTAATGCAATCAACATTTCTCCTTTGTGTAAATCATAGGTTACGACTCTCAATGAATATTATATTCTACTACACAGATGTCCTATAATTTATTTAACCAGTCTCCTGTTACTGAACATTTGTTTCAAAGTTTTTGCTACTGTAAACAACATTGTAACAAACACTCCATGTGTGTTGATTTTCCTCATTTATGTTATTTCACCTACACAGGCATACCCAGAAGATATTGTAGATTCAGTTCCAGGCACCTGCAATTACCACTATAAAGCAAGTCACACAAATTTTTTGGTTTTGTGGTGCATATTAAAGGTATGTTTACACTATACTGTAGTATATCACATATGCAATAGCATTATATCTAGAAAACAATGTATACACCTTAATTTAAAAATACTTTACTGCTAAAAAATGATAAGATCATCTGAGCCTTCAGACAGTCACAGTCTTTTTGCTGGTGGAGGGTCTTGCCTTGATGTTGATGGCTGCTGATTGATCAGGGTGGTCGTTGCCAAAAGATGGAGTAGCTGTAGCAATTTCTTAAAATAAGACAACAATAAAGTTTGCCACAGCCATTGACTCTCTCTTTCACGAAAGATTTCTCTGTAGCATGTGATACTGTTTGATAGCATTTTACCCACGTAGAACCTCTTTCAAAATTGGAGGCAATCCTCTCGAACCCTGTCACTGCTTTGTCAAATAAGTTTATTAAATATTCTAAATCCTTTGTTGTCATTTCAACAATATTCACAGCATCTTCAGGAGAAGGTCCCATCTCTAAAAACCACTTTCTTTGCTCATTCTTATGAGGCATCTCCTTATCTGTTCAAATTGTATCATGAGATTGCAGCAATTCAGTCACATCTTCAGGCTGTACTTCTAATTCTAGTCATCTTGCTATTTCTACCATATCTGCAGTTACTTCCCACGATGAAGTCTTAAACCTCTCAAAGTCATCCATGAGAGATGAAATCAACTTCTTCCAAACCCCTGCTAATGTTGGTATTTTGACCTCCTCCCATCAATCAGGGATGTTATTAATGGCTTCTAGAATGATGAATCCTTTCCAGAAGGTTTTCAATTTATTTTGCCCAGATCCATTGGAGGAATCACTATCTACAGCAACTATAGCCTTATGAACATTGTATTTCTTAAATAAGATTACGTGAAACTCAAAATTACTCCTGGATCCACGGACTGCAGAATAGATGTTGTGTTAGCAGGCATGAAAACAACATTAATCTCCTTGTACATCTCCATCAAAGCTCTCAGGTCACCAGGGCAATGCACAGGGACAGTTTGAAAGGAATCTTTTTTTCTGAGCGGTAGGTCTCAACAGCGGGCTTAACGTTCCCTAAACCATGCTGTAAACAGATAGGCTGTCAGCCAGGCTTCCTACCATTCTCTCATGCCTCACAAAAACAAGCAGCAGGAAGGATTTCTGCAGTGGGACGCAGTTTACCAACCTCTGCTCTGATCTAAACCAACAAGGAAACCTCACAATTGATCGTTAAGTCTAAATCCTAGACCTCTTTCAAATCTTTTTCTCTTATACTTCTCCCTGAAGAAATCTTTTGACTATTAGGCAAATGGTTTCTCTATTCTAAGGATGTACTTTTACAAGCTGTGGTATATAACATGAAATATAATCATCTGTCAGTATCCTTGGAGGACTTGCTCCAGGACCTCCTCGCCTATGGATACAAAAATCAGAAGATCATAAAGTCCCTCATATAAAATGGTTGTTCCATTTACAGAGCATAGGCAGGGTAGATTTAGCATAATTCCTAAGGGCCCTGTGGTTTTCAGAATAGTCCATGAGCACTGACTGCAACTTGAAGTCTCCAGCGGCATTAACCCCTAATAAGAGTCAGCCTATCCTTTGAAGCTTTGAAGCCTTGAAGCCAGGCACTGACTTCTCCTTTCTAGTAATCAAAGTCCTAGAAGGCTGTTTCACCTACATTGAAAATCTGTTTAGTGTAGCCATCTTCATCCATGATCTTAGCTAGATCTTCTGGACAACTGACTACAGTTTCTACATCAGCACTTGGTGTTTCACCTAGCACTTTTATGTTATGGAAATGGCTTCCTTCCTTAAACATCATGAGCCAATCTCAGCTAGTTGCAAAGTTTTCTTCTGTAGCTTTCTCACTTCTCTCAGCTTTCATACAATGGAAGAGAGAGCCTTGCTCTGGATGTGAGTTAGAGCTTTGCTCTGGATTAGGTTGTGGTTTAAGGAAATTATGTGACTGGTTTCATCTTCTAGGCAGACGACTCAAACTTTCTCCATGTCCACAATAAGGCTGTCTCGCTTTCTTATCATTCATGTGTTCACTGGAGTAGCACTTTCAATTTCCCTCAAGTTTTCCTTTGCATTCAGAACTTGGCTAATTTTTTGGTGCAAAAGCCCTACTTTTTGGCCTATCTCATGAGGCTTTTGACATGCCTTCTTCACTGAACTTAATCATTTCTAGCTTTTGGTTTAAAGTGAGAGACATGTGATTCTTTCTTTCATTTGAACACTTAGAAAATGACCTAATTTCAATATTGTGTTTCAGGGAGTAACGAGGACCCAGAGGGAGACAGACAGAGCAATAGCCAGTCACCAGAGCAGTCAGAACACATACAACATGTATTAATTAAGTTCATCATTTTACGTAGGTGCAGTTCCCGGCATCTCAAAACAGCTATAATAGTAACATCAAAGATCACTGACCAGAGATCACCGTAACAGACATAATAATCATTAAAAAGTGTGAAATATTGTGAGAATTACCCAAATGTGACACCGAAACATGAAGCAAGTATATGCTGTTGAAAAATGCCACTGATAGACTTGCTTGACTCAGGGTTGCCACAAACCTTCAATTTGAAAAAAAAGCAGTATCTATGAAGCACTTATTAAAGCAGTACACAATAAGGCAACTTACGCCTGTAATTCTGAATTGCCTGAAACGGTTCTATGTGACCATGTAGAGCTTTCTTCAGGATTCAACAAATTTTTTTCTGCAAGGGCCAGATTGTAGGTATTTCAGGCTACATAGGCACATACAATCTCTGTTCTATATTCTTTGTTTTGTTTTTACAAACCTGTAAAAATGTAAAAAGCATTTTTAGCTCATGGACTTTACAAAAAACAGTCCATGAATAGGATGGGGCCTGCAGGGCATAGTTTGCCAACACCTGGTTTAGATCACATTCTACAAAGATCTGTGAAAGCAGAAAATTACCCCACAATTTTAGGTGGTGTGTGCCAGTCACATTTTTTTTTGAAAGTCTAGTGTAATGATTCTTAGCTACATTTAAGAAATAAATTTCATATATCCTCTTTTAATTCTCACCCCCACACAGACTAATCAAAATTTATAATTTAAATTTTTATGAAGTCTAGTGTGCAAAAAAGAAATAAGCAATTTTAAAGATTCTTATTAGAATAAATGGTTTTGCTAATGTTCATAACTTATCAACTACTTTTATCAAATATTCAGAAGATACTCCCTGAAAGGCTGCTCCTAACAAACCCTGTACACCCAGCTGTGGCTACATAATGCCTCACAGCTACAGGAATAAATATCATCATCGAATTGTCCTTATCTCAGTTCACAGCCTGTCCCTGCTTTACCTATTAAATCTTTGGAAATAACAAGCAGAGGCCGGGCGCAGTGGCTCACGCCTGTAATCCAAACACTTTGGGAGGCCGAGGCAGGTGGATTATCTGAGGTCAGGAGTTCAAGACCAGCCTGGCCAACATGGCAAAACCCCGTCTCTACTAAAAATGCAAAAATTAGCCAGGCGTGGTGGTGCACCCCTATAATTATGGCTATTCAGGAGGCTAAGGTGGGAGAATTGCTTGAACCTGGGAGGTGGAGGCTGCAGTAAGCCGAGATCGCACCACTACACCCCAGCCTGGGCGACAGAGCGAGATCCCGTCCCAAAAAAATAAAATAAAATAGAAAAAGGAAATAAGCAGAGCAAATATAATAAAATAATATTAAAAATTAACTGTCTTTTTTTTACCAAGATGAAATTTCAGTAAAATATCTTTAACCACTTCAGCAAACTCTTCTCTTTAAAAAAGGATAAGAACTGCGACAGTCCAGAGATTTATTAAAAGAAAGAATATCCGTCTTAAGAGTATATTCACTTTATATTTCCTATTCCCTTATAAAAAAAAATCACTTGAAGCAAACAATGTTTGAACAGAAGGAAAAAAGGTGAAAAAAAAGGAAAATTTTTAAAAGAGAAAACAAAGAAGGTAGATTTGACAGGTGTAGGTTGGAAGACTAACAGAGAATTCTACAACTTTTATAATATTACCAACTTCAGCAGAGTGTGGAGTGCTTCTAAAAAAAAAAAAATCTATGTTTTTAGTTCTTTTGGTTTCCAGTAACTGTGCTGGAACATTAGAACCAGCTTGGGAAGTTACAAAATATAATTAACCTACCAGTTCTGTCCCCATCTCCCTCGATCCAATCTCCTTATTCTGGTCTACTCTAAAAGGTCCACTTTACAGTCATCCCATCTGCACTCTAAGAGAAAAGGGGATAGGAGGGATCCAGGAGAAAAAAAGGGATGAAAGGAATGAAATAATAAAAGACTGGAGGAGAGTTATCAACCGCATGTCACAAAGACCCTTACTCTCACAGGAAACTCGATTCCTTCCTAATACTTCCTTATACTTTTGTCCATTACAGCTTCTGAAGATTTTCTTACTAATGAAGACCTCTTAACATGCAAATATTAAGCACATTCTGTATTTCAATTAGATTCAAATTAGAAAGCATTAGAAAATAAGGTGTGTATAGCAGATCTAGGTTACAGTCTTGGATTCTTAAAATAACGAGTTTTGAGAAGTTGGTCAAGTCATAGGTTTCTATAGACCTGAGCTTCGGTCAGTAAAATGAAGAGGTTGTATTAGATAAACCTCTAAGATCCCTCCCCATTCTAAAACTCTAAAAATGTAAAATGATTACAGTAAACCTCTTGCAGTTAAGCAACGGATTTTAAAGGGATTAAATAATGTGATAACCTTCAATCTTCTGCATATGGCTAGCCAGTTATCCCAGCACCATTTATTGGTTAGGCAATCTTTTCCCCACTGCTTGTTTTTGTCAGCTTTGTCAAAGAACAGACAGCCGTAGATGTGCAGCCTTATTTCTGGGCCCTCTATTCTGTTCCATTGGTCTATGTCCCTGTTTTTGTACCAGTGTCATGCTGTTTTGGTTACTGCAGCCTTGTAGTATAGTTTGAAGTCAGGTAAAACAATGCTGGACCGCTACCTTATACCATGCACAAAAACTAACTGAAGATGGATTAAAGACTTAAATGTAAAACCCAAAACTATAAAAACCCTGGAAGACCGGGCACGGTGGCTCATGCCTGTAATCCCAGCACTTTGGGAGGCCGAGGCGAGTAGATCACCTGAGGTCAGGAGTTCGAGACCAGTCTGGCCAACATGCTGAAACCCTGTCTCTATTAAAAATACAAAAACTAGCTGGGTGTTGTGGCAGGCGCCTGTAATCTCGGCTATTCGGGGGGCTGAGGCAGGAGAATCGCTTGAACCCAGGCTGTGGAGGTTGCAGTGAGCCGAGATCGCGCCATGCACTCCAGCCTGGGGGACGACAGTGAGACTTCATCCCCCCACCCAAAAAAAAAAAAAAAAACCAACCAACCAACCACCGTGGAAGACAACCTAGACAAATACCATCCTGGATGTAGGAACCGGCAAAGATTTCATGACAAAGACACCAAAAGCAACTGCAACAAAAGCAAAAATTGACAAGTGGGATCTAATTAAACTTAAGAGCTTCTGCACAGCAAAAGAAACTATCAACAGAATAAACAGACAACCTACAGAATGGGAGAAAATATTTGGAAACTATGCATCTGACAAAGGTCTAATATCCAGCATTTATAAGGAACAAACAAATTTACAAGAGAAAAACAAACAATCTCATTAAAAAGAGGGCAAAGGACAAGAACAGACACTTCTCAAAGAAGACATATATGCCACCAAGAAGCATATGAAAAAAAACCCTCAATATCATTGATCATTAGAGAAATGCAAATCAAAACCACAATGAGGTATCATCTCACACCAATCAGGATGGCTATTATTAAAAAGTCAAAAAAAAAAAAAAAACAGATGGTGGCAAGGTTACGAAGAAAAGGGAACACTTATATTGCTGGTGGTAATGTAAATTAGTTCAACCACTGTGGAAAGCAGTATGGCAATTCCTCAGAGCCAAAAGCAGAACTACCATTCAAACCAGCAATCCCATTACTGAGTATATACCTAGAGGAATATAAATCATTCTACCATAAAGTCACATGCACACGAATGTTCACTGCAGTGCTATTCACAACAGCAAACACGTGGAATCAACCTAAATGCCCATCAATGACAGATTAAAGAAAATGTGGTACATATACACCATGGAATACTATGTAGCCATAAAAAAAGAACAAGATCATGTCTTTTGCAGGAATATGGATGGAGCTGGAGGCTATTATTCTTAGCAAACTAATGCAGGAACAGACAGCCAAATACTGCATGTTCTCACTTATAAATGTGAGCTAAATGATAAAAAACTTATGAATACAAAAAAGGAAACAACAGACATGGCTCTACTTGAGGGGGAAGTGGGGAGGGTGGAAGGAGGGAGAGGAGCAGAAAAGATAACTGTTGGGTACTGGGCTTAATATCTGGGTGATGTGACATGTGTTTACCTATGTAACAAACCTTATCATGTGCCCCCAAACCTAAAAGTTTTTAAAAAAACTGTGATAACCTACAATAGGAATAAAATACAATGCTAATCAACATTCTATAATACTATTAAATTTTAAAATAAAATTTAAAAATAAAAAATAAAATAATTTTATAATTCTAAAATTTAAGTCTGTCACCATTCTCAAGAAAACTGTTATTTAATAAAGCCCAATGTTTTGATATTTACTGTTAATAAATGGCTTTTAGTGTTTAGTAATGACCAGAAAAATCTAAAGATATTGCACAAATGAGTTTTTCCTAAGGTACAAGAAACACAGATTAAAGCTACTAATTTGAATTGGAAGAGAATCTGAATTAGAGTACTTTTTTGTATACATACTATTATTTTATACATCAGATTGCTGTTGATACACTAAATTATCACAGATAATTTGGAAGACAGCTGGGCTATTAAAGTAGATTTTTAATAAATCTGGTGTATTTCCTAAGCTGCTGCTCTCTGGTTTTAATAAATTAATTTTAAATAAAAGGACAGAGTTCACTGTTTAATTCATTTACATGTTTATATTTATATAAATGTACAAAAATCCAAGCACACACCCATTTTAATGGAATATTTTTTTCTATTACTGTTAGATTGGATCTCCCCTTGGAATCTTCACCCACACCAGACATGTGTATATACACGCTGACTGCTACTCCCACAACACACGCCCACATTTTTGTATTTATGGCAGAGATCAGTAATTTATAATTATTCAATACAAGTCCCCTCTTATCCAAGGGGAATACATTCCAAGATCTCCAATGGATGCCTGAAGTATGTAATACTTGATGATAAACTATGCTACTGGTTTATGTATTTACTACACTACACTTTTTATCATTATTTTAGAGTTTACTCCTTTCTACTTATGAAAAAAAGTTAACCGGAAAAGCAGCCTCAGGCGGGTCCTTAAGAAAATATTCCAGAAGAAGGCACTGTTATCAGAGATGACAGTTCCATGTCCAGTGGGACAAGATATGGAGGTGGAAGACAATGGTGATGATCCTGACCCTGTTTAGGTGTGGGCGAATGTAAGCATGTGTGTGTGTTTAACAAAAAAAAAAAATTTTTTTTTTTAATTAAAATAAGGCCAGGTGTGGTGGCTCATGCCTGTAATCCCAGCACTTTGGGAGGCCGAGGCAGGTGGATCACTTGAGGTCAGGAGTTCGAGACCAGCCTGACCAACACGGTGAAACCCCAGCTCTACTAAAACTACAAAAATTAGCCGGGCGTGGTGGCCAAGTGCCTGTAATCCCAGCTACTCTGGAGGCTGAGGCAGGAGAATCGCTTGAACCTGGGAGGCAGAGGTTGCAGTGAGTTGAGACTGTACCACTGCACTCCAGCCTGGGCAACAAAGCGAGACTCCATCTCAAATAATAATAAATAAAAATTAAAAATTAAAATAGACATAGCTTACAGAGTAACACTATGAAGAAAAATTTGTAAATATGTACAATGTGTGTTTTAAGCTGTGTTATTATAAAAGTTAAAATTTTTTTTAAATTAAGAAGTTTATAATATAGACCATGTATGGTGGCTCATGCCTGTAATCCCAGCACTTTGGCAGTCTGAGGTGGGCGGATCATGTGAGATCAGGAGTTTGAGAACAACCTGTCCAACAACATGTCTCTACTAAAAATACAAAAATTAGCCAGGCGTGGTGGCATGCACCTGTAATCCCAGCTACTCAGGAGGCTGAGGTATGAGAATCGCCTGAACCCAAAAGGCAGAGGTTGCAGTGAGCCAAGATCACACCACTGCACTCCATCCAGCCTGGGCAATACAGCAAGACTGTCTCAAAAAAAAAAAAAAAAAGTTTATAATATAAAAATGTTAAAGCAGCAAGCTAAGGTTAATTATTGAAGAAAATTTTTAATATAAATTTAGTGTAGCCTAACTATACAGTGTTTACAATGTCTACAGTAGTGTACAGTAATGTCCTAGGCCTTCGTATTCCCTCAACACTTACTCACCAACTCATCCAGAGCAACTTCCAGTCCTACAAGCTCCATTCATGGTGAATGCCCTAAACAGGTGTACCATTTCTTAATCTTTTATACCATATTTTTACTATACCTTTTTCATGTTTAGATATGTATAATACACAAATACCATTGTGTTACAAATGCTTTCAGTATTCACTACAGCAACATACCATACAGGTTTGTAGCCTAGGAGCATAGACTATACCAAATAGCCTAGGTGTACAGTAGGCTGCACCATCTAGGTTTGTGTAAGTACACTCCATGACATTCACACAACAACAAAATAATCTAATGATGCATTTTTCAAAACTAGCCATATTGTTAAGCGATGCATAACTGTACATTTCCATTTCTAGGACAGAGCATTTCAGTTTTTAGTAATGTTTACTTTTATCTTTCACCATCTGTGTATTTTCCAGGAAACTCAAGTTTAACTCTTTTTAAAACGAAAGATCCTATTAGGCATATACTATGTATCAGACATAATACTAGGCATTTATGATGATCATGATGATGATGATGTTGCTCAAGGAAGAAATATTAATGATTAATAAATTTACTAAGCACTCTGTCACCTTCACTCTGTTTACACAGGCAAATTTCAGGTTCTTCAAGATTTCAAAATTTATCAACTACGGTCTAAACATAGCTATGCAAACTACTGTGCAAATCTGTCTATTCCATGCTGCCACTACTTTCCCCACCATCGCTGTGAGTCAGCCTTCTTTAGTCAACACTTTATGATGTAAAGACATAAAATTTCTGGGGCCTGGCACAGTGGATCATGCCTGTAATCCCGGCACTTTGGGAGGCTGAGATGAAAAAATAGCTTGAGGTCAGGAGTTCAAAACCAGCCTGGACAATATAGCAAGACCCCATATCCACAAAAATAAAAAATAAATTAGCTGAGCATGGTGACGTGCATGTGTAGTTCCAGCTAGTTAAGAGATTGGAGCAAAAGGCTCTCGAGCCCAGGGGTTTGAGGATGCAATGAGCTATGATCATGCTACTGCACTCCAGCCTGGATGACAGAGCAAGACCCTGTCTCCAAAAATTTTTTTAATTAAAAAAAGATAAAAAACTTCTGGAAAATATGAATATCTGAGGAAACACAGTGTGCGAATGGTAAAAATAAAGGAAAGAACAGAGAGAAAACAAGGAAGTTGGTGCTTTAATTAAGCACACTTTTTAATTTAAGCACACTTCTTCATTTCTTTCACAAATTTTAAAGTCATTTATTGGTTTACAAAAATAAAACATCATTACAGATCGGCCAGGCGTGGTGGCTCACGCCTGTAATCCCAGCACTTTGGGAGCTCGAGACGGGCGGCTCACGAGGTCAGAAGATTGAGACCATCCTGGCTAACACGGTGAAACCCCATCTCTACTAAAAATACAAAAAAATTAGCCAGGCTTGGTGGCAGGCGCCTGTAGTCCCAGCTACTTGGGGGGCTGAGGCAGGAGAATGGCGTGAACCCGGGAGGCAGAGCTTGCAGTGAGCAAAGATGGCACCACTGCACTCCAGCCTGGGCGACAGAGCGAGACTCTGTCTCAAAAAAATAAAATGAAATAAAAATAAATAAATAAATAAATAAAATATTATTACAGATCACTTGATGTGTGCCTAAGGTCATATTTTGAATAGTTAATTTGTAGATTCCAGAAGCAAAGGAACAATACATTTCCCCACTCTCAGATAAGCCATGAAGAACTCTACCAAAAATTTCACACATCTCAGCTGGGCGTGGTGGCTCACACCTGTAGTCCGAACACTTTGGGAGGCCAAGGCAGGTGGGTGACCTGAGGTCAGGAGTTCAAGACCAGCCTGGCCAACATGGCAAAACCCTGTCTCTACTAAAAATACAAAAGTTAGCCAGGTGTGGTGGTGGGCACCTGTAGTCCCAGCTACTCAGGAGCCTGAGACATGAGAATCGCTTGAACTCAGGAGGCAGAGGTTGCAGTGAACCAAGATCATGCCACTGCACTCCACTCTAGCCTGGGTGACGAGCAAGACTCTGTCTCAAAAAAAAAAAAAAAAAAATTTACACATCTATTCCTTCCCTGGACTTTTGCTTAGAGTACCTATTGGTATGTTTTCCACTTTCCCTTTACAGCAAATTAGCATGTAGTTCACTATATGTCAGAATCAATTCAAACCCTTATGCCTTACTCTTAATATTATACTTATTATCTTCCTTTTTTAATATTTACCTTCCATCCAAGGAAGGCTACAAAGAAATAGAAGAGGATATGGGACCAAGGCCTGAGTAACTCCAACCTTTAGAGACTGTAATGGAGAAAGAAGCAGCATGTGAAGACCACAGAAGGTTCTCAAGAAGGGTAGGAAAGAAATCAGGGGTGTAATGGCAGTGAAGATTGAGAAAACTGAACAAGTTTGACAAATAATCTGTCAGGAGGATAGATAATTATTGATGATGATAAACGGAAGAGCAGGAGGTTTCAAGTATGATTCCCAGTATAACTCTGAGGGATGCCCAAGAACATTTGTTTATTCAACAAATTATTTATTGAGTATCTAGTATATACATCAGGTACTTTTCTAAGCATAAGGATCTCTTTAGTGAACATATCTAGAGTTCAGAAGAGAGGTAAGAGCTGATGAAATACAAATTTTGGAATCAGACATATTTAGTATTTAAATATTTGAGAATGAACAATGCTTCCTGGACCTTCTCATTTATGTGAAACAAAAATTCTCTTTTTGTTTAAGCTAGTTTGGTCAAGTTTTATGTTCTTTGCAACAGAGTTCTAACTGACATATCCTCTTCACTGGATCTTCCTCCTTCAGCTTCACCTTTAACTCAATCTACAAAAAGCAGTCAGGTGTAAAAATGTAATTTGATGGTTTTATTCTCCTACATCACTTCCATGGCTTTTTTTATACTTGGGATAAAACCCTCCTTAATATGAACTATAAGGTCATTTATGGTATAGCCTTGACTTACCTCTCACCTCCATTCCCCTCTATCACTATGGTCCAGGGGAAAATAGTTTTAAACATATATTTCCTATATGGCCTAGCAATTCCAATTCTATATATTAACCCAAGAAAAATGAAAACATACATCCACAAAAGGGCTTATACATAAATGTTCATGAGCAGTTTTTTGTTGTTGGTGGTGATGTGTGGGTTTTTTTGTTTGTTTGTTTGTTTTTGAGATGGAGTCTTGATCTGTTGCCCAGGCTGGAGTGCAGTGGCGCAATCTCAGCCCATTGCAACCTCCACCTCCTAGGTTTAAGCAATTCTCCTGCCTGAGCCTCCCGAGTAGCTGGGACTAGAGGCATGCACCACTATGCCTGGCTAATTTTTTGTATTTTTAGTAGAGCTGGGGTATCGTCACATTGGTTAGGCTGGTCTCGAACTCCTGGCCTCAAGTGATCCACCCTCCTCAGCCTCCCAAAGTGCTGGGATTACAGGAGTGAGACACCGTGCCGAGCCTGGTGTGTTTTTTTGGGGGGGGAGGCCAGGGTCTCACTTTGTCACCCAGGCACAGCAACTGCAGTGGTGCAATTATGGCTCACTGCAACCTTGACCTCCCAGGCTCAAGCAATCCTCCCACCTCAGCCTCCTGAGTAGCTAGGACCCACGGGCACATAACCCCATGCCCCACTAGTTTCTTAATTTTTTTGTAGAGATGAAGCGTCACTGTATTGCACAGGCTGGTCTCAAACTCCTGGGCCCAAGCTATGCTCCTCCTCAGCCTCCCAAAGTGCTGGATTTACAGATGTAAGCTACCATGCTTGGCCTGTTCATAAGCAGTTTTATTCATAATAGCCAAAACAGAAAGAACCTCAATGTCCACCTGGCCAGGCACAGTGAGCTGGTTGCAGTGAGCTGAGATTGTGCCACTGCACTCCAGAGTGGGCAACAGAGCTAGACTCTGTCTTAAAAAAAAAAAAAACCTCAATGTCCATCAACATGTAAATGAATAAATGAACTGTGGTATACTCATTCAACAGAATACTAAATACTACTCGTCAATAAAAAAGAAGTGCTAATAGGTGAAACATGAACAAACCTGGAAAGCATTATGCTCAGTAAAAGAAGCCAGTCACAAAATTATGCCATTTATATAAAACTCCATAACAGCCACAACTAAGCTCTGGTGACAGAATCAGAACAAAGGTTGAATCTGGGAGACAGGTATTGAGTAGGAAGGAGTATGAGAGAAGCTTCTGGAGTGATGGAAATGTTCTATATCTTGATAAAGATGTGGGTTACACAGGTGCATGCATTTGTCAAAACTCATCTAACACTTATTTAAGATTATGTATTTCATTGTATATAATTGACCTCAAACTTAAAACAGATTTTTAAGCCATGAACAAAATCTCGACTTAATTCCATGTCTGCAGAACCCTTACAGTTAAGCCTACTATATGTAATTTCATTCCACTATTCGGCTGGTGGTGAAGACTTGGAGGGAAGCACCCAACAGTGGGTTGAGGGAGAAAAGGTAGTCTTTTAGAACATACCTTGCAACTCTAAACTCTGGTATACTCAGAACAGTTATGCTAAATTACATAGTAAACCTTCAGTGAGAAGACTGGGAGACAGTATGGAAACAGAGATAAGAGATTCTGATTAAAAAAAAAAAGTCTCTAAGCATGCCAATTCATTCAGAGACCACTCAAACAAACGAAAACAGTTGATACTTTTAAGAAACTTAAGACACTTTATTATAAACTTATAAAATCTGAGGGTCCTCAAAAAAACCATTAAACTGTAGAATATTTTGCAATTATTATGAGTTGTGACACATGCCTAAAAGTAGCATCTTCCTAACTAAAATGGTAATAAGTATGCATAAAAGAATCAAGTTAAAGACTAAGTTTAAAGAAATCTGATAAAATTATGTTTTGGGAAGCAAGATTATCAAGACATAAAATTATAGGCAGAATAGCAGCCTTGAAAGTAAATTATCTATTTTATGTATATATGTATGTATTTAATTATTGTCTTTTATCAGCTGGTCGGAGATAATAAAAAGTAAACTATTGACCCATACACTCTTCCGTTCTCTGAACTCTACAGCTCCTGTATATACAATGACTTGTATTATTCCATAAGTGTCTTACGTTATACACGTAAATCTTGGCACTCCGCTAGCCAATATATTGGCACCTTGAGCAGTGTTCCTATGCCTAGCGGAGAGTTGGAAGGCATGCTGACTAGCTGAAGGAGACCTTACTATATAAAATATATTGGCCAGGCGCGGTGGCTCACACCTGTAATCCCAGCATTTTGGGAGGCCAAGGCAGGCGGATCACTTGAGCTCAGGAGTTCCAGACCTGCCTGGGCAACATGGTGAAACCCTGTCTCTACTAAAAATACAAAAATTAGCCAGGTGTGGTGGCAAGTGCCTGTAGCCCCAGCTACTTGGGGGGCTGAGGCAGGAGTAGCGCTTGAGCCTGGGAGGTGGAGGTTGCAGTGAGCTGAGATCACACCACTGTACTCCAGCGTGGGCCACAGAGTAAGACCCTATCTCAAAAATACATATATAAATATACAGGCTGGGCGTGGTGGCTCACACCTGTAATCCCAGCACTTTGGGAGGCCGAGGTGGGCAGATCATGAGGTCAGGAGATCGAGACCATCCTGGATAACACAGTGACACCCCGTCTCTACTAAAAATACAAAAAATTAGCCAGGCGTGGTGGCGGGCACCTGTAGTCCCAGCTACTCAGAAGGCTGAGGCAGGAGAATGGCGTGAACCTGGGACGCGGAGCTTGCAGCGAGCAGAGATCATGCCACTGCACTCCAGCCCGGGCGACAGAGCGAGACACCGACTCAAAAAAAAAAAAAAAAAAAAAAAAAAAAAAAAAAAAAAATATATATATATATATATATATATATATATATATATATATATATAAAGTGATCCTCACCATAAGTACGTCATAGCATCTCACAGAATTTAACCCTTTCGAATTGTCCCTAAGAGATAATGATTGGCTCCAAAGGAAATTAAAGAGACAGAACAAAGAAGTTTAAATATGCAACACACGAATTACACAAAATTCTAAACAAAGGTTAAAAGTAAAAAATAAATCTTTTAAAAGATGCAAATAAAGGCTGGTTGCAGTAGCTCATACCTACAATCCTAGCACTTTGGGAGGTTGAAGTGGGTGGATCACTTGAGCCCTGTAGTTAAAGGCCAGCCTGGGAAACACAGGGAGACCCTGTCTCTATAAAAAAACCAAAAGATTAGTCAGGCATGGTGGCATATGCCTACAGTCCCAGCTACATGGGAGGGTGAGGTGGGAGGATTGCCTGAATCCGGGAGGCCGAGGGTGCAGTGCGTTATGATCATGCCACTACACTCCAGCCTGGGTGACAGAGCAAGACTCTGTCTCAAAAAAAAAAAATACAATTTATAGTCTTACTGACATTAAGAAAAGATTGATTCACGTACCTTAGAATGTAGTTTTAATGTTTTAATAAAACTGTTGGCTTGGAGGTTTGAATAAGAGTCCTGAAAGTGTCATAAATGGGAAAGTATATAAAAATATTAATTCAAACTCCTATATAAGTATTCCTTATTTTCTAATAAATGAACTAATAACATGCCTTATTTTAAATCATTTCCAAGCATCTCTTAAGTTATTTACAATTTAAAAACCATATTCAAAAGCAATAAGGAAAAAGTGGAGCTACCCTAATAATTTTTGGCTAAATAAAACAAAAAAAATAAGAAAAACTAATAAACATGACAGTTTTCCATTTATTTCTCTGAAAAATTTATTAAAGCATTACTAATTTGGCAAAAGATTTAAAAATAGGCCTGGCGTGGTGGCTCACACCTGTAACCCCAACATTTTGGAAGGCGAGGCAGGTGGATCCCTTGAGCCCACGAGTTTGAGACCTGCCTGGGCAACATGGCATAATCCTGTGTCTACAAAAAATATAAAAATCAGCCAGGCATGACGGTGCACGCCTGTAGTCCCAGCTACTTGGGAGGCTAAGGTGAGAAGATGGCTTGAGGCCAGGAGAAGGAGGCCGCAGTGAGCCGAGATCATGCCACTGCACTCCAGCCTGGGTAATTGAGCAAGAGAGTCTTAAGAGGGAGAAAGAAAGCGAGGGAGAGTGAGAGTGCACATGTGACAAAGAGACATTTACACATGGTGACTGTCAAATTGCAGGATAAAAGTAGATTCTAGAAGGACATAAGACAAAGGAACAAACTCCCCCATCCAAGAGTAGAATAGTACTGTTTATGGCTTTCTTTCCAGGGATGCTCTATTTCATCATGCTAATAAGTTATCTTAATTTTTTAACTGGTTTTTGTCTTTTTGTGGTTTTTTTTTTTTTTTGAGACAGAGTCTCACTGTGTTGCCCAGGCTGGAGTGCAATGGTGCAATCTCAGCTCACTGCAACCTCTGCCACCCTGGTTCAAGTGATTCTCCTGCCTCAGCCTCCCGAGTAGCTGAGATTACAGGTACCTGCCACTGGGCCCGGCTAATTTTTGTAGTTTTAGTAGAGACAGGGTTTCACCATCTTGGCCAGGCTGGTCTTGAACTCTTGACCTCATGATGCACCTGCCTCAGCCTCCCAAAGTGCTGGGATTACAGGCATGAGCCACTGTGCCCAAATTTTTTTTTTTTTTTTTTTTTTTTTTGAGACAGAATCTCGCTCTGTCGCCCAGGCTGGAGTGCAGAGGCGTGATCTCAGCTCACTGCAACCTTCATCTCCTGGGTTCGAGCAATTCTCCTGCCTCAGCCTCCCAAGTAGCTAGAACTACAGGTGGGTGCCACTACATCCAGCTTATTTTTAGTAGAGATGGGGTTTCATCACGTTGGCCAAGCAGGTCTTGAACCTCTGACCTCAAGTGATCCGCCCACAGTGGCCTCCCAAAGTGCTAGGATTACAGACATGAGCCACGGCGCCTGGACTAAACAGGTTTAGATTCAAAACACTAGTGCAGTGCATAGTAGTCTACACAGCCAAATGCTCTGGTTAGGAGTTTAAGTTTTGCATGTCTCTAATCTGCTTCTGACTTCTTGTTCCTATTAAATTTCTATACAAAATAACTGAAAATGTAAATGAAAGAAAATTCACAAGACCATTTTACTCTTAGTTCATTAGGTAAAACATTTTAAAATACTGATACCTAATTTTAAAGGAAGTATATTAAAATTGAAATGCTTATACACTGCTGATGACATTACAAATTGCCTCAATCTTTTTGAAAATTAATGCAAAAACCATAATGATGGTAATATCCTCTGATCTAGTAAGTTCATGTCTAGAAATTTTACTTAAGCAAAAAATTTAAAGAAATGTGCGCTGTTTCAACCTTGCCTAGCACTTCAGAGTCAGTATTACAGTCAATTTAAATGAGCTAGAGCCTGGTTTAAGGCAGTGTAAAGATCTATATTTGAGACATCCAAATTGCCATCCTGTACTCCAAAGGTGTTATCTGTATGACAGAACAATAAATGAAATCTACAAAATAAAACTTTATCAAAGCTAAGGATAAGTCACAAACAAGCCAAATTCTACATTTTAGAATCTCATCACTGGAACACAAAGGCTCCAGAACAAGAGGCCAACATTATGACCAGACTTTCAGGGTGAAGAAACATATAAAACACAAAAGAAACGAAGATATTCTGAGACTCAAGGACAGAGTCAATCAACAAAATTAAGCATATCATGACTAAAATTATACCTGGTAAACTACAGTGCTGTCTAAAAATTGATGATTACAGAATTTTAGTGTGCAATATTTGACGTAGGAAAGCTCTCAGTGTGCAGTGAAATGGTTAAAAAAATTTTTAATTAAAAAAACTGAATTTGGTAGAAGTACAAAAGAAAACTAACAAACACAAAGCTACAATTTACAAAATTAAGAACAAAAATCAGTTCAATAAAGTAAATGTTCATTCTAAAATGTAAAAGGAAAATAATCCCAGTAAAAATAATTTGAGTAAAATAAAAATGGGTCGGGCAAGGTGGCTCTCACCTGTAATCCCAGCACTTTGGGAGGCCAAGGCAGGAGGACTGCTTGAGCCCAGTAATTTGAGACCAGCCAGGCCAACATGGCAAGACCCTGCCATTACACACACACAAAAAAATCAGCCACGCATGGTGGTGCACACCCGTAGTCCCAGCTTCTCAGGAGTCTGAAGTGGGAGGACAGCTTGAGCCCAGGAAGTCAGGGCTGCAGTGAGCTATGTTCACGCCACTGCACTCCAGCCTGGGTGACAGAGTAAGACCCTGTCTCAATAACAACAATGGAAAAATAAAAATGAGGGAAAAAAGTCTAAAAAAGTTTAAAGTTGCTATGTAGAAAATTGACCAGTAAAATAGTGTAATTTTTCATATAAAATACTCTGATGAAAATTCATTAATTTTGGTAAAACTGACTAAACTGGACTGACAACATCCTTGGAGGATCAGTCTACTGGGTCAAAAAATGTAGTAAAAAGATACATCACTACAATATCTATGACATCAAAAAAACCTGAGAAAAATCTAAGTGTCCAATGGGAGAAGATTTTCCTAACCAGTAGGGGCTGTTATCTTCAACGAAACTGGGAGAGAGACAGATATATAACCATGAGAAAGGAAGAGGACACCTACCCAACCCACAAGATCAGCCGTCAGCCCAGACAACTGATATGGTAATACACACAATCACACTGCCTTCCTATCATTATAATGAAATTATTAACTGACTGCTAAAAATGAGGCTTGGAAGTTCATTTTACGTCCCTGTCTTATTTTAGGAAGTATGTTATGGAGTATACGAAAACTATAAAACACTAATTTTATGGTAAGTTATTTAAATAAACTAATATTTAAAAAGTAAAAGCATAATACAAAATAAAAAGATTAAAAGGAGCTGGGCATAGTGGTATGCACTTGTAGTCCTAGCTACGGGGTAGGCTAAAGCCAGAGGATCACTTGGCCCAGGAGATTGAGGCTGCAGTAAGCTATGATTGTGCCACTGCACTCCAGCCTGAGCAACAGAGCAAGATTCTGTCTCTTAAAAAAAGAAAAGGCTGGGTACAGTGGCTCATGCCTGTAATACCAGCACTTTGGGAGGCCAAGGCGGGCAGATCACTTGAGCTCTGGAGTTCCAGACCAGCCTGGGCAATACAGCGAAATCCCATCTCTACAAAAAATACAAAATAATTAGCTGAGCATAATGGTACATGTCTGTAGTCCCAGCTACTCAGGAGGCTGAGGTGGGAGGACAGCTTGAGCCAGGGAGACAGAAGTTGCAAAAACAAACAAATAAACAAAAAGACTGAAAGGAAACACATTAAAGCAAACTTTTACCAATAGTTATCTTGGTTGACTTTTCTTCTATTTTGTCATTTTTCACATATTCTATAATGAATATATATGCTATAAATATTTAATTTTAGGCCAGATGTTGTGGCTCACGCCTGCTTTCCTGGCACTTTGGGACGCTGAGGTGGGCAGATCACTCGAGGTCAGGAGTTCGAGGCCAGCCTGGCCAACAATGGCAAAACCCCGTCTCCGTTAAAAATACAAAAATTAGCCAGGCATGGTGGCACATGCCCATAGTGCCAGCTACTCAGGAGGCTGAGGCAGGAGAATCACCTCAACCTGGGAGGCAGAGGTTGCAGTGAGCTGGGATTGCGCCACTGCACTCCAGCCTGGGTGACCGAGTGAGACTCTTGTCTCAAAAAAAAAAAAAATTAATTTTACTTTTACTCACTGGATGATCAGAATTAAAATCAATAAAAGGACACCCATTAACTTTTGTTTCCATCTTTTAAAGTCCTAATAAAAACCACTGTAAACAATTCCTGTGTATTCTTATAGACACACCCAATATATACATAAACATACACTCACGAATATATCTTGTAGTACCCTCTTTTAATTGAAAAGGAAAAGAATGAGTACATTGTTCTGAACCCTTTTTCACTTTACGTGACACTGCATATTCTTCCATCTTAATAGATGCATCTCTACTTCATTCTTCTTCATGGCTGCAATACATTTCATCATACAGATGGACAAATAATTTAATAAACACACAACTGACCCTCCTGTTTCCAATCTGGTAACACACGCACTTGAACATATAATCCTGTATATTAGTATAACAAAAACAAACTCATTCTATAAAACTTGATTCACTGAACAATAAATTCATGGAAATTACCAAATTTACATATTTATTTCAAAGAGCTGAACCACTCAGACACATAATCCTTATATTTTATGCCAATATATATTTTATGTTGATATATGAATACACTATATGTACTTCTGTGTGTAAATATGTTTATATTTAATATAATAGATATGTGCTTATTAACATGCACAAATATGTATTTATTAAAATCAAATGTGGTGTTATCTGTTTATAAATATTAATTTGTGAAAACATATTTATATGTATTACTATACTAATTAACATATTTGCTAATTATTCTAGTCATTATAATTCTTAATTTGTCTTTCATGATGATATTTCACACTCTTATTTGAATGAAATATTTTATTGTTCCAGTTGTTAGGTAATTTTATTATTATTCCCCAATGTCTCAACTAAGGTATCACTCTTAATTTTTATAGCAATTAAGAACCAAAATATTGGCATTTCTTACTGATGCAGTTGCCTATTTTTCAACACACATTTATGATAGATGTATGTTACAGTTATAGTGAAATAATAATTACTGGTTGTGAAATGTTTTTCTGGATATTGAATATATTCATAAAAATCAACCAGGCCATGACCCTTAGCTTACAAGTTGAACAGTCCTTTAAATGATATTATAAGAATAGGGCTGGGCACGGTGGCTCAGATCACTTGTGTTCAGGAGTTCAAGACCGGCCTGGGCAACTGGGGAGACCCTGTCTTTACAAAAAATACAAATATTAGCCAGGCATGGTGGCACGTGCCTGTGGTCCCTGCTACTCTGGAGGCTAAGGTGGGAGGATCTCTTGAGCCCCAGGAGGTGGAGGTTGCAGTGAGCAGAGATCGCACCACTGCACTTCAGCCTGGGTGACAGAATGAAACTCTGTCTGAATCAATCAATTAATCAATAAAGTCAACCAAATCTCATCAAAAATCTTCAAAATCTATTATGATCATCCCATCCAATATAAATAGCTGTAAACTTTAGTCAAAAACACCAAAAAATAAGGTTGGTAGAGGCACTTTGAAGTTGACAAAATAATCCTAAAAATACTAAGATGCTGGGGGAAATACATAAAACAACTTTTAAAAGGATTGAAAAGAAATCAGAATAAACTGAAAAATTTTTCCATGAAGTGATGTAATTTTGACCATATCTATTTAAAAAAATTTTCCTGAATACACCAACACAATTGGTAAATTTGATGAGTCAGTCTACAGATTAATTGACATAGAGCCAGTATATTTGTAGAACAAATTCTTAGAAATGAAATTGCTAGATGAAGCATGGTATGTGCATTTTTTTAGCTTTGACAAACATTGCCAAATTGTCATTTTAAAAGTTGCACCAATCTTACAGTCTCACCAAAGCCTATTAGAACCAAATTTTTTTTTTTTTTTTTTTTTTTTTTTTTGAGATGGAGTCTCGCTCTGTCACCAGGCTGGAGTGCAGTAGTGTGATCTCGGCTCACTGCAACCTCCACTTCCCAGGTTCAAGCAGTTCTTCAGCATCAGCCTCCCGAGTAGCTGGGACTACAGGAGCACACCACCATGCCCAGCTAATTTTTGTATTTCTTTAGTAGAGACAGGGTTTCGTTATGTTGGCTAGGATGGTCTCGATCTCTTGACCTTGTGATCCGCCCGCCTCGGCCTCCCAAAGTGCTGGGATTACAGGCATGAGCCACCGCGCCCATCCAGAACCAAGTATTTTAATCCTCACCAATCTAAAACATAAATACTGGAGTTATTATTTATAATTTGTATTTTTTTAAAGAATTTGACTCAAAAAAAAGAAAGAAAAATGCCCAGGCAAGGTGGCTCACACCTGTAATCCCAGTGCTTTGGGAGGCGGAGGCAGGAGGATGGCTTGAGTTCAGGAGTTTGAGATCAGCCTGGCAACATGGAGAAACCTGGTCTCTATAAAAAACACAAAAATTAGTCGGGCGTGGTACCTGTGGTCCCAGCTACTCGAGAGGCTGAGGCAGGAGGATTGCTTGAGCCTGGGAAGTGGAGGCTGCAGTAAGCCAAGATCGCACCACTGCACTCCAGGCTGGGTGACAGAGTGAGAACTTACATCAAAAAAACAAAACAAAACAAAAAGAATTTGAGAGTTTATGTATTTTATAATGAGAAAAATTCCTTTAAAACTAATTAAATTCTGAAGAAACAAGTATAAGAAACATTAAAAGTACAAACTGGCTTTAAACTACTAACAATCTAAAAAAAGTTCACATAATAAGATAACTTGCAAAAAATGCTGCTTATTTTAGGATTTTGAAATTATGAGTTTTTCTAAATTCCTTTTTCAAGATTTTCTCCAGTGTTATTATTATGCTGATTTTCTGTTAACAATAATTTCTAGTAGTCTGGGAGTAAAGAATAACCACCACGGCTTTTTATGCCACCTAGGGTTTTGATTTCTTGTCACTGGTCCACTAAGTTTTCAGTTGCCCAGTGCCAAAACTTGATCATAATCATTGATATAGCACTCTCCTCCATTCTCTAAATCCTAGTCATTAAATCTCACTTATTTATTTAAGAATTCTCTTTTTATATACCCTTTGGTCTCCACTTCAAGTGGATTACTAATATAGGAAATAAAGGAATCTGAACTGACTCCTTACCATAATTTCTCTCATCTACAATTCAACTTACATACAGTCCTATTTGATTAACTTCCCTTCAAACCAGTGCCTACCAAACTTGATCACACAGTCTTGTCAAAAATGCAGATTCTGGAAATGTTGTATTTTTTTCTTTAAGAGATGAGGTCTTGCTCTGTTGCCCAGCCTGGAGTGCAGTGGCATGACATAGCTCATTGCAGTTTCAAATTCCTATTAGAACCATTGCAGAGGCATTCATCTGTGTCCCATGAAATGTCTTTTAGGAATACAAATGTTCCTTCCATTTTGTTCCTGGCTATAAGCTTAATATACAATTCCTAAATCATATATATCCACTTAATTCATGTAATTCCACATATTTAGAGACAACTAATTTTCAATATAAGTGCCAAGAGCATACACTGAAGAAAGGACAGGCTAATTTGTGCTGGGAAAACTGGATATCTATATGCAAAAAAAAAAAAAAAAATGAAACTGGATCTCTCTCTCTCTCACCATATTAAAAAAATAGTCAAGATGGATTAAAGACTTAAACGTAAGACCAAAAATATAAAACTGGAAAAAAAAAAAACACATCAAGACATTGGTCTAAGCAAAGATTTTTATGGCTAAGACCTCAAAAGCTCAGACAACAAAAATAAAAATAGACAAATGGGACTATATTAAACTGAAAAGCTTTTGTACAGCAAAGGGAATATCTACATAATGAAGAGATAACCTGTTGAATGAGAGAAAATATTTGCAAACTATTAATGTGACAAGAGACTAATATCCAGAATATACAAGAAACTCAAACCATTAAAAAAAACACAGATAATCCCATTAAAAAGTGGGCAAAGGACATGAATAGACATTTCTTAAAAGACATAAAAATGGCCAACAAGTATATGAAAAAAATGTTCAACATCACTAATCATCAGGGAAATACAATTCTAAACCACAATGAGATATTATCTTACCCCAGTTAGAACGGATATTTCTTAAAACACACGGACACACACACAATAACAGATGCTGGCAAGCATGCAGAGAAAAAGAGAACTCTTAAACACTGTTGGTGGGAATGTAAATCCATACAACTACTATGAAAAACAGTATGGAGAATTCTCAAAAAACTAAAAGTATCATTATCATATGATCTGGCAATCCCACCACTGTATTTATACAAAAGAAAAGAATCAGTGTATCAAAGGGATACCTGCACTCATGTGTTTATTGCAGCACTATTCACAACAGCCAAGACAAAGAACCAACTTAAGTGTCCATCAGCAGATGAAATAAAGAAAATGTAGTATATATACACAATGGATTTGGCATTCAAAGAATGAAATCATGTCATTTGCAGCAACATAGATGAGCTGGAGGTTATTATATTAAGTGAAATAAGCCAGGCACAGCAAGACAAATACTGCATGTTCTCACTCATATGTAGAAACTAAAAGAGTTAATCTTATAGAAGTAGCAAATAGAATTATAGATACTAGAGGCTGCAGAGGGTGGGTGGGTGAGAGGGGATAAAGAGAAGTTGGTTAATGAGTACAAAATATACAGTCAAATAGAAGAAATAACTTCTAATGTTCAATAGCAGAGTACTGGTGACTATAGTCAGCAACAAAGTACTGTGTATTTCAAAGTAGCTAGAAGAAAGAATTTTAAATGTTCCCAACACAAATAATAAATATTAAAGGTGATAGATACCTCAAATGCCCTGACTTGATCATTACACATTCTATGCATATAATACTCACATGTACTCCATAAATATATGATATTATGCATCAATCTAAAAAATTAAAGAAACTGAATTCATAGTTTAAAAGCTCCCAATAAAGAAATCCTAGGAGTGTGGTGGCTCATGCCTGTAATCCCAGCACTTTGGGAGGCCAAGGCAGGAGGGTTGCTTGAGCCCAGTAGTCCAAAAACAGCCTGGGCAACATGCAGAGACCCTGTAAACAAAAAAAAATTAAAAATCGGTCAGGTGTGGTGGTACACAACTGTAATCCCAGCCACTCAGGAGGCTAAAGTGAAAGGATCGCTTGGACCTGGGAGGTGGAGCAATGAGCTGTGATCATACCACTGCACTCTAACCTGGCTGACAGAGCGAGACCCTGTATCAAAAAAAGAAAGAAAGAAATCCGGTGGTCCAGAGAGCCAGGTATCAAAACCAGACAAAGATATCACAAAAAAAGGAAAAAAAAGAGAGAGAGAAGAAAGAAAGAAAGAAAAACTTCAGACCAATACCTCTCATAAAAGTAGATGAAAGGCCGAGCACAGTGGCTAACGCCTGTAATCCCAGCACTTTGGGAGGCCAAGGCAGGCAGATGACCTGAGGTCAGGAGTTCAAGACCAGCCTGGCCAACGTGGTGAAACCCTGTCTCTAATTTTGTAAAAATACAAAAATTAGACAGGCATGGTAGTGGGTGCCTGTAATCCCAGCTACTCAGGAGGCTGAAGCAGGAGAATCTCCTGAGCCTGGGAAGTGGAGGTTGCAGTGAGCTGAGACCATGCCAATGCACTTCAGCCTGGGCAACTAGAGCGAGACTCCATATCAAAAAAAAAAAAAAAAAAAAAAAGTAGATGAAAAATCCTGAACAAAATATTAGCAAATAAAATCTAGTCTGTGAACAGTGGCTCATGCCTGTTTTCTCAGTACTTTGGGAGGCCAAGGCAGGAGGACTGCTTGAGCCCTGGCATTTGAGACCAACCTGGGTAACATAGTGGAACCCCATCTCTACAAAAAAATTTAAAAAAAAAAAAAAAATCAGCTGCCACATGCCTGTACTCCCAGCTACTCTGGAGGCTGAGGTGGGAAGATTGCTTGATCCCAGGAGGTCAAGGCTACAGTGAGCCATAATCATGCCACTGCCTTCCAGCCTGAGTGACAGTTTAAGACTTTGTCTCAAAAAAAAAAATAAAAATAAAGCAATATATTAAAAAATTACAAACCACAACCAAATGGGATTTATTCCAGGTATGCAAGGCTGGTTCAACATTTGAAAAATAATGTAATCTGCCATATCAAAAGGCTAAAGAAGAAAAATCACATGATCATATCATTGACAGAAGCATTTGACAAAATTCATGATATTAAAAAAAACTCCAAGCAGGCCAGGTGCGGTGGTTCATGCCTGTAATCCCAGCACTTTGGGAGAGCAGGGAGGGCAGATTGCTTCAGCCGAGAAGTTGAGACCAGCCTGCAAAACATGAGGAAACCCCGTCTCTACAAAAAATACAAAAATTAGCCGGACAAGGTGTCACATGCCTGTAGTCCCAACCACTCGGGGGGCTGAGGTAGGAGGATCACTTAAGGTTGAGGCTGCAGTATGCCGAAACTGCACCATTGCACTCCAGCCTGGATGACAGAGTGAGACCCCGTCTCAAAAACAAAACAAAACCAAACTCTAAGCAAACTGGGAATAGAGAAGAACTTCCTCAACTTGGCAAAGAACATCTACAAAAAAACCTATAGCTAGGCCAGGCGTGGTGGCCCACGCCTGTAAGCCTAGCACCAATTTGGGAGGCCAAGGTAGGCGGATCACTTGAGATCAGGAGTCCGAAACCAGCCTGGCCAACATGGTAGAACCCCGTCTCTACTAAAAATACAAAAAATTAGCCAGACGTGGTGGCAGGCGCCTATAGTACCAGTTACTCAAGAGGCTGAGGCAGAAGAATCACTTGACCCTGGGAGGCGAAGGTAGCAGTGGGCCGAGATCTTGCCACTGCACTCTAGCCTGGGTGACAGAGTGGGACCTCATCTCAAAATAAATAAATTAATTTAATTTAAAAAAGAAAAATAGTATATTTTCCCCTAACTTCAAGTATAAAACAAGATTGGCTGTTCTCACCAATCTTATCCAACATAATTATGGAAATTCCAGCCAGCACAAGAAAATAAAAGGCAAACAGACTAGAACAGAAGAAAAAATCTGTCCCCATTTGTAGATGACATGACTATCTAGAAAATCCCAAGAAATCTACCCAAAAATCCCCCCAAAATAATTAAGTTTAGCAAGGTTATAAGATGCAAGGTCAACATACAAAAATCAGTCTTATTTTGTGCCTGTAATCCCAGCACTTTGAGAGCTGAGTCGGGCAGATCACTTGAGACCAGGAGTTTGCGACCAGCCTGGCCAACATGGTGAAACCCCATTTATACTAAAAATACAAAAATTAGCTGGGTGTGGTGGTGTTACCTGTAATTCCAACTACTTGGGAGGCTGAGACACAAGCATCACTTGAACCCAGGAAGCGGAGGTTGCAGTGAGTCGAGATTGTGCCACTGCACTCTAGCCTAGGCAAGAGAGTGAGACTCTGTCTCAAAAAAAAAAAAAAAATCAAAAATCAAAAATCAATCATATTTCCATATATTAATAAACATGAAAGCTGAAATTTAAAATACAATGCTATTCACAATTGCTCCAAAGAAAATGAAATAGTTAGGTATAAATCTAACAAAATACATGCAGGATCTATATGCTGAAAATTACAAAATGCTAACGTAAAATCAAAGATCTAAATAACTGAAGAGACTTACTATGTTCATTGACGGGAAAATATAACATAGTAAAGATATCAATACTCCCCAAATTGATGTATAGTATAATGCAATTCCTAGCAAAATCTTAGGAAGGATTTTGTTTGTTTGTTTGTTTTTTGAGATGGAGTCTCGCTCTGTCACCAGGCTGGAGTGCAGTGGCACGATCTTGGCTCACTGCAACCTCTGCCTCCCGGATTCAAGCGATTCTCCTGCCTCAGTCTTCCGAGTAGCTGGGATTACAGGTGCGTGCCGCCACACCCAGCTAATTTTTGTATTTTTATAGAGACGGGCTTTCACCATGTTGGCCAGGATAGTCTTGATCTCTTGACCTCATGATCCACCTGCCTCGGCCTCCCAAAGTGCTGGGATTACAGGCTTGAGCCACCACAGCTGGCGGTTTTTTGTTTCTGTAGATATAGATAAACATATTCTAAAATTTATATGGAAAGGAAAAGTCCTAGGAGACCTAAAGCAGTTTTGTGAAAACAAAAAACAAGTAGAATTATGCCTCCCGATATTAAGGATAACTATACCGCTACAGCAATTAAAACTGTGGTACTGATGAAGAAAGAGACATATAGACTAATAGAACAGAACAGAAAACCCAGAAATGTGTCCACACAAATATGCCCAAATGATTTTTCGCAATGATGCACAAGCAATTCAATAAAAGAAGGACAGCCTTTCCAATAAATGGTGCGAGAGCAATGCGACTTCCATGGATGGAGAAGGGAAGGGGGAAGGGAAGCGGGACAAGAAGGGGGAAGAGTTATCAACCTAAACCACTTACTTTATACAAAAACTAGATCCAAATGTTATCACACACTTAAATGTAAAACGTAAAAGTATAAAACTTTTAGGAAAAAACTTAGAGAAAATCTTCAGGCATTGGCACTAGGTAAAGAGTTGTTACACTTGACACCAAAAGCACGATCCACAAAAGGAAGAACTGCTATACTGAACCTCATCAAAATTAAAAACTTTCACTCTGTGAATAACCCTACAAAGAGGATGAAAAGACAAGTTAAAACCAGGGAGAAAATACTAGCAAACCACATATCTGACAAAGAACTAGTATCCAGACTGTATAAAGCACTCACCAAAATCTCACAAATCACCGCTAAAGAACTTAACTAAATACCACCTGTACCCCAATAACTTAATAGAAAAATAAAAATAAAATGAAAGAGAAGAAAATGAGATATCTAGAAAAGTCTCAAGAGATTAAAAAAAATCTAACAGTAAAGATAACCAATTTGAAAATGGACAAAAGACACAAACAGACAATTCACTGAAAAGGAATTACGAAAGGCCAATAAGCATATGAAAAAATGTTGAACATCTTTAGCCATTAGGGAATGCAAGAAAACACCACAATAAAATATCACTACGGATCTCTTGGAATGACTACAATGAAAAAACTGGTAACACCCTATCTGGCTAGAACACAAAGAAACTGGACCACTCATTTAATGCTTATGAGAATGCAAAATTGTACTCACATACTGGAAAATACTTTACCAGTTTCTTTGAAAACTAAATGCATACTTACCAGATGACCCAGCAATTTTGCTCTTGGGCGTTTATCTGAGAGAAATAAAAACTTATGTTATATGAAAACATGTACACAAATGTTCATAACAGCTTTTAGTTGAGCCAGAAACTGAAAAGAACCAAAATGTCCTTCAGTGGGTAAATAGCTAAACTGTGGTATACCCACACCACTGAATACTACTCAGCAATAAAAAGGAACAAAGAGTTAATATACACAACACAGATGAACTCAGAAATTGTTCTTTTGGGGCACATAAGAATAGTCTCCTGAGGCTGTGTCACAGGACAAAAACAAAACAAAACACTTTTTTTTAAAGAAATGTTTATGAATCAATCCAAATCTAGGTCTAGAGAGCCAACAGAAATCAGTCCTATCCTCAAAGCATAAAAAAAATAAAAAAGGTAAAGAGTACTAAGATCCAGAAAATTAACAAGCAGTAAAATTTTTGTTTCAGTCTGTCAAGATTATCCTTCCATTAAGCATCCAAAAATGTGAACTTTTATGACTTTGCTATTTTCTTACATCCCCAAATTCCTATTATCTGTATTATCTCTACTTTTTCTACCCTAGATATCTTTTGCTCTCATTGTCCTTGTTTATAAAACCTATGTTTTCTCAATTACAACCATTTAAAAAAAAGTTTTAGCTTGTTGGCCCAATCTTTTTTTTTTTTAATACTCTTCCTGTAAATGTGCTTTTATATGATTTTCTTTTCTTTTCTTATTTTTGGAGACAGGGTCTCCCTCTCACCCAGGCTAGAGTGCAGTGATGCCATCACAGCTTACTGCAGCCTTGATCTCCCAGACTCAAGCAATCCTCCCACCTCAGCCTCCCAAGTAGTGGTGGTGGTATACACCACCACACCCAGATAATTTTTTTTTGTAAATTTTTTGTAGAGATGCAGTATCCGTATGTTTCCCAGGCTTGTCTGGAACTCCTAGGCTCAAGTGATCCTCCCACCTTGGCCCCAAAATGTGCTGGGACTACAGATGTGAGTCACCACACCAGGTCTAATTTTCCGTACCTAAGCAGGTATTATGGACTCTTTCGAGTCGGTAAGAACAATAAAAGTAATAGTTCTTCAGTAAATAAATTATTTCCAAATGCCTAACAAAGCCACTTTTGTTAGTACATTGATAGTAGCAATATGAATTGCTATTATCTCATGCATTGCTTTTTAAAAAAAAATCAGAATTGATATTAGATTGTGGAATACTTTCAAAATATACTTTTCGAGCACAGAGGCCAGGCACGGTGGCTTACGCCTGTGGTCCCAGCACTTTGGGAGGCCAAGGCAGGCGGATCACGAGGTCAGGAGATCGAGACCACCCTGGCTAACACGGTGAAACCTCGTCTCTACTAAAAATACAAAAACAAAATTAGCCGGGCATGGTGGCGGGCACCTGTAGTCCCAGCTACTCGGGAGGCTGAGGCAGGAGAATGGCGTGAGAACCACTGGGAGGCGGAGCTTGCACTGAGCTGAGATAGCGCCACTGCACTCCAGCCTGGGCGACAGAGTGAGACTCCGAGACTCCGTCTCAAAGAAGAAAAAAAAGAAAAAAAAAGCATTCTTTAAACTCTACATAAATCTTGTTTTCAAGGATTTTTTTCAAAAAAAAAATTAATATAAATAAAACCATAAACTTAAGTCTTTTTTTGAGCTCTGTTACCCAGGCTGGAGTGCAGTGAGTGGCATGATGTCAACTCACTGCAACCTTCACCTCCCAGGTTCAAGCGATTCTCTTGCCTCAGCCTCCTGAGTGGTACGACTGGTACTGAATGGTACGATTCTCAGCCTCCTGAGGCAAGACAATCGTACCACTACAGGCACATGCCATCACACCCAGCTAAATTCTATATTTTTAGTAGAGAAGGGGTTTCACCGTGTTGGCCAGGCTGGTCTTGAACTCCTGACCTCAAGTGATCCGCCCGCCTCGGCCTCCCAAAGTGCTAGGATTACAGGCGTGAGCCACTGTGCCCAGCCTAAACTGAAATCTTTGAAGAAAAAAAGCTAATAGTGGCTGTTAGAGTCTAAGTTTATAAAAATGTACAAAATGTGTGCCAGTAGAATGAGTCAGTGCAGGTGTTTTGTTTATTTGCTGGGTTTTATGTTAAAGCAGACAAAAATCTCTTTCCTCGTATGTAACTTTTTCAATGCACTTTTTTACCTGATAAAATTTGCCTTTATTTTAAATTTTAAAATTATGTTATCATGGAGGAATTATAGAATGTATCATTATTAATAGTCCTAATATTAAGAAGGAAAGCAAATAAAAGATCAACTCTGATACTCATAATTTCAAATTCCCTTTTCAAAATTCTCCCAAGCAATGTAGAGAAAGAATAAGTTATGCTTGTGTAGTACTACCATGGGTAAGGTATGGCAAAAGTCAAAGAGTTTTTAAAAAAAGGAAAAAGAAAACTCAAGACTTGACAAAGTTAGGACTAAGAAGGATAAAAACATAAAAGTTGTTCCTTCAGAAAAAAACAAATTATTTTATAATACATAATACCAAAATCATATTTTAGTGAATATATAACAGATCATTAACAGAGTTAAAAACAACTTCAGAAGTTTTAGGGCCAAAGAGAAATATAAGTTTAAGACAGCACTATCCAAGAGAAATATAACGTAAATCACATATATAATTTTACATTTTCCACTAGCCATATTTAGAAAAAATAGGAAGAAACAAGTAAAATTAATTTTATTTAACCCAACAAATCAGCTCAACATATAATCTATATTTTAAAATTACTAATAAGAAATTTTACACATTTTATAAAATTTTGTTACTAAGGATTCTAACTCCAGTGTGTATTTTGCACTTAGCACAATCTTGATTCAGACTAGTCACATTTCTTTTTTTTTTTTTTTTTTTTTTTTGAGACAGTCTCGCTCTGTCCCCCAGGCTGGAGTGCAAGGGCGTGATCTCAGCTCACTGCAACCTCCGCTTCCCCAGCTCAAGCAATTCTCCTGCCTCAGCCTCCCGAGTAGCTGGGACTACAGGCGTCCACAACCACACCCAGCTAATTTTTGTATTTTCAGTAGAGATAGGGTTTCTCCATGTTGGCCAGGCTAGTCTTGAACTCCTGACCTCGTGTGATCTGCCCGCCTTAACCTCCAAAAGTGCTGGGATTACAGGCATGAGCCACTGCGCCTGGCCGACTAGCCACATTTCCTGTGCTCAGTAGTCCCATATGGCTAGTGGGTACCATACTGGACAATAAAGGTCTAAGAAACAGCTTGAGAAAACAGGAATATATCTACCTTCAGACCAAGAGATTAAATATTATAATCTAAAAGAATGCAAAATCAATAGTTAACATATATACAATGCCACAACAGTGATATGATTGTTGATCCCACTACATGAGCCTCTCTGAAAGAGAATCAAAGGAAAACTGATTAAAGAACATTTGCCTCTAGAGAAAAGAATGTAAACAGATAAAAGAAATGAACTGTGAAGTTCTTTTTATGCCAACCAATCTCCAAGGTTCTTTATATACAGTGTAGTATATAACTCCTCTAGAAATCATTAGCATTGTTAGTTTATGACAAGTACCTTCAAAGTACTCAATAAAAATATCGTTCATTTTCTTCACAATTTCACATACGATTTCTTCGTTACATATTAGTATCAATTTCCCTTTTGCTATCATGTCCACTATCATTCTGTTGAAACATTATTAACAAACATAAAACCAACTCACACAGAAAGCATAAGAATGGATTTCAGGATTTCTGAAGGGTTTCGAGTAGAAAATACTAATTCAAATAGAGCGAAAAGTCCTAAGAAATATAATATTTCCATCTGGGAGTATGAGAAACAGAAGGGGCAAATGTAGACACAGGACACTAATCTTGGCAGAGGTTGGAGGAAAACAAGGGTGCTGCTAAAGGAGGTAATAATGAAGTAACAACAGACCTCTTCAAAAACGATGATCCAGTATTCCATTCAAAGAAACTTTCAGGAATAGCAACCAACTCAGGCCCTCCCTTTCTAATTTCCTCAGGAACAAATATGTCTTTTCGTGCATATGGTGGAAAAGACAAGTGTTAGTGAGGAGAAAAGAGGGAGGCTATGAACCATCTCTGACCACTCCTTCCCCACCCACACTAACAAGCATACTCAAAGCCTGCCTTAAATGTGCCTTCAAGGCTGACATGATTTAGTAAAATATCATTGGCTAGAACAATCTCTAATCTTATCAACTCATGAAACTTCTTAAATGTAGTACAAAATCTCTTGCCATATGACTTAAATTTTCAAAGGATCTTTTTGACTGCTGTGTTAATAACAGACTACAGAGGGCAAGGGTAGAAGCAGGAAAACCTGTTAAAAGGCTGCTGCCATTACCCAGCAAGAGATGATGGTGGCTGTGGAGACAGTGAAAACTGGTTGAATTCTGGATATGTTTTAAAGTTACAGCCAACAACTTCCTGAAGGAATGAATGTTGGATAAGAAGATAAGACAGCAAGAGTCAAGAATGACTCCAAGGTTTCTGGCCTGAGCAACTGGAAAGCTGCCAAGAACTGAGATGAGGAAGGCTATGTGGACAGAGTAGGTATGAGAGAGCAGGTTTGGGAGGGAAAAGCAAGAATTCCATTTTGGACATGTTGAGTGTGAGATGTTTAAGAGCCATTCAACATAGGCAACTGGATATAAAAATAAGGAGTTACGGAGAGAGATCTGGGCTGAAAAAATTCATTTGAGAGAAAAATATTCAAAGCCACCAAACTAACAGAGATTGCTAAGGGAATGAGCATAGATAGAGAAGATAACCAAGGAGTGAGCCTTGGGATATTCCAATGTTTAGAGGTAGGCAAAAAGGAAAATCTACTAAGGAAGACTAAGGAGGAGCAGCCAATGAATTTTGAGGAAAACCAAGTAAATGTAGTAGCCTAAAAGGCAAGTTAAACAAGTATATCAAAGACAAGGAGAAAATAACTTTGTCAAACGTAGATCATCACCCAAGATAATGACAGAACTGACTACTAGATTTAATAATGTCATTTGTTGGAAGACATTAACAAAAGCAATCTTAGCACAGTGGTAGGGGCAAAGCCTGATTAGAACAGGCTTAAGAGAGAACATGAGAAAGAAATTAGGACAAGTGCATTTAGACAATGCTTTAAGGGGTTCTACAGAAAGAGAGCAAGAAAGAGCAATTGAGGGAAGATATTTTTATGATGAAAAAAGTAACAGTATGCTTGTATATTGATAGGAATTATCCAGAAGAGACAAATTGATGATATACAGAGAGAAGGGAGAATGGCTAGGGCAATGTCCAGAGTAAATCTATAGGAGTTACATACTACACTGTATATAAAGAACCTTGGAGAGTGGTTGGCATAAAAAGAACTTCACAGTTCATTAATGCATTAATCAGAGGACCTGGGACTATATAGAAACATAGAGAGTAAATCTATAGTAACACAAAGACAGCAGCAAGGTCTATTGAGTACAGATGTAGTCAATACATACATGTGGTGGCAGGAGTCTGTAAGTGTTCTTCTGACTGCTTGCATCTCACAATGAAGTAGAAATCAGGTCCATCAACTGAGAGTGAGTATGAGGAAGAGTGTTGGAAGTTTGAAGAGAAAAGCAAGGGTACAAACTAAGTCATCTATGAGAGGGGAGACTGAATGGACTAAGAAAATAGAGTACAATTGCCAGACAATATTCAGGGCAAGAAACCTGAGGTTTCTTACCATGAATTTAAAGTGAGGGCAGTTATCATATTTGTATTTTTCTTCAGTCACTTTCAGCCGCACAGATGTAGATATGAAGTACTCAAAGAGTTGATTTACCTAAGATTGAGGTTTTTGCCAACTAATTATGAAAAGGGCAGAAAGGAGCAAGTGAGTTGAAGGCATATGCAATATGACTGGCGATTGAATTATACAAGGTAAGGAAGGAAGAAAGGAAATCAACGGGGCAAGGTACAGTGAAAAGGCAATAGAATCAGTGGACTGACAGTTTTAATGACGGTGAGGAACTGTTGAGTTGAGGTACCAGGTAGAATGGGCTGAAAAGACAGCAGTCAGAAAGAGCTTAGAAAAAATGAAGAGGTTTCAAGTTATTGGTAATAACAAGGTATATGACATGATCATGAGGCCAGGTGTGGTGGCTCACACTTGTAATCCCAGCTCTTTGGGAGGCCAAGAAAGGAGGACTACTTGGGGCCAGGAGTTTCAGACCAGACTTGGCAACACAGCAAGACCCCATCTTTACAAAATATCTTTTTTAATGCATAAAAAAGATAGGACCATGAAGTGCCTTAAATGGGCTAGAGAGTAAGATCATTAAAGAAGACATTTAGAAATTAAGAGGTCACAGTATTAGAGGGACCATAGTGATATATATTGAAATTATCAAGAATTAAAAGAGACTTAGTGTTAGAAGAATGACAATGAGCCAGGAGCTAAACCAGTCAAGAAAAGAGAAGGTGTAACCCAGGTGGCAGTAGATGCCAGCAAACATGAGGATTTACAGACAATATAACCTGTTAATAGACAAGTTTTAAGGAGAACAAGAGAATGGTGGACAACTGCCCCATCTCCAGGCTCTTGGTTCCAGTCAGTGGAACCAGGCTCCCTCTTGACTCCTGTTCAAATGGAGTAGGTCAGAGCAGGAAAATGGTTGGTTGGTTGGTTGGTTTGTTTGCTTGTTTGTTTTTAGAGACAGGGTCTCACTACGTAGGCTAGGCTAGCCTTGAACTGAGCTCAGGGATCCTCCTGCCTCTACCTCTCAAGTAGCTGGGACTGCAGGTGTATACTACCATGCCTGGCCAGGAAATGTAGTTTCAAGTCTCAGTGCATAGGACTCCCCACTGATCCTTGATGACATTATCAGAAAAAAATGAAATATTTAATTGCCAATGTATAAGACAGCCAGGGGAAGCAGCATCCTCAGCAAAGTACGAAGTAGACAAAATGTTCAGAGAAAGACAAACAAGGATACAGGAAATTTTGCTGATGATAGACTGTGAATTCCACTGGGTTGCACAATGGCAAGATTTCAAGAGTTGAAGAGGATTGAAAAAAATAGTAAATACACCAAACCTTGTGGGGACATGAGTATCACCTAGGAGACTGATAGTAACTGACATAGAAAGGGAAAAGGGATAAAGAACATAATGAGATTAGTCCTGGTGGACTAATACAAGTAGCAGTGTCAAAGCTATGAAAATTGGAGGAAGGAATGTGGTATTTGAAGCTCCCTATCAATGGAAGACAACAGTTTGGGGAATCATGCTTTTGGTCTCAGTACAAAGGGCCTCCCCTTAAACCTTAATAATGGCTTGCAAAGAAACTGTAATGCACTTGTAAGGTGTTATAGAATTTTTTGAAACTAATAAGGAGGTTAGAATAGTGCTTAGCATCTAATAAGCGCTCACGGATAGGCTTTCATTAGCTAATCAAATGTAAAATATAAGTATTGTATCAAAAAAAAGAGATTCATTTATAGATTCCTTTCCTCAGCTATTAAACAAATGGGTTTCCCAAGTGATTTCAAGAAAACCTGTACCAAAAAAAAAAAAAAAAACTCAGAAAACTCATTTGAGAAAAAGGAGGAAGTCTTTGAGAAGGTAAAGTCCTATATAGTGTCCATCAATCTGATAACTGGCTTCTCTAAAAAAGTACCACCAGCGGTGGGGCGCAGTGGCTCACACCTGTAATCCCAGCACTTTGGGAGGCCAAGGCGGGCAGATCACCTGAGGTCAGGAGTTCAAGACCAGCCTGGCCAACATGGTGAAACCCCGTCTCTACTAAAAATACAAAAATTAGCCGGGCATGGTAGTGCGCGCCTGTAATCCCAGCTACTCGGGAGGCTGAGACAGGTGAATAGCTTGAACCCAGGAGGTGGAGGTTTCAGGGAGCCGAGATCGCGCCATTGCACTACAACCTGGGCAACAAGAATGAAATTCCGTCTCAAAAAAAAAAAAAAAAAAAAAAAGGACCACCAGCACTTTGAACACTTTTCTCCATCCATCCTACTTCTATGGTAGATTAACTTATTAATCCAACAAGCAAATATTGAGCACCTATTATGTGCCAAGTACTATTCCCAGAACCTGGAATACATCAGGGATCAAAACAAATATCCCTACCCTGGAAAGAGATCAACAACAAACAGTATATATATTAATTATATGATATGTCAGAACATAAGTGTTATAGAAAAAAGTAAAACAGTGCAAATATTAGAGGAAAGGGGCCTGAAATCCAAGTGTAAATAAATAGAGTAAGTAGACATCCAAAGTTTTCTCCAATAACATCCACGGAAAAGGCCCTAAGACCTTTCCATTTAGTTTTTGCCACTAGTTTGCATTATTAAATTCTTTTCTTCTTCTATTTTTTCTTCAAGCCACCAATTTTACTCTATTTTACTTCAGCAGTAGATAATAGCTAACATTTATGAAACATTTACCACATAGCATTGTTCTAAGTGTTTTTAAAAGATTAAATAATTACATCCTCACAATAGATCTATGAAATAGGTGTTCCTTTTGCCTCAATTTTACAAGGCAGAAAACTGAGGCACAAAAATATTAAGCAAAGTTTCCCAAGATCACATGGTTAGCAAGTAGCAGAGCCCTGGAGAAACATATACAATACATATTCCCTATTATGAAATTTAAGAGCAGCCTGGGCAACAAACATGGCAAAACTCCATCTCCACCAAAATACGAAAAGTTGGCTCACGCCTGTAATCCCAGCACTTTGGGAGGCCAAGGCGGGTAGATTACCTGAGGTCAGGAGTTTGAGACCAGCCTAGCCAACATGGTGAAACCCTGTCTCTACTAAAAATACAAAAATTAGCCGGGTATGGTGGCACATACCTGTAGTCCCAGCTACTCAGGAGGCTGAGGCAGGAGAATCGCTTGAACCCGGGAGGCGGAGGCTGCAGTGAGCCGAGACTGCGCCATTGCACTCCAGCCTGGGAGACAGAGCGAGACTCTGCCTCAAAAAAAAAAAAAAAAAAAAAAATAGCTGAATGTGATGGCATGCACCTACAGTGCCAGCTACTTGGGAGGCTGAGGTGGGAGGATTACCTGAGGCTGGGAGGCTATAAGGAGCCAAGATCTCGCCACTGCACTCCAGCCTAGGTAACAGAGTGAGACCCTGTGTCAAAAAAAAAAAAAAAAAAAAAAAAGAAAGAAAGAAAGAAAGAAAGAAAGAAAGAAAGAAAGAAAGAAAGAAAGAAAGAAAGAAAGAAAGAAAGAAATTTAAGAACATTCAGGGCTGGGTGGGAGCAATAGCTCATATCTGTAAATCCCAGTGCTTTTGGGAGGCCAAGGTGGGAGGATTGCTTGAGCCCAGGAGTTCAAGGCTGCAATAAGCTATGATTGTGCCACTGCACTCCAGCCTGGAAAACAAAGGAAGATCCTGTCTCTAAAATAAAGAAAAAGAATAATATTCAGCACAAACTGTCTCAAGTTTTCTCACCTCTAATAAACAGACTCTCTTACAGTATACATACAAAAACTGTGAATGCTCCTATTATATTGTTTTCTGGCCATTTTTACAGTTATTTTCTTGACTAAATAGTTTTTGTTTTTTTGTTTTTTGAGACAAGAGGTCTCACTCCGTCACCCAGGCTGGAGTGCAGTGGCGCAATCTCCACTCACTGCAACCTCCACCTCCCGGGTTCAAGTGATTCTTATGCCTCAGCCTCCCAAGTAGCTGGAATTACAGGCATGCACCACCATGCCCAACTAATTTCAGTATTTTTATTAGAGACGGGGTTTCGCCATGTTGGCCAGGCTGGTCTCAAACTCCTGACCTCACGTCATCTGCTCGCCTTGGCCTCCCACAGTGCTGGGATTACAGGCGTGAGCCACTGTGCCAGGCCAACTGAATAGTCTTTATCAGTCTCTGCTTAACATCTTCCTTAACCTCCCTGCAATCTGATTTATATTACCATTCTTAGTGTACTCAGTGGTCAGTGACCCTCACACCACCAAGCCAAAGGATTCTTTCTCTATTCTCATTCTCCTCGAACTTCGTATTGGACTATGTCCACCTCTGTGCCCTTCTTCCTGAAACCTCCTTGGCTACCTAGAAGCAACACTATCCTGAATCTTCCTATTCCTCTCTCTCTCTCTCTCTCTCTCTGACCTTTCCCTTAGAAAATCTCTTCCTTTGGATTCTGAGCCAAACTTTTCCATCTTCCTTTTACCTCTCCTACTGTTCTTATTAAAGTATCTTTTTCACTTCTACCCCTGAAACGTAGGAACCCCAAAAGTTTAAGTTGAGTCCACTGTTCTCTCATTTTCTTTTTATTTTTTGAGACAGAGTCTCTGTCACCCAGACTGGAGTGAAGTGGCACAATCACAGCTCACTGCAGCCTCGATCTATCAAGCTCAAGCGATCCTCCCCACTTAAACTCCCAAGTAGCTGGGACTACATGAGTGCACCACCAAGCCTGGATAATTATTTTTTTTTTTTAAGAAATGGAGTCTCACTATAATTGCCCAAGATGGTCTTGAACTCCTGGGCTCAAGCTATCCTCCAGCCTCGGACTCCCAAAGTGTTGGATTACAGGCGTGAGCCACTGCACCCAGCTCTTTTTTATATTCTCATAGGGTCAGGCATGGTGGCTCACGCCTATAATCCCAGCACTTTGGGAAGCCGAGGCAGGCGGATTGCTTGAGGCCAGGAGCTCAAGACCAGCCCGGCCAACACAGTGAAACCCCATCTTTACCAAAAAATACAATAATTAGCCAGGCATGGTGGCACGTGCCTGTAGTCCCAGCTACTCAAGAGGCTAAGGTAGGAGAATTGCTTGAACCCAGGAGGCGGAGGTTGTGGTGAGCCAAGATTGCGCCACTGCACTATAGCCTGGGTGAGAGAGTGAGACACTGTCTCAAAATAAAAATAAAAGACTCTGATAGTCTCTTTTAAGGTTCATTCATCCAATTAAGTATTTATTGAGCATCTACCATCAACCAGGTTCTGTTTGGGTTGCTTAAAATAGATTAGTGAACAGAACAGACCAAAAAAAAATCCTCTGTCCTTATAGTGAAATAATTCTATGCTACCAAGCACACTCAAAACTATCTTCCCCTAAATACTATTTTAAACACATCACTATCATGACTTAAAAACAACAATAACAACCTTGCAATGATTCCCCTCTTATCAGCATCTAATTTTCTATGCCTTAGTTCAAAACACTTGATAATCATTTTCTATTGTATCCATACAGGTTCATTTTCCATTACTCTCTGATTCAAGGGAATTCCAGGCAGGCCAATCTTCTGATTACCCCTCAAACACATTCCTTATATTTCTATGTGGTCAAGTGATTACTGAAAATATATGTTTAGTACTTAGACATTGTTTTACAAGTGTACTGAATTAATAGAGAAATTCAAAGATGAATGTTTTTTATTCCTTCAAATGCATAAAAACAGCAAACACTTAGACAAAGCGACGATGTGCCAAACACTATTCCAAGCACTTTATATACATTAACCCATTTATTCCACACAACAATCCTGGTATCTCCATTTTACAAATGAGGAAGCTGAGTCCCAAAGACGGTAAAGTAACAACCTAGGTCTCACAGATAGTAAGTAAGTGGCAGAGCCAACATTCATATGTAGGAAGCCTGGTTCCATACTACCCAGCATACTCCCAGCAGAAGTAATAAAAACAAATAGAGTTCAAAACTGAAACTGAAAACTACATTCGACTATAAAAAGTTATGTATAATTAATCCTTTACTCCAAATAATGAAGAACAATATTTCCTCTAATATGTCAAGTTTAAATTATAGAATTTAATAGTATATAATAAAAACCACAATCTACAAACATGAATACACCATCTATCATTCAGAGTTCCCCAAAGCTGAAAATACTTGCTAGGCATGACAAAGAATATATGGTGACACAGGTCTAACTTGTGTTCTTTTGTTAGCATGCATATATTAAAGTATTTTGCTGTCATCCTTGCTTTCATCAGAATCAAAATAGATTTGAATACAATCTTTAAGGTTTTTATGTTTGTTTGTTTGTTTTTGAGACGGACTCTTGCTCTGTCACCCAGGCTGGAGTGCAATGGCATGGTCTTGGCTCACTGCAACCTCCGCCTCCTAGGTTCAAGTGATTCTCCTGCCTCAGCCTCCTGAGTAGCTGGGATTACAGGCACATGCCACCATGCCCGGCTAATTTTTCTATTTTTAGTAGAGACAGGGTTTCACCATGTTGGCCAGGCTGGTCTCGAACTCCTGACTTCGTGATCCACCTGCCTCGGCCTCCCAAAGTGCTGGGATTAAAAGACTGCCAGCTTTACTTTTTGGAAGCAAAATTCACATGTAGGACTAGGTCCTGTATGACAGAAAAAAATTTAGGAGAAGCAAAAAAAATCCCCAAAGCATTTAACTCATATAGGTACTCTTCAACCTATCACCAACTTTACGGCTAAAGGATCTTTTAAAGGGTTTCTAAGGACTCATAGAGAATTCAATTATTTTATAACTGATTACATAAAATTAAAATCCAAAGGCAGAGGTTTTTTTCATAAAACAATCCTGACATATTAAAAGATAGGGAGTGCCTAACTACAACATTATCATTTTCTTCTCTTTCCAGTTTCCCCTGCTCTTCAGGCAGAGAAAAGACATAAATTTGTCAGGTTTTGAGACGGAGAGATTAAAACAAACAAACCAGGACAGGGATGCTAGTTTGATTTGGAAAAGGCTAGACTGTATGTAGCCTCTCCAACTAGTAATGACAGCCTAACTAGAAAAGAAAAGGTATGTAGATAAAGGCAGCCAAAAAAACAATGCCATCAATGCCATAGGCAAAAATCCACAGCAGCTACTATTCCCCACTTTATTTTCTGCCTCTCCTCCCTTTTCCTGGGTAAGGAAAGCACCCAAAGCACCCCCAAGGCCACTCACAGAAAACCAATTTCTTCCCAAGCACTGTATGAATTAAAAAAAAAACATAAACTATTAATAATTTGAGATTAATTCAATTTAATCTCAAATTTTCGAACAGTTTGGAAAAGATTTTTCAAACAGGGAGTCGTTTTCTCCTCTCCTCACCCACAGCAACCCACTATGACACTCATAAAGTCATCCCATACTCCAAGGGATTAAATACAAATTTCCTGGGGAAAACACTGGATTTGGCAGCTATCACTGAAGATATTCCCAAATACTAAGGTTCTCCTGTATACCCTATATTTGATATTTTCTTCCCTCCCACATACACTGGTGACAGCAAGAAAGATGGATAATCCTTCTCAAGATTCTCTACACAATGGATATCTCAACTCAAATCTCAAATCCAAAATTAAAACATGAAAACCCCTGTTAAAACAAACCCCCCAAGGAGAAGGCAATGGCTTTCTATTCTAGTGTTCATTTTCAACAGCACACACGATCAGCTAAATGAGGAAGTTTTAAAATGTCAAAAATATTTCTGTCATATTACTAGAATGAAAGAGGTCTAAGGATAGAGGCGATGCCAACGAAAAACAGATTATTTCCCAATAATGTACTATGTTGCATCATCTTAATCACTATTTCCCAAGTCACTAAAAGGTTCATGGCATTATGATAGGTCCTATATTTTATAATAACAATAAAGAAAATGGTAAAATTAAGTTTAATTTTAAAATTATAAGCACAGTTGAGATGTTTTCAGACTCAACTGTGGGAAACTTTGAGATCCACATGCTACATACAGTAGAGGAATACCTGAGACATTGAAGGAAGCATGAAGATAATAAGTGGCAATACAGTATTATTCATCTACCTCATTTACAAAGCGAGAAACAAGAAACCTACTTTTTTCCCCCAGCTTTAAAATAAAATGTAAAATTTTCCTTCACAAAACAAAGTATGCTATCCAGAAATACACAACAGATCCAGAAAGTTGGCTTAATGCAGGGTCTACAAACCAAAACAAAGAATTTTAAAAAAACTTCAAAGTTCACAGAACTTAAAAAAAAAATTCCAACCAAAACATATACGGCTGATGTTTAACCAGACCTGTTTTTTAATATTACCTGTGCAAAACAAAGATATCGAAGTAAATGAAAGGATAAGTTTTCATTTCACAATCTCCCTGTATACTTCCTCAGCCTGCGGACCTACCTTTATTCATCCTTAAAGGGAGTTGGTAGCTAGAAATATTTAATGCCCTACTTCATCAGAATTTTCTTTAGCTCTGATCAGGCCATTATTAAAGTCATCCAGTAATATTTACTGGTTATAGCTATTCAAATGTGAGTAGTCTCCTAATAACCGTTCTGAACTAATATACACATAGGAAGCAGGTAAGGCCTAAATTTCTCTTTTACAAATGAAGTATGTTCATTTCTCTTACTGTAATAAAGATAATATTTCTTTATTTTCCAAGCTCCTATTCTCCAGTGAATATCTTTAAAATCATTCAGAAACACTGGTAGCTATTTTCTACTAAACCTTTTTTTTTTTTTTTTTGGAGACAGAGTTTCATTCTGTAGCCCAGGCTGGAGTGCAGTGGTGCCATCTTGGCTCACTGCAACCTCCGCCTCCCGGGTTCAAGCAATTATCCTAGCCTCAGCCTCCCAAGTAGCTGGGATTACAGGGGCACACCACCATACCTAGCTAATTTTTGTATTTTTAGTAGAGACGGGGTTTCACTATGTTGGCCAGGCTGGTCTCAAACTCCTGACCTCAAGCAATCCTCCCACCTCAGCCTCCCAAAGTGCTGGGATTACAGGTGTGAGCCACCACACCAGGCCTACTAAAACTTTTTGAGGCTGTTATTGGAGTAATCATCTATCACTTTCTTCGCAAAAGCTGGGCTTGGATAACAAATTGCAGTTTACTATCAAAGACAAATAGACCACATTTCCTCAGTTCTCTACTCTTCAAAACCTTGGTGTCACTTTAGGGCATGAGGGACTAAAGAGAAGATGGAATCAATTATCTGACAAATCCTGTAGAATTTCCATCCTAACGTCTCTCAGAATAGCTCCTTACCTCAGTGGCTTGGTCTCTAATTTTTCAAACAAACCTCAAGTGTCATCCCCAAAATATGCTGCACACTATTGAACGAGTAATCTTTCTGAAAAACACTCTCATGTTTTCTCCTGCTCCCTATCAACCTCTACTGGCTTCTTATTGCTTAGCAGATTAAATTCAACCTGACACCAATACACCTTTCATAATCTAGCTCTACCCTACTAATACAAATTTATCTGCCACCATTCCCAGTAATTAACACTTTATTCCATTGAGATCAGACTCCTTACATCCCTCTCACATCATGCTAGCCCCTATCAAGTGTTTGCTCATTCTTTACTGTGGTCTAAATGTCTCCTCCACAACGCATATTGAAATTTAATTGCCAGTGTGGTAGTATTAAGAGTTGAGGCCATTAAAAGAGGTGATTAGGCTATGAGGGCTCTACCCTCATCAATGATAATGCCATAGTAATGGAAGTAGGTTCCTGATAAAAAGCAAGTTCTGCCCTCTCTGTTCTTGTTCTCTCACCCTCTCTTGCTCTTCTACCTTACACCATGGGATGACATAGCATGACGGCCCTGCCAGATGCCAGTGCCATGTTCTGGTTCTTCCCAGTCTCCAAAACCATGAGCCAAATACATTTCTGTCGATTATAATTATCCAGTCTGTGGTATTCTGTTATAGCAGCATAAAATGAACTAAGACATGCTTCCATTCCCTATATAGAACGTACATAATGTTCTCCTTCTGGATATGCTAGCCTATACAAACAGTACACAATCTTTATTCAAGACTCATCTTCTTCAGGAAGCCTCACTCCTAGGACTTTAGTCTGAAGATATCCCTGTACAAACAGACTGGACTCATACTACATGTAGCACACATTATTTGTACACTGCTTTGGACAGTGCTAATTATATCATTATGAAAGTATTCTTGACAAGATAAACTCTACAAAGAAGTTCTGCCAAATTTTCCAAGAAGTGGTTCCATAAGCAAAGTCTGTTTGAAAAATTGATTAAGGCTGGGTGCAGTGGCTCAGGCCTGTAATCCCAACACTTTGGGAGGCCGAAGCGGGCAGATCACCTGAGGTCAGGAGTTCAAGACCAGCCTGGCCAACATGGTGAAACCCTGTCTCTACTAAAAATACAAAAACTTAGCCAGGTGTGGTGGCGGGCGCCTGTAATCCCAGCTACTGAGGAGGCTGAGGCAGGAGAGTTGCTTGAACCCGGGAGGTGGAGGTTGCAGTGAGCCAAGATCATACCACTGCACTCCAGCCTGAGCAACAAGAGCAAAACTCCATCTCAAAAAAAAAAAAAAAAAAGAAAAAAAGAAAAGTTGATTAAATAATCCTGATTTTGGCAGGGCACAGTGGCTCACGTCTGTGATCCCAGCACTTTGGGAGGCTGAGGCAGGTGGATCACCTGAGGTCAGGAGTTTGAGACCAGCCTGGCCAACATGGTGAAACCCTGTCTCTACCACAAATATAAAAATTAGCTGGGCATGGTGGCACACGCCTGTAGTTCTAGCTACTTGGGAGACTGAGGCAGGAGAACCGCTTGAACCCAGAAAGCAGAAGTTGCAGTGAGCCGGGATGGCACCACTGCCACTTTAGCCTGGGTGACAGAGTCGGACACCATCTCAAAATAAATAAATAAAGACATTTTATTATATCACAGCATAGTGGCTCACACCTGCAATCCCAGCACTTTGGGAGGCTGAGATAAGAGGATCACTTAAGCCCAGAAGTTTGAGACTACCCTGGGCAACAGGGTGAGCCCCCATTTCCACAAAAAATAAGAAAATTAGCTGGGCATGGTCCTGTGCCTGTAGTCAGAGCAACCTGAGAGGCTGAGGTGGGAGAATTGCTTGAACCCAGGAGTTCAAGGCTACAATGAGCTAGGATCATGCCACTGCACTCCAGCCTGGGCAACAGAGACCATCTCAAAAAAAAAAAGAAAAAAAGTTCTAGTACGAATGAAACAATGTAATGACTAAGATTTGATACTATTTGAAGCTGAGTAACAGGTACATGGTGGTTCATACCTACTTTTGTACTTGTTTAAAAATACCAAAAGTTCCTTTTTAAAAAAGTACTAATAACGTCTTTATATCATTTTAAATGGCAAAACCAAAATATAACATTTTCTTTACCCAAGGAAGACATAGGTCCCTACTGACAGTAAGAAAAATGTGTGCAGAAAGATTTAATGCAGAATCCTAATTCTCATCTAAGAATTAATAAAAGTTAGAGGAAAAAATATAATCAAATAGAAAGGATTTCCATGAAAAGAAAAATTAATCCTAACTACTAAAAGCAACACTGTTTATATTATACAACTTCAATTAGAGCATTCACAAGACGGTCCACCCAAATAACTGATGAAACTTTAAAACTTCAGAAAAAAATCTTAAGCAAAATATGGGAGGCAGAAAATAAAGGGGAAAAAAGGAAAAAAGTTGCTACAACCAATGTTCAATAACACAAATCAGCCAATGTTATTTTAGAAAATTCACAATCTGAAAACACCTGATGCTCTAAGGGAATGGATTAAAAGGTTCTTAAATAATCAGAAAATTAGCACTTCCACTCTATTCCAAACTCTGAAAAACATGCTCAGAAAATTTCAGATATTTGGATTAATGACCATGTATCTGTTTGTTGCTATTAAGAAATGCTCCACCCCTTTGAAATTTCAGTCTAATTGCTTTTCAAAATTCAATCACTATTTTGCCTACATCATTCACTAATTGCTTCCAAAAGCAGTAATATAAGATCTACTAATTTTTTTTTTTTTTTTTGGAGACAAAGTCTCACTCTGTCACCCAGGCTAGAGTGCAATGGCGCAATCTCAGATCACTGCAACCTCTGACTCCCAAGTTCAAATGATTCTCCTGCCTCAGCCTCCCGAGTAGCTGGAATTACAGGCACGTGCCACCACATCCGGCTAATTTTTTTTTTTTTTTTTTTTTTTTTTTATTTTTATTTTTTTTGAGACGGAGTCTCGCTCTGTCGCCCAGGCTGGAGTGCAGTGGCGGGATCTCGGCTCACTGCAAGCTCCGCCTCCCGGGTTCACGCCATTCTCCTGCCTCAGCCTCCCAAGTAGCTGGGACTACAGGCGCCCGCCACTACGCCCGGCTAATTTTTTGTATTTTTAGTAGAGACGGGGTTTCACCGTTTTAGCCGGGATGGTCTCGATCTCCTGATCTCGTGATCCGCCCGCCTCGGCCTCCCAAAGTGCTGGGATTACAGGCGTGAGCCACCGCGCCCGGCCCATCCGGCTAATTTTTGTATTTTTAGTAGAGATGGGGTTTCACCATGTTGGCCAGGCTGGTCTCGAACTCCTGACCTCGTGATCTGCCCACCTCGGCCTCCCAAAGTGCTGGGATTACAGGCGTGAGCCACCGTGCCCGGTCACATCTACTATTTTTAAGGGAAAGCATTTTATTCTTCTAATTACACTGCTTTTTTGCCTTGACCTTTTTTCCAAACTGGTTTTAGGCATATCCACAAGCCAATTTTGATTATTTTGATTTCAAATTCTACTCCATAATTGCTTTAAAACTCAAGAGGTGAGATTTTAGTAGCCATACTTTAAAAAAGTTGTTTTTGAACAGTTATCTGACATACACACCTATACAAATAGCAAGACTTATCCTAATAGCAATACATCATCTGCCCATCACCCAAAGCAATTAAAGCTTAAAACAGGACAACTCTCCTGTATAAACAGAGTTTAATAATAAAGAAGCCGTACTTGAGGCCGGGCACAGTGGCTCACACCTGTAATCCCAGCACTTTGGGAGGCTAAGGCGGGCAGATCACGAGGTCAGCAGTTCGAGAACAGCTGGTCAACATGGTGAAACCCCATCTCTACTAAAAATACAAAAATTAGCTGAGTGTGGTGGCGGACATCTGTAATCCCAGCTACTCGGGAGGCTGAGGCAGGAGGATTGCTTGAACCTGGGAAGCAGAGGCTTCAGTGAGCCGAGATCGTGCAGCTACACTCCAGCCTGGGTGACAGAGCGAGACTCCGTCTTGGGGAGTAGCGGGGAGAAAAAAAGCCATACTCACAAATAAACCTGTTAAGATGAAAAATAAACTCATACTCAAACTGTGTTATACCATCCTTAAAGTTAGGTTTTCCTACCAAGTAAAAGTAATCATCTTCTTTTTAGTAGCTTATAATTTCTCTTTTCTGATAAAAAGAAAAATATGCTGCTAAAATCTAAGTACTAAAATCTAAGGAGACAAAATAGTGGTGAAATTTTTTATAAACTTTGTAATTAAATAATAAAGAATCGTATCATAAAAAAGAAATGTGTCACAGAACCAGTTAGATTCTATTATAGTAGAAAAAGTTGACATTTACCACATAATCTTTTCTAATAAAGAAGTCCACATAACAAGATTAAAAACAATTGTGAAGTTCTTTTAGAAAACCAATAAATGCATGATTAAAAAGTCCCACATATCTTCTTTCCTTGCATCACAAAAATAACTGGGTAAATTATGCTAGCTTTTAAATTTGAGTACTCTCAACTTTTGAGGAAAATATGTATATACTACAATCTTTAAAATATTGAGGATATTGTCATCTTTTATTCAGGAATGGATATTTGCAGATTTTTCCTAATATCTTTGAGGTAACATAAAATATTATAAAATCTCAGAATGTGTTAAACAAGTTTTATCCAATACATGCTATTCCAGTGGGATAAAAACCATTTACAAGTTCCATTTAGATTAAGAAATCCTTTGAGAAAATTATGTAGTACATTCTAGTTATACTGTTTCTAGAACAGCAAAAATCTCTATAACCTATTTCCCTACTGTTTTCTTCAGAACCAAATGAGCTGAATGTAACTTCCTTCACAAAGAGTCAAGACAGTATTATAGTTACTGTAAGAGAGCTAACTAACTGAATTTTCACCAGAGGCTGAAGTTTTCACAAATTAAAACCATTTTACTTAAATGATCTATAAAAATAATAACACTAAGTTTAAACATATTTAATTGAGTACTATTTGCAGTCACATTAGAAAATTTAATTTTAGGCCTGGCATGGTGGCTCACGTCTGTAATCCCAACCCTTTGGGAGGCCAAGGTGGGCGGATCACGAGGTCAGGAGTTCAAGACCAGCCTGACCAACATGGTGAAACCCCGTCTCCACTAAAAATACAAAACTTAGCCGGGCATGGTGGCACACGCCTGTAATCCCAGCTACTCAAGAGACTGAGGCAGGAGAATCGCTTGAACCTGGGAGGCAGAGGTTGCAGTGAGCCAAGATCGCACCACTGCACTCCAGCCTGAGTGACAGAGCGAGACTGTCTCAAAAAAAAAAAGAAAAGAAAAGAAAAAGAAAGAAAAGAAAATTTAATATTTTTCTCATACAAAACAACAAAAAGATAAATTTATTAAACTGAAGAATATGGATTCCTTTTAAAGCCAAGATTAGGGAGGTGAAAAAAGGGAAGATTTCTAAATCCAAACTGCTTAAACTGATAAGATATTTTTTCATTCCTTTAAAGCACACAAAATCATTTTTAAAATAAGACTCCCCTAAAGCTAGGAGTTCATCCACTGGCAACACCCTTTCTTTAACAAATGAGTTGCAAGTTATCGCTAGTACTCCCATTTAGACTCAAGTTGAAGGGCATTACAAAAACAATTTTATTTTTCTGCACTTTGTCATTTGATTATAACTGTCTCATCCTAATTTTATAATAGGCCAACTTTAAGCGATTCATGTTCAAAACCTTCTTACAGAAATAATCTATTGATCTCAAGAATTCAACTACTCAACCTGGCAGAAAGTATTCCAAATTATCAAAAGAAACCATGAAAATATGAAGCTTCAGTGTTCATAACGTTAGATCAAAAAACTAAAACCAAGCAAAACTATTTAGAAATCTCAGCTCCCTATTTCCTATCAAAATGTTAAAGAACTTTAGATATCTTCTTTAAACGTACTAAAGATACAAAAGTAAATTCCTTTTGACTTCAGAGGGCTGAAATGAAGAATTCAGTAACTGCGGGCAAAAATTATGGAGGGGAAAGAATTACTTGAGAAAATATTTCGTGAGACAAATACCTTTTTTTAAAAAAAAAGATGTATTAAAATCACTTACTCCCTTCTACCAGACAAACAATCCTCTCCTAGAACTCACTGCTTACAATTCAGCCAAGTATGACTGCCAAGAGTTTCTAAACCTGTGTTAGGATTTTTAAAAGTGGAAAGCTTCTCCACCAGTGTATTACAACAAAAAGTATATTTTTTAGAGTTAAAGATCAACTATTAAATACACTCCTACTGATAAACTAAATGTAAGTGATTAAAAAAAACCCAAAACTCAACTTGTAACTTAGCACAAAGTTTGCTATATAAATTGCTTGCAGTTCTAAGAGTAGGTATTTATTTGGTCCCCCAAATTGGGGCTTAAGTGGCTGAAAGAAAAAAGTTTTATAAACAGCTTTTCTAACCTTAGTTTACATTTGGTAAAACAGACCATTTATCACAATCAAGTGAACATAATGCCAAATGTTAAGATTCCAAATTTTACAGGTAAAATTTGTAAAAATTACAATAACCCAGTAATGGACTGCCACATGAGACTGTCACTGATTTTAAACATTTTTACATATATCTTAAGAATACAATGTCATGTAAGTCATGTTTAAACTTGGGATGTATGTATTTGAACTATGTAATCTTGGTTGCTTTTCTGGTAATTCTTTATCTCACAGTGGTCTGATTATAGCCAGGGCTGCTTCTTCCCATTTTACCATTAGTCAGTACATCTTAATTTTGCTTTCACCAAAACATGGACATCATAAGCCACCTCTTGCTTCCAGTTTTCTGCTTTTTACTGTAGATAACAATGACAGTGAGTTCCACCAAATGCATGTATGTGCACAGCTTTGTCATTCTTTTCCCAGCCCCCTTCTTTTCTATGAGAAAAATACGAGGAACTTAGGTTTATATAAAAATGTCGATTTTTCTTTTGCATACATAACTAATGGATTTTCAAGACAAGACAATTTATTCTGATAACTATCATCCTAGAAATGTCAAGAGAACTTCCCAAATCCAAAAATAAGAAGAAAATCTGATATTAACTGGAGAGGAAATTTCCACTCAAATCATAAATAAAATGTCATCAATTAAGCTGAACATCAATAAAACTCAGTCAAAAATCAAGCCTCAATACAGAACCCACACATAACCCACATGTAATCAAAATATCACTTATATTTGCTAGCGGAGTTCACAGATGAATTCTGTATGTGCGCCAGATTTATCTTATTTTGTAATGCTGGGGTTAATATTTATTGGTATAAATCAGGGCCCACACTAAGTGTCCTGGGGAGAGGCAATCCAAAGAACGCTTAGTAGCATGATAAAACCGGTCCAAAACGAAAAAAAAGAAAAAAAGCCAAGTCCTAACACAACAGAGCGAATAAGCGACAAATAGATCACAGAAAGCAAAACGAAAACGGTCCTCTCCGGAGTAGCCTGAATAAAAGATCTTCACTCATAACGTTTAATAGTATCCTACCTCACTTCATTCACTTCCCAACTTCCTTTTACTTTTCAAGGGCCACCACGGGGCTTCCCTTTTTCTGGAAGTGTATATTGAAAGGATCTGTACAGGAAAGAGGGAAGGAACGGACAATTCTCAAGAAGGCTGAGAAACAGGTGGGTTAGCAGGAGGAGCATAATCTAGATACTTAAGGGGCAGCTTTAAGATGACAGATGTGGTGGAAGGAAAGACTGCAAATCGGAAGCAGCTCTAGTGTGGCAGATACACTGTGGGCTGATTGCAAGCACCAGAGGGGGGCAAAGGCTAACTCCAGAGTGGTAGCAGTGGAGCAAAAAAACAAGCAGCAGGACGAGTGGGCAATGAGCAGTGGGATTAATGAGCAGCAGCAGCCAACACGGATCAGAGTGGAAGTGATGGCTTTGGTCTTGGGAGACGGGGGCCAGAGGGAAAGGACGTCAGACAGGGAACAGGGGATTGGGGAAACAAGGAGGGCTGAGACCTAAGAATCCTGCCCCGGTGAAAATGCAGGGGGAAAAGCTGGAGACCAAAAGCCGCCTCGGCTCCCCAATTAAAGAAATTCTCGAAGGAGAGTCGCTGCTTGCCGCCGCGCTGCCTTCTGACCCGCTCCCTTTTCCTTATGGTAACTGCTGTGGCGTAAAGGGGAGAGGGAGGAAGAGGAGGAGGAGGAAGAAGACCAAGGAGGAGGAGGGTGAAGATGAGGCGGGGGGTGGGGAGAAAGGGGGGTGCGGCCTGTACAGTCCCAGCGAAGCCTCCGCTCTCTCGTAGCCGGTCAGCCCCGGGTTTCCCCTAAGCCCAGCCCCGCATAGACTCACCCGCCTGCCTTGCCTCGCTTTTCCCTCAGCCGACTCCACGGGCTGCCGCGTCCTCACAAGAAACCACCGAACGAGCGTCGGGGAAAAAACTCTTCAGAACCGGGCCTGATTGCTTCAGCGAGTCCGACCTTTACGGCTGAGAGAGAGACTCTCAGCTTTCGGTGGGTTCCACAGCCAGACGGGCCACCATCTTACATTAGGGTAAGACTCCTCCGGCCTCCCGTGCGCAGGCGCACGCTGATCCGGCCAGGAGGGGCGGGGGAGGGGCGGGAGGAGCGGCGGGCGGCTGAGTGGGAGGTTGCGGTGGCCGCTCCCGCAGCACCCTGGGAGTTGAAGTCCTCGGAGGGTAACCTCCCAGGGGCACGCCGGGAGTTGAAGTCCTCTCTCAGAGGGCGGAGGGGATCGCCCACCTCACGTGGCTGCTGGACTGATGCCTTTCTTCGTGTTTTGCTTCCTTCTCTGCACGCGTGTGCTGCTTCAATGTCATTTGGTCGGCGGTTTTCACTAGTGATTCCGTGTCCTCGGTGTTTGCGGAAATGTGCTACCCCAAGACTGGGGCGAGGCTAAACAGTTTTTCGGGGAGCCCGGAATGTTTATTCTCTGCCCCGCCCACCAGGGATATCTAAAGGGGGCGGGGTGGAGGTGGAGGCAGGTTGTGGGTACGAAGAGCGCGGGATTTGATCCAGGGTGAGAATTTGATACAGACTTGGCGTCTGTTTGCGAACAAGGAGGAAACAGGCGCCTGTTTAATTCATTTCCCTGTCCTTGCGCATTTGGGGCCACCACCCTTGATCCCTTCTTCACTGTAAAATCACCAGTGAAGACATACACTAAATTGTTCTGTGCAGATTACCCAAGAGAACGGAACACCCGTGCACTTACAATAACGTGCTTCTGTTGGTGTGAATTTGAGAATTTGCGGACCTCGGTGCAAATTAGTGTTAGTTCGGTGTCCAGCCAGCACAGCTGTGTGCAAGTTTACAAACTACACACATCGGCACATCCCCAAGAACAATAAATGCAGCCACAATCCCTACGAGCACTGAGGAATCATCAGTCACAAAAGTCAGTCAATGTACTGGTCGCCCCGTTTGCATCCCAGAACTCTGGTGGAAGTGGCGCTCGAAGCAGTAACTTTTGCTTATTGCATGTATTCTTCACCCACTCATACAGCAAATACTCAATGAGCTCCTCCTAGCTGCCGGGTACTCTTCTATATATTGAGAATACAATGGTGAGCAAAATAGAAAAAATTCCCTGTCCCTATTCTAGTGATGTGTTGGGATGAGGAAGAGGAGAGAAGAGGCATTATTTTAAAAATACGTGATTAAAATGCATAGTATGTCATAACCGATTTTAAAAACTTAAAGCAGGGAAGGGGAGTAGGGAAAGAGGTTGCAGTTTTAAATTTACGAACTTAATTTCATAATAAGCCCTCAATTCATTGTTTTTTCTTTTTTTTTTTTTTTGAGACGGAGTCTAGCTCTGTCACCCAGGCTGGAGTGCAGTGGCGCGATCTCGGCTCACTGCGACCTCCGCCTGCCGGATTCAAGTGATTCTCCTGCCTCAGCCTCCCGAGTAGCTGGGATTACAGGCACGTGCCACCACGCCAGGCTAATTTTTATATTTTTAGTAGAGACAGGGTTTCACCATGTTGGTCAGCCTGGTCTCGAACTCCTGACCTCAGGTAATCTGCCTGCCTCGGCCTCCCAAAGTACTGGGATTACAGACGTGAGCCAGGGCACCCGGCCTCATTCTTTTGGTACATTGGTTTTCTGTGTTTCAGTTTCCTCACTATAAACCTAGAGACAACAGTTACTTGGGTAAAAATTAAAATATGTAGTGAAGTCACATTTTACCCAAAGTTTGAAATTATAGAATCATGAAATGATTACCTAGCAAGGAAACTTGGGAAATTATTTGGATTTCCCTTTAGGTAATTAAATGCCTAAACATTCAATATGGTTGACATTTTTATTTAAAAATGTGTTTATTGTTCTTGTATATATTACTGATTCTATAGTAGTATATAAACAAAGTAATGAAAAGAACAAAATAAAAAGAAGCCTTCCCATTATGAAAGATTAGAATCATCACAGTAAAAACTGGAAGGGATCTTAAGCATCACCTAATCCAGTGGCAACCTTATCTTACCCAACATTCCTTTTTTTAATAAATGTTTTTATAATATGCTCTTTGTTAGCCTAAAATGAAATTCATAGGTATATAAACTACCTATATACATGATTTCATCTGAAATCAAAATGATGTGCTATTTATAATATAAATGATATGAAGAAAATATTTTATAATAAAATTGTATTTCAATATATAAATGCTCAGCATGACCATTCTAGAAATACAGTCAAGTCATGGTTTGCTAGCACTTATAAATAAAATATCCAACACTAGGGGGCAATGCCACCCCTGTATTGAGACTGACAGTAAGGAGGTGACAGTTCCTAGGTCACCAATTGTAAGAGTCACTACCATCTCAGGCCAGTACTCCTTTTACTATACTACATTGCCAGTTTTCATATGTTTATGTATGCATATGTGTATATATATACTATCATATAGACTTATGTATGTAACACTTCATTCTCATATAATTTTAAAAGTTAACATTAAATTTGGCCAGGTGTGGTGACTCATGCCTGTAATCCTAGGACTTTGGGAGGCTGGGGCGGGAGAACTGTTTGAGGCTAGAAGTTCAAGGCTAGCCTGGGCAACCTAGGGAGACTCTGTCTCTACAAAGATAAAATTTGAAAAACAGCTGGGTATGGTGGTGCCTGCCTGTGGTTCCAGCTACTTGGGAGGCTCAGGTGGGAGGATCACTTGGGCTTGGAAGTTGAGGCCGCAGTAAGCCATGATCATGTCATTGTCCTCCAGCCTGGGCAACAGAGTGAGACTCTGTCTCAAAACAAAACAAAACAAAACAAAAAACATTCAGTTGTATTACTTTGCTTACCTAATGATTCCTAAGTGTGGAACCTATCTATTCACTTAACAAATCTATTTTGCCTTTAGGCATTGTGCTCAATGCTGGTGGTATAGCAAAACAATGGTCAGCAAAACATGGTCCCTGTCCTCATAGAGCATAATGCCTAGTAGAAAAAGCAGAGATTAAATAATCATATAAATAAATAACTACAAGCATATAAACAGAATTTCATATATATGATTACAATTGGTCATGAGTACTAAGAAGATGTATAAAGGATGTTATGAGAAAGTTTAAGAGGGGAGCCTAATTTAGATTGGTGGGGAGAGGAGGGTAGTCTTTACCAGGTTGAGAGTGGAGAATATGCAGAGACAGGAGGTGGTTAAAAAAAACACTCACCACAGGCTGGGCACGATAGCTCACACCTGTAATCCCAGCACTCTGGGAGGCCAAGGCGGGTGGATCACCTGAGGTCAGGGGTTCAAGACCAACCTGGCCAACATGGTGAAACCCCGTCTCTACTAAAAATACCAAAAAAATTAGCCAAGTGTGGTGGCAGGTGCCTGTAATCCCAGCTACTCAGGAAGCTGAGGCAGGAGAATTGCTTGAACCCAGGAGGTGGAGGTTGCAGTGAGCCAAGATCACGCCACTGCACTCCAGCCTGGACAACAAGACCGAAACTCTGTCTCAAAAAACAAACAAACCTCACCATGGCCAGGCATGGTGACTCATGCCTGTAATCCCAGCACTTTGGGAGGCAGAGGCAAGCTGACTTGAGCCGAGGAGTTCGAGACCAGCCTAGGCAACCTGCCAAACCTGCCAAAACCAGCCTAGGCAACCTGCCAAAACCCACCAAAAATACAAAAAATAAGCCGGGCGTGGTGGCACACATCTATTGTCCCAACTACTCAGGGGGGCTGAGGTGGGAGGATCGCTTGAGCCTGGGAGGTTGGGGCTGCAGTGAGCCAAGATTGTGCCACTGCACTCCAGCCTGGGTGACAGAGTGAGACCTCATCTCAAAACAAAAACAAAAACAAAACAAAAAAAGCCTCACCAGAAGGTGTATATGGACTATGGTGAGTAAGGGGAAGGGTGGCATGAGGTGAATTTAGAGAAAGGCAAGGGCCAGGCCGGGCATAGTGGCTCATGCCTGTAATCCCAACACTTTGGGAGGCCAAGGTGGGTGGATTGTTTGAGGTCAGGAGTTCAAGACCAGCCTGGCCAACATGGTGAAAGCTGGTATCTACTAAAAATACAAAAATTGCTGGGCACAGTGGCTCACGCCTGTAATCCCAGCATTTTGGGAGGCCAAGGTGGGCGGATCACGAGGTCAGGAGATCGAGACCATCCTGGCTAATACGGTGAAACCCCATCTCTACTAAAAAAAAAAACATAAAAAATTAGCCAGACATGGTGGTGGGCGCCTGTAGTCCCAGCTACTAGGGAGGCTGAGGCAGGAGAATGGCATGAACCCAGGAGGCGGAGCTTGCAGTGAGCTGAGATTGTGCCATTGCACTCTAGCCTGGGCAACAGAGCAAGACTCTGTCTCAAATAAAAAAAAAAAATTAGCCAGACATGGTGGTGCACGCCTGTAGTCCCCGCTGCTTGGAAGGCTGAGGCACAAGAATCGCTTAAGCCCAGAAGGTGGAGGTTGCAGTAGTCGAGAACACGCCCCTGCACTCCAGCCTGGGCAACAGAGTGAGACTCTGTCTCAAAAATAAATAAATAAATAAATATAAAGAAAGGCAAGGGCCAGATTATCCAGGCCCTTGTAGATAGGAAACACAGCTCTTATATCACAGGAAAAGGAAAGCCTATGGAGGAAAGAGTCATGATCTGACTGACTTCTTGAAAAGACAATGCCACCCAATGTCCATCAATGGGAAAGTTATAAATTTAATTTCAGTGCTTCCATTTTCTGGAATATTACGTGGCTATATGAAAAAAAGAAAGGGAAAGAATGACATATTGACCTGGAGGAATGCCCATGATATGTTTATCAGGTAAAGAATAAATAAATACATTATAACGTAATATATTGTGTAATGTAATACATTTTTTAGAAATGAAAAGAACCAGTGCAAAATAATACAAATAGATTTCTATATAATCACAGAAAAAAGAATAGAAGGATTCATTACACATCAAACATTTAGTGTGTGTTGGTTACCTGGGAGGATTGTAATTAGATAGGCATAGAGGGAAAGCATAATATTTGCTTTATAAATTAACCAGGCTTAGTGGCCCATGGCTGTAGTCCCAGCTACTTGGGAGGCTGAGGTGGGAGGATCCTTTGAGCCTAGGAGGTCGACCCAGCAATTCTGCAGTGAGCTGTGATCGTGGGCAACAGAGACCCTGTCTCAAAACAAAATGGAAAAAGCAAAAACAAAAGCTTTTCTTCAACCTGAGGAAGTTGATTTTTAAAAAAGAAAAAAAACATTTTCTTTATAAATTGCTTCATTGGTTTTTTTGCATATGAATTCGTTTTATACATTTTTAAAAAATAGATCACTCAGCTTTGTGGAGAATGGATTGGAGAAAGGCAAAAATGAAAATGGAACAACTAATGAAGAGAATATTTCAGTCATCCAGATGGTAGTTCTGAATGTGGTGGTAGCAGTAAAGATAGGGGGAAAAAAAGGTGATGAATTCAAGATATATTTTTTTGGAGTTGAAATAATAGGACTTGGTGATGTACTGCACATGAAGTTCTCATCAATGACTCTCAGATTTTCGGGCTTCAATGGCCTTGTAGATAGTGGCTCCTTTAGTAAAAGGAGAATGGCGAATATTGAAATAGCATCTGTAGAAAGCAGAGCAACTTTATCAGAAAAACAGCAGGATTTCAGGGAAATAATGGCTTCTCATTTGAGACTCGTGAATTTAAAAATCATAGTGATTATGTCTTCCCCAACTTAGTGATTTTTCTTAATAATGTTTATTTGCTTGGTTTCTGCCAAAGAAACTACGTACAGTTGGGTTTATCTAGGCTGGAGGAGGACAATAAAAACAAGAGAGGGTTAAGGGGCAACCAGAATTATAGATTGTTTCCCATTTTTTAAGCCTTTTAAAATTATTAATATATAGATTTTAATTTTAATTTTTTTTGAGACAGCGTCTCACTGTGTCACACAGGCTGGAATGCAATATAGTACAATCTCAGCTCACTGCAACCTCTACCTCCTGGGCTCAAGCAATCCTCCCGCCTCAGCCTCCTGAGTAGGTGGGACTACAGGTGCACACCACCACATCTGGCTAATTTTTGTATTTTTTGGTAGAGACAGGGTTTCCCCATGATGCCCAGGCTGTTCTCAAACCCCTGGCCCAAGTGATGCACCCACTTCTGCCTCTCAAAGTGGTGTAATTACAGTCATGAGCCACTGCATCTGACCTAGATTTTTTGTCTTGGAGGTGGGAGTCTCACTATACTATCCAGGCTGTTCTCAAACTCCTTGCCTTAAGTGATCCTTCTGCCTCAGCCTCCAGAGTCGCTAGAACTGCAGGCATGAACCACCACACCCAGCTAGATATTTTAAATAAATAACATCATTTTCAAGTTACATTCTTGGGATATATTCTCAAATATAGACTTGCTAGGCCAAGCTTGTCCAACCTGCAGCCCACAGGCCACATGGGGTCCAGGATAGCTTTGAATGTGGCCCCACACAAATTCATAAACTTTCTTAAAACATTATGAGATTTTTTTTTGTGATATTTTTGTTTCAGCTATCCTTTGTGTTAGTATATGTTATGTGTGTCCCAAGACAATTATTCTTCTTCTAATGTGGCCCAGGGAAGCCAAAAGATTGGACACCCCTGTACTAGGCCAAAGGAAATGATCAGTTTCATGACCCTTGTTATGGCTAGATTGCTTTAATATTAATGCATTCTAAAGCCACTTTATTCGTGGGACTTTTTTTTTTTTTTCCAAAAACCCATTAATTTTGTGGGTTTTTTTCTGTTATTTAGTTAGTTTTAATCACTTACTTAGTATTTGAGTGTTAAATATTGGGTATATGGTGGTAAACAAAACACTAAACTCAGAGATCTTAGGGTTGAAAAGGAGAGACAGACCACAAGTAAAATAATAAGCAAATTACTTATACTGTCAAAGTATTAGGAAGGACAAAGAACAGAATGATAAGAGAAATATCAGGAAGGGATTTACTTTAGATTGGAAAGCCTCTCTGAAGAGATGACTTAATCTGAGATTAAAAGGATTTGAAGAGATTATCCATTTAATGAATGGCCTATGCCAAGACCCGAAGCAGGAAGAAGTTGAGCATATTCCAGGAATGGAAAGTTAGCCTGTGAAGTTGGGTCAGAGAACACAAAGGCAGAGTGGTAGGAGATGAGGTTAAGGAAGGAAGTAAAATCCAGATTATGCAGGGCTTTACATGAAGTTTGGATAAGAGACAATTGAATGATTTGAAGCTGGAGAGTGACACGACTCAATTTATCTTTTCAAAAGACCACTGGGGCTGTCATGTGGCAAGTAGATCAGAGATAGGCGGTGAATGGAGAAGTGGAGAGACCAGTGAGGACACTACTGCAGAAGTGCAGCCTGGAGATAATGCATGGCTTGGACCAGGGCAGGGCTGGGACTAGGTTAGGGGAGTAAGGCAGCGTTTGCCTTGGGCACAACATTTTAAAAATTTTTATTTATTTTATTTTTTATTATTATTATTTAGAGACAGGGTCTTGCCTAGGCTGGAGTGCGGTAGCATGATCATAGCACGCTGTAACTAAGATCTTGAACTCCTGGGCTCAAGGAATCCTCCCACCACAGCCTCCCAACTGCAGGCATGCAGCACCACCATGCCCGACTAAGTTTTTTATGTTTTATAGAGATGAGGTCTCACTATGTTGCCCAGGCTGGTCTCAGACTCCTGGCCTCAAGCAGTCCTCCCTCCTCAGCCTCCCAAAGTTCTGGGATTTCAGGCATGAGCTACCGTGCCTGGCCCTAGGGTATAAAATTTAAGCAAACATTTAAAAACTCAGTAATTAAGGTCAATAATGTTTAGATAAAACATTTTAAAAAGTCAAAGTTAATGCAAAAAATCCATGATGAACAAAATATTAAAATATAAGATAAAGACAAAATCCAAGGCTGGGCATGATGGATCACGCCTAGAATCCCAGCACTTTGGGAGGCCGAGGCAGGTGGATCAGTTGAGCTCAGGAGTTCGAGACCAGCCTGGGCAACATGATGAAACCCCATCTCTACAAAAATTATAAAAAATTAGCCAGGCATGGGCATGGTGGCGGACACCTGTAGTCCCAGCTACTTGGGAGGCTGAGGCAGGAGAATGGCGTGAACCCTGGCAGTGAGCTGAGACCACGCCACTGCACTCCAGCCTGGGTGACAGAGCGAGACTCCATCTCAAAAAAAAAAAAAAAAATTAGCCAGGCATAACACTTAATAGAATTGTTTGATTTATTTATGAATGTATGTATTTATTTATTTAGAGACAGGGTCTCGCTGTGTCACCCAGGTTGGAGTGCAGTGGTGCGATCTCGGCTCACTGCAGCCTCTGCTCTGCCTCCTACGTTCAAGCGATTCTTGTGCCTCAGCCTCCTGAGTAGCTGGAATTACAGGCGCATGCCACCACACCCAGCTAATTTTAGTATTTTTAGTAAAGAAGGGGTTTCACCATGTTGGCCAGGCTGCTCTCGAACTCCTGACCTCAAGTGATCCGCCCACCTCGGCCTGTCTAAGTGCTGGAATTACAGATGTGAGCCAACACATCCAGCCACTTCATAGCAGAATTTTAAAAGCATTTGCTTTAAAACATGACAAGGATACTCACTACTATCATGATTACTATTTAACATCATACTAGAGGGGCTAGCCAATGCAAAAAGACATAAAAAAGAAATAAGACATATATAAACTAGAAAGAAAGAAAAAACTCACTATATTCAGTTATAATGATTGTCAGTATGGAAAATATATGAATAAATAACAAAAACTAAAAGCAATTCAGTTCATAATATAAACATACAAAAACCAGCAGTATTCCTATATATCAGCCACAAGAATACAAAACCATATGAAAAATGCACATGACTAAATAGTAAGACTTGTTAAAACTTGGTAAGGAGTGTTTACAGAGTCATTGGGATTTGTGGCTTCCAGTAATAAAGAGCATGCAAGGTGATTCTGACCAAACTTCTCTCTTATTATGCGAAGGGGGCAGAAGAACACACACCACAAATGCTGCATAGTGTAAATGTAAAATAAGATTTAGTGGGGAAAAAATACTGGCAGAGATGCAGCAAAGCATTATTCCCTATTATCCCACAGAGACACAACTTCCATAAATAGGCTAGGTATACTCCCCTCCCAAAAAAGGGGCGATTCCAGGTGATAGACTGCACTCCTGTGATGTTTTACCTACTTACTGAGAATGGGAAATAGGGAGTAGGCAATTATATAACAATGAGAACTTCCTGGTTGGGAATAACCTTGTTAGAAAGGAGCAGCTCCTGGAGTTCAGATTCTGATAATATTCCTTTTCTCAGACCTGCTGAAGCAGGTTCTTGCTAGGCTACTTGTCTGATTAGCTATTGCCACAAAAGTGCTGTGTAATAACTACCCCCAAGATATAATGGCTTAAAGCATAGTCAGTTATTTTCTCCAACTGCAGGTCAGCTGAGGGTCAATGGATCTAAGCTAGGTTCATCTCAGCAACTCTGCTTCAAGCTGTAAGTCCAGCTGGGATTGGCTCCTCTCTGTGGGTTAGGCTCAGGATTGCTTTCATCTCTGTTCATTCTGGGGCCCAAGGTCAAGAGGCAGCAGCTTCCTGAGGAAAGCTCTTCTCATGGCAATGGCAGAGGTGCAGAAAGGCAAGCCCAAATATGCAAACTTTTTTTTTTTTTTTTTTTCCTGAGATGGAGTTTCGCTCTGCCGCACAGGCTGGAGTGCAGTGGCATGATCTCGGCTCACTGCAACCTCTGCCTCCCGGGTTCAAGCGATTCTCCTGCCTCGGCCTCTGAAGTAGCTGGGACTACAGGCACTTGCCACTATGTCTGGCTAATTTTTGTATTTTTAGTAGAGATGGGGTTTCACCATACTGGCCGGGCTGGTCTCAAACTCCTGAGCTCAAGCCATCCACCTGCCTTGGTCTCCCAAAAGTGCTGGAATTACAGGCATGAGCCACCGCGCCCAGCCTTGCAAACATATTTTAAGCCTCTCTTTACACCACATTTGGTAACATTTCAGTAGTCAAGGCATGTTACCTGGCCAAGTTCAACATTATAATAATTGGGAAATAGAGTCCTCTCCTGGAGGGTGAGAGAAATGAGTGAATATTTACTGAACACTAATTAATGTACCACAGTAATGAAAAAGAAACGAATGAATTTCCAGTACCATCCAGATTTGTCTTCACTTTCTGGCTCTTGAAGGTCATTAAAGATAAGTCCTTTATCCTTTCATTAAAGATAACTAACAAGAGATTTGATAAATACCAGAAGCATTTGCTAAAAAGCATAAAAGACATAAAAATAGCCAGGCGCGGTGGCTCAGGCCTGTAATCCCAGCACTTTGGGAGGCCGAGGCGGGCGGATCACGAGGTCAGGAGATCGAGACCATCCTGGCTAACACGGTGAAACCCCCATCTCTACTAAAAGTACAAAAATTTAGCCTGGCATGGTGGCGGGCGCCTATAGTCCCAGCTAATCGGGAGGCTGAGGCCGGAGAATGGCATGAACCCAGGAGGTGGAGCTTGCAGTGAGCTGAGATCGGGCCACTGCACTCCAGCCTGGATGCCAGTGCAAGATACCATCTCAAAAAAAGAAAGAAAGAAAGAAAAAAAAAAGACATAAAAATATAGTCAACCTTGAAATGAGAAAAAGTTGGAGCTTAAGTAAGTGAATTGAAGCTATTTCCATTCAAGGGGCATTTGGTCATCCAAAAAAGGCATCTGAGAGACAAGGCTGCCTTCTGCCAATTGCCGAAGGTAAAGAATCCTCTGGCAGCCAAAGATAAAGATCTCCCTCCTTGTTAAATATTATCTTTAAATATACTACTGCTTTTACCCAGGGGCCATTTGCTAGTCTAAGGGGAGCAGCTGAAAATGAGTAGCTTCATGGAACCTGAGGCTAGAGGAACAGGAGTTGGAGGTCAACACATGCTGAAGGTGGGGGCTCTCTGCCCTTGACTGGGACCCTGAAATGCCCTACTTAAGAAAGTAAGGGGGCTGGGCGCAGTGACTCATGCCTGTAATCCCAGCACTTTGGGAGGCCAAGGCAGGTGGATCACTGGAGCTCAGGAGTTCCAGACCAGCCTGGGCAACATAGAGAGGCCCTGTCTCAAAAAAAAAAAAAAAAGATTTTAGCTGAGCACCCTGGCACACCTATAGTCCCAGCTGCTCAGGAGGCTGAGGCAGGAGGATCATTGATTGTCCAGAAGTTCAAAGCTGCAGTGAGCTATGATCATGCCTGGGTGACAGAGTGAGACCCTGTCTCTAAAAAAAGAAAAAAGAAAGTAAGGGTAGGTCCTCAGGCAATGCAGGAAATTCAAAAACAAAAAAATAAAAAGGAAGGATAGAAACTCAACTTTGGAGAGTAATCTTGGTAACTGGCATTGCAGCATTGCCTTGGACTACTAGCACCATCGGGTTCTTGGTAGAAGGAAACAAAAATGCCCTGGAGGAAGCCTATATTATCCTAGCTTTTAAAGTATACCTGAAAGAAATTTTTAAAATAAAATGTCAGCTGGGCACAGTGGCTCATGCCTTTAATCCCAGCACTTTGGGAGGCCAAGGCAAGAAAACCACTTGAGCCCAGGAGTTCAAGATCAGTCTAGGCAACATCGTGAAACCCTGTCTCTTTAAGAAAAATACAAAAATTGGGCTGGGTACGGTGGCTCAAGCCTGTAATTCCAGCACTTTGGGAGGCCAAGGCGGATGGATCACGATGTCAGGAGTTCAAAACCAGCCTGGCCAAGATGGTGAAACCCCGTCTCTACTAAAAAAAAAACTACAAAAATTAGCCAGGCGCGGTGGCTAACCCCAGCTACTCGGGAGGCTGAGGCAGAATAATCGCTTGAACCCGGGCGGCAGAGGTTGCAGGGAGCCGAGATTGCGCCACTGCACTCCAGCCTGGGTGAGAGAGAGAGACTCTGTCTCAAAAAAAAAAAAGAAAGAAAAATACAAAAATTAGCCAGGCATAGTGGCGTGCACCTGTAGTCCCAGTTACCTGGAAGGCTAAGGTGGGAGGATCACCTGAGCCCAGGAGGTTGAGGCTACAGTGAACTGTGATTGTTCCACTGTACCCCACCCTGTCTCAAAAAAAAAAAAAAAAAAAAGTCCAAGAAGCAATAAATTATGGAATATACCTGAAGTCAAGACAGTGCAAATCAGGCCTAACAAAACAAACAAAAACACAACAGAAAGCAAAATCCACAGAGACACTAAATATTAGAATTACTAGAGAAAAGTTGTAAAACAATTACATTTTCTCTTTTAGTGTAAACAAAAGATTAACTTTAAAAATCTCTGCAAGGAACTAGAAACTATTAAAAGTGACATTACAGAGTTAAAAAGGATCCAACTAGAAGTTTAAAACTGATAAAGGTAATCACCAAAATTAAGAACTGAGGCTGGGCGTGGTGGCTGAAGTCTGTAATCTCAGCACTTTGGGAGGCCAAGTAGGTGGATCACTTGAGGTCAGGAGTTTGAGACTCGCCTGGCCAACATGGTAAAACTCCAGCTCTACTAAAAATACAAAAATTAGCTCGGCGTCGTGGCAGGCACCTGTAATCCCAGCTACTCAGGAGGCTGAGGCAGTAAAATCACTTGAATCAGGAGGCAGAAGTTGTAGTCAGCCGAGATTGCACCACTGCACTCCAGCCTGGGTGATTGAGCAAAATTCCATCTAAAAAAATATAAAAAAAGGAACTCAGTGTATGGCTTTAACAGATGATTATGCAGAGCTGAAAAGAAAATTAGTGAACTAGATGGTAGAAGATTTATTCGTAGTAAAACTCATAGAGATAAAATGAAGTAAAATACAAAATAGAGAAGAGATATATATGATACAAAGAAATGGTCTAGTATAATTAGTATCCCTGAAGAGAAGAGAGAGAAAATGGAGTTAAGGCAGTATTTGGAGATAATGGCTGTGAATTTCCCAGAACTGATGAGGGACCTCAATTCATTGATTCAAGATGCCCAGTGATTCCCAAAAAGGTAAAAGAAAGGAAAGAAAGCTATGTGTGTTCATTCTGGGGCCCAGACTGAAGGGGCAGCAGTGCTTACTATAGTCGGCATATATTGAGTCTAACTTAATCCAATCTGATGGTGACTGTCTTTTATTTTGTTATTTTCTAATTTTTAAAAAGTTTGTATAGGGACAAGGTCCTGCTATGTTTTCCAGGCTGGTCTCAAACTCCTGAGCTCAAGTGATCCTCCTGCCTTAGCTTCCTAATATACTAGGATTACAGGTTCGAGCCACCACACTCAGCCTGATCACTATCTTTTAATTGAGCTGTTTGAACCATTTACACTTAATATAATTATTAATATGGTTGGATTTAAATCTACCATATTGCTAGTTGTTTTCTATTTGTCTCATGCTTTTTTGGTCCTTTTTTCCTACTTTCTTTTGTATTGGGTATATTTTATTCTATTTTATCTCCACTATTGGCTTATTAGTTATAGCTCTTTTAAAATTATTTTAGGTCAGGCATGGTGGCTCACACCTGTAATCCTAGCACCTTTGGAGGCCAAGGTGGGAGGATCACTTGAGCCCAGGAATTTGAGATCAGCCTGGGCAACATGGCGAGACCCTAGCTCTAAAAAAAATAAAAACCATAGCCAAGCTTGGTGGCACACACTTGCAGTCCCAGCCACTCAAGAGACTAAGAGACTGAGGCAGGAGGATCACTTGAGCCCAGAAGGTAGAATCTGTAGTGAGCCATGTTCTCACCACTGCACTCCAGCCTAGGTGACAGAGCAAGACCCTATCTCAAAAAAAAAAAAAAATTTTAGTGGGTGCCCTAGAGTTTACATCTTTAATACATTTTTAATACATCACAGCCTACCTTCAAATAATATTGTACCTTTTCACATATAATAATCTTACAACAACGTATTTTAAATTCCTTCTTTCCCATCTTCATACTATTTTTGTCATATATTTTACTTTTACACAAGTTATAAAGCTCCAATATATTGTTACTATTTTGCTTTAGACATCAATTATCTCTTTTTTTTTAGACAGTCTCACACTATTGCCCGGGCTGGAGTGCAATGGCACAATCTCGGCTCACTGCAATCTCTGCCTCCCGGGTTCAAGCAATTCTCCTGCCTCAGCCTCCCGAGTAGCTGGGATTACAGGCACCCGCCACCGTGCCTGGCTGATTTTTTGTATTTTTTAGCAGAGACGGGGTTTCACTATGTTGGCCAGGCTGGTCTCCAACTCCTGACCTTGTGATCCACCCACCTCGGCCTCCCAAAGTGCTGGGATTATAGGCGTGAGCCGCCATACCTGGCCTGATTATCTCTTTAAAATAAGAAAAAACATGTATTTTACAGTTACCTTTGTGTTATCTTCGTACGTTTAGCTCTTATTTGTTTATATGGATATATAAATGTTAGGTATCATACTTCAGCTCAAATAACTTCCATATTTCTTGTAATTTGCCAGGTGCAGATTACAAATTAGCCAGGTGTGGTGGCTCATACCTGTAATCCCTACTCAAGAGACTGAGGCAGGAGAGAATTGCTTGAGGCCAGGAGTTTGAGTTATGATTGCACCACTGCACTCCAGCCAGGGAGACAGAATGAGACTCTATCTCTTAAAAAGCTCAAATGTGGCTGGGCGTGGTGGCTCACGCCTGTAATCCCAGCACTTTGGGAGGCCGAGGCGGGTGGATCACGAGGTCAGGAGATTGAGACCATCCTGGCTAACGTGGTGAAACCCGTCTCTACTAAAAATACAAAAAAATTAGTGGGGCGTGGTGGCGGGCACCTGTAGTCCCAGCTACTCGGGAGACTGAGGCAGGAGAATGGTGTGAACCTGGGAGGCGGAGCTTGCAGTGAGCCGAGATCATGCCACTGCACTCCAGCCTGGGGCGACAGAGTGGGACTCTGTCTCAAAAAAAAAAAAAAAAAAAAAGCTCAAATGTAAATTTAAAAAAAAATTTCTTGTAATGCAGGTCTTCTGTCAATTCTCTCAGCTTTTGTTAGCTTGAAAAAGGCTTTACTTTGACATAATTTTTGAAAGATGTTTTCCCTGTGTATGAATTCAGAGTTAACAGTTTGAATATCATGTTAGCCATGGAGGTGCACCACTCGTATGTCCCTCAAAGAGAACCTGCTGCAGAGAGCACAGTTGACAGATAATCCCAGATGCTTCATCTTTGAATCTACCACACCATTCAGCTACATAAAGCACTGGAAAAACCACTGAAGGCACAGCTTAAGCACCAGCTTAGAGACAGTACACCATAAGAGTAGGATGCCATCCTTCCAGATGCAGTATAAATATTAAATCAGAGTCGATGTGGCATAGTGTCCTCACTAAAAATATGTGGGTCCAGGAAATGAGGGTGAAAGCAGGAGCGGCCCCATTTCCCTCACTCCCAATGACCTACTGGGGATTTTGTGCTTCTGTGATGCTGGGCTCTAGAGGGTTATAGGTCCTAGTACCCAAAAAGGCCACTTGCTTGCCAGAGGAAATAGCAAGGGTACCATTGAACTATAAGCTACTGCTGCCACCTGTGCACTTTGAACCCCTTATGACCAGGGACCAACAGATAAGAAGAGTTACCATATCAGTGCAGCCACAGTGGTTCACGCCTGTAATCCCAGAACTTTGGGAGGCCGAGGCGGGCAGATCACTTGAGGTCAGGAGTTCAAGACCAGATCAGCCTGGCAAAAATGGTGAAACCCCATCTCTCTATAATACAAAAATTAGCCAGACATGGTGGTGGACATCTGTAATCCCAGCTACTTAGGAGGCTGAGGCAGGAGAATCGTTTGAACCCGGGAGGCGGACATTGCAGTGAGCCCAGATGGCACCACTGCACTCCAGCCTAGGCTACAAGAACAAAACTCCATCTCAAAAAAAAAAAAAAAAAAAGGCCAGGCACGGTGGCTCATGCCTATAATCCCAGCACTTTGGGAGACTGAGGCGGGCAGATCACGAGGTCAGTAGTTTGAGACCAGCCTGACCAATACGGTGAAACCCCGCCTCTATTAAAAAATACGAAAAAAAGAAAATTATCTGGGTGTGGTGGTGCGCACCTGTAGTCCCAGCTACTCAGGGAGCTGAGGCAGGAGAATCGCTGGAACCTGGGAGGTGGAGGTTGCAGTGAGCCAAGATCACACCACTGCACTCCAGCCTGGGTGACAGAGCAAGACTCAGTCTCAAAAAAAAAAAAAAAAGAAGAGTTACCATCTCAGCAGGGATAATTGACCTGATCATCAGGGGGATGTGGGCTACTTTTACACAAGGGGCATGGGAGTATACATGTGGAACACTTGGGCATCATCTTGATGCTTCCTTGCCCAATTTTAATTGAGAGTGGGCACATGCAGCAGTCCTGGCCTGAAGAGGTGATAGTTATAAAGCACTCAAATGCCTCTGTAATTAAGGTTTTAATTACACCTTCTGGAGAGCCTCTAAGACCAGCCAAGGTGAGGGCTGTGGATAAGAGGAGTTTAGAATGGATAGTGAAGGAAAGAGAGAAAACCTGTTGCAGCTCCGTGACCATATGCATCCCCTAATAGGGACTGTATTTCTTTCCACTAACCCCCATCTTCTAAGTTTACCTTCAGGAAGAGAGGCCCACAGGAAATTGGGAGGAGTTGTTCCCTAAACACATATGGGAAAGTGGATCTGTGCAGTGTAAGAGGTGGACAGTGACAGTCATGAAGTTTTGCTACACGGATGTCCCTTCAAGAAAACTTGCTGGCCAGGTGTGGCCAGCAAGGCATGAGGCCAGCTCATGTCTGTAATCTCAGCACTTTGAGAGGCCAAGGTGGGAGGATCGCTTGAGCCCAGGAATTGAAGACCAGCCTGGACAACATAGCAAGACCCTGTCTCTAAAAATAAAATTTAAAAATTAGCCAAGTATAGTAGTGCCAGCTACGCAGGAGGCTGAGGTGGGAGGATCCCTTGAGCCCAGAAGATCAAGGCTGTAGTGAGCTGTGATTGCACCACTGTGCTCCAGCCTGAGTGACCTAGCAAGACCCCATCCCAACAAAAAAAAAAAGGAAAAAGAAAACTTGCCTTGGGGACCACAGTTAACTCACACATCTTTGGGTCCACAGCAGTTTCTAGTCATAACCGTTCGGGTGTGACTTTGGGAGGAGTGGCTCAGGTGGAATGAAGAAAATGACCATTCAGGTGAGGAGGTCAAGGAACTGAGAAGTCATGTGACAGGAGTTGGCTTGGATAGCAAAATCACAGTATGGGCAAGTGGATGAGGGAGAAAGACCACGAATGCAGATGGCATTAAAGAGTAGGGAGAGGTCCCATGCTCAGTGGCTCAGACCTGTAATCCTAACACTTTGGGAGGCCAAGGTGGGAGGATTGCTTGAGGATTGCAGGAGTTCAAGACCAGCCTGGGCAATAAAGCAAGACCCAGCCTCTATAAAAATTTTTAAAAATCACTTGGGTGTGGTGGCGTGTGCTTGTAGTCCCAGCAGCTACGAGGGAGGCTAAGATAGGAGGATCGCTTGAGCCTAGGAGTTTAAGGCTGCTGTGATTGGTGATTGTGCCACTCACAGTACTCCAGAAATGAACAAAAAGAGTAGAAGGAGAGGGTAATATAGCCAAATGTCATGAATTCTGAAGAAACCAGTTTACAAGAGGAAAAACAATATTTTTTATTATTTTACTTTAAAAATTTTATTTTTTTTTGAAACAAGATCTCACTCTGTCACCCAGGCTGGAGTGCAGTGGCACAATCATGGCTCACTGCAGCCTCAACTTCCCAGGCTCAAGCAATCCTCCTACCTCAGCCTCCTTAGCAGCTGGGACTACAGGCATGCACCACCATGCCCAGCTACTTTTTAATTTTGTGTGCGTGTGTGTGTGTGTGTGTATGTGTGTTTAGCAGATACGGGGTTTCACCATGTTGGCCAGGCTGCTCTTGAACATCTGAGCTCAGGTGATCCACCCACCTCGGTATCCCAAAGTGCTGGGATTACAGGCATGAGCCACTGCGCCCAGCCCATTTTTTAATTTTTTTGTGGAGATGGCGTCTCACCATGTTGCCCAAGCTGGTCTGTAACTCCTGAACTCAAGTGTTCCTCCTGCCTCAGCCTCCCAAGGTGCTGGGATTACAGGTGTGAACTTGTGCCTGGTGGAAGAATCAATAAAAGCCTGAAAGCAAAAATAAGATCAAGAAGAACACCATGCTATCTCTGTTTCCTAAAGTATGTGGGGTATAAGAAAATAAGCACCTTCGGCCAGGCTCAGTGGCTCATGCCTGTAATCCCAGGACTTTGGGAGGCCGAGGCGGGTGGATCACCTCAGGTCAGGAATTTGAGACCAGCCTGGCCAACATGGTGAAACCCCGTTTCTACTAAAAATACAAAAACTAGCCAGGCATGGTGGCGGGCACCTGTAATCTCAGCTACTCAGGAGGCTGAGGCAAGAGAAGTGCTTGAACTTGGGAGGTGGAAGTTGCAGTGAGCCGAGATTGCACCATTGCACTCCAGCCTGGGTGATAAGAGCAAAACTCCATCTCAAAAAAAAAAAAAAGAAAGAAAGAAAGAAAAGAAAAGAAGCACCTTCTGTTTATGGTGATGTGGTGTTCTTGGAATACGTGTATATATTAGTTAAGGGCAGTAAATAAAGAGAATGATCTGGAAAGATGTTGAGAGTATTTGTTGATCACAGAGTAGAAATACTAAAGGACTCTGTGGAAGAGTTTGGGAGGAAGGAGAAGGGGTGAGAACTGAATCGGATGGCAGAAAGAACTAAGCACTGTAAGAGTCAAAAGGAAACAATGGATAATAGATTTTTTAGCTGTGTGGGTATAGTCTTGCAACTCAAAGTGTATCCCATGAACCAGCATCATTGGCACCACCTGGGAGCTTGTTAGACATGCAGAATCTCAGGCCCTATTGAAAAAGTTTTTATCTTGTTGCTTTTATTGCATGGGAATTTAAAAGAATTTATTATATATGGGTGACTGGCAATGGCTCATTCCTGTAATCCTAGCACTTTGGGAGGCCGAGGTGAGAGGATCACTTGAGGCCAGGAGTTCAAGACCAGCCTGGCAACATAGCACAACACCATCTCTACAAAATAATTAAATAAATAAATAATTAGCCAGGCATGGTGGAACATGCCTGTATGTCCTAGCTCAGGAGGCTGAGGTGGGAGGATCACTTGAGACCAAGAGTTTGGGGCTGCAGTGAGCTATGATCATGCCACTTCACTCCAGCCTGAGTAACAGTGAGACCCTATCTCAAGAAAAAAAAACGTATTATTTATGTTTGAAACTGCGAACTTGATCCAAAAGGACCCCAGGGAGAATCCATTTGTATTTTACTCCTGGGATTTGGACAAGTCCGAGCACCTCTGAGAGACTGAGGAGTAGCCAAAAGAAGTCTACCTGTAGAAGATCCCAAGAAATCTCCTGAGAGATGAATCTCTAGGCAAGGACCTGACATATGAGATTGTAACAAAGCCTTAGTCATTGAAGAGGCAGGGGATGACACTGAGTCAGTTTATTACTTAGATTTGTGTCCCCATTCAGCCCCCTCCATAAACCCATGTGAACTATGAGTCAACATTGAAAGGCCAATTTTCCTAAAATCTATGTATCACCATTGGTATACAAGGTTTGTCTTTAATACTCATTGATAAAGCATGACATCCAAAGCACAATGACCCAGAATTCAGAAGAAATTTGGCACCTTGAAAAGTTCATCATATCCACCATGATGATGCCCAGAGAGGGAGAAGGTGGCAACCGGGACCAAGTGACAGTGTGGTGAGCACCAGAAGTTGCGATGGGTGACTTTACGCAGCTTGGCAGGCAGCAGAATTCTGAACAACTCCTGCTGCTGGAGTCCAGGAAATAGACTATATAACATAGAATGTGGGCTTCAGAGTTAGATATGGATTCAAACCCCAAATGCCATTCCATCCTGCCTACATGGAGGTCCCTGATAGAAGGCATGTGCCCGCTGATAATGGGTATCCAATCTCTCACAGTTCATTCATTCAACAAATACTTATTGAAGTCCCACAATATATCAGGCACCATGGAGGATATGGTAGCGGGCAAAGAAAATGAGCTCCTTTTGCTAATGAGTGAAGTGCAAGAGCTTGACTCACACTGTGCTATTGTCACAAAGAATTACTCCTCTGCCTTCTACCATTGGTATTCTACCATTTCCAAGATATAGACCCTTTGTCACCCCTCCACCAAGCTCCCTTTGGACAGTTGGATTTGAACTCAGTAGCGTTGTCTGAATACCTTCATTAGTTTCCTCTTGGCTCTCTGCCCTTCCCCTTTCCTGCACCCAACCAGCTCCCATTTGCTGGAGAGAAGAGCATTCAGATATGTCTCTTCTGACAGCTCTGATAACCTCATCAGAAGGAAAGAAAGTTACATAATCTGCAGAGAAGAGTGCAGCCCTTATTTACCTTATTTACCTTTGCCTTGCTTTTTGCTTCTCTGGCCTTCCATGAAGAGAGCAAGTCTACAGCCTAGGGTTAACCCATTTAGGACCCTAGTTCTGGGGATCTCTGCCTCTGTGCTTAATTCTCTCAGAGGCTGGGTCCGTTTGAAGTTGCTTGCTTACCTTCCTGTTCACTGTACCAGCCAGCGTTCTTGAATGCAAAGAACAACCATAACCCCTGGCTAACGTAAGTAGAAAATAAATTTATTAGAAGGATATTGGATGACTCAGAATTTGGCTGGGAAATGGAGAACCAGGCTTGGAAAACAGGCAGGAACCATAGGGCTGGCAGCTGGAGAGGTCTGGATAGCAGGACAAATGTCCCTGGCATCACATCCATCACCACTGTTCTGCATAGCTTGAACAGTGGCACTGTTATATCTGTTGCATGCTACTCCAAATAAAGCCTGGCTTGCTGTTCCTCCTTACATCACTCACTGTGAGTCCTAGCAAGACCGTTCTAGTTGCAGAGCTTATGTCATACCTCTACTTTACCTGTTCACAAAAGCAGGCAAAATTTAGTACCTTTTTTTTTTTTTTTTGAGACAGAGTCTCACTCTGTCACTGAGGCTGGCAGTGGCACGACCTTGGCTCACTGCAACCTCTGCCTCCCAGGTTAAAGCGATTCTCCTGCCTCAGCCTCCCAAATAGCTGGGATTACAGGCGTCTGCCACCACGCCCAGTTAATTTTTGTATTTTTAGTAGAGGTAGGGTTTCACCATGTTGGTCAGTTTGGTCTTCTTCTTAAGTGCTGGGATTACAGGCATGAGCCACCTCGCCCAGCCATTTTTTTTTTTTTTTTTTTTTTTGTGGCAAGGTCTTACTCTCTCAGGCTGGAGTGCAGTGGAGAGCGATCTTGGCTCACTGCAACCTCCACCTCCCAGGTTCAAACAATTCTCCTTCCTCAGCCTCCTGAGTACCTGGGATTACAGGCGTGAACTACCATGCCTGGCTAATCTTTTCGTATTTTTAGTAGAGACTGGGTTTCACCATGTTGGCCAGGCTGGTCTTGAACTCCTGAGCTCAAGTGATCTGCCCACCTCGGCCTCCCAAAGTCCTGGGATTATAGGTGTGAGCCAATGTGCCTGGCCAGTAGCATAATGCTTGATTACCCTCTTTATTGCTCCCAGCTTCCCCTGGCTGATACTCCTCCGAATCTTATGGCTGAGGGATCGAAGAATCAGGGTTGACCATGGACTGAGGTGCAAAATCATATTTGCAAATGGGCTTCCATGGGTTTCATGCTGACCCTTTTTAGGTCCATCATGATATAGCCATCTTTCAGAATAGTGTCATTTCTTTTTTTATCCCTACTTATCCTTAGTTCCTTCTCGCTGGCTTTCTCCACCTTTCTCTTTGCCATGTTTCTCCGCAACACTATTTGAACCTGTGTTTTCATGACTAAGACCCTTCTCCCAGCCTTAATCATTTCAAACTTGCAGTCCTCTACTGTGCTATATCTTTTTCACCTTTAGGACATTTTTACACTCGAAAAATCTGTGTACCTGTACTAAAGTTATTTCTCTTCAGCCATCTTATTCTGCTATTGAAACACTTCACTTAACTCTTCAACAATCCTACTCCTAAAGAGAATAATTCATTCCCAAAAATTCACTTTTCTTTTGCATGTTACAAACTTCTCATTTCCATTATGTTTCATTCTTTCCTCTAAATTACTACATTTAAAAATTTTTAATTTTAATTTTTTTGAAACAGTCTCACTCTGCCGCCCAGGCTGGAGTGCAGTGGCATGATCTCAGCTCACTGCAACCTCCACCTCTTGGGTTCAAGCGATTCTCCTGCTTCAGCCTCCCAAGTAGCTGGGACTACAAGTGCTTGCTACCACACCCAGCTAATTTTTGTATTTTTAATAGAGATGGGATTTTGCCATGTTGGCCAGGCTGGTCTTGAACTCCTGGCCTCAAGTGATCTGCTTGCCTCGGCCTGCCGAAGTGCTGGGATTACAGATGTGAACCAGCGTGCCTGGCCTCTTTTTTTTTTTTGAGACAGGGTCTCGCTCTGTTGCCCAGGCTGGACCACAGTGGATCATAACTCACTGCACTCTCGACCTCCCAAGATCAAGCAGTCTTACCGTCTCAGCCTCGTCAGTAGCTGGGACCACAGGCATGCACCATAATGCTTGGCTCATTTAGAATTTTTGCAGCAACAGGGTTTCACCATGATGCCCAGGCTTGTCTTGAACTCCTGGGCTCAAGCGATCCTCCTGCCTTGGCCTCCCAAAGTGCTGCGATTACAGGTGTAAGCCACTGTGCCCAGCCTACATTTTTTTAAAATTTGGAAATAAGTACTCCAAACAAGGTTTCAAAGACCTTCTTTTTCAGTGTTTATCTAATGTTATTTTTCCCCTGACATATCTGTGGTCAGTATGTTTAGGTTTTTTTTTTTTAGTATGATATACAATAGCAAAATATAAAGTCTAAATGTCCATTGATAGAATACTGGCTAAAGAAATTATGGTATATGCATATAATGGAATTCCATATAGTCATTAGAAGAATGACACAGATTTATATGTATTTGTATGGAGCCATGTCCAACACATCCTGGTAGGTGAAAAGGCAGGGGGATAGATATATGTATGGTCTATTACTATTTGTGAAGAAATTTGTATATACAACAAGTATCTCCACAAGAATACACAGGAAACTTGGCTGAGCACAGTGGCTCACACTTATAATCCTAGCTCTTTGGGAGGCTAAGGTGGGTGGATCACTTGAGGTCAGCAGTTCAAGACCAGCCTGGCCAACATGGTGAAACCCTGTCTCTACTAAAAATACAAAAAATTAGCTGGGTGTAGTGGCTTGTGCCTGTAATCCCAGCTACTCAGGAGTCTGAGGCATGAGCATTGCTTGAACTTGGGAAGCAGAAGCTGCAGTGAGCAGAGATTGTGCCACTTCACTCCAGCCTAAGTGACAGAGCGAGACTCTGTCTCCAAAAAAATAAAATAAAATAAAAGACACAGGAAACTAGCAATAGTGATGCCTCTGGAGATGGAATCTTGGATAGGGGGAAGTGGTGTGAGGGAGACATTCTTTTCATTACATGCTCAATATGGTACCAAAATAAATTATTTCTACTGGGGGAAAATCCAGAGACATAGACAAAAACTGTGATAATTTATGATTCTCTGAAAGACCTTGAAAAATCACTCTATTTAAGGATGATTTGGTTCATAGTTTAAATATTTTTTCATTTCGGCTCTCAGTTTGACTGCCACAAAAACTTTGGGAAAAACAGGATTTGGGGTTTCACTTTAATCTATTTGGAGAGGCTGATCTGCATTTAGGGGTTGGCTATCTAACTGTATCTTCCCTTCTGTGTTACTCACTCATTCAACAAGTATTTATTGAGCCTCTGGAGAGGCACCAGGGTCAGTGCTACACATTGAAGTGGCCCACATGCTGCAATCAGGTTTCAGATCCTCTGATGAGAATAAAGGAGAAGAAAATATAAAGCTGGTAACGCTAACTCTTGCTCTATCATTGAGAGCACAGTTCTGTGTGATTTTTCTCATTCTAAATCCTTGAAATACCAGTAAAGAGACTTTAAAAAAAAAGAATTTAAAAAAAGAAAAAACAACCTTGTATATTCAAGCAAATCTGTTTCCAAACTATGCAATTTTTTTCATGGCATGAGATTTTGTAGAACAAATCAAGTAAGCAAAAGACTATAGAAAATGTCACAGCATGGCTGGGCGCGGTGGCTCACGCCTGTAATACCAGAACTTTGGGAGGCCGAGGTGGGCGGATCACTTGAGCTCAGGAGTTTGAGACCAGCCCGACCAATATGGTGAAACCCTGTCTCTATTAAAAATACAAAAATTAGGCTGGGCGCGGTGGCTCATGCCTGTAATCCCAGCACTTTGGGAGGCCAAGGCGGGTGGATCACGAGGTCAGGAGATCGAGACCAGCCTGGCCAACATGGTGAAACCCCATCTCTACTAAAAACACAAAAAATTAGCCTGCGTGGTGGCACGTGCCTGTAGTCCCAGCTACTCAGGAGGCTGAGGGGGGAGAATTGCTTAAACCTGGAAGGTGGAGGTTGCAGTGAGCCAAGATCGCACCACTGCACTCCAGCCTGGGCAACAGAGCAAGACTCTGTCTCAAAAAATATAAAAACAAAAATAAAAAATAAAAATACAAAAATTAGCTGAGCGTGATGGCTACTCAGGAGGTTGAGGTGGGAGACTCACTTGAACCAGAGGGGCGGAGGTTGCAGTGAGCAGAGATCAAACCACTGCACTCCAGCCTGGGCTTCAGAGTGAGACTCTGTCTCAAAAGAAGATGGGAGGGGAGGGGAGGGGAGGGCGTCATAGCAGAAGTTTCTGTTTAAATATTTTAAATATATATATTTAATTTTATTTGAATACTTTTCACAGTTTACTTGGGATCATAGAAATTTCAGCAAAATAATGCTACAAGATTGGAAATAAAATAATTCTCTTAGCCTTTTTTTCCCCCATTTGGCACTCTACCGACATCAAGCAATGCTATGAGAATCCAGTTCTTCTGTTATTTTCCGAAGATTTAGACAACTATTTCCACCTTGAGACATCTGTAGAGACTAAATAAAAAGCAGAGTAACTGAGACAGAAATATGTGGTATTTCATCCAGCCAAGTTGCAATTGTAATGTTCATCATCTTTCCACTGAGGAAGGCTGGTGAAAAATAACAAACCCAAGCCAAAAAGGAAGCCATCAAGAGGCCACTAGAAAAACAAATGGACCATGAAAGCCTAAGGAACAGTAATCTCATAATGATGATACAGATTATGGTGCATAAAGATAGATATGTCATTCGTTTCTTTGTTTATTCATTCATTCAGCTTAATAGTTAAGAGCACAGACAGTGGAGCCAGACTGCCTTGTTTTAATCCTAATTTTGCTATTTATTACTAGTGTGTGACCTTGTTCAAATTACTCAGCCTCTCTGGGCCTCAGTTTCCTTATCTGCGAAATAGTACATACCTCATTGGGTTGTTTAAAATTTGTCCTTCGAACAGTGCCTGTCACATAGTAGACATCACAGAAGTGTTTGTGAGATTAACACTCACAAGTGTTAGTAAGTTTGACAAGTTATATGGTTTGACAAGTGATATGGTTTGGCTGTGCCCCCAGCCAAATCTCAACTTGAATTGTATCTCCCAGAATTCCCACGTGTTGTGGGAGAGACCCAGGGGGAGGTAATTGAACTATGGGGGCTGGTCTTACCTGTACTATTCTTGTGATAGTGATTAAGTCTCACAAGATCTGATGGGTTTATCAGGGGTTTCTGCTTTTGCTTCTTCCTCATTCTCTCTTGCCGCCACCATGTAAGAAGTGCTTTTTGGCTGGGCGCGGTGGCTCACACCTGTAATCCCAGCACTTTGGGAGGCTGAGGCGGGCGGATCACGAGGTCAGCAGATCGAGACCATCCTGGCTAACACGGTGAAACCCCGTCTCTACTAAAAATACAAAAAATTAGCCGGGTGTGGTGGTGGGTGCCTGTAGTCCCAGCTACTCGGGAGGCTGAGGCAGGAGAATGGCGTGAACCCAGGAGGCAGAGCTTGCAGTGAGCAGAGATCGCTGCCACTGCGCTCTAGCCTGGGCAACAAAGCAAAACTCTGTCTCAAAAAAAAAAAAAAAAAAAAAAAAAAGAAGTGCTTTTCTCCTTCCCATGATTGTGAGACCTTCCCCAGCCACGTGGAGCTGTAAATCCATTTAACCACTTTCTTTTGTAAATTGCCCAGTGTCTGGTAAGTCTTTATCAGCAGCGTGAAAATTGACTAATACAAGTATGCATTGAGCAACTAGTATGTTCCAGGCATTGAGCCAGGTGCTTGAGATACAGTGGTGAATGAAATAGTCACAGCATCTGCCTCTAGAACTTTCGGACTATGGAGAAAGACAATCAAACAAGTGATTACATAATACGTGAGGAGTGTTTCGACAGCGGGTGTGTAAGGTGTTATGCGATCATGGTGTGGAAGAACCTCCCTAACCCAAGTCAAAAGGAAATCTGGCTGTTCTAGAAAGGAGCTTTGCAGGGACCAAAAGAGGCAGTATAATATAGTGGTTAAGCGGCCCTGGGAAGTCCAGCTCTCTGGTTTTGTATTAGCTTGGTGCAAAAGTAATTGCGGTGTTTTTGTTTGTTTGTTTGCTTTTGTTTTTTTGATGGAGTCTTGCTCTGTCACCCAGGCTGGAGAGTAGTGGCACAATCTCGGCTCATTGCAACCTCTGCCTCCCGGGTTCAAGCAATTCTCCTGCCTCAGCCTCCCAGGTAGCTGGGACTACAGGGGCATGCCACCATGCCTGGCTAATTTTTGTATTTTTTAGTAGAGATAGGGTTTTGCCAGATTGGCCAGGCTGTTCTTGAACTCCTGACCTCGTGATCTGCCCGCCTTAGCCTCCCAAAGTGCTGGGATTACAGGCGTGAGCCATTGCGCCTGACCAATTGCAGTTTTTATAACAGCAAAAACCACAATTACTTTTGCTTCAGCCTATTATCATGGCTCCATCACTTACTGGTTGTGACCTTGAGCAACTTGCCTAACCTCTCTGTGCCTCACATTTCTTTATTGATACAATGGGAGTCATAACTCTGTATGTGTCTTAGGATGTGGTGAGGACTAAATGAGTTTGTACACTGAGAACTCTTAGAACAGTACCTGGAATATGGTAAGCAACATCTACATGTTTTAATAATAAGAATTACTTGAATATTAAGTATTATTACATAATAAGTATTATTGCATGATGAAAATAGGATACTATATTAACATAATAATATGATAATATTGTTACAGTTGATCTTGCCTAGGTCTCATTTTTAGCTTTACCTCTTCTTTTACGATACTGGTAAAAATTTTAGAGCATTATGTTTGTCCTGCATCTTTTGCTTAAATTAATGTTATAACAAAAAATTTCTTTTCCTACCCCTTCCCTTTTAAGTCTAGTTTAGTACAGGTTTAACGGGGGACCTCTTGGGAAATATCAAAGCATATTCTAGAAATTGGAGTCACTGCATACACAGATAATAACAGCATTGTTGATAATGTATTTTGGTTTTCCTCTTCTAGAAATAACACCAAAATTGCAGTCAAACAGCTTAGGTTTCATACCTAGCTTTGCCACTTGCTAAGTTGTCTTGGGCAAGTTACTTGATTTGTCTGATCTTCAGTGTTCTCATCTGTAAAATGGGAAAATAATAATTCCTAATTTACTGGGTTGTTATGAATACAAATGAAATAATACAGGGAGGAAGGAGGACTTTGTAATCTGCAAAGATCCATTCAATTAAAAATGGAGCCACATGCATTTGCCTCCTAAGATCTCATCCAGTTTCCTATATAACTGGCCACTTCCATGGGCCATTCATGTTGCTCAACAAATCCTTAGCCATTTGCCCCAAAGCTTTGGCTACTTACCTAAATTCCAGATCAATCTAGGAAGCCTATCTAGGGCTTAAATTGCTGGGAGGGATAGGTTTTTGAGAATGGGAAAGAAACTGAAACTGTTTTTTTCTCTTTGTTACTCCCTTCCCTTTCTCTTCTTTGTCCTTTGAACTTCCTGAAAAACCCTTGATTCACCCATTCAACAAAAGGGGAAGAGGTAAAATGAGTTTTCCTCCCTGTCTCTTATCTGGATTTCTGTGGTGCTTTATATACAGAGAGTCACAGTGTATTGTGGTCATGTGTTGATATATTTGTCACTACTACTGAATCTCTTTTTTTTCCCCTATTTGTTTTTCATGGTGGGTTCTCAATAAATGCTTGTTGGATTGAACAGACTATAATGTAATTGAAGCTATTCAGAGCTCAGAATGTATTTCACACACTCAGATCAAGTGATTATTTCATACACTCAGATCAAGTGATTTATTCGAGACTCTCAGAGAGCTTGGTTAAAAATAAAGATCTGGATTCAGGCAATTTTGTTCAGAGAATTTTGGGGGAGTTAAATAGCTCTGGCTGCAGGCTAGGGTCTTCGTTATGGGAAAAAAGTGCAACATAGGAGGAATTGCAAAATACCTCCAGGAAAACGTCTGGGTATTTTTGAACCTTTGGCAGAGATGCATGTCTGTCTGGAATTCACTTCTTTCCCTTCCCCTCCTGTCTCTAATCCTACGGCTTAACCCAGTAGCACATAATAAATAAGCACAATTTATAGAAATACTTTTCTGAATCCTGATCCCTTGAAATTATGACCTGGTGATTCCTTCCCCCACCAATAGTTCTGAAGTCAACAGGGCATGTAAATATGGCAACTACATGTCCTGGCTTTTTCACCCCAGTTTTGATTTAAAATATTGTCTCTCAGTATCAGATTTCATCCCATTTTTGGTTCATATTCATGGAGATCCCATAATAAAACATCTGTTAGATAACTACTGTCACATTATTTTTAAGACATTATGCTTTATTTAATTATGTTTTAATATGTGGCATGGGGAAAGTATTTGTATTTGAACAAATTCAAAACCTCACCAGCAATAAAAGTGCAAGATTCTGCTTTTTATTCTTATTTTTTCTTTCTTTTTTCCCATCCTAGCTCCTGGCTGATGAATATCTTTTCCTTCCTTCTTTCCTTCCTTCTTTCCTTCCTTCCTTCCTCCCTCCCTCCCTCCCTCCCTCCATTCCTCCCATACTTTCTTCTTTCTTTCCTCCATCTATTTAACCATATGAAGAGGATACCATTAAAAAAAAAATAACTTCCAAATAACATCCATTTAAAAATGTTAGTATTTAGTGTTGGTGAAGTTTGGAAAATCAGTACACTCTCTAGCAGGAATGTAAATTAAAATCATCTTTAAAACAACTTTACAATATCTAATGAGAGTATTAAAAAGTTAACATGGCCTGGTGCAGTGGCTCACGCCTTTAATCCCAGCACTTTGAGAGACCAAGGTGGGCAGATCACCTGAGGCCAGGAATTCGAGACCAGACTGGCCAACATGGCAAAACCCCATCTCTACAAAGAATGCCAAAATTAGCCAGGCGTGGTGGTGCGTACCTGTGATCCCAGCTACCCGGGAGGCTGAGGCAGGAGAATTGCTTGAGCCTGGGAGGCAAAGGTTGCAGCCAGCCAAGATCTGGTGCTTCTGGGTAAGGCTGCTGGCTGCCCTCTGTAACAGCCTCCTGGCTTTCAGGTTTCAGAACAATAGGCCATCTCCCTAGGCTCTGTCTCTTCTTATGCTCCAAAACCTGTTGGGGATCTTCTTCCCTTGCAGCAGTTTTGTCAGCTTTTGGTTTCTGGTTCTCTGCCTAGCCTTTAGGTGATGAATGTTTGCATGAACTGCCTCTGATTCTTAACCTGGCCTTTCTTTCACCCTCTTGAGCAACATGGCCCTTCCCACTCTGGGTGCAACAAAAGCAGAGAATGGGCTGCCTGTACAGCGAATAGGCCAGTGCCCCACAGTTTAACTGAGCTGCTCAGATCCATAGTTTAGGTTCAGCAAACTGGGGTTAGAAGCAGAATACTGGTATAAAAACAGACACATACATAGGCCAATGGAAGAGAATGAAATAAATATAAATCCGTGCATTTACAGCTGGCTCAATTTTCAACAAAGTCACCAAGAACATACAATGGGGAAAAGCCAAATATCTTCAATAAATGATGCTGGGAAAATCAGATAACGATATGCAGAAGAATGACACTAGGTCACCATATATAAAAATCAAATTAAAATAGATTAAAGACTTAAATCTAAGACCAGAAACTATGAAACTGCAGACAAAAACATTGGGGAAATGTTCCAGGACATTGGTCTAGGCAAATATTTTCTGTGTAAGACCTCAAAAGTACAGATGACCAAAGCAAAAATAGATAAATGGAATTACATCAAGCTGAAAAGCTTTTGGGCAGCAAATAAAAAATTGACAAAGTGAAGAGACAACCCACAGAATGGGAGAAAATATTTGCAAAATATTCATCTGACAAAAAATTAATAACCAGAACATATAAGGAGCTCAAACAACTCAAGTGCAAAAAAACCCCCAGTAATCCAATTTTAAAATGGGCTAAAGATCTGAGTAGACATTTCTCGAAAGAAGACATACAAATGGCCAACAGGTATATATGAAAAAATGTTCAACATCACAAATCATCAGAGAAATGCAAACCAAAACCATAATGAGATATCATTTTGCACCAGTTAAAATGGCTTTTATCAAAAAGAGTGGAAAAGGCCAGGCACAATGGCTCACGCCTGTAATCCCAGCACTTTGGGAGGCCAAGGCAGGTGGATCACCTGAGGTCACATGTTTGAGACCAGCCTGGTCAACATGATGAAACCCTGTCTCTACTAAAAATACAAAAAAAAAAAAAAAAAAAAAAAAAAAAAAAATTAGCTGGCTGTGGTGGCAGATGCCTATAATCCCAGCTACTCGGGAGGCTGAGACAGGAGAAACGCTTGAACCCGGGAGGCAGAGTTTGCTGTGAGCTGAGATTGCACCATTGCATTCCAACCTGGGTGACACAGCGAGACTCCATCTCCAAAAAAAAAGAGTAGAAAGGCCAGGCATGGTGTCTTACGGTTGTAATCCCAGCACGTTGGGCGGCCAAGGCAGGTGCATCACTTGAGCTCGGGAGTTCAAGACCAGCCTGGGCAACATGGTGAAACCCCGTCTCTAATAAAAATATGATAATTAGCTGGATGTGGTGGCATGTGCTTGTAATCCCAGCTACTCAGAAGGCTGAGGTGGGAGAATCTCTTGGGGAAGCAGAGGTTGCAGTGAGATTGTATCACTGCACTCTGGCCTGGACAACACAGTGAGACCCTGTCTTAAAAAAAAAGACTGGAGAAATGTCAAGGGCTTGGGAGTAAAAAACAGGACTGGAAATAACAGATGCCAGTGAGGATGTGAAGAAAGAAGAACTCTAGTACGCCGCTGGTAGGAATGTAAATTAGTACAACCACTATGGAAAACTGTATAAAGGTTCCTGAAAAAACTAAAATTAAAACCATGTGATCCAGCAAATCCACACTGAGTGTATATCCAAAAGAAAGGAAATCAATATATTGAAGCTATCTCTGCATTCCCGTATTTATTGCAGAACTATCCACAATAGCCAAAATATGGAATCAACCTAAGTGGCAGTCAATGGATGAATGGATAAAGAATATGTAGTATATATACATAGTAGAATACTATTCAGCCAGAAAAATGAATAAAAATCCTGTCATTTGCAGCAACGTGGATGGAACTGGTGGTCATAATGTTAACTAAAATAAACCAGGCACAGCAAGACAAACACGGCATGTTCTTACTCACATGAAAACTAAAAAAGTGGCTGCGCACAGTGGCTCACACCTGCAATCCCAGCACTTTGGGAGGCCGAGGCGGGTGGATTACCTGAGGTCAGGAGCTCGAGACCAGCCTGGCCAACATGGTGAAACCCGGTCTCTACAAAAAAATGCAAAAATTAGCCGGGCGTGGTGGCACATGCCTGTAATCCCAGCTACTTGGGAGGCTGAGGCAGGAGAATTGCTTGAGCCAGGGAGACGGAGGTTGCAGTCAGCTGAGATTGTGCCACTGCACTCCAGCCTGGCCAACAGAGAAAGACTCTGTCTCCAAAAAAAAAAAAAGTGCATCTCTGGCTGGGCGCGGTGGCTCATGCCTGTAATCCCAGCATTTTGGGAGGCCAAGGTGGGTGGATCACCTGAGGTCAGGAGTTCAAGACCAGCCTAGTCAATATGGTGAAACTCCGTCTCTACTAAAAAGACAATGATTAGCTGGGCATGGCGGTGAACGCCTGTAATCCCAGCTACTCGGGAGGCTGAGGCAGGAGAATCGCTTGCATGCAGGAGGTAAATGTTGCAGTGAGCTGAGATCACGCCACTGAACTCCAGCCTGGGCAACAGAGCGAGACTCCATCTCAAAAATAAAATAAAAAAATAAAATAAAATAAAATAAATAAAATTAGTGGATCTCACGAAGATAGAGAGGATTGGTAGTTACCAGAGACTGGGAAAGGTAGAGAGTAGAGGGGGCTGAAGAGAAGTTGATTAATGGGTACAAATATACAGCTTGAAAAATTTTTTTCTTTTTACATTTTTTTCTTCTTTTTCTTTTTCTTTAATCTATCTTAAGACCCACTATATACAGTTTGATAGAAGAAAGAAGACCTAGTGTTTGATAGTTCAGTAGGGTGTGTATTAATTTACAGTAATCTGTTGTATATTTCAAAAGAGCGAAAAGAATAATTTGAATGTTTCTAGCATAAAGAAAAGGCAAATATTTAAGGCAACGGATATCACAGTTACCCTGATTTGATCTCTACAAATTATATGAATGTATTAAATCATGTACCCCAAAAATATGTACATCCATTATGTATCAATTTTTTAAAAAGGAAAAAACAAACAAACTGAGATTACATAGAAGAATGCAGTTTCACCTCCAGCAGAGGTTCAGAATTAGTTGAATCCTCGGGCTGCAGGAGACAGGAATCTAGCTGAGGACCCTGCAATTAGAGCCAGGATTCAAAATACCCAGGAGCTAGCAGGAGGGCAGCAGTACCTGGAAGTGAGGTTTCACTCTGGAGAGACTCTACTTGCTATGGATCCCAGCTTCCCACCTCCACAGCAAACAGACAAATGCTGCTCAGAGGTCCATTCGGTCACCATGAGCAGGTTAGGGGTGAGGGCAATGCTGAGATGGGCTAAAGGTCAAGGAACTCAAGATGGCCTGTTGTGGGGAGGAGCGATCCTCTAGGGTGGCCCAGATTTAGGTGCTGTCATTTCTTGACAACCTTTTTTGGTTGGCCCTAAGTAGAAATGTCATCCTGGATAATAGTAAATAGTACTACCTTCCATCTATATGTCCAGGTGCTGGACTAGTCTTGGTTGTTGAAAGGATTTTTGTACTTTTTCCCATCCTCAAGTTTTTGAGACAAGATGACTCTTACTCATAGTATTCAAAATACTACAAAAAGGAAAGAGGACTTTTTGTTAAATTGTGTCTGACAAAATAGTCAGTAACAGGATATTAAGATGTCCTAGAATTGGGGAAATGAGGTCAGGAAAAGTTTATCCTTTTTTAAAAAATTATTATTATTATTATTTTTTTTTTTTTTTTTGAGACAGAGTCTCACTCTGTTGCCCAGGCTGGAGTGCAGTGGCCAGATCTCTGCTCACTCCAACCTCCATCTCCTGGGTTAAAGCGATTCTCCTGCCTCAGCCTCTGAAGTAGTTGGGATTACAGGCACGTGTCACCGCTCCCAGCTAATTTTTTGTGTTTAGTAGAGACGGGGTTTCACCATGTTGGCCAGGCTGGTCTCAAACTCCTGACTTCAAGTGATCTGCCTGCCTCGGCCTCCAAAAGTGCTGGGATTACTGGCATGAGCCACCACACCTGGTCAGGAGGAGGTTATTTTTTGAGATCCCCAGATCATTTACTCAGCTGTTTGTTGAGCCAGGTACCACACTAGTTGCTGAAGGTGATTACATGTGAATGGAAAATGGCCTCTGCCCCCATATTCTTTAGTAGGAGGGCTAGGCATGAAACAGTCTGCCAAATAATAATAATGATTATTATAAACTGTAAACTAAAATAGTGATCACACAACTTAATGGTTTAAATGATCAGCTGCAAGAAATTCTACGAGATGGAGTGCAAATTTGTTATAGAACTATAGAAGACCCAGTCCAATCCAGAGACAGGGGTGCTTTTAATCTCATCAAGAGGTTGTTGAATGAATCAGTTCTGGAAAAAATGAAACACAACAACAACAAAAAGTTACCAGAAATAGAGTTTGTTTTCTTGGGAAAAAAGGGAGCAAACGAACTAGATTTGTGAGTGACACAATGCCCTATAGAGAGAGTGCCTGGACCAGCCTCTCCAAAGATTTCAGCTGGCTGAGTAATATCTCTGGGTAAAGAAACTATTTTCATTTGGGATTTACTCTCCCCATGAATTATTTATTTATTTATTTATTTATTTTGGAGACAGAGTCTCGCTCTGTTGCCTAGGCTGGAGTGCAATGGTGTGATCTCACCTCACTACAGCCTCCGCCTCCCGGGTTCAAGCGATTCTCCTGCCTCAGCCTCTTGAGTAGCTGGGAGTAGAGGTGTGCACCACCAAGCCTGGCTAATTTTTGTAATTTTAGTAGAGATGGGGTTTCACCATGCTGGCCAGGCTAGTCTTGAATGCCTGGACTCAAGCAATCTGCCCACCTCGGCCTCCCAAAATGCTGGGATTATAGGCATGAGCCACTGCGCCGGGCCTCTCCCCAAAAAATTGAATTAATGAAAGTCAGTTCCCTCTGTGATTGAAAAGAAACTGCTAAAATTAAAATTTTAAAGCCCATTTGGTCATGATTTTTTTTCTATATATTACTGGATTTGTTTGGCTATTTAGTAGTTGTTCCTATTAAGGATTTTGGCATCTATTCACAAGGAATATTGGTGTGTACTTTTCTTTTCTTGCAATGCCTTTACTGTATCAGGTTAATAGGTCTCATAAAATTAAGTGAAAAGCATTTACACCTCTATTTTCTGAAAGAGTTTGTGTAGGATTGTTATCTTTTTTAAAACTTAAACATTTATTAATATTTACCAATTAAGCCATCAAGGCATTAAGTTTTCTTTGTAAAATGATTCTTCATTACAAACTCAATTTTATTAACAGATACGAAGCTATTTGGTTGTTTGTTTGTTTGTTTTTTGTTTTGAGACAGGGTCTTACTTGGTTGCCCAGGCTGAAGTGCAGTGGTGCGATCTTGGCTCACTGCAACCTCCGCCTCCCATGTTCAAGTGATCCTCCCACTTCAGCCTCCCTAGTAGCTGGGACTACAGGTGCATGCCACCACACCCAGCTAATTTTTTTTTTTTTTTGAGACAGAGTCTTGCTCTGTCGCCCAGGCTGGATGGAGTGCAGTGGTGCGATCTTGGCTCACTGCAAGCTCTGCCTCCTGGGTTCACGCCATTCTCCGGCCTCAGCCTCTCCAGTAGCTGGGACTACAGGTGCTCGCCACCACGCCTGGCTAATTTTTTGTATTTTTAGTAGAGACGGGGTTTCACCGTGTTAGCCAGGATGGTCTCGGTCTCCTGACCTTGTGATCCGCCCACCTCGGCCTCCCAAAGTGCTGGGATTACAGGTGTGAGCCACCGCGCCCGGCCCACATCCAGCTGATTTTTGTATTTTTAGTAGAGACGGGGTTTCACCATGTTGGCCAGGCTGGTGCTATTTCGGTTTTCTATTTGGGAATTTTATCTTTTAGGGGAGTTGACCATTTCATCTAAGTTGTCCATGGACATATATTGACATAAAGTTGTTCATAATATTCTCTTGTTATCTTTTATCTATCTGTAGGATCTGAAGTGATGTATTTGTATTTTCTCCTTTTTTCTTGATCAGTTAAGCTAAAAATTTATCAGTTTTATTTTTCATAGAACTAATGGTCAGTATTTATAACATAATAATGGAGACTGAGTAATTTATAAAGAACAGAAATGTATTTCTTACAGTTCTGGAGGCTGGGAAGTTCAAGATCAAGGGACCAACATCTGCTAAAGGCCTTCTTGCTGTACTGTGACATGGCCGAAGGTATCACACGGCAAGAGAAAGTAAGAGGGCCGAACAAACACAATTTATAACAAATTTACTCTCCAGATAATGAGCCCACTCATTAATCCATTCATGAAGGCAGGGCCCTCATGACCTAATCACTTCTTAAAGGTCCCACCTCTCAACATTGTTGCATTGAGGGGTTTAAGTTGCCAACACATGAACTTTGGGGAACACATTCAAACCATAGTGGTTGGTTTCATTGACTTTCTCTCTTTTTCTCTTTTCCCATTTTCTATTTGATTGATTTCCATTGCTTTATTATTTTCTTCCTCACTATATATATTTATTTATTTATTCCTTTTTTTTTTTTTTTTTTTTTTGAGATGGAGTCTCTCCCTGTTGCCACACTGGAGTGCAGTGGGGCGATCTCGGCTCACTGCAATCTCCACCTCCCGGATTCAAGCGATTCTCCTGCCTCAGCCTCCTGAATAGCTGAGATTACAGGTGCGCACCACAACGCCCAGCTAATTTTTGTATTTTTAGTAGAGACAGGGTTTCACCATGTTGGCCAGGATGGTCTCGATCTCCTGACCTCATGATCTGCCCGCCTCAGCCTCCCAAAGTGCTGAGATTACAGGTGTGAACCACCATGCCTGGCCTCACTATATATTTAATTTGCTTTGCTTTTCCAAGACGAATAATTTTTATTCAGTTTAAAATATTTTCTGATTTTGCCTGTGATTTTTTTTTTCTTGAAGCCTTTTGGATAGTTCTTTCTCACTCGATCTCACTCTGTCTCATGTACCAACTTTTTTCTCCTGTAAATTTTTCATTCAACAAATAATTGTTGATCATCTACCACAAGGTGCTAGGTACTGTTCTAGGTACTTGAGTGACGTGAGTGAATAAAATAATATCCCTGCCCACATGGATCATATGTGCTACTGGTGGTTACAATTTTTTCGTTTGGTCTATATTTATCCCTAACCAAGGGTTCTCTTCCATTTGAAGTCTTGACATACTCCTTTCTTCCTGTATCTCCACTATGACTTCTAGTACTTATTTGCAACTATAAAATACCCTAACAACTGATACAGATCTCCTGTCTAGTGTATCTCCTGAATTTATAGTCATCTTTTTAAGAGAGATGGTATTTATTGGGAGATGTGTTCTCCTCTGTCATATTTATGCCTTGTTTGGCTTGAAGTCAGAAAGACTAATTTTCATAAGCATCTTTCTAGCTTTAGCTAGCTTTAGCATCACTAAGATTTCCTGACATTATCAATAAAAAAAAAATTACTGAGGCTATCTGTTAGGCTGATATTATGGTGATTTAAATTTTTATCTTTTGTACTTTTACTGTTTGAAAAATGAATAAAGGAAGAAAATTGATTTATTCTATCCATTTTCTAATTTTAAAAGCATTTAAATTAGGGTTATTACTACTTGTGTGTTTATTAAATGTGCACCTAACATTTTGAACGTAATTGACAACTTTTCCTGGTTATTTGTGGAGTGATCCTAGTTTTTAAAGTAATGCATTTAAAAACTCAAAAATAAAAAATGAAATAAAAATAACCTGATAATGGCTTAATGTCAGAATATATAAAGAACTCCTACAACTCAACAGTAAAAAAAACTTATTAAAAAATGGGCAAAGGTCTGAATAGATATTTCTCCAAAGAAGATATACAACTGGCCAATGAGCACATGAAAAGATGCTCACTATCATTAATCATTTAGGAAATGCAAATCAAAACTATAAGGAGACACTACTTCATACCTATTAGGATGGCTGTTATTTTAAAAAACCCAGAAAATAACAAATGTTGGCAAGCATGTGGAGAAACTGGAACTCCTGCGCATTGCTGGTGGAAGTGTAAAATGGTGCCGCCTCTGTTGAAAATGGCATGGTGATTCCACGAAAAATTTAATGCAGAATTACCATATGATCCAGCAACTTCACTTCTGAGCATATGCCCAGTCACATGGAAAGCAGAGATATGAAGAGATGTGTGTTCACCCAATTTTATAGCAGCATTATTCACACAGCCAAAAAGTAGAAGCAACCCAAATGTCCATCAACAGATGAATAGATAAACAAAATGTAGTCTATACATACAATGGAATATAATTCAGCCAGCCTTAAAAAGGAAGAAAGTCCTGACACATGCTACAAGATGATGAACTTTGAAGACATTATGCTAAATGAAAATATACCACAAAAAGACAAATACTGTATGATTCCAGCTATATGAGGTACCTTGAGTATTCAAATTCCTAGAGAGAAAAAAATAGAATATTAGTTGCCCAGGGCTGCGGCAAGGGAGGGATGGGGAATTAGTATTTAATGGGTACTGAATTTCATTTGGGGACAATGAAAATGTTTTGGAGATAGATGGTAAGGATGGTTGCAGGAGAGTGTGAATGTACTTAATGCCACAGAAGTGTACACTTAAAAATGGTTTAAATTGGCCGAGCGTGGTGGCTCACACCTGTGATGCCAGCTGTCAGGGAGGCAGAGGTGGGAGGATAGCTGGAGCCCAGAGTTCAAGACCTGCCTGGGCAATATAGCGAGACCCTGTTCTCCACAAAAAGGACAAAAAAAAAAAAAAAAAGACAAAAAGACGGGCACAGTGGCTCACGTCTGTAATCCCAGCACTTTGAGAGGCCGAGGTAGGTGGATCATGAGGTCAGGAGTTCAAGACCAGCCTGGCCAATATAGTGAAACCCTATCCCTACTAAAAATACAAAAATTAGCCGGGTGTGGTGGCATGCACCTGTAGTCCCAGCTACTCAGGAGGCTGAGGCAGGAGAATCACTTGAACCCAGGAGGTGGAGGTTGCAGTGAGCTGAGACGGTGCCATTGCACTCCAGCCTGGGTGACAGAGCAAGACTCTGTCTCAAAAAAAAAAATGGTTTAAATGGTTAATTTTTAATTATGTATATTTTTACCACAATAAAAAGTATGAGAATGAGTACCTCAGCCTTGCTATAGGTACTATGCAGAGTTAATTTAAGAAACAAAGAAGCAAGAATATTTCAATGCTGGATAGTACCATTTTTCTTCTTAAATTAAATTTTAAAATGACTGCCTTGCTATGGAGTTGTCATGCTTGTGGCTGGAGATTGAAACCTTAAAATTATGGTAAAATTCAACTCCAAGTTCCTGCAGCCACATCAATTTTCTATCTAATTTTGGAAGTATTTAAATTAGTCTTATTATTATTTGTGTGCTTACTAAATGTGCAATTTAAAATGTATATGGTTGTGCAATGTGGTGAACACTGCCATGGGAACTTCATTAATAGAATCACTGATGCTATACTATTATTAGTACTGAATTAATACATCTTTATCAGACATTTCATTCAATAGCTCCTTTTTTCCTTTCTTTAATCCCTATACTTTACCTTCTTCATTCTTCAGTTGGATCATCCTATTACTAGTACTTTATGTTAAATTCATGTTATTTCACTGAATCTTCACACCAATCCAAGTATTATTGGAAAGTATTATTATTTCTGTTTTAATCGATGAGGAAACTCAGTCTCACAGAAGTTGCATAGCTTGCTTGATAACACACAGTAAGTCAGGGGTGAAGTAGAAATTTAATTTCAGGGCAGTATGTCTCAGGAGTCTTCTCAACTCCACCAGCACGAGATGGCTTCTACTGGTGATCATTATCTTCCTGAAATCTCAATTCTCCCATGATGGGGGAAGAGAAGACACAAAATACACATCACTGAAGAACTGGCCTGAGCCACGGGAAGAAGAGAAATGGTGCACACACAGCTTCATGTGAATCTGGAATCTTTCTTAAAAATCTTCTTTCTCTGCCGGGCACGGTGGCTCATACCTGTAATCCTAGCATTTTGGGAGGCCGAGGTGGGTGGATTACCTGAGGTCAGGAGTTTGAGCAGCCTGGCTAACACGGCGAAACCCCGTCTCTACTAAAAATACAAAAATTAGCCAGGTATGGTGGCGCACATCTTTCATCCCAGCTACTCGGGAGACTGAGGAAGGAGAATCGCTTGAACCTGGGAGGTGGAGATTGCAGTGAGCTGAGATCGTGCCACTGCACTCCAGCCTGCGCGACGGGAGAGAGACTCCATCTCAAAACAAATAAACAAATAAACAAAACTTCTTTCTCTATTTACCTACTTTTTGCTTTTGTTTTCACTTGGGAATATTTTCTATTGTCCCTTGTTTCTGGGTTTGCATCATGTCCTGAACAGTACAGTAGTTTATTTCAATTAATGCTTTCTTGTTCGTTGTACAAACATAGCTTCACTTTGAGCCTTTGGATAGGATGAACCTTCTGCTCTTTCATCAACTCACGACAGAGTTCTGCTTTCCTCAGGAGCTCCCCACTCTCCTCCACACACTGCTGCCCAGGGCCGGAGCCAAGTATTCATGCTAATTCCCAGAGTACAATCCAAATTCTTTCCTTTTTTTTTTTTTGAGACGGAGTCTCGTTCTGTCGCCCAAGCTGGAGTGCAGTGGCATGATCTAAGCTCACTGCAACCTCTGTCTCCCAGGTTCAAGAGATTCTCCTGCCTGAGCCTCCTGAGTAGTTGGGACTACAGGCGTGAGCCATGCCCCCGAAAATTTTTGTATTTTTTGGTAGAGACGGGCTTTCACTGTGTTGGCTAGGCTGGTCTCAAACTCCTGGCCTCAAGTGATCTACCCGCCTTGGCCTCTCAGAGTGCTGGAATTACAGGCGTGAGGCACCAAGCCTGGCCCAGATTCTTTCTGATCATATAAGTTGACTTTGCAACCAGCACTTTTACATTATTCTACTCCTACCTGATTTCCTGTTTTACGTCATGCTCCATGGTGGCACAAGCCCTTCTCAGGACCAAGGACCTGACATAGAAGGAAATAGGGAGTAACTTGCCTCCTTCAGATCCACATTGATAGTTCATGTAGCAGGAAAAGAGGGACCCAGCCTTCTTATCCTAGAGTTTTCAGGTACTCGCAAGAGAGATGCTGGCTTATGAAGAGTCTTCAAAGAGCCCACAATATAGTCTGGCAATGGGTAGTAGATAGCAGCTTGATCTTTTGTCATCCTTATTCATTCAGAAAACTTTTACTGGCTACCTATTGGGTACCTCTCTTCTATGTGGAGCTTCAGTCCAATGGGACAGAGTTATGAAAAATAACAATATGTTATGGGATGGGCATTTAATCCAATCTGGGGGTAGGAATGGAGTGGGGGAAGGTAATGCTTGGGTTGGGTTGAGGCTTGATGGCCAAGTAAAACCAATCAGATGAAGAAGGGGCTAAAGGTGTTCTAGAAAGAGAAGATAGCACCCACAAAGATTCTGAGTTTGCATCATGTCCTGAAGTGTGCAGTTTATTTCAATTAATACTTTCTTTTTGTTTGTTTGTTTTTTTGAGACGCAGTCTCACTCTGTTACCCAGGCTGGAGTGCAGTGGCACGATCTTGGCTCACTGCAGCCTTTGCCTCCCGGATTCAAGTGATTCTCATGCCTCAGCCTCCCAAGTAGCTGGGATTACAGGCACACACCACCACGCCTGGCTAATTTTCATATTTTTAGTTGAGATGGGGTTTTACCATGTTGACCAAGCGGGTCTCAAACTCCTGACCTCAGGTGATCTGCCTGCCTTGGCCTCCCAAAGAGCTAAACCACTGTGCCCGGCTTATGCTTTCTTGTTCTTTGTAGAAACATAGCTTCACTTAAAAAAAAAACAAACAAACAAACAAAAAAACAAAAAAAAAACATGAAAAGAGAGAGCTTGTGCAGGAAAAGTCCTCTTTTTATTTTTTGTTTTTTTGAGACAGTCTCACTCTGTCTCCTGGGCTGGAGTGCAGTGGTGCAATCTGGGCTCTCTATAACCTCCGCCTCCCAGGTTCAAGCAATTCTCTCACCTCAGCCTCCCGAGTAGCTGGGATTACAGGCGTGCACCACCATGCCTGGTGGAGATGGAATTTCGCCACGTTGGCCAGGCTGGTCTCGAACTCCTGACCTGACCTCAGGTGATCCACTTGCCTTGGCCTCCCAAAGTGCTGGGATTACAGGCGTAAACCACTGTGCCTGGCCTGCGCTTTCTTGTTCTTTGTACAAACATAGCTTCACTTTGAGCCTTCTAATAGGATGGAAGGTGAATTGGAAATAGGTGAGACTGGAGGCAGAAGGGCCAGTTAGGAGGCTGTTGGGATGATCCGGCCTATGGAAGGAAGCTCTTACACAGGACCCATTTGCTGCATTGTGCTGTGGGTCCCTACTCTACCAGATACTGCCGGTATCACAAGGTCAGTGAATCTGCAACTACAGCCTACAGCTGGCCACTGACTGGGGGTCAAAACATGGACCAGTCGTGTTTGGGTCCTCCACTGGGCCCATATGGAAAATTACAGAGCTTGAAACTCATCTAAATTTCTAAGTCTTGTCCAGAGGAGTTGTTGTAGCTCTGTAAATACCAAACCTTGAACTTTGTCACTTTTTCACTGGTCTATTTCCCTTCTCCCTATCCCATACACTTTGATGACTATGTAAAGTCTTATCATCTGTCCATTCAAATGCGACTTACTTCATATAATTTCCCATAATTTTCATTTCCCTGAATCCAAATAAGAATTAGCTGTCCTTATTTTAAGATCTCAAAGAACTTTGTGCATAGGTTGAAACTCAATTCACCAAGGGTAATGAGGAAAGTTACCAATAATGGATCAATTAGACTGGGGCACAATTATTTAATTGCTGAATGCTGCCATGTCTGCAGTACACTCTAACAACTTAGTTAAGCTAGTCCTGAGTAATTAATTATACCTCCATTTATACCTATTTGGCCTTAGAAATCATTTATTTTTATTTAACAAACACTCATGTAAGCACTACATGTCAGACATATTTTAAGGACTTTACAAATAAGTTTCTTAACAACCCTATGATATAGGTACTGATATTGCCACCCTATTTAGACAGGAAAAAACCAAGGTACTCAGGAGGGTTTCATAGCTAATAAGTAACTGAAACACAATTTGAATTCAGGAAGCCTTGCTCTAAGTCCTGTGCACTTCATCACAATTGTATGTGGTCTCTCCCAGTAGGCAGTGGAAGCACCAAGCTCTGCAAATTATTTTTCTGAATTGTAACTGCAAGCCAGAGATGTGGTAGGAGCATGGAATATAAATATAAAAACACACAGCTGTTGCTTTCTAGGAGTATATCAGTTATTTCTTGGGCATAACAAATCACAAAACGGTGACTTAAAACAATAGCCATTTACTTGCTCACAATTCTACAATCTGGTCTGGACTCACACATTTACAGTCAGTTGGTGGATCAACTAGTACTGAGGATCCAAAATAGCCTCACTAATGTTCAACATTTCAGCTAGGGTCTGGAATGGCTAAGGGTTGGCTAGGCCTCTCTCCTCATGGTCTTTCGTCCTCAAAAAGACAAGCTCGAGTTTCCTTACATGGGCAAAAGAGCAAAAAGGAAGTAACAAGGTCTCTTAAATCCTGGGCTTGGAAGTGCCCAACATCACTTCCTCTGCATTCTCCTGGTCCAAGCAAGTCAGAAGGCCAACCCAGATTCAATGTGGCAGATGATTACACAATGGCTTCAATTCAGGGACCTGTGATTCACTGAGGGCCTTTTAATAACAATCTACCACAAGAAGCTAACAGTTTTAGTGAGGAGACAATTGTCATAGCACATTGGGACGTAATAAAGATGGGAAAAAGTGCAATAGGTCTGCAGGCAAAGAAACACCCGAATTTGATGGGGCAGGGGATCAAGGACAGCATCATGAAGGCAGCATTAACACAGGCCCTGAGACTTGGAGAGCAGATCATGTTTGGAGGTTAACTTGGTGGGTGGTCACAGGTGAATAAGGAAGGGAAGGAAGGGCAGTCCAGGAGGACAGAATAGCAGGTGCAAAGACATTGATACATGGCAAAAGAAAGCATGTTGTATTTGGGGATAACAAATAGTTCAGAATGATTAGAGTAAAGGGCTCTTGAGGAAGAGTGTGGAAGGCTGAAGAACGAGGCTGAACCATATCAGGAAGTGTCATGAGTGCCTTGCTAAGAAGATTTTAAATGATACTCTTAGTAATAACTCTTAGTAATAGAAGATCATTGAGAAATTTTGATCAGAACAACCACATCATGTGTTTTTTTTTTTTTTTTTTTTTTTTTTTTTGAGACAGAATCTCACTCTGTCACCCAGGCTGGAGTGCAGTGGTGCGGTCTCGGCTCACTGCTATCTCCGCCTCCCTGGTTGACACCATTCTCCTGCCTCAGCCTCCTGAGTAGCTGGGACTACAGGTGCCCTCTACCATACCTGGCTAATTTTTTGTATTTTTAGTAGAGATGGGGTTTCACCGTGTTAGCCAGGATGGTCTCAATCTCCTGACCTCGTGATCTGCCCGCCTCGGCCTCCCAAAGTGCTGGGATTACAGGTGTGAGGCACTGCGCCTGGCCATATTTTTTTTTCCTTTTTTTTGAGACAGAGTTTCACTCTTCTTGCCCAGGGTGGAGTGCAATGGCGTGATCTTGGCTCACCGCAACCTCTGCCTCCCGGGTTCAAGCAATTCTCCTGCCTCAGCCTCCTGAGTAGCTGGCATTATAGGCATGTGCCACCACGCCCAGCTAATTTTGTATTTTTAGTAGAGACGGGGTTTCTCCATGTTGGTCAGGCTGGTCTCGAACTCCTGACCTCAGGTGATCTGCCTGTCTTGGCCTCCCAAAGTGCTAGGATTACAGGCGTGAGCCACCGTGTCCGGTCATGTTTTTTTGTATTTAAAAATCACTTTCAGGCTGGGCACAGTGACTCATGCCTGTAATTTCAGTGTTTTGGGAAGCCGAGGTTAAGAGTTCGAGACCAGCCTGGCTAACATGGCAAACCCCCGCCCCCCGCCATGTACTAAAAATACAAAAATTAGCCGGGTGTGGTGAAATGCCCCTGTAATCCCAGCTACTCAGGAGGCTGAGGCACAAGAATCGCTTGAACCCGGGAGGTGGAGGCTGCAGTGAGCCAAGATTGCACCACTGCACTCCAGCGACAGAGTGAAACTGTGTCTTGAAATAAATTAATAAAATAAAATAAAAAATAAAAATCACCTTAGGAGTCCATGAAAGGAAGATCAGATGGAAATAAGAAAGACAAATGAGAAGGCTATTGCAAAATACCAAGTTTAAGAAGATGAGACTTGAACAATGGCATAGAAAGCAGAGAAGAGGAAAAGGGTTCCAGAAATATTTGTGAGGTAGAATGAACAGGATTTGACAATTGAAGGAAGAATACAGAAAGAATCCCAGGTTTCCGATTTTGGCAACTGGGTGGGGATACAGGTGGCAGAGTTTTAGGGGAAAAGTGATCATTTACGTTTCAGACATGTTGGTTTTGAAACGCCTGTGTGGCAATCAATACAGATATGAAGTAGAGAGTTGGTTCTACAAATATGAAGCTCAAGAGAGAGGACTGGACTAGAGATACAAACACAGAATTCATCAGCAAGCAGGTGGTAGTAAGAAACCATAAGATGTCCCACAGAAAGCATGTAGAATGAAAAGGACAGAAACTAGAGATGACTATAGGGGAAGAGCTAGATTTAGTGGGTAGAAGAGGAAGAGAAGTCCACGTAAAACACTAAAAAAGAACTGGAAAGAGGAGGAAAACCAGTATCATTGGTGCCCCAGTAGCCACAGGATAATATAATTTTGTTTCTTTCTTTTTCTTTTCTTTTTCTTTTTTTTTTTTTGAGGCAGAGTTTTTACTCTGTTACCCAGGCTGGAGTGCAATGGTGCGATCTCGGCTCACTGCAACCTCTGCCTCTGGGGTTCAAGCGATTCTCCTGCCTTAGTCTCCCAAGTAGCTGGGATTACAGGAGTCCTGTCACCACGCCCAGCTAATTTTGTATTTTTAGTAGAGACAAGGTTTCACCATGTTGGCCAGGCTGGTCTCGAACTCTTGACCTCAGGTGATTCTCCCACCTCAGCGTCCCATAGTGCTAGGATTACCGGCGTGCGCCACTGCACCCGGCCTATAACTATCATAATTCAGAAAAGTGCCCATGGAATTTGATGACTGATAACTGGTAAACATACCAAGCGCAGTTTTAGAGGGGCTTATGATGGCAATATCCCAATTGCTACGAATTGAAGAAGCCTGTGAGAGAATGCTTGTAAAGTGTAATGACAGGTGAAGAGGAGTTGCTGGAATTTAAAGAGTTACTTTATAGAAAGCAAAGTTATCTACTGAGAGGGAAGCGTGTGGGCTTAAAAAGTGCATGTGGAGAGGGAAAGGCTTGTAATAGCTGTGCTGAGAGAGAAATCTTTGAATGCCGCTTCCTGTCAAGTTCCTGCTCAGTATTCTTCTCAGTTTCATGATAAACTTCTTGAAAAATTCCTTTGCGTTTACTTTCTCTCTTCCCCACTTCACTCCTTAAAACCACTTTAATCGTAGTTTGGCATTTGTCTCTATATATCAATGACTTTTAGAAAAAATCACCAGTGATTTTTGTGTTTCAAACCTAATGTACATTGTGTCACTTGATATTATTTGTTCAAAAGAATAAATGTTCTGTTCTGGATATTCTTTTTTTTTTTAAATGGAGTCTCACTCACTCTGTTGCCTAGGCTGGAGTGCAGTGGTATGATCTCAGCTCACTGCAACCTCCACCTCCCGGGTTCAAGGGATTCTCCTGCCTCAGCCTTCCGAACAGCTGGGGTTACAGGTGCGTGCCGCCATGCCTGGCTAATTTTTGTATTTTTAGTAGAGACGGGGTTTCACCTTCCTGGCCAGGCTGGTCTCAAACACTTGACCTTAAGTGATCGCCTGCCTTGGCCTCCCAAAGTGCTGGGATTACAGGCATAAGCCACTGCGCCCTGCCAGTTCTGGATATTCTTAACATACTCTATGCTTTTGTCTAAATTATTTGATTCTGATTTCCAACAGTGAAATGGGAATGATGGAGAGTTAATACAATGAGATTGTAAGGCACATGGAGCGTCTCTGACATAAATAGTTATAATCATATCATTTTCCCAATAGAATGGTTTGCAGGGATTAAATGAGATAATGGCTATAAAATTTTTCTTAATACATAGCTGTAAATAGCAATGATTATTTACATTTTAGTTTGAAAATCAGCAAACTAAAATTTAACAGCTGAAGAAAGAGTTCAGCTACTTTGGGTGCTCAGGTAGAAAAATACTTGGTGATTATGAAACGATATGTCTGGAATCTGTTTCAAACTAATCGGGGGCGGGGGGTGGGGAGGGGAGGGTGTTGGGGTGGTAAGGGTGGGTTGGGGCTGCCGTGGTGGGAAATTGGCCACGTTATTGATGCTGAGTGTTTGCTATTCTAATTTTGTATCCGTTTGAAAATTTTATAATTAAAAATTATGATTTGTTTCGCTCTACGCAACTATGTTGACAGAATATATTTGGTAAACTGAAATGTCACGGAAACTTAGTTTGTAACCGGTCAGTGGCTTTTTGAGGTGTAGACACTTCATACCTTACTTCACTCCCCACTGTAAGGAAGATTTAACTTGAAGCGGAGATAATGATTTGAATTTACGGCTTTTATAATGTCATAAATGGGCGTCATTTTAATAACTACTCTCAGAATATCTTTTTCTATTCCACTTTACTTTTTCCTCTCCACTTAACCAACTCATCATTAGAAACTACAAGTCCCAGGATGCACTACACGATGAACGTCGGATCGAGGACCTCGTGTCTCTGAAGTGGTTGCCCTCGCCTTATTTGAATGGGAATAATCCCAATGAAAATTGATGTTTGTGACCCAGAGCAGATTCTGGAGCCTTTTGTACGCCTGGGACGGCCCAGCGTGGAGGGGACAGTGTGGTGCCTTTTTGTTCAGGCTTCGCTCAGGTCAGCCTCACCCTTTCCCGGGGCCTCCATGCGGCAGAAGGGCTCTGTTAGTGCGCCTCTAAGATGGCGACGCCTTTGGCGGTAAATTCGGGTAAGTGTGGCCAGACAGAAAGACGATTGAGCTGAGCGATAACCAGGTCTTCATGGAGAGACGAGACCGTGAGGTTTCTCGGAGTCTAGGACCCCACTTATGTGCGGTGCCTGCTTTTCCCTAATTCTGGGCCTAGAGTCCCACCCCTCCCCAGTTTGAATGGCGCGCGTCGGTGCTGCGGCTCCAGCCCTCGAGTTGGGGTTTGAGATTCCAGGCAGTGAGGCTTGGGCCGCTGGACCCAGGTGTGTAATCTCTCACAGCCCAGGGCTGAGTCTGGTCCCCCTCACCCCCAAGTTTCACTGTGCGTCTGTGGTCCCGATTTCGCTGGAATACGCATCAGGTCTTCCACAGTGAAGCCAGAGGACCCGAGATATTTTCCAGCCATGAGCAGAGGCTGAAAGTAGGCGTCGGAGTTCCTTATAGGGTGGGAGATCTTGCAGGCAGCGAATACTCCCTATTATGAAGTCGGCCATCTGAAAGGTGGTCAGGAAGAGGGTGGCGGGGCTTCAGCAGACGTCTTCTAACCCTGCGGATGTGGTTAGGCCCTGGATGTTCTTGTACCTTTGGAGCTGTAGATTTTCGGGGTGGAATTGAATCTAGAAGGTAGTAAAGGAACTCTGGAAGATTTGGGGTGGATCCTCTTTCGGTGATTCTCAATTCGGGCCGTACCGCCCTCCAGTGGTGTTTGAATGAGTGAGTGCATTTTGATTGTCATATTTCCTGGGGTACACTGCTGTCGCATAGTAGGCGGGGCAAGGATGCAGAAAGTCCTTCATGGTCAGAGCAGTCCGGAAAAATAATTTGGTGCCTAGAATGTTAATGCCTCGATTGAGATGCTCTGAAGTTCGCGGGCAAGATTAAGAGTATATCTGTGTGGTAAATGCTTGTGAGAATCTCACTTAAAAGGACTCTTTTTTAAAGTATTGGTTCTATTTTCCACAGGACTGATATTCTTGAAAAGTTGTCTAAATCTGTTTTGTAAATCAAATCATTTCAGAAAAGCTATGATAAATTATAATGAAGGCTATGTTTACTGAACACATACTATATCCCAGCATTGCACTTATTATCGTGCTTATCTCATTCAGTTCCCGTTTATACACCTTTGGAGTAGTTACTGTTACATACTCCGTTTTACAGATTTGGAAATAGAGGCTTCAAATAGTTACGTAATGTCCCCAGAGTTAAACATCTAATGATCTAAGTCAGTCTTAGGTGCTTAAACTACTTAGTGCTACTGCTTAAGCACAACCTAATTCATTTTATGATATTAGACGTATATATTAGAAGGTTAGTAATGAAGTTACATGCTTAATATTGCGGTCCTTCCTTCCCAATTAGATATGCTTAACGTGTGGTTGTATATAATACATTTCTCTATTTTATTTTATTTTTTAATTTTTCTTTTTGAGATGGAGTCTTGCTCTGTCTCCCAGGCGGGAGTGCAGTGATGCGATCCGCGATCCTGGCTCGCTGCAACCTCTGCCTCCCAGGTTGAAGCAATTCTCCTGCCTCAGCCTCCTGAGTAGCTGGGATTACAGGCATGTGCCACCACGCTGGGCTAATTTTTGTATTTTTAGTAGAGGTGGGGTTTCTCCATGTTGGCTAGGCTGATCTCGAACTGCTGTCCTCAAGCGATCTTTCTGCCTCGGCCTCCCAAAGTGGTAGGTTTACAGGTGTGAGCCAGTACGCAAGGTATACACATTTATTTTCCTTTTTTTTTTTTTTCTTTTTTTGAGATGGAGTCTCATCCTGTCCACCCAGGCTGGAGTGCAGTGGCGTGATCTCGGCTCACTGCAGCCTCCACCTCCTGGGTTGGAGCAACTCTCCTGCCTCAGCCTCTGAAGTAACTGGGATTACAGGCGCCCGCCACCATGCTTGGCTAGCCTGGCTAATTTTTTTTTGAGATGGAGTCTCACTCTGTTGCCCGGGCTGGAGTGCAGTGGCACGATCTTGGCTCACTGCAACGTCCGCCTCCTGGGTTCAAGCGATTCCCCTGCCTCAGCCTCCCGAGGGGCTGGGATTACAGGCGCCCGCCACTACACCCAGCTAATTTTTTGTATTTGTAGTAGAGAAGGGGTTTCACCATATTGGCCAGGCTGGTCTCGAGCTCCTGACCCCGTGATTCACTCCCTTCAGCCTCCCAAAGTGCTGGGATTACAGGTGTGAGCCACTGCGCCTGGCCAATTTTTTTTGTATTTTTAGTAGAGACGGGGTTTCACCATGTTGGCCAGACTGGTCTCAAACTCCTGACCTCAGGTGATCCGCCTACCTCGGCATCCCAAAGTGCTGGGATTACAGGCGTGAGCCACTGTGCCTGGCCTATATACATTCCTTTAGTACATACTCGCCCTAAGCTATTATAATTATTAAACAAATCATTGGAGGGAAAAGGAGTTGCCAACAGCAGCAAAGAGTGTACATTGTATAATAAAGCCTTGTGTCAGGAGTGTTTAATTGGCAACATAGGAAACATTTTTAAAAGCCAAGAGTCAGGAGCTGGTTTTTTAAAAAACTAAACGTCTTAGGGAAGGAACTCTTTTTCCATCAAGGAATGAATGTTGGGTTGAGTGGGTAAAGGAAATGTGTCATATACATGCAATATGCATAATACATATACATGCATATACATAACATAACGTATACATGCATATATATAGTATCCTTATGCAGCCTTAAAAAGGAAGGAAATCCTGTCACATAAAACAACGTGGATGAAACTTGAGGACATACTAAGTGAAATAAGCCAGTCACAAGACACAAATACTACATGATTCCACTTATATGAGGTATCTGAAGTAGTCATACTCATAGAAACAGAAAGTAGAATGGTGGTTGCCAGGGGCTGGGAAAGGGGAAAGTGGGGAGTTGTTTAGGGGGCATAGAGTTTCTGTTTTGCAAGATGAAAAAAGCTGTGAAGATCTGTTGCACAATGTGAATACACTGAACACTGCTGAACTGTACACTTAAAATTTGTTGAGATTGCATTCTATGTTATGTGCTTCCTTTAAATTACAGTTTTAAAAAATCAAACATCTTGGAGTTGTAAGGAAAAAATACAGAGATTGTAGAGTTCTAAGACCTATGGTTGGCCAGGTGTGGTGGCTTATGCCTGTAATCCCAGCACTTTGGGAGGCTGAAGTGGGCAGATCACCTGAAGTCAGGAGTTCGAGACCAGCCTGGCCAACATGGTGAAACCCTGTCTCTACAAAAATACAAAAATTAGCCTGGCATGATGGCAGGTGTCTGTAATCCCAGCTACTCGGGAGGCTGAGGCAGGAGAATTGCTTGAACCCAGGAGGAGGAGGTTGCAGTGAGCCGAGATCATACCACTGCACTCCAGCCTAGGCAACAGAGCGAGACTCTGTCTTAAAAACAAACAAACAAAAAACAAACAAAAAAACCTATGCTTGTATTTCAGCTGTATAACTTAACTAGTCTTGTGACCTGTATCAACCTGGCTGAGTACACTCACAGACTTGTGAATAAGCAACTATTAACACTGCTTGGCAGTCCTTCTGTGATAGTCTGGTCACCTCGTCCATTCACAGCAGTGACTACTTCAGACCTTTCTACACTCTTCAAATCTTTAACCTGCAACTAACTAAACCCTCAGACTTCTAGTCACAGAGAAAATAGGAGCCAACATACATGAACTCCCTTTATTCACTCTCAAACCTACAAACCTAGGTGTGTCTGCATTCTTTTGAATCACTTTTCCTCTGTCTTCCTATCTAATGTAAATCCCACCCATTGTGTTCTTCACCTGTTACCCCTTTTTTTGTCTTGTATATTCACTTCTCTCTCTTGCTCTTCCCTTTCTCTCCACTGATGATCTCATGCGTCACTCCACTTACTGTCCTCTTCCTAGTCAAGCCTTTCAAAAGATTTGTTAGTATTCATGGACTCCATCTCCTTCCTTCCTTTGTTCCTTCCTTCCTTCCCTCCTTCCTTCCTTCCTTCCTTCCCTCCCTCCCTCACTCTGCCCAGGCTGGAGTGCAGTGGTGCAGTCTCGGCTCACTGCAGTCTCCACCTCCCAAGTTTAAATGATTCTCCTGCCTCAGCCTAGTAGCTGGGATTACAGGCCTGAACTGCTATGCCCAGCCTACTGACTCCCTTTTCATACCTCCTATTCCTTCACCCATTCTGGTCTCTTCCATCCTTGTAAACAGCTCTCAATAGGGTTAACTTCTGTTTCTTGTAGTTCAGAAAGTTCCTTTTTAAAAAATTATTTTTTATTTTGAGACAGGGGCTCATTCTGTCGCCCAGACTGGAGTGCGGTGGTGTGATCTCAGCTCACTACAACCTCTGCCTCCCAGGTTCAAGAGATTCTCCTGCCTTAGCCTCCCTAAGTAGCTGGGATTACAGGCGCCCACCACCACACCTGGCTAATTTTTGTAATTTTAGTAGAGATGGGGTTTCACCACGTTGGCCAGGGGTGCCTCGAATTTCTGACCTCAAACGATTCACCTGCCTCGGCCTCCCAAAGTGCTGGGGTTATAGGCATGAGCAGAAAGTCCCCATGTTTTAAATCTTCATTTGGCTTGATCTTTTAGAGTAAAGACCAAAATCCTTTTTTTTTTTTTTTTTTTTTGAGACAGAGTCTGGCTCTGTTGCCAGGCTGGAGTGCAGTGGCGCGATCTTGGCTCACTGAAACCTCTGCCTCCCAAGTTCAAGCGATTCTCTTGCCTCAGCCTCCTGAGTAGCTGGGACTACAGGCGTGCGCCACCACACCCAGCTAATTTTTGTATTTTTAGTAGAGCAGGGTTTCACCGTGTTGGCCAGGATGGTCTTGATCTCCTGACCTCGTATCTGCCCGCCTCGGTATCCCAAAGTGCTGGGATTACAGGCCTGAGCCACCACACTCGGTCATCAAAATTCTTTAACGTGGGCAAGTGAGCCCTGTGTGATGATCTTGCCAAACCCGTTTTCTGTACTGCAGCTCTCTTGGCCTTTTGAGTTCTTTGACATGCCGCATTCCCTCTTGCCATGGAAACCCACAGGTTGTCCTCTCCCTGGAATGCATGTCTTCACCTCCCACCTGTCAGTTAACTATCACTTTTGTTCTTCAGATTTCAGCCTAGTTATCACTTCCTCATGGATAATTCTTTCCTCTGGCTAGGTCAGAGTCCCCTATTATGTGATCTCTTGCCCTGGCTACCTCTCCTTCATATCCTTCATATCCTGACCACAGTTGGATTTTATTTTATTTTTATTTATTTTTTTATTTTTTGAGATGGAGTCTTACTCTGTAGCCCAGGCTGGAGTGCAGTGGCGTGATCTCGGCTCACTGCAGCCTCCGCCTCCTGGGTTCAAGCGATTCTCCTGCCTCAGCCTCCCTAGCAGCTGGGACTACAGGCGCATGCCATCACGCCTGGCTAATTTTTTGTATTTTTGGTAGAGACGGGGTTTCGCTGTGTTGGCCAGGACGGTCTTGATCTCCTGACCTCGTGATGTGGCCCGCCTTGGCCTCTCAAAGTGGTGGGATTACAGGCGTGAGCCACTGTGCCCGGCCAGATTTTACATTTATGTATGATTATGATTAATGTTTTTCCTCACTGCAGTATAATCTTACCAATACCTCACACATGGTGAATGAGTGAGTAAATGTGATTTGCTGGAGGTATCCCTAAACATTAAGGAAAATAAATGTATTTCTCAACTGACTAAACTACATGGTAAAAATACATATTTAGTAATTTTGAAAAATTTATAGTGTCCCTTCATTTGTAATCAGTAAAAAAGATATTTACTGTAATCCTAGCACTTTAGGAGGCTGAGGAGGGAGGATCACTTGAGGCCAGGAGTTCAAGGCAAGCCTGGGCAACATAGCAACATCCCAGTTCTACAAAAAATACAAAAATTAGCCAGGTCTGGTGGTGCGCGTGCGCCTGTAATCCTAGCTACTAGAGAAGCTGAGGCAGGAGGTTGCTTGAGCCCAGGAGTTTGAGGCTGTAATGAGCTGTGATTGCCTCACTGCACTCCAGCCTGGGTGACAGCAAGACCCTGTCACAAAAAACAAACAAAAAAAAGGTGTTTACTGAAATTGGTCAAACTCAAGACAGATTGAAGATAACTCTTTGTTGCGGCTACCTTTGGTGTTTTTTTTTTCTTTTTCTTCTTTGAGACGAGGTTTCACTCTGTTGCCCACGCTGGAGTGCAGTGGCTCAGTCATGGCATACTACAGCCTCTACCCTCTGAGACTCAGGTGATCCTCCCACTTCAGCCTCATGAGTAGCTGAGACTATAGGCACAAGCCACCATGCCCAGCTATTTTTTTTTTTTTTTTTTTGAGACGGAGTCTTGCCCTGTCACCCAGGCTGGAGTGCAATGGCATGATCTCAGGTGACTGCAACCTCTGCCTCCTGGGTTCAAGCAATTCTCCTGCCCCGGCCTCCCAAGTAACTGGGATTACAGGTGTTAGCCACCATGCCCAGCTAATTTTTTTGTGTGTGTTTAGTAGAGACAGGGTTTCACCATGTTGGCCATGCTGGTCTTGAACTCCTGACCTTGTGATCTGCCCACCTCGGCCTCCCAAAGTGCTGGATTACAGGCATGAGTCACCACGCCCGGCCTGTTTTTTTTTTAAATAGAGACAGGGTTTTGCCATGTGACCCAGGCTGGTCTTGAACTCCTGCACTTAAGCTCCTTGAACCTTGCTTGGGAGGCCTACCTCAGCCTCTCAAAGTGCTAGGATTACAGGTGCGAGCCACCTTGCCTGGCCCTTTGATGCTATGTTGATATTAATGACGAACTAAGTAGGCCAGTGAACCTGTTTTTTTATTGTTGAGTTTTTTTGTTTGTTTGTTTTTTGAGATGGAGTCTCACTCTGTCTTCCAGACTGGAGTGCAGTGGTGCGCTCTTGGCTCACTGCAACCTCTGCCTCCAGGTTCAAGCGATTCTCCCACCTCAGCCTCCTGAGTAGCTGGGATTACAGGTGCACGCCACCATGCCTGGCTACTTTTTAAAAATTTTTTGTAGAGACAGGGTTTTGACATTTTGGCCAGGCTGGTCTCGAACTCCTGACCTCAAGTGATCTGCCCGCCTTGGCCTCCCAAAGTACTGGCATTACAAGTGTGAGCCACTGCAGCCGGCCTATTGTAGAGTTTTGATCTTTAATTGGATGCCTACCATTATTGGGGGAAAAATTGGATTTTTCTCTACCATTCACTGAGCTTATTACACTAAATATGTATAGTACAAGGAAATTTATTGGTTTTTCAGAGGTCCTACTGTATATTAATATTTAAAATGAGGGAGAGAAAATTAACTTTTGTCAGCACTTTATCAGATTTCTGAAATGTCTGTGGTAAGGTATATTTCAGATTTGCATAGGAGTCATCATTAATACCTTCCCTTTATACCATGTGCCATTTGATGACCAATTCTGAGTCCTTTCTGTTACTAACAGACCTTTTCTTCCTCCTGTACTGCCCTCATCCTAGTTTAGGTTCCATTTTCTTATTTTTTTTTTTTTGAGATGGAGTTTCGCTATTGTTGCCCAGGCTGGAGTGCAATGGTGTGATCTCGGCTCACTGCAACCGCCACTCCCAGGGTTCAAGCTATTCTCCTGCCTCAGCCTCCCGAGTAGCTGGGATTACAGGCACCTGCCACCATGCCTGGCTAATTTTGTATTTTTAGTAGAGATGGGGTTTCTCTATGTTGATCAGGCTGGTCTCGAACTCCCGACCTAAGGTGATCTGCCCACCTTGGCCTCCCGGTTCCATTTTCTTATAAGTGGCTTACTTACCTCTTATCCTTGTTTCCTGACACTGCCTGTTCTAGTCCATCAACCACACTAGAACACCATTTTCCTACAATGCCAGTTTCATTTTGTCATCTGCTACTGGAAACTTTGCCATTTACTAATAGGAAAAATTCCATCATGGCCCTGGAATCCAAGGCTGAAACCTACTCTATCCTTTGCAGTTAGAGAGAGGGCCAAGAAAATGATCCTGAGGGAAGTCATCTAGTCACCAGGATCTAGGTCCTCATTTTGGCAGGCAGAGAAATCTGATTTTTTTCAGTGTATCCAGAGTTGATTAGGTCCCATTCATTGATTATTCTCTAATCAAATTCAGAAAAGACAGATACATAAACCAGTATGCCAGTTATTGCTCTTTTTTATTTTATTTGTTTATTTATTTGTTTTTTGAGACAGAGGCTTGCTGTGTTGCCCAGGCTGGATGGCAGTGGTGTGATCTCGGCTCACTGCAACCTCTGCCTCCCAGATTCAAGAGATTCTTGTGCCTCAACCCTCCTTGTAGTTGGATTTACAGGTGTGCATCATTGCACCTGGCTAATTTTTGTATTTCTAGTAGAGACGGAGTTTCATCATGTTGGCCAGACTGGTCTTGAACTCCTAGCCTTGGCCTCCCGAAGTGCTGGGGTTACACGGATGAGCCACCACCCCTGTCTGCCAGTTATTGCTCTTTAATGGGAAGTATGTCTGCATAGGTACTCATGTTGCCTTGTCAACACATCCTTCATGCTAGAAATTTATATGTCGAGCTATATTTTTAATCAGAAGATTGGAAAGTGTGGGACTAAAGCAGGAGAAGCAAAGCAGGGAATTGGATGATCTGTCTATGTAAGGAAGATCTAGACATGCAGATTCCTCACATCCCCACATCAAAGACCTGACGCTTTGCATCCTTCCCTAATCTTCAGATTAGTTTAGGCTCTTTCTTTCATGTACTCTCATAGCCCGTTGTACTTCATCATATCTTTTATTATACTGATATCTTTGGAATTATTTGTTTTTTCGTTTTGTTTTGTTTTTTGAGACGGAGTCTTGCTCTGTTGCCCAGGCTGAAGCGCAGTGGCGCAATCTCGGCTCACTGCAACCTCTGCCTCCCAGGTTCAAGCAATTCTTCTGCCTCAGCCTCCCGAGTAGCTGGGACTACAGGTGCGCACCACCATGCCTGGCTAATTTTTGTATTTTTAGTAGAGATGGGGTTTCACCATATTGGCCAGGTGGCTGGTCTCGAACTCCTGACCTCGTGATCGGCCCACCTCGGCTTCCCAAAGTGCTGAGATTACAGGTGTGAGCCACTGCACCCGGCCTGGAATTCTTTGTTTAATGTCTGTCAGTCTTATCAATTTGTAAGTTCCATGAGGCTTGGGATTCTGTCTGTCTTGCTCAGTCTATGTGTGTATATATATATATATATATATATATATATATATATATATATATATATATATATGTATATATGGTCCCTCAGTAAATATTTGATAGTGAATGAAAGTATGAATAAATAATCCATCTCCACTGGTTTAGTCCGTCCTCTCCCTGCACATCTCCCTTTAAAAAATTTTTTTTTCAGGCTGGGTGCAGTGGCTCATGCCTTTCATCCCAGCACTTGGGAAGGCCAAGGTGGGCAGGGTAGATTGCTTGAGTCCAGGAGTCTGAGACAAGCCTGGACAACATGGTGAAACCCTGTCTATACCAAAAAAAAAAAAAAAAAAAAAAGCAAACAAACAGAAATTAGGTGGGTGTGGTTGCATACCTGTAGTCCCAGCTATTCAGGAGGCTGAGGGGGGCAGTATCTCTTGACCCCAGGAAGTTGAGGCTACAGTGAGCTGAGATGGCACCACTGTACTCCAGCCTGGGTGACAAAGTGAGACCCTGTCTCAAAAAAAAAATGTTTTTAAATTACATTGCGTCATCTGACGTTGTTCATTGAGTTATAATGTATTTAATTACATTACAGTTATCTTTCATGTTGTTCTTATATCCTGGTAACTTTATTTGGATTTGGGTTTTCTCAACAGTTTACCCTGTTTACAGTCTTTAATGTTTAGGCTATAGTTAGTTCTAAGTTTCATCTGTTGAGTAATTGGTTTTGACCAGTTTTTCCTTCAGAGTCTAAACACATATGAGTACCTTATCTGCTTATTTCCAAACAGAAACCTTTGGCTTTAGAGTCATATTTTTTAAATGGTGAGTCTAAAATCAGTTTAGTAGGGGCCGGGCGCCGTGGCTCATGCCAGTAATCCCAGCACTTTGGGAGGCCGAGGTGGGCAGATTGCTTGAGGCCAGGAGTTCAAGACCAGCCTGGCCAAATGGTGAAGCCCCATCTCTAATAAAAATACAAAAATTAGACGGGCGTGGTGGCACGCCTGTAATCCCAGCTACTCAGGAAGCTGAGGCAGGAGAATCACTTGAACTCAGGAGGTGAAAGTTGCAGTGAGCGGAGATTGTGCCACTGCACTCCAGCCTGGGTGACAGAGTGAGTGAGACTGCATCTTAAAAACAATAAAGATAAAATCAATTTAGTGGGCCCCTCACCAAAAATGGGACAGAACACAAAATATCATAGGGCATTGAATATAATAAATGAATTAATTTTAGTTTTTTATTGTTGTTGTTGTTGAGACAGAGTCTCACTCTGTCACCCAGGCTGGAGTGCAGTGGCGTGATCTTGGCTCACTGCAACCTCCACCTCCCAGGTTCAAGCGATTCTGGTTCCTGGCCTCCCGAGTACCTGGGATTACAGGTGTGCGCCACCACTCCTGGCTAATATTTTTGTATTTTTAGTAGAGACAGGTTTTTACCATGTTGGCCAGGCTGGTCTCGAACTCCTAGCCTCAAGTGATCTGCCCGCCTCGGCCTTCCAAAGTGCTGGGATTATAGGTGAGAGCCAGCCTGAATTTTAGTATTTTATATAATACTTTTGTTCCAGTTTTGTATATACATGTGTACTGGGTTGAAATGTGAAATATTTCTTACTGTGGATTATAGTCAAAGTTTGAAAGCACTACTCCTACCTCTTTAATCTTGCTACTGCTCTGAATTCTCTTTCATGCTTTCACACCTGTCTCTGATCCTTTGCTCACACTTGTTCTTGGCTGATGTTTGTTGCCCAGATTTTCCTCATCCTTCAAATGCTGCACAAGTGCAGCCATTCCTTAGCCAACTCTGACCATCAGTTTGATCTTTTGAAATTATTTTATTGTTTGTGCCAACAATCATATTCCTTTACTGGAATATTTCACTTATGTACATTTTATCTCCCCAACTGGTGAGCTGTAAGACAAAGATTGTTTGTCTTATCTTCTTTGATACTTTACTGTTCATTTATGGAGTTTAAATTTTTTATTTTTTATTTTTTGAGATGGAGTCTCACTCTGTTGCCAGGCTGGAGTGCAATGGCACGATCTCGGCTCACTCCAACCTCCGCCTCCTGGGTTCAAGCAATTCTCCTGCCTCAGACTCCTGAGTAGCTGGGATTACAGGCGCGTGCCACCACGCTTGGCTAATTTTTTGTATATTTTAGTAGAGATGGGGTTTCACCATGTAGGCCAGGCTGGTCTCAAACTCCTGACCTCAGGTGATCCGCCCGCCTTGGCCTCCCAAAGTGCTGGGATTACAGGCGTGAGCCACCGTGCCCGGCCTTAGTACTATTTTTGAAATACCTAAATTCTTCCCAAACACTTTCACTTTTTAAGTATTATGTATTATAGTATAAATGTGTCATTTACTTTCCAGTAAATTATGGTGAAAGTACAATTTACTGGTTAGGGCACACTCTGATGCCCAGACTGCTTGGGCTTAAGTTCTGACATTATCTAGTGTGACCTCAGGTGGTGAATATTTTGACCTCTCTGCCTCAGTTTCCATATTTATAAAATGGAGGAAGCCATAGTGCTAACCTCATAGGGTGTTGTTAAGACATAATCATACATGTAAAGAGCTTAGGGCCATGCTTAGTAGCACACAGCACAAGTTTAGTCATTATTACTTACTGTTATCATGTTTATCAATTAAAATGTGATCCTTTTTATATGAGTTTATAAAAGTATTCTGTATTTCTATGCTGTTTTATAATAGCCAGTGTCTCAGCCCAAAGTACATTTTCAGCTTCTAAGTTTTATAAATTCTGAGTTATTTCCCTACTGCTGCTTTTCATCTGGATGACAAGAAGGAAAGGAAGGAAAGGCACTTACCTTTATTGAGTGCCTATGATATGAAAGGCACTGGACTGTGTGTTTTCCTTAGTTTATCTCATTTGAAAAACTTACAGCTCTTTGAAGCAGATGGTGTTTATGTTTTATATATATATATATATATATATAGAGAGAGAGAGAGAGAGAGAGAGAGAGAGAGAGAGAGAGAGAAACTGAAGTTTAAAGAGGTTATTTCCCTTGTTCCAGTAGACATAGCTAATGAAGTGGTAAAACTAGGTTCAGCTGATATTCCAATTTAAAGTCAGGATTTATTTTATTTATTTATTTAATTTTTAAATTTTTTTTGAGATGGGGTTTTGATCCTGTCGGCCAGGCTAGAGTGCAGTGGCACGATCCTGGCTCACTGCAACCTCCGCCTCCTGGGTTCGAGTGATTTCTCCTGTCCCAGCCTCCCAAGTAGCTGGGACTACATGTGCGCACCACCACACCCGGCTAATTTTTGTATTTTTAGTAGAGACGGGGTTTCACCATGTTGGCCAGGTTGGTCTCAAACTCCTGACCTCAGGTAATCTGTCCGCCTTGGCCTCCCAGAGTGCTGGGATTACAGGCGTGAGCCATTGTGCCTACCTAAAGTCAGGATTTATTTTATAGTAAGTCAGATAAAGTGATGTGTTTATATCATTGCTTGAGAATTTTAATAAACTATGCTTTTATATTAGTGTCTCTTAATCAGTTACAACATTGATATTTATATAATTAGCAATCATTTATTATATTAATATAATTAATATATATTAATTATATTAATATAATTAATTATATTAATATAATTAATTATATTTATATATTATATTAATATATTAATTATATTTATATATTATATTAATATATATTAATTATATTTATATATTATATTAATATATATTAATTATATTAATATATAAATTATATATTATATATTACATATATTATATATAAATATAAAATATATGTAATATATTATATATTATATATTTATATATAATATATTAATATAATATAGTTAATGTAACATACTAATTATAATATTTATAATATAATTGATAATTATATTAATTAAGATAACTTCCTAGATTAAAAAGTAGCTGTGGGTGTAACTAAAATGTGTGGATGGTAACCTCACATTATTTTTCAAGTGTATGTTTTCTTTGACGGTGGTTTCATTTATTTTTTCTTTAAGCTGCTAGTCTATGGGGTCCTTACAAAGACATTTGGCATAAAGTGGGAAATGCTCTTTGGAGAAGACAACCTGAAGCTGTTCACCTTCTTGATAAGATTTTGAAGAAACACAAACCTGACTTCATCTCATTGTTCAAAAATCCGGTAAGAAATTTTCTTTTTCAGTTTTTTTGGGATTTTTTTTTTTTTAAGATCGAGGAAGGAAGTAAACTCTTTTCTTTTTTTTTTAATTTTCAAATTTTTTTCAGAAATTTATTTACTGTGCCACAGTCTCATGAGGTCCTGATGACATGTACCCCTAAACGCTTAAAAAAAAAAAAAAAGACAGGGTCTAACTTTGTAGCCCAGGCTTGTCTTGGACTTCTGGCCTCAGTGATCCTCCTGCCTCAGCTTCCCAAAGTGCTGGGATTACAGACGTGAGCCACCATGCCAGCTGCAAAAACTATCTTAAAAACTTTTTTTAATTTTTAATTTTTGTGAGCACATAAAGGATGTATATATTTATGAGGTACGTGAGATGTTTTGATACAGGCATGCAGTGTGAAATAATCACATCATGGAGAATGGGGAGTCATTCATCCCCTCAAGCATTTATCCATTGTTTTCCAAACAATCCATTTACACTCTTAGTTATTTTAAAATGTATAATTATTATTGGCTATCACCCTGTCGTGCTATCAAATAGTAGGTCCTTGCAAGTAAACTCTTAATGTACGTAACAAAAACATGTCACCTGTCTCACTCCAGTGATTCAATGATTTTCTTTTCTAGATATTTTTTAAAGACAGGGTGTTGCTCTGTCCTCCAGACTGGAGTGAAGTGGCCTGATTATAGCTCACTATAGCCTCAAACTCCTGGTTCAAGCGTTCTTCCTGGCTCTTCACTCCTAAGTAGCTGGGACTACAGGTGTGTGCCACCGTGCCCAGCTAATTTTTTTTAGAGATAGGGTCTTGCTATGTTGCCCAGGCTGGTCTTGAACTCCTGGCCTCAGGTGATCTTCCTGCCTTGGTCTCAAAAAGTGTTGGGATTATAGACGTGAGCCACTGTGCCCTGCTGTGATTTTAATGGAATTTTTCTTAGGAGCAATGTTATTCTCTATAGAAGTTAATATTATGTTTATTTCTAGCTAGGAGATAAACTTAATAATATTTGAAGACTATTTAAGAAATTTAGTATATTCCAGAAATATTAACTGCCTTAGAATTTCTGACCTCTAGTTAGTAATACATCTATGCTTGGTAAGATTGATTATTTTGTTTATTTCCAGATGTACGTTAAAATTTTAAGTATTATTTTATAGTAGTTTATAGTATTATGTAAGTTGTGTTAATGGAATGAATTAATTCTTGAGTATTTTTAATTTCTGCATCTTGAAATTCTTTGCAATAGCAATAGGGTACTTTAGTGGAGGGGATTCAAACTTGGAAAATGCTTTTCTTGTTGTTTGGCACTTTTCCTTTGCGTGTATGTGTTTGTGTGTCAGAGTCTCACTCTGTCGTCCAGTCTGGAGTGCAGCGGTGCGATCTTGGCTCACTGCAACCTCCCTCCCGTGTTCAAGCAATCCTCCTTCCTCAGCCTCCAGAGTAGCTGGATTACAGGCGCCTGCCACCATGTCCAGCTAATTTTTTTGTATTAGAGACGTGGTTTCACCACGTTCGCCAGGCTGGTCTTGAACTCCTGGCCTCAAGTGATCTGCCTGTTTCAGCCTCTCAAAGTGCTAGGATTATAGGCATGACCCACCACGCCCAGTCTGGCACTTTTCTTTTATATACAGCAAGGAAGCCATCCAAGAACTATTTATAGGATTGTGTTACCAGAAATGGCTTTTTGCTTTTTAGCTTTTTTTTTTTTTTCTTTTTTTTTCTTTTTTTTTGCTTTCTTTAGTAGAAAGAACCCCAGCCTGGGAACCAGTTGAGCTGATTTCCAGTCTTGGCTGTACCACTAGAGAGTTTTATGACCACAGACAAGTTACCTGACTTAGCTGGATGTCGGTTTTTCTGTCTGCAATAGAGGAGCTAGATTCAATGACCAATGTGTAACCTTTAAGTTCCGAAACTTTAGATGTATGATCTATCAGCTAATTCTGTACTGTACGTCATATGTTAAATATTTGCACCAAATTATCTTTTAGGAAATAAGACTACATTTTATATAACATTAATAAACTGTTACTTGCTCTGCTAAGTAATTAAACAGTTCATATATCCATTTGTTATGTACCATTTGAAGACCTTATTATTTTTATTTATTATGTAATTGAAAAGTTCTGTAGAAACTTGAAAAATAGTATGCTATTTTGTATATTTTCTCCAAATTTTTCAGATCAGAGTTTAGCAGTCACAGTTATTGAGAAGGTAGTATTGGAATAAAAAGTTTAAGGTTATGCAAAATATTACTTCATAAAAGTCTGTTCTAAATTAGCTGATAAGAAATACTTCTGTTTGTCATGTTACCAGGCTGAATTATCATGAATAAGCTTCTGTAGGTAACACTTTGGGACCTTGTCTCCAGTGTGCTATTTTCATAACAATTACAATTTTATCATTGTAGCCAAAAAATGTTCAACAGCATGAGAAGGTTCAGAAAGCCAGTACAGAGGGAGTCGCCATTCAGGGTCAACAGGGAACTCGACTTCTTCCTGAACAGCTCATTAAAGAAGCCTTTATTCTCAGTGACCTTTTTGATATTGGAGAATTGGCAGCTGTTGAGCTTCTTCTTGCTGGTAGGTTGACATTTAACTGAAACAGTGGTAAAATAATGCAAAATTATAAAATCACTCATAGTTTAAAATAGTTTATTGTTTAGATTCTATCATAGTTTCTAAGGCTGCAGTTTGGTAAAACCATATTCAAAATATTTCCTTTTTTAATCTTTGTTGTTTTTTTTTGAGACAGAGTCTCGCTCTGTTGCCCAGGCTGGAGTGCAGTGGCATGATATCGGCTCACTGCAACCTCCACTTACCGGGTTCAAGTGATTCTCATGTCTCAGCCTCCCGAGTAGTTGAGATTACAGGCATGTGCCACCATGCCCGGCTATCCTTTCTTAACCTTTGATTGGAAGGAAGGCTTCAGTTTAGTGATCAGAATTGTTAAAGACATCTCAGAAATTTTATAGCACAAAGCACTTACTGTCAGTGAGTAGGCAGGTAAGGTCACCACTTTTTTGGAATTTCTTTTTGAGAGAGTAATTCAGATAATGCATGAGTAGGTAAAAAATAAGATGATTTCAATAATACAGAGTACTAGGAAGAAAATAAAATAAAGCAGTGAGATATAGAGAGGTGGAGGCTGGCTAGTGCAACTCTAAGTAGGATCCGTAGAGAAGGCCTCTCTAAGATGGTGTCATTTGCCTTGAGACCCAAATGATGAGAAGGTGCCAGCCACCCAGACCTATTGGGTAAGGCTTTTCCGGGGAGAGCAAGCAGCCAGTGCTTGAGGTGGGAATAAAGGCGTGTTTAAGGATAAAAAGATCATTGTGGCTAGAGCATCATAAATGAGAGGGAGAGCAAAGGAAGATGCAGATACAGCAGGAATCAGAGCATGTTTGATTTTGCATGATAATGAAAGGTATTTGGATTTTATTCTAATTGCAATAGAAAGTTGTTGATGAGGGCTTTAAGCAGAGACATTACATAATTCATTCTAACTCTGAAATTATTTCTCTGGCTGCTGTGTAGAGAAAAGAGAGAAAAATTTCTATACTATAAGCAGTTTGTTTTAATTATAATGGAGGAGCCATTTGAAGAAAATATGGGCATGTTAGTTGAACAAAAGTTTAATATGTCTAAAGATAATATATGGCTACCAAAATCCTTTTTGACCTAAGCCTGCACTAAAAGAAGTATGATATTGAGAATGAGGGGGATGTTCACTAGACATGCTTGAGTTTTGAGTTTAACTCGGAACTTTCATTTAACAAACATTTCTTCTATACCTACCATGTGCCAGGCATGGTGTTAATTATATCACTCCAGTGATATAAAGATGAATAAAATCTCAACTAGTGTAAATACGCTCATATTCTAATAATTGAGAATGATGTGGAAACAAATATTTTGACACAATTAAGTACAATTAATGCAGTTTTGTGCAAGATTTAGAGATGGTCCAGAGATTTAGAGATGGTATTAGATGGACCTTGATTGTACAGAGAACTCTTAACAACATCATGAAGTTTAAGGTAGATGTTGCAAAATGAGTAAGCATACATCAGGTGGAATAGGTGGTTATTTGGGAGGATGAAGGGCATCCAGGCAGAAGAAATTGCCTGTGCAAGAGGGTGAAGCAAGGTGATGAATTTGGGGAACAGAAAGGAGTAGAGTGGAGGAGTAGTTGCAGTAAGGGGAAAAGAAAGCTTTAGGAAATGAAACTGAAACTATAGGCAAAGTACTCTTAAAAAAAAAGTGAAACTTAGCCAGGCGTGGTGGCTCACACCTGTAATCCCACCACTTTGGGAGGCCAAGGCAGGTGGATCACGAGGTCAGGAGTTCAAGACCAGCGTGGTCAACATGGTGAAATGCCATCGCTACTAAAAATACAAAAATTAGCTGGGTGCTATGGCAAGTGCCTGTAATCCTAACTACTCAGGAGGCTAAGGCAGGAGAATTGCTTGAACCTAGGCGGCAGAGGTTGCAGTGAGATCACGCCACTGCACTCCAGCCTAGGTGACAGAGTGAGACTCCATCTCAAAAAAAAAGGTAGAACTCATTCAAAGGAGAGTAGTTAAAAGGTGACTGAACTTGAATTATAAAAAGGTTGTTTATTCAGAGAAGATTCCGAGGGAAGAAACTTAGAAATATTTGAAAGATTCCATATGAGATAGTAAAATGGGCATTGAATAAAATTAAATTTAGTGGACAACAGTGAGACCAAAAGATTCTCACCCAGTATGTAGAAATCACAGGTAAGTGTGAGAGTTAGAAATTGAGAGTTTGGAAAATGGTGAATTCCATGTCCCTGCTGGTGTTTAGGGATAAGTTGGATGGCCCTCGAATATGTTGAGCAAGAAGTTAGACAGTGGATGGATGTTTGTAGTAGAGGACCCCAGGGCCCCTTAAGCCCTGAGCTACTGTGATTCTTTGAACTGAACATTGTTATATTGATTTTTGTCTCCTCCTAAACACATACGTGTTTATTAACAATATTATTTCTCAACTTCCTTTTTTAGGAGAGCATCAACAGCCACATTTTCCTGGCCTTACCAGAGGATTAGTAGCTGTTCTTCTGTACTGGGATGGAAAGCGATGCATTGCGAATTCCTTGAAAGCCTTGATACAGTCTAGACGGGGAAAGACATGGACCCTAGAACTCAGGTCTTTTTACTTCTTGGGATTTCAGGGGTTAATTTGAAATTACTTGAAGTATGACAATATTTCCCTTATTATATACAATCTGAGCAATATGTAACATAAGCTGAGTAATATACTCCCTTATTCTGCCAAGACAGATATAACAATTTAAACCTGTTTTATTGTGTTTATAAATAAAAAATAATTTGGACCGAGGTGCAGTGGCCCAAATTATTTTTGGATTACAAAGTGCTGGGATTACAGATTACAGTCTTGAGCTCAGGAGTTTTAGATCAGCCTGGGCAACATGATGAAATCCCATCTCTACAAAAAATAGAATAATTAACTGGGCATGATGGCATGCACCTGCAGTCCCAGCTACCTGGGAGGCTGAGGTGGGAGAAAGACCTGAGCCTGGGACGTCAAGGCTGCAGTGAGCCATGATCACGCCACTGCACTCCAGCCTGGGTGACAGAGCAAGGCCCTGTCTCAAAAAAAGAGCGTTTGCTATACCTATTATTATGAAGAAGCATAAACAATATTGTTTAACGTAGTTTATTGATTTCTTTTCATTACAGTCCAGAGCTGGCTTCCATGACAACACGCTTTACAGATGAGCTGATGGAGCAAGGATTGACTTATAAAGTTCTTACGCTGGTGTCACAGATTGATGTGAATAATGAGTTTGAGAAACTACAGCGAGAGAGAGGTTTGGGCAGTGAAAAACATCGCAAAGAGGCAAGGGTTCAATGAAATCAATTCATGAGTTGTCTGTCAAATCTCAGAGGCAGAAACATGACAATTAGAATGTTCATTTTTTCAAGATGAATTATGTAGCTGATACCATGCCTGATTGCCACTTTTCTTTTTTTTTGCTTTTATTATTTTTCATTGACACAAAACTGTACATATGTATAGGGTACAGTGTGGTATTTTGATACATATGTATGATATGTAATAAATCATAATTAGCATATCCATCACCTCAAACGTTTATTATTTCTTTGTGTTGGGAACATTCAAAATTCACTGTACTACTGTTTGACAGTACAGTATACAATAAATTGTTAATTGTAGTCAGCTCGTAATGTATATTAAAGTTTGTAGTCAGCTGTGTCCATAAAATTGACTTGCAGTTGTTTCAGCTTCGGTATAGTCATTTATGTGCCATTCTAGCTCTTTTTATGAAATGAACAAGAAATTGGTCATCCCAATTTCTTAAGGAACTTAAGGATAAGGAATAAACAATAGGGTTTGTTCAGAATTCCAGAGGTGACGTCTTAGGATCACTTGTGGATTTTGATAGGTTTTTTTATTAGCCTTTGTAAAAGGTAGTTTGTACTTTGGAATAAGACCAGGCTTCACTGTAATTTATTTATACTGATAGTCATGTTTTTATTTCTAGGTTTCTGATCTCATTAAGGAGTGCAGGCAGTCTCTTGCAGAAAGCCTTTTTGCCTGGGCTTGCCAGTCACCTTTAGGCAAAGAAGACACTCTCCTCCTCATTGGACATTTGGAAAGAGTGACAGTTGAGGCTAATGGCTCACTGGATGCAGTGAATCTGGCTCTTCTTATGGCGCTTCTATACTGTTTTGATATCAGTTTTATAGAGCAAAGCACAGAGGAACGAGATGGTATTGAGTTTTATACATTTTCCTACATTAAAAAAATCAGATTTAAAATTGTGGGGATAACATTTAAAAAGGGTGATATTTTAGCTACTAAAATAGTCTGCTCTGTTCCTGTGTTTGCAGTCCGTTCATATTTGAATATTTATATATAAGATCACATTTAAAAAACAGCTGCAGTCCTGTTAATTATTTCTGTTTTTTGGGGGGATTTGGAATGGAAAGTATTAAAGCATATATTATACATGTTCATGATTGCACATGCCTAATTTACTTAATTGCTTGTTTCTTTACCATTCATTTACATTTTCAAACTTTTTATTAAAACATTCTGAGACAGTGACTGTCATTTCAGTAATGTAATCTTTGATCTGTGTTTTCTGTGAAGTAAATAAAATTTTTGTGATCTTTAGATAGCATGATTTCTATTTTAGAATTTATGTGCAGAAAAAATGAGTGTCTAACTTTTTTCTTGTTTATTTGTAGTACACTTATAAAAATGACTGAAAATAGTGAAATTGAAATTTAGGATTATTGTCATTTTCTTTTTTTGTTTTTAGTATGTGTACAATCAACAGTAGTGTACCTTTTGGGATGTAGAAATTAATGTTAATTGGTCATTATTCTTCTGTGAGAATGCTCAGATTTTCTGACTTTTGGATATTATTCCTGTGTATCAGAAGTGAGAATTTATCTGGTGATCGGTAAAGTGGTCTATTTTTGTGTTTTCAGATATGATTCATCAACTTCCACTGTTGACAGAAAAACAGTACATTGCAACAATTCACTCTCGTCTTCAGGACTCACAGCTTTGGAAACTGCCTGGGCTCCAAGCCACTGTTAGACTTGCCTGGGCGCTGGCATTGAGGGGAATATCCCAGCTACCTGATGTGACAGGTGAATTGATTGTAGGTAATTTTGTTATGAGAAACAGCATGTTAGCACTTAATGACATTTTTGGAAGGAGTATTATCTTTGACATACATAAGCATAAGCATAGGAAGATATCCAGAGTTGTATTAAATGAAACCTTTAGTGTAGTAGTGAAATACAGACTTTTTTCTCCTTGTCTCTCAAAAATATCATATGAAATACTATTTCCCATTCTTGGAGCCACTGACAATGCTCTTTTACCTTCAGGGTATGAGTTTAAAATTTGGAATGACAGTGTCACATTAATTTTTTTTTTTTTTGAGATGGAGTTTTGCTCTTGTTGCCCAGGCTGGAGTGCAATGGCACAGTCTCGGCTCACTGCAACCTCTGCCCCCCGGGTTCAAGCGATTCTCCTGCCTCAGCCTCCCAAGTAGCTGGGATTACAGGCATGCGCCACCACACCTGGCTAATTGTGTATTTTTAGTAGAAATGGGGTTTCTCCATGTTGGTCAGGCTGGTCTTGAACTCCCGACCTCAGGTGATCCGACTGCCTTGGCCTCCCAAAGTGCTGGGATTGCAACACGTGAGCCACCCCGTCCGGCCTTAAATGTTTTTTAAAATTAAAATATACTATTCCTTTTATTTTTATATATTTTACTTCTTGATTTGTTCACAAACTAGTTTTTCACATTGTGTCAAATTAAAAACAGTTATTTTTCCATACAGTGTATTAAAAAGGAGATATTTGGATCAGTCAAGAACAGATGTGGAATCCCGACTTTTCTTTTTTGTGGCCCAGGCTGGAGTGCAGTGGCTCGATCCCGGCTCACTGCAACCTCCACCTACTGGGTTCAAGTGATTCTCCTGCCTCAGCTTCTTAAGTAATTGGACTACAGGCACACGCCACCACACCCGGCTAATCTTTTGTATTTTTAGTAGAAACAGGGTTTCACCATGTTGGCTGGGCTGGTCTCGAACTCCTGAGCTCAGGTGATCCACTTGCTTTGGCCTCCCAGAGTGTTGGGTTTACAGGTGTGAGCCACCGCGCCTGACCAGAATACTGACTTTTAACAACCTGTTAACTCACTGTAGCATATATTATTCTGCTATTTACATTTACATTATTTAATTGTCATATTAGTAGGGGTTTATTCTAACAGAATGAGAACCATACATGGAACACGAAGCCCAAAGAATTGTCTTTTTATGGTAAATCTAGAAAGGCTTTATTCAAGTTTACAATTTATGTCAGTTTTCTAATCCTAAAGTATCAACAGATTCTAGTATCTTATCAATCGTGTAATTCCAGAACATTTTGTTTTCACTAGTGTCATGCTGTTCCCAAGGTGTTTGCAGAAAGCTTTTTTTGTGTTAGGAGTCTTTCTTTGGCCAGTTAATTTCTATCTGTCTGTCATCTATATATCTAAATGCTGATAGCGAATTAGACTTTTACATTCCCGTACAAATTCTGTTTCTCACCTGTACGTACCCTCATCATTTATAAGTCTTATTTCACTACTTTTCTGACATAAAGTTACCCTTTAACCTTTGAAGTGGCTATGTGATAGTTAATATCTTCTTTTTTTATTTTGGAGATGGAGTCTCGTTCTGTTGCCCAGACTGGAATGCAGTGGCATGATCTCAGGTCACTGCAACCTCTGCCTCCTGGGTTCAAGCAATTCTGCCTCAGCCTCCGGAGTACCTGGGACTATAGTCGCACGCCGCCACACCCAGCTAAGTTTTTGTATTTTAGTAGAGACAGGGTTTCACCGGGTTGCCTAGGCTGGTCTCGAACTCCGGAGCTCAGGCAATCTGCCTGCCTTGGCCTCCCAAAGTGCTGGGATTACAGGCGCGAGCCACCATGCCCAGGTGTGATAGTTAATATATTAACTATATAATATAGTTATACATAGATAGTTATTATAATATTATGTAATATGGTCACAATCTTATGCTATAATTGCCCATACCACTGCACTAGTTTTGAAAGGTTTAATAGAATATGCTATAGTTTGCTGTAGAATAATAGTAAAAATAGGTTAGGAATCACAGCCCTAGTTTCAAGTCCCAGATCTTTGGCTACTTAATCTCTTTGATTTTATATGCTCATATCCTTTTATAAGCTTTAATAGTTAGGGGTATTATAATTAGAATTTTTAAACTATAAAAATTTTTCTGTTAATTTGCATTTTAAAAATTGTTAGAAAAAATGACTAGCTTGTGTTATTTTGCAGAAATGGTCACTTCTTGAAATAATCCAGACAAGTTTTAACGAAGATCTCCAATTTGAAAAATTGGTTTCTGTTCTCTTCATAGACTTCTGAAACTTTTATCAAATGTTTTTATTATATTATTCTATAAAAGGCATGAAGCCAGGTGCAGTGCCTCATGCCTATAATCCCAGCATTTTGGGAGGCCAAGGTGGGAGGATTGCTTGAGCCCAGGAGTTCATGACAAACCTGGGCAATGTAGTGATACCTCATCTCTTCAAAAAATTAAAAATTAGCCCAGTGTGGTGACATGCCCTTGGCTGTAGTCCCAGCTACGCAGGAGGCTGAGGCAGGAGGATCACTTGAGCCCAGGAGAGAGGCTGTAGTGAGCTGAAATTGCTCCACTGCACTCCAGCCTGGGTGACAGAGTGAGATCACATCTCAAAAAAAATTAAAAAAACAAGCATCGGCCGGGTGTGGTGACTCACGCCTGTAATCCCAGCACTTTGGGAGGATGAGGCAGGTGGATCGCTTGAGGTCAGGAGTTCAAGACCAGACTGGCGAACGTGGTAAAAGCCCATCTCCACTAAAAACACAAAAAATTAGCCAAGCATGGTGGCGCGTGCCTGTAATCCCAGCTGCTTGGGAGACTGAGGCAGGAGAATTGCTTGAACCTAGTGGGCAGAGGTTGCAGTGAGCTGAGATCATGCCACTGCACTTTAGCCTGGGTGACAGAGTGAAACTCTGTTTCCAAAAAAAAAAAATCAACAAAAAAACCAAGCATTTTTGTAATTTCACTAAGCTTTACAGAATTTTAGCATACTGTTTTTAGGCATTGAAACTCAATTTATATTAAGACAATGATGCCTTATTGCCTAAATGGTCTTCAAGAAGTAATTTTTGGCTGGGCATAGTGGCTCATGCCTGTAATGTCAGTGCTTTGGGAGGCTGAGGTAGTCAGATCACTTGATGTCAGGAGTTCAAGACCAGCCTGGCCAACAGGGCGAAACCTTGACTCTGCTAAAAATACAAAAATTAACTGGGTGTGGTGGCACATGCTTGTCATCCTACCTTCTCAGGAGGCTGAGGCTGGAGGATGGCTGAAACTGGGAGGCAGAAGTTGCAGTGAGTCAAGATCGCACCACTGCACTCCAGCCTGGGCAGCAGAGTAAGACTCTGTTTCAAAAAAAATAAAAGACGTAATCTTTGAGTTGATTCTCTTTTAATTCTGGTGTTTTTGAATTCAAGTAAAGGTTTGAAATAATTTGTTACTGTTACTGAAAATATTTAATAATTAGTAATTTTAGTAATTGTTATTACTAGTCATACCAAAGAATTAAGACAATATTTTATTCTCAAGGATTTTGTATAATATGGGTAGATAAGCACGTTTTTGTTTGTTTGAGATAGTGGCTTCCCTGTTGCCCAGGCTGGAGTGCAGTGGTGTGACCATGGCTCAGTGGCCTCAACCTCCAGGGCTCACATGATCCTTCCACTTCAGCCTCCCAAGTAGGTGGGACCACAGCTAATTCTTTGATTTTTTTGTAGAGATGAGGTCTCACTATGTTGCCTAGGCTGGTCTTGAACTCCTGGGCTCAAGCAATCCTCCTGTCTTGGCTAAGTGTTGGGATTACAGGCATGAGCCACCACACCTGGCTGATAATGCAGACTTTATTTCAAAATACGAAACAAAACATTAAAAAAACAGGCCAGGCATGGCGACTCATGCCTGTAATCCCAACACTTGGGGAGGCCGAGGCGGGTGGATCATGAGGTCAAGAGATCAAGACCATCCTGGCCAACATGGTGAGACCCCATCTCTACTAAAAATACAAAAAATTAGCCAGGCGTGGTGGTGCGTGCCTATAGTCCCAGCTACTTGGGAGGCGGAGACAGGAGAATCTCTTGAACCTGGGAGGCGGAGGTTGCAGTGAGTTGAGATCGTGCCACTGCACTCCAGTCTCGGCGACAGAGCGAGACTCCATCTCGAAATAAATAATAAATAAATAATAAAAATGAAATACTACAAATCATATGTTTTCCTCTGTTTGAGACTATCTTGGCTTTTATCTGTTCCTGGCCCTTTTCAAGGCAATGAAAATGTACTTACGGTAACAGACTATGTATTTGGTTTGTATGACAGTCAAACAGAATAAGCTGTGTAGTAGTCTTTTTCAAAGCCAGATTGCCACACAATTACCTAGTAATTTTATATTCAAAATTTAAGAGCAGTAATCAGCAATATGTTTCTTGATGGAAAGATACACCATAACCTATGACATACTCTTAATAGAAAGTTGAATGTAAGTCAGATTAAGTTACTCTAGATCAAGCCACTGCACCCAGCTGAGGAATTAGTTTTAAAGATGTGATAATGGCCAGGCGCAGTGACTCACGCCTGTAATCCCAGCACTTTGGGAGGCCGAGATGGGAGGATCACTTGAGGTCAGTAGTTCAAGACCAGCCTGGCCAACATGTTGAAACCCTGTCTCTACTAAAAATACAAAAATTAGCCAGGTGTGTTGGCGCACACCTATAATCCCAGCTACTTGGGTGGCTGAGGCCTGAGAATTGCTTGAACTGGGAGGGAGAGGTTGCAGTGAGCTGAGATTGTACCACTGCACTCCAGTCTGGGTGACAGAGCGAGACCCTGTCTCAAAAAATAAAATAAAATAAAGATACGATAATGGTGTTGTGTGTGAGTATGTAGTGAATTTTTACTTTTGCTTTCTTTCTTTCTTTCTTTTTTTTTTTTTTTTGAGACGGAGTTTTGCTCGTTTTCCAGGCTGGCGTGCAATGGCGTGATCGTGGCTTACCGCAACCTCCGCCTTCTGGGTTCAAGCGATTCTCCTGCCTCAGCCTCCCCAGTAGCTGGGATTACAGGCATGCGCTACCACACCCGGCTAATTTTTTGTATTTTTAGTAGAGATGAGGTTTCTCCATACTCCCGACCTCAGGTGATCCTCCCAAAGTGCTGGGATTACAGGCATGAGCCACCCTGCCCGGCCTTGTTTCTTAAGTATATTTTTGAGTTGTACACTGCAAATACTTACTGGTAAAATGTTAAATTGGAATTTGCTTTAATGAGATATGTATGAGTGGAGAGGGGGAAGATATAGATGAGGTAAGATTGTCCATAAGTTGGTAGTATTGAAACAGGTGATGGGTATGTAGAGGTTTATTATACTTATTTTTAGATATATATTGGATATTTTCCAAATAAAATATAAAAAAATTACAGTTAGACAAGTTTATATTCAAGTTAAAATTTAGTTTTTAAATTTTAGCTACTTGGTTACCAAATTAGCACAGTTACTTACCTATTCATGTTCAGGTTTTGGTCTTGGATTGAAGACTTTTCAGATGACCCATGAGATTTCATTGGGATTAAAGTCTTAACATCATTTTAATATGTGAATGTTTGGATGATAGCTCCCTGACTACATCAGTGTTGCATCACACATCTCTAAAATAATTTTCATTAGTTATGTTATTATTTCAAAGAGTATGTATTTTTCTAATACACATTCAGAGTATATTGTTATTTGGGGTTTGTGAGTTCTTTAGGGTTTATGAGTCAATTACAGTTATATATAGTCTCATTTTGTGCATAGCACATGCTAGAAGGCTGGGAAGATGTCTGAACCATCAGCAGAGTATTATGAGATATAATTACAATCTGGGTTAATGACTTTTCCTCCATGTACTGTGTTTTAAAATCTGTTTCTAGCTCTGGCAGAATTCACAGAGGCAGATGAAGCAATGGCAGAACTCGCAATTGCTGACAACGTTTTCCTGTTCCTCATGGAATCTGTAGTGGTATCAGAATACTTTTATCAGGAAGAATTTTATATTCGCAGAGTCCATAATCTCATCACAGATTTCCTTGCACTTATGCCAATGAAGGTAAGTGTAATAATGTAGGATGAGTAAATAGTAGAAGAATTTTATAAAATAATTTAAAACTGATTAACCAGCTTTATGTTTTGGAAACTAATAAAAATTTTTAATACAGACTAAAATTTGCCAGTAGCTGTATTACATCTTGTGAATCAGTTTGTGACTCATGAAATAAGTCATGAGTCTCTACAAGATATGAGAACATACCTTGTAGAATTTCAGTTGTATTAAATTTGTTGAGGTTTGTTTTATGGCTCAGAATATGGCCTGTCTTGGTAAATGTTCTATGTACACCTGAAGGGAAGACATATTTTGCTGTTGTTCTATGGAAATAAGTCCTCTTAACTGGGGATAAGTCAGTAGAAAGAAATATTTGACATAGTGAATGGTTTATAAATGAGAAAGTAATTAAATGAAAATGCTTCTGTGGGTAGAAAATTACTAACCTCATGCTGCCCTAAGGATTAGTGCTAAGGTTGCTTTATTTAATATTTTTATACATGATTTGGAAGAGGCACAGTGGAAAAATTGCATTTTATAGATAATTGTTTAGATTTTTTTTTTTTTTGAGATGGAGTCTTGCTCTATTGCGCCCAGGCTGGAGTGCAGTGGTGTGATCTTGGCTCACTGCAATCTCCGCCTCCTGGGTAAGTGATTCTCCTGCCACAGTCTCCCAAGTAGCTGGGATTACAGGCGCCCGCCACCACACCTGGGTAGTTTTTTGTATTTTTATTAGAATGGGGTTTCACCATATTGGCCAGGCTGGTCTTGAACAGGTGATCTGCCCACCTCGGCCTCCCAAAATGCTGGGATTGCAGGTGTGAACCACCATGCCTGGCCCGATTGTTTAGATTCTGAATTGCAGTGTATAAAAGGGCTTCAGCATGGATACAGGTAAAATAATGAATTTAAGAAACCGTAACACAAAGGCTGCTTTTGAATAGATAGCTTGAGCTGTAACTGTCATCTGAAAAGCGATTCTTAGAGCTATTTCAAACAGTTCCTTATAGTATATGCTCTGTGTGCTGTTTTGTGCCAAAGAAGCCATCAAATGTTGGCGGGAAGTAAATGAGGGAGAAAAACGTCTTTTTTTGTGTTTATATTATAAAACCACCTATTTCAAATGTACAGTTTTTAAAAGCACCCTGAAAGGTCTACACTTGTAATATATTGTGCAGTTTTGGTACCATACCTCCTGAAAAGTATAAATTGATTATCATAAATTTGCCCTTAGGATTCTTGTATTATTTTTATTTTTATAGGATCTATAGTGATTTTTCTCTTTAATTCCTAAAATTGGTAATTTGTGTCTTCTCCCCCAGTTCTTAGTTAACCTTGCTTGAAGTTTATTGATCTTATTGATCTTTCCAGTGAATTAGCTTTTAGCTTCATTGATTTTCTTATATTTTGCTTCACCATTGTTGATTTTTGCTATTATGTTTATTATTTTCTTCCCTCTGCCTTGGGTTTAATTTGCTCCCTTAATTTTGTTTTTTAAGATATAAGCTTAGATTATTGATTTTAAATATTTCTTTTTTCTAATATGAGCATTTAATAATGCTATACATTTACCTCCAATCACTGCTTTAGCTATGCCACACAAATTTTGATATGTTGCATTTTCTTTTTTGTTCAGTTTAATATGTTTTCTAATTTTCCTTGAGACTTCTTTGATTGATGGGTTATTTAGCAGTGTGTTGTTTAATTTCCAGGTAGTTCACAGACTTTCAGATCTCTGTCACAGGTTTCTAGTTTAATTCCGTTGTGCTCAGAGAACACGCCTTGTAGAATTTCAGTTGTATTAAATTTGTTGAGGTTTGTTTTATGGCTCAGAATATGGCCTATCTTGGTAAATATTTTATGTACACCTGAAAGGAACACATATTTTGCTGCTGTTCTGTGGAATGTTCTACAAGTGTCAATTAAGTCAAGTTGGTTGATGCTGTTTTTCAAGTTTTCCATATCCTTACTGATTTTCTGTGTACTTGTTCCATTGAATATTGAGAGAGGAGTGTTGATATTTCCAACTGTAATTGTGGATTTGTCTAGCTATGTTTTTTTTTTTTTTAACAGAATTTGTTTCTTATTTTTGTTGGCATTTAGTTCACACAAATGTTGTGAAGCAGTGATTCTCAACTGAGGTATAATGTTCTTCAGAGTGTGTTTGGGAAATGAGTGGGGCCAGTTTTGCTTGTTATGATGACTCTGGTGTTGTTATTGATAGTTGGTAGGTAGTTCCAAGGATGCTAAATGTCCTGGAATATTCAGGATAATCCAACCCAGTGAAGAAACATTGTGCCCAAATGTCAGTAATGTCCCCACTGAGAAATACTACAGTTAAGTTCAACTTTTCTATAGTGGAAAATGCATTCAAGTTTTAAGATATTATACATTATGGGTAGTAATATTGCAAATAAGATTCCTGGCATGTTTCTTCATGTCACCTAAAGTGGAATAGATATTTAAAAAATATATTCTTGTATGTAGTCACTTTAAGACAGTTGCCTGATTTCATTATTATTAGCATGTACAATACATTTACATATTAAAACTATATCTAATAAATTTAATAGGTGAAACAGCTGAGGAATCGGGCAGATGAAGATGCTCGAATGATTCACATGAGTATGCAGATGGGTAATGAACCCCCCATTTCACTTAGAAGGGACCTGGAACACTTAATGCTTTTGGTAAGCCATTATATTAGAAAGCTTGTCCTCTTTCCCTCCTTTCATTATTTTTTCCCCTAACTTTGGAAAATTTCAGGTGTAATACTTTAAATGTCCTTTTTTTTATTGAAAGTAATTTTTCAGTCATAGACATTTCCCTACAGTCTTTGCTTACTCTTTGCAGATTGGCGAGCTATATAAAAAGAACCCTTTTCATCTGGAGCTTGCTCTAGAATATTGGTGTCCCACAGAGCCTCTTCAGACTCCGACTATCATGGGCTCTTATCTAGGGGTGGCTCATCAGCGGCCCCCTCAACGCCAGGTGAGTCTTTAGGTTTTCCTCTTTTATACTCTGGTACTGTGATAGAGAGTCTTGAAAACATGAAAGATATTACTTCCTGATTTTATTGCTGTTAACACAAATGATCACTAGTGTAACCTTTAGAGACTTACACTTTTTAAATTTTATTTATTTATTTATTTATGTTGAGACAAAGTCTCACTCTGTCACCTAGGCTGGAGTGCAGTGACGCGATCTCAGCTCACTGTAGCTTTGACCTCCCAGGTGGAAGTGATCCTCCCGCCTCAGCCCCCAGGGTAGTCGGGACTACAGGCATACACCACCACACCCGGCTAGTTTTTGTATTTTTTGTAGAGATGGGGTTTTGCCATGATACCCAGGCTGGTCTGTAACTCCTGAGCTCAAGTGTCCATCTGCCTCGGCCCTCCCAACGTGCTGGATTTACAGGCATGAGCTACTGTGCCTAGCCTACTTTTCTCTTTTATAAAAGAAAATTTGAAACTCTTAAAATTTAAGTTCTGTTGATTTTGAAGTTAATGTAGTCAATCCTTTATTGGATACTAGATATGTGTTGAATTATTAGAGGCAGAAAGGCATCCAGTCTCTTTATTATTTACTTATTTTTAAAAGACAGGGCCTTGCTATGATGACCAGGCTGGTCTGTAATTCCTGGCTTCATTCAGCCTTCCCAAAGCAGTGGGATTACAGGCATGAGCACTGTGCCCCACTTGAATTTTATTAGTATTTTAGTTCTCCATAGGCATGACAATCTTTTCAAGTTTGGGAGGATAGGAGAGGTACAAGTATTAAAGGAGAATTCTTAGACGTTTTAATTGATGGCAAAATGCCTATGAGTCTGTAGATAATACAGGCAAAAATTCTTTCTGTATTAACTAAAGTATGATGTGCAGAGGCAAATAAAATGAATTGCTATGCAGTAGTTCACACCTGTAATCCCAGTGCTTTGGGAAGCTGAGGTGGGAAGATCGCTTGAAGCCAAAATTTGAGACCAGCCTGGGCAATGTAATGAGACCCCATCGCTACAAAAAATACTAGCTCGGTGTGCTATCATGAGCCTGTAGTCCTAGCTGCTCAGGCTGAGGCAAGAGGACACGTTGAGCCCCGGGGTTTGAGGTTACAGTGAGATGTGGTTACGCCACTGCACTCCAGCCTAGGCAACAGAGTGAGACCCTGACTCTTTAAAAAAAAAAAAAGAGTTGGCAGGAGATTGCCATGTTCATTTTGGGGGATTTCTGTTCTAGAAGCTTTTATGCAATGTGTGTGTGTGTGTTTTTTTTTTTCTGGACTCCAGATCAGATGCCTTTTTTTTTGAGATGGAGTTTCGCTCTTGTTGCCCAGGCTGGAGTGCAATGGCGCAATCTCAGCTCACCCCAACCTCCTCTGCCTCCCAGATTCAAGCGATTCTCCTGTCTCAGCCTCCCGAATAACTGGGGTTATAGACATGCGCCACCACGCCAGGCTAATTTTGTATTTTTAGTAGAGATGGGGTTTCTCCATGTTGGTCAGGCTGGTCTCGAACTCCCGACCTCAGGTGATCCACTCGCCTCAGCCTCCCAAAGTGCTGGGATTGTAGGCATGAGCCACTGTACCTGGCCCAGATGCCACTTTTTAAACTGTATTGTTTCAGTGTTTTTCTCATTTAAAAAATACGTTTTGAGCCAGGCACGGTGCTTCACACCTGTAATACTTGCACTTTGGGAGGCCAAGGTAGGCAGATTACTTGTGCTCAGGAGTTTTAGACTAGTCTGAGCAACATGGTGAACCCTGTCTCTACAAAAAATATTTTAAAAATTAGCCAGACATGGTGGTGCGTACCTATGGCCCCATTTGCACGGGAGGCTGAGGTGGGAGGATCATTTGGGCTGCAGTGAGCTGTGATTGTGCTACTACATTCCAGCCTGGGTGACAGAGTAAGACCCTGTCTCAAAAGAAAAAGAATGTTTTGGAGAAAGATTTCCTTAAAAATTTTTAAAGTTTTTAAGAAAGCTAGCAGTAATGAAAAATTTGAAACATGTGGAAGAGGGAATTATTATAAGGAATGCCCCACATTTTAATTTCACATCTTAAGTTAACATCTTATGATGTTTGCTTCATCTACTATATTATTATTTTATTTATTTATTTATTTATTTATTTTGAGACAGAGTCCCACTTTGTCACCCAAGTTGGAGTGCAATGGCCTGATCTCGGCTCACTGCAACCTCCGCCTCCTGGGTTTAAGTGATTCTACCGCCTCAGCCTCCCAAGGAGCTGGGATTACAGGCACCCGCCATCATGCCCAGCTAACTTTTGTATTGTTTTAGTTGAGACGGGTTTTCACCATGTTGGTCAGGCTGGTCTCGAACTCCTGACCTCAGGTGATCCACCCACCTTGGCCTCCCAAAGTGCTGCGATTACAGGCGTGAGCCACTGTGCCCAGCCTGCTATATTATTTTTACTTTCGTTTTATTTTAAAGTAAATTATAGGCAAATACATGAATTCTATCCCTTAATATTTAAGTAAGTATATCTCTCTTAAAAATGTTATTTTGCTACATCATCATAAAACCTTTTTTTTTTTTTGGAGACGGAGTCTCTGTTGCCAGGCTAGAGTGCAGTGGCGCAATCTTGGCTCACTGCAACCTCTGCCTCCTGGGTTCAATTGATTCTCCTGCCTCAGCCTTTCGAGTAGTTGGGACTACAGGTGTGTGCCACCACACCCAGCTAATTTTTGTATTTTTAGTAGAGACGGGGTTTCACCATGTTGGCCAGGATAGTCTTGATCTCTTGACCTCGTGATCTGCCCGCCTTGGCCTCCCAAAGTGCTGGGATTACAGGTGTGAACCACTGCGCCCAGCCAAACCATTTTTAAACCTAGCTGATTTAATAGTTATTTCCAGACATCTGTAGTGTTTTCAGTTCTCAGTTCCAACTAGTGAGTTTGAGTAATACTGTTAGTTGTTGATAATAGGTTTAAGGCATAAGGAAGAAAAAGGGAAAATTAAGAAATAGACTTAAAGAACAGGAGTATGGGAACGTGGCATTGGTTTGACCACAGAACAGAATATGCTTAAGTTACCATCAAAAATGATTTAAATTTCCTAGGTCTAGATACTAATTTGGCTGGGATATAGGAACTCTGGATTTTAAGTGTACTTTTGAATTGCTGGTTGATTTTTGGATGAGTAAATGTCACATGTCTTATATTTTTAAAATCTGAGTGGTCTTATATTTTGTGACATTGAGATATTTTTTTAAAAATGTACTTTTATTTCATAAAGGTATTTTATAATTGCATTAAATTGCTAATGACAAGCTTAAACAATTTTTCATAAATAGAATATCAGTTAAATTTGTCTGTTGCGAGGGTTAAGTCAGAGCACTACTTTTAGTTTATATGTAGTCTTTATTAGCTAGTCCGTGTTGCCTTAAAGTTAAGATATACATTATATAAACCATTTGTTTCTCTCTTTTTCAGGTTGTCTTGTCAAAGTTTGTTAGGCAAATGGGTGACCTGTTGCCTCCAACTATTTATATTCCTTATTTGAAGATGCTCCAGGGATTGGCCAATGGGCCTCAGTGTGCCCACTACTGTTTCAGCCTGCTCAAAGTCAATGGTAGTAGTCATGGTAAGGAATATGTGGATGTTGTTAAAGTTTGTTGTTATACTCTTTTAAGTTCAGTATCCCACTACCTATTAAGAACATTGGTGTTTGAACTAGGTTCTACCAGAGGTATAAATTATTTTCATAACAATAGGGTGAAGGAAGCATGCATACAGCTTTATGCATAGTGATGCTGTGATTATGGTCTCACAGATTGGGGAGTTTTGTCATTCTCCTTTATAAAATACAGTTCATTTTGACAAATCAGAATTAATGTATGAAAATTTTCCAGAACACATCTGGTCCACAAAAAAAGCATATGCCCTTGCCTTATAAGTTTGATTAATTTATCTTCGTATTTTTTTTTCTTAATTTCAGTACTTAGAATTTTTCTCTTGACTGTCTCCCAGTTTTCTTATTTAATTTTCAGACTGGTTTGGTTAGACCAAAAACACTGTAAAAGGGAAAAGAAATTAAGCATCTGCTTTGTTAGGTAGATATTTTTATTTTTACATGTGAAGAAACTGAGGTTTAGAGAAGTTAAGGAATTTACCCAACATCACAGCTATTTGGAGAGCCATGATGGGAGCTGAAATCGGCTTGGCTCCAAAGCCAGTGTTCTGACTACTCTGTCAAGCCTGCCAGTCTTGTGTGCTATGCTTTTGCTTCCGATGCTTGGTATGCAATGGAGTAGTGTAATTCCCAAATTAAGACTGTAGTTATCTCTTTCTTTGGGAATTCAAACTCAACATTTGTGAATTATTCTGTGGGAAAAAGCAGCCCTGTACAGTTACATGAGAGCACAGAGAACTCTCCTGGATGTGAAGTAGGTAACCGACATCCAAAGTAAATTACCTTTACATTTACATGGGCAGTAGCCCCTTTCTTGAGTAAAAGTTAATCCAGAGGAAAAATTAATCCAGAGTTCTAGCTCACAGAGGGATTCTAACCCATTTTCAGCACACCGCTTATGCAGGACAGAGATTGCCTTTGTGCTAAGACAAAGGCAAACAAAGTTTGTTGTTTTAGGCTGGGTGCAGTGGCTCATGCCTGTAATCCCAGCACTTTGGGAGGCCGAGGCAGGCGGATCACTTGAGGTCAGGAGTTCAAGAGCAGCCTGGCCAACATGGTGAAACCCTGTCTTTACCAAAAAGACAAAAATTAGCAAGGCGTTGTGGTGCACGCCTGTAATCTCAGCTACTTGGGAGGTTGAGACAGGAGAATTGCTTGAACCTGGGGAGTAGAGGTTGCAGTGAGCTGAGATTGCCCCTCTGCACTCCAGCCTGGGTGACAGTGAGACTCTATCTCAAAAAAGAAAAAAGTATATTGTTTTAAATTAATTTTCTCTCCATTTCCCAGCAAATGCTTAGATGTTTTTTAAATAAAATTCTGTGCTGTTTTTCTTTATAGTTGAAAATATTCAGGGAGCAGGTGGCAGTCCTGTTTCCTGGGAACATTTCTTTCACTCCTTGATGCTTTACCACGAACACCTTCGGAAGGATCTTCCAAGTGCAGATAGTGTCCAGTACCGTCACCTTCCTTCCCGTGGCATCACCCAGAAGGAGCAAGATGGATTGATTGCTTTTTTGCAGCTCACGTCTACCATCATTACTTGGGTAGGTAACTCATCCCCAGCATAATTTTATTTTTATTATAGCACAGTAGCATTTTAAGAGCCCCAAACATTTTCTTTTAATTTAAGAGTAATAAACTTAGCCTATCTAGATAGACAGATATATAGCATTCTGCCCTTAAGTTTTTTGTTTTTTGACCTCTACAGGGTGTAAGTTATGGTAGCCCTGCTCATTGGCATAATCTTAGTATAAAAATAATAGCCTGAGCCTGAAAGAAAATAGTCAGAAGGGCAAATAAGAACCAGTTGTTGGATGCATATGCTTCTAGGTTTCCAGCATAAGTGTAGAGATATATATGTGCATTTATATGTGTGTATGCATAAAGAATATTGTAATTAAAAGTCATTTACTGTATTATTTTTTCTCTCCTTATACCAAACCATTTTATCTGCCACTACCAAATTGGTCTTTGTAAAAAACATTTTCATGACTGTATATAATTTCCCAACTCAGAAATATCTTTTAGTTATGTCTGTTGTTCACTAGAATAGTCTGACATTTTCTCTGAAGGGTAGGAATAGGAACTTCTAAGTTTTTGGCTTTTCTAATAGTACTTAACATTATTAGGCATCAAAATGTCAGTTATTAACTATTTCTCACTGAATTAAAATGGAAATGGGAGGGGAGGATAGGGAAAGGTTGGTTAACATACAAAGTTACAGATAGAGAAGAAGAAAGTTCTAGTGTTCTATAGCACTACAGGGTGAATATAACTAGCAGTAATTCATTGTGTATGTTCAAAAGCCAGAAGAGAGGATTTTGAATGTTCCCAACACAAAGAAATGAGAAATGTTAGAGGATGGATATCCTAATTACCCTGATTTGATCATTACATATTGTATACATATATCAAAATATGACTCTGTACCCTATAAATATGTATAGTTATTACATATCAACTAAAAATGAAAAAAATGTTGTGATACTTGATACTGTATATCTCTATATTTTTTTTTGAGAAAAGGACAAGGTATTTTTTTCATCCATACTTTATATTGCAGTATAATATATTGTTCCAGAAAGGATTTAAGATGCCTAGGTAAGATTTATCCAACCCTTGCGGACCATTTATCTCTGTTTGTATTATTTCTCATACTTGGAACTGCAAAAGTAATTCTACAAAGTCTATATCTCCTCCAGTTTTTTACTTCGAATAAATGAGTGATCTGATTTGATGTGTTGGTAGACTTCAAACATAAATGATAGGCTTATTTTTGTTTTAGTATATATTAAGCCCATGAGGACTCAGTATAAATGATAGCAATTTAGATGATTGCTGGTCATTTTAATAACTTTTAAAAATGGAAAGTCTCATTCTTTTTGTGTCAATTCTTAGAGTGAAAATGCTCGCTTGGCACTCTGTGAACACCCTCAGTGGACCCCTGTTGTGGTGATTCTGGGACTCCTCCAATGCAGTATTCCCCCTGTCCTAAAAGCTGAGCTACTGAAGACACTCGCAGCTTTTGGAAAATCTCCTGAAATTGCTGCTTCCCTCTGGCAGTCATTGGAATACACTCAGGTAGGGCTCTGAAGTCCCTTATTTATATTATCCCAATGTGGAAAGTTGGGCTTGATAATACCATAGAAGCAAGAACATGCAATTGGAACTTATAGTATATCATGAACATCCCAACTAGAGTTACGGTTTAGGGACTGAGCATAGCAATAGAAACTAATAGGCTTGGGTTTTTCTTTTAGATTGGTTGATAACATCACTAGGTTACCAGAGATTGGTTCTTCATGTACTGTACCTCTCTGAAGACCTTATTTTTCGATGTCTATTAAGATATTACTAGATGGACAGAATTTGTCCACTCTGTCTTTAAACCAGGCTGCTGTAAGCCCTCACAAATCACCTGCACTCATTAAATGTGGGGAATGTTTGTTTTTCTTATCTGCTCTTTCCTGCCCTATACCAGAAGAGTGAAGTATCTCTGTATAGCTACATGGTCACTGGGGTTGTTTTTCCATTAAAGGGCAGGTCTAACTGTTTGTCAAGTTTGCACTGATTTTTGTTTTTTTTTTTTAAGATAGGGTCTCGCTGTGTTGGCAAGGATGGAGTGAGTACAGTTGTGTGATCTCAGCTCACTGTAGCCTCCACCTCCCGGGTTAAAGCGATTCTTGTGCCTCAGCCTCCTGAGTAGCTGGGATTACAGGCTTGCATTACCACGCCCAGCTAATTTTTGTATTTTTAATAGAGATGGGGTTTTGCCATGTTGTCCAGGCTGGTCTTGAACTCCTGGCTTCAAGTGATCTGCCCGCCTCGGCCTCCCAAAGTGCTGGGATGACAGGTGTGAGCCACCACACCCAGCCTGCAGAGAAATTTTAACAGCATCTAGAATACTTTTTATTGGTGGTTATGAGGGTTTATTGCCAGGACCATAAACTTAACTTTGGGCAGAATGGGAATGTGACAGTTGGATTTTTTGACTTCTGTACCCTGAGGGAATGTACCTTTGCTGATGTGGGGAAATAAATGGATGATATAATGTTTGAAGTCTCAATAACTTCAAAATATTAGCATTCTTTTCTCTAGAGATAAGCTCCATTAAAAATTTTCTATCAGGTATAATTATTTTATATGTGATAAAATGAAGGAAAATATGGATGCGCTTTATAGACGTATCTCTAGGAAAATGGTTAGGTGGGATATGTATATCTGTCTTGGAAGTAATACAACTTAAGGGAGTCTGGGATTCTAACTCATTATTCATAGAAGCAAAAAAAATTTTTTTTTTTTTAAGATGAAGTTTTGCTCTTGTTGCCCAGGCTGGAGTGCAATGGGGTGATCTCGGCTCACTGCAACCTCCACCTCCTGGGTTCAAGCGATTCTCCTGCCTCAGCCTCCCAAGTAGCTGGGATTACAGGCATGTGCCACCACGCCCAGCTAATTTTGTATTTTTAGTAGAGACGGGGTTTCTCCATGTTGGTCAGGCTGGTCTTGAACTTCTCCCCTCAGGTGATCCGCCTGCCTTGGCCTCCCAAAGTACTGGGATTACAGGCGTGAGCCACCACGCCCAGCCAGAAGCAACCATTTTGAAGCAGTAAAATACTCTAGATTATTTTCTGACATACATATCCTGAAGATGTTATTGATACTTTGTTAACATAATAATTAACAGAGTTGGGGTTTGCTGAGAGGGGTTGGCTTACTATGGATACTTCACCTTTTGATTCCTGAGCGTACCAATACTTGCTAGTGTCTTACGGGCTTAGTGCTTCTTTACACCTGAAATCAAATGTGATTGGGTTTAGCCATTTGTATCCTTAGAGCAACAGTATTGTTTTTAAAGGATTCTACCTAATTAGTATACTTTTGATTTGCAAGAAAGTAAAGTATCATGACAGTAGGATTATTTATTATACCATAGACTACTTAGGCCCATATCGAGGTCTGGACAGAACATCTTAAGTCAAAACTTGAGCCTCCTTTAATAAGCCTGTTCTTAAGTTTACTGGCTGGGTGCAGTGACTCACACCTGTAATCCCAGCACTTTGGGAGGCCAAGGCAGGCAGATCACCTGAGGTCAGAAGTTTGAGACCAGCCTGGCCAACATGGTGAAACCTTGTCTCTACTAAAAATACAAAAAAAAAAAATTAGCTGGGCATGGTGGCGCACGTCTGTAATCCCAGCTACTCTGGAGGCTGAGGCAGGAGAATTGCTTGAGCCCAGGAGACGGAGGTTGCAGTGAGCCAAGATCATGCCACTGTACTCCAGCTTGGCCGACAGAGTGAGACTCTGTCTCAAAAAAAAAAAAAAAAAATTGAAAAAAAGAAGTTTCCTTTTGGGTTTTTTGTGCCACCAGTAGGGCTAGTTGTAAACAGTCCAGTATCTTGAACACTGGTGAGATTTCATCCCATAAATCCTTTTTAAAGATTCATTTCCTAGAATATCTGAGAGGAAATTTGCTGAAAAAATGTCTTGTGTGCTCTTAGAAACTACCAATTTTCAGAACCCCAGACAGTCAAAAGTTCTATCTCAACCTGGCAGAACTGCTAATGAAAGTCCATCCAGGGACTAATTGATTGTCATTTTGGTGGACATTGTGAGATCTGTGGGTCCAGTGGGTGAGGTATGTGACTATTATATTGCAAAGCCACTAATATTCATTGATGAATGAGGAATGCTCCTGACATCTACTTCTTACTATTTTAAGATACTGCAGACCGTGAGGATTCCAAGCCAAAGGCAAGCTATTGGTATTGAGGTAAAGTTTTCCTTTTAGTTTAAATGTTAATTCATTCATGCATGTAATGATAAGAAGTCTATGAATCATTCTTACCCTTTTACGTTTCCATAATTATCAAATTTAATGTATTTTTATTTGAAGGGTTTTCTGATCAGTGTTGAAATAGAGATGAAACTTTTAATAAAAGGAACCAAAATATTTTGTGTTTCAGAGTTGGAAAAAGATGTTACATGGCAACCATCCAAATGGAAAATTCTTGATTTTAACTCAATTTAATTAGATTACTTGAGTCAACCTGAAATGAGAGTTAATTATTTTCTTTTCTCTCTAATTCTCCCTCTCTTTTAAAAGAAACATTAAAGATTTCTGTTTTAAATTCAAGTTTGGGGACAGTAAGTGGGAATTTGGAGTTCTTCCATCTGACTCATCTGGATTCATATAATACTTTTTTATCTTTTCCTCTAAATGAAAAACAGAAATATCTGTTATATCTTTTGGTGTGAGTTAGCACTATTAATATGTTAATGTCTGCATAATACTCTTCACTTCATAGCTAATAGTTTTTATTACCAAGTTTTCTTTCTTTTTCTTTGGAAGGTTGAACTAAATGAAATAGAATCCCGGTGTGAAGAATACCCATTGACTCGGGCCTTTTGCCAGCTTATTAGTACTCTGGTGGAGAGCTCATTTCCTTCTAATTTGGGTGCTGGACTGCGGCCCCCTGGCTTTGACCCTTATTTGCAGTTCCTTAGAGACTCTGTGTTTCTACGATTCCGTACAAGAGCTTACCGGAGAGCAGCTGAAAAGGTTATGTTCAGAGAAAAGCTTTTTTCTCCTTATGCATTTACTGCTTTTTCTTTTATCAAAAGTATATGGTGCTAAATTCATGTTAGCTTTTGAAAGGTAGTAAAATTCACAGTCTTTGTTTTGAAATATCTATGAAGTGGTCTGATTAGTTTATGTGCACTAAAAAATAAGTTTGGTCATTAAAACCCAAGCACTGACATTAGTCATCAGTAATCTAATTGATAGGAGTTCATATTTCATATCCTTAGTTTAACAAGTTTTGACTAAAATGGAACAAAAAGTGTCACATTTGTTGGAAACACACTACTACTGCTTATTGGAATGGTTTAGGTTAGGGATTGAAATAAGTTTAAACTTGCACAGCAGTTTCTATTGATTAGTGGCACTGGGTTGTGGAGTACTGGTTTAGCGGGAAGGAGTATTGTAATCCATTAGGCATGTCTGCCATGGATGGAGGCTGAGAGAGCACTGATCTTTATGACACATTTGCTCTGGTTGCAAGACACTAACCACTGAGCTTATATATATCATTTTATATAATTCCAATATTACCACGTGGCAGGTACTATTTAATATTCCCATTTTACAGATGGAGGCTTAGCAAGGTTAAGGAACTTGCCTAAGGTCCAGGACCAGGATTTGAACCTAGGACTCTGATTCCAGATCCAAGCTCATAGCCACTAAGCTATGTAAGAGACTCTTCCAGGTTCTGATGTAATTCACGTTAGTCTATAATACTGTTTATTAACCTTACAGAATACCCTTGGTTGTATCTTGTAGGAATGTTTCTGCTTTATTTTGGTAGTTGGCGCAGATCAAGACTCCATCTGAAAAAAACAAGTGTATATATATATGAAGAAATTATATCATCCTTAATTTTGTTGCCAAAGGAAGGATAACTACTTTTAGTCTTTTTCCTATGCCTGTAGACTTAATTAACAATTGAGATAATTAGTTATATTACTTTGTATTTCTTTTTTGTCACTTAGCATCATGGGGATTTTTTTCATGTCCTAAGATATTCTTTGAAAATAGTCTTTTTAGTGACTGCATAAAATCTGTTACTTGTATCTAGCATAGTTTATTCACTGCCCTGTCATTGGATATAGCTTGTTTTTTATATTTAGTCACAAATAATTGAAGTTCTTTTTTTTTGTCAATTGCATTAGAATTTTTGCTTGCCAGGTTGTAAAAATAAACACTGAGGTGGGGTATACACTTTACTTAGGCTCTAGAACTTAACATGTATTTCCTGATGGGAAGAAAACAATAACAGCAACCATGCCTCATTAATAAAGTCATTTCAGATGAATAATGAGTGCTGATAATTACAGCACTCATTTCATCAAAATGTTCTGATACTTTTTTACAGTTGTTTTAAATGTCTTATATGCTTTTTCTTAAAAAGGTCATTGTGATCTGAGTGTTTAGAGCATTAGTTAGCCATATTCTCTCCAGATGCTATCACTTTTCACCCATGCAGAGCCACACTTCAAGTGTTGCTGCTTTTCCCTGGCTGCCATTGATTTCAGTTCCACCCCAACTTACTCTAAAAAACTTTCCCTCAATTTTGTGAATTTATTTTACTTGAAAGTGTTCTTGAGATCTAATTTATATGACTATTTTAGGACACTAGCTGCTCACACAAACAGTGCTTTGGATTGAGATAAATAACAGCGTGTTAGAGGCAATTGGTATGTTTACCAGTCCTAAATCCATTATTATGTGGTAATATGCCTTTTTTATTTAAATAAAATTTTTTGAAAATTTTGGAAAATGCAAAACAGTGAATAATATAAAAATAATTTAAAAGTCACTTTATAGTCCCATTTTCTAACTCAACCTTGATACAATTATGTGCAGTGGAAATAATAATTTTAAAATAGTAATTCATAAAACCACCCTGTCTGCAATGACCAAACCCAGTCTTATTAAAATTCTATGTAGTGGATTTTTTAAACAAAGTTTTAATTTTACTGGCTATGCAGTTGTATATAATTTTTTTGGCATAAGTATTTTTCTTTACTGGTACATAGCTTTTAAATACATTTTGAATAAGAAGGCGATAATGGGAATATTTGGGGCAAGCCTACCAGTGATTGTGTCTTCTTAACCTTCTTTGACTATAGTCACGGATGGAACCCTGGTCTGAGAATGAGAAGGCCTGGGCTTGACTTTCAGCCTGTTTGCTGCCAGGCTTTATGATCTTGGGGAATTCATTCACTGCTCTGAGCTTCACTTGCTTCACTTATAAGGAATTTAGATGAGATGATTTCTCAGATTCTTTGCAGGCAGGCTTGTTAGAGAAAATGTGAAATGTTTGGCACTTGAAAAGTGTCCAAATTTGATGTTTAATTATAAATTGAATATGACTAGATACTAAATGTTTTCAATGTATTAATGAATTCCAAACATCTATAAAAATGTATCTTTAAGAATAATGCATTGAAAATATTTTACCTTGAAAATGAGCCAATTCATTATCTTTTAGCAAAATAAAGCAAAATGAATTGGGATTTCTATATTGCTTAGCGTAAGTGAATAAAGTGGACAAGAAACTTCACTCATTTTCTGGAAAAAGAAGTGGGAAGAGTGAAAAGCCTTGCAAGGCCACCACCTTGGTCTGTTTTATTGTTATTGACCTATTTATATCTTTCTATAGTGGGAAGTTGCTGAGGTGGTTTTGGAGGTGTTTTATAAATTGCTCAGAGATTATGAGCCTCAGCTTGAAGATTTTGTAGACCAGTTTGTGGAACTACAAGGTAATTTAATTCTGTCACTTTCAAACAAGTTGTCAACTATTTATAATTTATAAATTATGGCTATGTTATATATAAATTAAAAATTATACTTTTAAATTAGAATTTAATCTTTTGTTTCATTGTTTTAATCATTTTAATTTTTCTGTTCAAGAGAAAAAATTATTGAATGGAAGATCAAGAACACTGCATTACAATTTCTCTAATGAGTTAATAGAATAGCTGACTAACTGCTTTGTGCAGATTTGCCCTTAGGAGAATTACTGCTGTGTCTCTAAATTGAAACTTGCCTTTATCTATCTAGATGCCATCTAATTTACAAGTCTCATACATTTCATATAAATCAAGGGTGTGACAAAAATACTAACCCATCATCTCTTGGAATATGTTATGTTCTATTTAGGAGAAGAAATCATAGCCTATAAGCCACCTGGATTTAGTCTGATGTATCATCTGCTGAATGAGTCACCAATGTTGGAGCTTGCTCTCAGTTTACTGGAAGAAGGAGTTAAGCAGCTTGACACCTATGCCCCCTTTCCTGGTATATGCTTAAAAGCCTTCATGTCTTGCAAACAGCTTTGATGTTTTCATCTTTTGTAAACTGAGAATTTGAAATAGATGATCTCTGAAGTCATTTTTCACTGTAAGATTCTCTCTCTGTATCTGAAGTGGTGTTTTCAGTGAATCATTTAAATGAGAGTATTGTAAGTAAAAACAGACTAAAGTACAGAGAGAATCTCACTGTCACTGTGTTTCACTGCAGGGTCTTTTGTAGGTAAAGTGATCTTTCTATCATTTTAACATCTTTAACATCCCTAACTTTAAAGTACTTTTTTGTCCATCCCCCACCTCATAATATTTTTAAAAGGACTTACTATAGTGCTTGATACATAGTGGTCAATAAATTTTACTTGTTATTATTACCACTAATTATTATTTATTGAATGCTTACTATGTATTTGGCTCTTTTAAAAGCACATTGCATATATTAATGCATTCAATCTATTCAAAAATGTGTTAGATCTTCTTATTTCCATTTAACAAATAAAGAAGCTGAAATACAACGAAGTTATACTGGCTTTCCCTATCAAGTGTGGGAGCTGGGATTTGAACCTAGTCATCTTGGCTCCAGAGCTCATGCTTTTTACCACGATGCTATATTACCTCTACTTAATGTGGCTGTGATCAAAATGAGAAAAGAGATTCTAAACATATGAACAATAACTGTATAGTCAGAATATACAGATAAGACACTATAGGAAGAATTAGGCCACAATTTTAAATTTGATTGGTAAGATTATAGGTGATCCTTGTTTCTATTTTCTGCGTTATTTTCCACAGTGATTTGGTCTTACTTTAGATCAGAGTTTCTCAATTTTGGCACCATTGACAGTTTGAGCTGAATAATTCTTTGTTGTGGATGATGTCCTGTGTATTGTAAGCTGGATGCCAGTAGCACATTTCCAGTTAGGACAACTAGAAGTGTCTCCAGACATTGTCAAATGTGCCCTGGGGCTCAGCCACCCCATTCTGAGAACTGTTGCTCTAAACAATAAGGGAAAAGATAAAGAAGTGATTTGAGAATCCATTCCATGGGAGTTTTCTGGATTGCAAAATAACGATGACTTGCATAGATGAATGGTTTTGTGAAGTTGGAGCTGAAATTTTGAAACAATGAGAGCATAAATCTCTAGGTTTTGCTGCTGAAAGTTGGAAACAAGAGTCTGAATCTCTAGATCTGAAAATCTAAAACTTGTCATTTGTCTTGTTTTCCTAAGAATTGACTGTGAGTTTTTAAGATAAATTTAGAACTTTCTAACTTTATTTTTGGTTGATAGGGAAAAAACACCTGGAGAAAGCAGTACAGCATTGCCTTGCACTTCTCAATCTTACTCTGCAAAAGGAAAATCTTTTTATGGACCTTCTAAGAGAGAGTCAACTGGCTCTAATAGTCTGTCCTTTAGAACAGCTTTTGCAGGGAATTAATCCCAGAACTAAGAAGGCAGATAATGTGGTAAACATTGCCAGGTAAGTTACCTTTGTAGGTAGAGAAATGAAGTAAACAGATAGACATTCTAGCTTTGATTTTCAAATCTGGTTAGGTATCTAGTGCATCACCTTTTTTTTTATTTTTGCCTCATTTTACTTTTTTTTTTTTTTTTTTTTTGAGATGGAGTCTCGCTCTGTCGTCCAGGCTAGAGTGCAGTGGTATGATCTCAGCTCACTGCAAGCTCTGCCTCCTGGATTCAAGCGATTCTCCTGCCTCAGCCTCCTGAGTAGCTGGGATTACAGGTGAGTGCCACCATGCTCAGCTATTTTTGTGTTTTTGGTAGAGACGGGGTTTCACCATGTTGGTGAGGCTGGTCTTGAACTCCTGACCTCATGATCTGCCCGCCTCAGCCTCCCAAAGTGCTGGGATTATAGGCGTGAACCACCGCGCCCAGCCTTATTTTACTGTTGCCTTCTTTAGCTACCCTGATTTTAATTACTCTGAACTTTACAATTTCTTCTCTTCCATGTTCTAAGAATCTAAGTCTACTTTTTTTTTTTTTTGTCTTTTTGAGACAACATTTCGCTCTGTCACCCAGACTGGAGTGCGGTGGTACAATCTTGGCTCACTGCAACCTTCGCCTCCCAGGCTCAGGCGATTCTCCCACCTCAGCCTCCCCAGTAGCTGGGACTATAGATGTGCACCACCACACCCAGCTAATTTTTGTATTTTTAGTAGAGATGGGCTTTCACCATATTGGCCAGGCTGGTCTCAAACTCCTGACCTCAAGCAGTCCGCCCAGCTCAGCCTCCCAAAGTGCTGGGATTACAGGTGTGAGCCGCTGTGCCCACCCGAAATCTCTAAGTCTAAAATGACAATATTGTCTGTCTCCTGTAGGGAAACTAGGTGTTTGGAGGATAGGGCTGGAAAGGAAGCAGACTTTTCACAGAAAACTTGAGCTTTCTGGTGGTTTGATGTTCCGTGGCATATAGAAGCATCACCCTGATCTCTGCTTTCAGCGTCACATGGCAGTTTCCCTGTGTGTGTGTTTGTGTCTGAATTTACCCTTTTTATGAGGACACCAGTCATATTTTATTAGGGCCTCCTTAATGACCTCGTCTGAACTCGATTGACTATATGTACAAAGACCCTACTTTCAGATAAGGTCACTGGGTTAGCCAGACTTCACATAAGGATTTTGGGGGCAGGGATATGATTCAACCCCTAACAGACTGCATCTATTTAGAAGGGGACAGCTTTTTCTTATTTACCTTGAAGTGCTGTATGGGCAGGGGAAGCCCTGGTTCTAAATTTTCTTTATTGAGAATAGTGAGACACCAAAAATTTTATCACTGTTCCTCAAATGTTTTCTTTTCTTTAAAGATACCTATATCATGGCAATACTAATCCAGAATTGGCTTTTGAAAGTGCCAAGATCCTCTGTTGTATCTCTTGCAACTCTAATATTCAGATAAAGTTGGTTGGAGATTTCACACATGACCAGGTAACTGATTTTGTTGCTCTTGTTATTTTTTGGTGCATTTTGCATTTTGACTATATATGGAAGTTCTAGTGTCTATGGAGGAATCATATTCTTGGTTGTGGAAAAATTCATTAAGAGTAAGTATATTTGTATAGGATGGGTGAAAACCTACCCACGAACTTGGCTATGACTTATCTTTGAAGATAATGCTATTCACAGTGATACTGCATAATTATGGTATGTGGCACACTGCTACTCTGGGTACATGACCACTGCTACTCTCAGCACGTTCAAAATGATTAGGTTTGCTGTTAACTTGTTTGTTTACTGCTCCCGACCTGTCAGTTGCCTGTGTTCTAAGTGAGCCCTCTGCAAGTTCTGAATATTTCGTTGTTGTAAGTTGTCTACTTCACTGGTTTTCTTGTGATCCACCTGTGTGTCACTTCATTTGATGACACTGTAGAGTGTTTTTAGGAGTTCCTCTTTTTATTCAAGTTATAATAGTTCTGTTCACTGAATACCTACAATTGCGGAATCTGCTTTTTTTTTTCTTTATGAACATTTCATCCCATTGTATCTTTATGTTGGAAATCACTGCTTTAGCTAGTTGAAGAATTTTTTTTTTTCTTCTTTTGAGACAGGAACTCGCTCTATCACCCAGGCTGGGGTGCAGTGGCACAATCTCAGCTCACTGCAGCCTCTGCCCCTGGGCTCAAGCGATCCTACAGGTGCATGCCACCACGCCCAGCTAGTTTTTTTGTATTATTGGGTTTTACCATGTTACCCAGGCTGGTCTCGAATTCTAGAGCTCAAGCAGTGTGCCCATCTCGGCCTCCCAAAGTGCTAGGATTACAGGCCTGAGCCACCGTGCCTGGCCTCGTTGAAGGATTTTATTGTGTAGTCCTTCATAGAGTCCCTATTTTGAAATAAGGATTCTTCTGGCATGTTGGATGGCACAGATCTTATTTTGTGTGTTATAGTCCCTCACATCTAGTACCTTTAGCATCCCTAGATACCACTATCTGTCAGTAGTAACTTCTAGATGTGATTACTTAGATGACTCCACTTATTTCTAAGTTCCCTTTGGAGTGGTGGTACCACCCAGCATGAGAACCACCATAAGAGGTGTAAGTCTCATCTGTGGCTTATGGATGAGGTTTATGAAACCTTGTGATAATCAGGGGATGCTGAAGGTTTTTGATGTGCTGATTTTTGGGTTGATTTTGGTATAAATTGTTATTACTGATTTAACATCCTCCTAGATTATTAAAGGCAAAATCAGCTCAGAAATAGAAAATGGGTGATAAGTAATACATTTCTAAAGAGAGAAGATGAAAATTTTATTTTATGTTTTAGTTAAGATCTCGTAACATTGACTATATAATGAAGAGGTCAGTAAACAGCAATTTCGTGATTTTTTTTTTTTTTTTAACTAGCTTGATGCTTTGGGAAGGAAAATTAGGAAGCAAGTTTTGAAATCAATGAATTTATAAAACTTTTGTTTCTTTAATTATGTGTATAGAGAGCTAACTTACGGCAACTTAAGGAACTGAGTTTTCTATTAAAAATGTAACTAAAACGTAAATACCTAAGCAGGTTTGCCTATTTTTCCTTATGGATGAATATTTACATATATCAATCATAGTTTTTCTAATATTTAGAAACCTGTAATAATTTGTCATTTTTTACCTTCATGTTACTTCAGAGTATAAGTCAGAAACTAATGGCTGGATTTGTGGAGTGTTTGGATTGTGAAGATGCAGAAGAATTTGTACGTCTGGAAGAGGGTATGCCTTAGATTAATGTGCATACACGCATTCTTTTACTTTTTATATATGCTTAATTTAAAGAAAACACTTGTAATTGTTAACTGTTTTAGTGATGGTGTAAGAGGAATTGAGAATTTGCTAGAATACAGGTTGAGAATGCAAAATCCAAAATAAAATCTGAAACCTTTTGACCACCACCAACATGACTCTCAAAGGAAATGCTCATTGGTTCATTTTGGATTTTGGATTTTTGGATTTTTGGATTATACATCAACCTGTATAATGCAAATATTCTAAAATTCAAAAAAATCTGAAATCTGAAGCACTTCTAGTCCCACACATTTCAGATAAAGAGTACTCAACTTGTAAATTTATAAGGTTTTTAGGATTCCACTTTAAATAAATCTGAAATGAATGTGATAGATAATCAGGCAAACGATCTAAAGAAAACATGGAGTTGGAATACAAGTTTTGTATTTTTTATTTGACTTACGTTAACTTTCCACTGTTTTGTAATTTTGTTTTGTGATTTCTGCATTAAGGATCAGAACTTGAAAAGAAATTAGTTGCAATTCGTCATGAAACAAGAATCCACATCTTGAATCTTCTCATTACCTCTCTGGAATGCAATCCACCCAATCTTGCTCTCTACCTGTTGGGCTTTGAATTGAAAAAACCTGTCAGTACTACAAACCTACAAGATCCAGGTATAGCCTAAGACATAAAGGCATTTCTTTCCTTCCATATTTGTGTATCTCAGGGGTCACTGATTGCATTCTGGGCTCATGGGATAATTCATTGAAAGAAAAAGTGTAAGAAAGGTAATGTGATGGATGGGTCAGTTCTTTAGGGCTTAGAACAAGACTGGACAAACTGAGCTATAGAGAATCAGCCTTTATCAATTTTCTGTTATCAGTATTTGAAAGAGTGTTTACAGTACAGCATATATTTAAAGAATTTAACTTTTGAAAAGGCAGTCTAAGATTTTAATGCAGCAATTCTAAAAGAAAAGTTGAATTTCTTTTTGGTTTCATGCAGGAGTGTTAGGTTGCCCTCGGACATGCCTTCACGCCATTCTAAACATCTTGGAGAAAGGAACGGAAGGGAGAACAGGCCCAGTGGCGGTGCGAGAATCTCCTCAGCTGGCTGAGCTATGTTACCAGGTACACAGAAAACTGCGTTTTGTGGTACTGAATAGAAGAAACTTGACCAGGTGCATGAGTACGCCACAGATATGACAGTATAACAGCAGGACTTAGTTGAAATGAGTTCATTTAGCAATTTGACCTGTCTTTCATTTGTGGATAAAATCCGTAAAGCACAAACCCCAAGTTCTTATAGACCCAAATCTTATGTTAATCACTTGAAAAATAGAGGAAATTAGATTTTTGTGATGGATTTTTACCAGTAGTGTAGAAACTTTCCAACAGTGCTGTGTTTAAAGTAGCTCCTTCTGATGGGTCAGAAGACCTCTGGTTCCCATCTCTGCCCCATGACAGGTGAAGTCACCTTGGGCATGGCATGAAACGTCTCTGACTCTGAGTTTTTCAAACTGTGAAATGGACTGTTGAGAGACTTCAATGAGAATGTAAGTGAAAGCACTTTTTTTTTTTAAGAAGGGGTCTCACTGTCACCCAGGCTGGAGTGCAGTGGTGTGATCACAGCTCATTGCAGCCTCAACCTCCCCTGGATCAGATGATCCTCCACCTCAGCCTCCCAAGTAGCTGGGACTATATGTGTGTCCCACCATGCATGACTAATTTTTGTAGTTTTAGTAGAGATGGTGTTTTGCCACATTGCCCAGGCTGGGAAAGCACTTTTTTTTTTTTTTTTTTTAATATGGAGTCTCGCTCTGTTGCCCAGGCTGGAGTGCAGTGGCGTGATTGTGGCACACTGCAACCTCCACCTCCCAGGCTCAAGCGATTCTCCTGCCTCAGCCTCCCAAGTAGCTGGGACTACAGGCGTGCCCACCATGCCCAGCTAATTTTTGTATTTTTAGTAGAGACAGGGTTTCATCATGTTGGCCAGGATGGTCTCAATCTCTTGACTTTGTGATCCACCTGCCTCGGTCTCCCAAAGTGCTGGGATTATAGGCATGAGCCACCGCGCCTGGCCAGAAAGCACTTTTTAATAACCAAATAAATTAAGAAGTCCTGTATACAACTATGTTAAGTGGTAGAATGTCAGATTAACATTTAAACTATAATGAGGGCTGGGCCTGGGCATGGTGGCTCACGCCCATAACCCCAGCACTTTGGGAGGCTGAGGTGGTCTGGATCACTTGAGGCCAGGAGTTGGAGACCAGCCGGGGAAACATGGCAAAACCTTGTCTCTGCTGAAAATACAAAAATTAGCTGGGCGTGGTGGCACGTGCCTGTAATCCCAGCTACTTGGGAGGCTGGGGCATGAGAATTGCTTGAACCCAGGAGGTAGAGGTTGCAGTGAGCCAAGATCATGCCACTGCACTCCAGCTGGGTGGCAAAGTGAGACTCTGTCTCAAAAAAAATAAAAATAAATACATAAGTAAACTATAATGATAATTTATAATTTCGCTTGTTCACTTTTGTTTATTGTTTTATTCATTTTATAAGTGTTTTAAAAACTAGGCTTGGCCGCGTGCAGTGACTCACGCCTTTAATCCCAGCACTTTGGGAGGCTAAGGTGAGCAGATCACCTGAGGTTAGGAGTTAGAGACCAGCCTGGCCAACATGGTGGAACCCCATCTCTACTAAAAATACAAAAAAAATTAGCTGGGCCTGGTTGTGGACGCCTGTAATCCTAGCTCCTCAGGAGGCTGAGGCAGGAGAATTGCTTCTACCCGGGAGGCAGAGGTTGCAGTGAACCTAGATCGTGCCACTGTACTCCAGCCTGGGCAACAAGAGCAAAACTCCGTCTCAAAAAAAAAAAAAAAAAAAAGAACCAGGCTTTATAAGCTGTGACTAATTTCTCAATTTAAGTGTTACCCTAAATTTACATTTTTAGGATAAGAAATGGTGGGTCATGAGATCAGGAGATCAAGACCATCCTGGTGAACATGGTGAAACCCCATCTCTACTAAAAATACAAAAATTCATCCTGACTAACACAATGAAACCCCATCTCTACTAAAAATACAAAAAATTAGCCGGGCATGGTGGCTGGCACCTGTGGTCCCAGCTACTCGGGAGGCTGAGGCAGGAGAATGGCGTGAACCCGGGAGGTGGAGCTTGCAGTGAGCCGAGATCGCGCCACTGCACTCCAGCCTAGGCGACAGAGCGAAACTCTGTCCCAGAAAAAAAAAAATACAAAAATTATCCGGGCATGGTGGTGTGTGCCTGTAGTCCCAGCTACTTGGGAAGCTGAGGCAGGAGAATGGCGTGAACTTGGGAGGCGGAGCTTGCAGTGAGCCGAGATCGCACCACTGCACTCCAGCCTGGGCAACAGAGCGAGACCCCATCTCAAAAAAAAAAAAAGAAATGCATCACTAACCTCTTAGTGTTACTGGCATGGATATTTTTCTTTGTTAATCTCCTGCTTTTCTTTTTGTAATTCTTTACTATCTTTTCTGTCCTCCGGCTGTCCAAACATCCCTTCACTGTAAGTACTATAGCTAGGTTTTCCTGTAAATCAAAATTAATTCTTCCTTATGGGGGAACAAATTTGATGTACATATTAGCACAGATTTACAGAATTTGATATATAAGTAGAAACAACTGATAAGCTTAACACCTAGGCTAATGGCAGGTGAAGTAAATGAATGAAGCCAGGGTCCAGTTAAGGGAGTGGGAGGAAAGGAGAATCTGGCAGACTGGAGAGCATGTGCCTTCCTACTCATCCCTGGCTTATTTTACCATGCCAGAGTGCAGGATTTGTTGGGCCAGATTGTCTGAATTTTTATTTTTATTTATTCATTTTTAAAAGAATTTGGAAATCTGAATTTTTGTTAAAGTTGTTCTAACTTTTAGAACACTCTACTAGCCAAGGAAAACATGTCCATACCAGCAGTTTACCAGTTTATAACATACTCTCTGTTGTCGTTGTTACTGTTTTTTGAGATGGAGTCTCACTCTATTGCCCAGGTGGAGTGCAGTGGCACGATCTCAGCTCACCGCAACCTCCACCTCCCGGGTTCAAGCGATTCTCCTGCCTCAGCCTCCCAAGTAGCAGGGATTACAGGCATGTGCCATCACACCCGGCTAATTTTGTATTTTTAGTAGAGAGGGGGCTTCACCATGTTGTCCAGGCTGGTCTCAAACTCCTGACCTTAGGTGATCCACCCGCCTTGGCCTCCCAAAGTGCTGAGATTACAGGCGTGAGCCACCGTGCCCGGCCATAACATATGCTCTGTGACCTTGCTACTCAAATATGGCCCAGGGACCAGTATCATCAGCATTATCTCCTAGGAGCTTATTAGTGCAGAATCTGAGGCCCCACTTTAGACCTGATGAGTCAGGATCTGCATTTTTACAGAAAGCACTGCTCCATTTATAACTAAATATACTCCCTATACCTATATGTTTGTACTTCACCCTGCTTCAGAAAAAAATTTAAACCTCTAAGTAAGAAGAGCTTGTTAGTTTAAATAAATCTGATTGTAGCAAAGGGAAATGGTCCTTACTGATACCTTCCTTGTCCTGCAACACAAGGGCTTCTGGGTGAAGAAGTTGAGGCCTGGTGCCTTTGCCCTCTTTTCTTTAAGAACGGAGATTTCTTCTACCTGGTCCCTGGTCTTGGAAACCAGGAAGGATATAGCCCACATCTTAATAAAATGGCTTTCAGTGCTTTTTGAACTCACTTTTTGTGTCCTTCTCTTCTTTTTTTTTTTTTTTTGGGTGGGGGACAGAGTCTTGCTCTGTCGCCTTGCCTGGAGTGCAGTGGTGTGGTCTCGGCTCACTGCAACCTCCATCTCCCAGGTTCAAGCAATTCTCGTGCCTCAGTCTCCCAAGTAGCTGGGATTACAGGCGTCCCTGGGCCACCACGCCTGGATAATTTTTGTATTTTTAGTGGAGACGGGGTTTCACCATGTTGGCCAGGGTGGTCTCAAACTCCTGACCTCAGGTGATCCGTCCACCTTGGCCTCCCAAAGTGCTGGGATTACATGCGTGAGTCACTGCCTGGCAGTTCTCTTCTGATAGTATTATTTCTTCCACTTGTTAGAGTATCTTCTTGTGTTTTCTTAACTCCCCCAGTAATAGACCTAACTGATTTTGTTTTGAGAAGTTCGGTATTAGCTTAAGTTTTTGTTTGTTTATAGAATATCAAAATGGTATCAAAACTGTTTAAAAGGTCAATGTACATCTGTAGCAGAGCTTTTTACTCTTTTCCTTGTCTTCTTTCTCTTTGTGTATATACATTGTTTATAGTTGTATTCAGTATACATGAAATTTTGTGTCTTTTTTACTCCTCTCTGTATAAACTTTCTGTGCTGCAACAATGTAAATTACATTCAGGTTGTTTCCAGTTTTTTTTTTACTCTGCTGTAGCGAACAAAAAAACAAAAATTAGCCAGGCGTTATGCCATGTGCCTGTTAATCCCAGGTACTTGGGAGGCTGAGGCAGGAGAATCGCTTGAACCTGGGAGGTGGCAGTTGTAAATAAATAAATTACCTTTGGTTGTTTTGTATTTTTCTTAAGAATATATTTCCAGGCGGGCACTGTGGGTCACACCTGTAATCCCAGCACTTTGGGAGGCTGAGGCGGGTGGATCATGAGGTCAGGAGATCAAGACCATCCTGGCTAACACGGTGAAACCCCGTCTCTACTAAAAATACAAAAACAAAATATTAGCCGGGTATGGTGGTGGGCACCTGTAGTCCCAGCTACTCAGGAGGCTGAGGCGGGAGAATGGCATGAACCCGGGACGTGGAGCTTGCAGTGAGCCGAGATCGCGCCACTGCACTCCAGCCTGAGCGACAGAATGAAACTGCATCTCAAAAAAAACAGAAGAAAAAAAAACAGAATATATTTCCAGACAAGGGTTTATAGTCAGTTCTCGTTATTCACAGTAGTTGTGTTTTATAAAGTCATTGTGAAAACTGAATTGGTGAATTCATTGCCCCTATGGAAAATACAGGCTAGGATTCCTGCAAGTGTCTGGTTCCAACATTCTTGTCAACTGATGAATTCATAATCATGTTTTATGTGTGTTTCTGTTTAAAGACACCTTACTTAATGTAGTTGATTCATTAACATTAAACTCATAGCCAACAGCACTATAACTCAGCCTGAATGAAATTTATCTAATGTAGTATTTTATCTTAAAGGCATATCACAGCCTTTTTGCACTTAGGGACAAGGCAGCATTTCAGCACTATGCTTGGGGGCTGTTTTAAACAGCAAAATCAACAAAAAGCACAAAAATGCAAAAAACGTGGCACTAAATAGACCATTTAAAGAACCCTTTTTATAGTATGATAGCTGGAACAGGAAAAGCATTGCTCCATTAGAGAGCATGAGAGTTCGGTGACTGCAGTTTGTAGCTGTTCTCCCGCGCATGAAGGACCATGGAAGCACTGCAAGTATTGATTTTGGGATTTTAAATAAATTTTAGCATGTTAGGTGAATTTGCAAATATGGAATCTGTAAATAATGAGGATTGACTGTGTTGGGTCAAAGACTATCAAGAGTTTTGGCTTTAGATTTTAATTCACAAGTAGTCATAACAATTATACTAGGTATTAATAGTGCTCAGAATAAACATGTCTTAAAGTGCCTGGTACATGGAAAGCATCTAATAAATGTTCATATTAGCCACGCATGGTGGCATGCAATTACTGTAGTCCCAGCTACTCAGAAGGCTGAGCTGGGAGGATCACTTTAGCCCAGGAGGTTGAGGCTGCAGTGAGCTGTGATTGCACCACTGTACTCCAACCTGGGTGACAGAGTGAGACCCTGACTCAAAAAAAAAAAAAATTTGCTGATTTATAATATGATACCTACCTATTATCATCTTGATTTTTTTTTTTAATTCCTGAAAACAGATGGACATTTTTTATTATGGGCTATTTTTATTTTTCTCATATAAAATGTCTTTTACCATATGGGCTACTTTTACCATCTGGGGTACTTAGATCTTTATGTTATTCATATCTGTAATGGAGATCTTTATATATATTAGAGCTAGCAACTTTTTCTTATATTTAATATAAGAACTTTTTCTCTTATCTATTCTTTTTTGTTAAATTTTTATTCAGTTTATTGTTATTTAGTTGAATTTATGGATCTTCTTTGTAATTTCTGCATTTGCTTTAGTTTTGGTAATTTTAATCTTCCAGAGGTTGAGATGTAACTCTTATGGTTCTCAGAAGTTATTTCCAAGTAATTTGCTACTAATAATTTTTTTCTTTTCTTTTTTTTTCTTTTTTTTTTGAGACAGGGTCTTGCCCTGTCACCAGGCTGGAGTGCAGTGTCATGATCTTGGCTCACTGCAACCTCCACCTCCAGGGTTTAAGTGATTAATCTGCCTCAGCCTTCCGAGTAGTTGGGATTACAGGCACACGCTACCATGCCTGGCTAATTTTTGTATTTTTATAGAGACAGAGTTTCACCATGTTGAGCAGACTGGTCTCAAACTCCTGACCTCAAGTAATCTGCCCACCTCAGCCTCCCAAAGTGTTGGGAGGTGAGCCACCGTGCCCGGCCTGCTACTAATAATTAAGCTAAAATACTAAAATGTACTATATGTGTATAGTAAAATTAACTATATGTGTATATATTAATAAGTATATTAATAATAGTTGTGTAATAATGTCACCAGCACTCCATTGTATTTCAGTGTATTTTCTTGAGCTAGGTTGCCAAGGACTGTTCATAACTCTGAGCTTATGTTTTGTGCATCTGTTTGTCCATTTTACTTGAGTTGTTGATGGGTCCTAGTTTTTCACTTAGTAGGTCTAAGTTCATATTTTGTTACCATAATATGTGTAACACAGAAAGACTGATTCAGGGATTTTTCTTACTTTAATGCTTTAGGTCATATATCAGTTATGTGCATGCTCTGATACATCTGGTCCTACTATGAGGTACTTGAGAACCAGCCAGGATTTCTTATTTTCCCAGTTGCAGTATCTACCATTTTCTAACAAAGGTAGGCCATTATTTTCCCGTATTTATAAGAACACATTTATAATTCCATGTTAAGTGATTTTATTTATACAATATTTGGGGGAATTCTGTTCTCATTCTGATACTTTGGCTTCTTTGTTATTTTGGGTTCTTTTTGTAATTTCTGCTTAAAGAAGGCTGATATTTTAACTGCTAGCAAAAACTTATTTAAATATAGCCTATCAAGGATGGAATTTGATTCTCTTACAACAAATAAAATTTAAAGATTGTGTTGAAGGGATTAGAAAATTAATGGGAATTTAAAGTTTTTGAATGAAAATTGTTTTACGAAGATTTCTGATTTTCTCTTCCCAGGCTGTTTATGAGGAAAAAAAAAATCCTGGTTTATTTTTGTTTCTTGTGTTTGTATTGAAACCAATTCAGATCTTGAAATGAAAAGTTGAAAACTAATTATGGTAGAAAACAGTTTTAACTTAGTTTATTGACATGGCTAACAATTATTCCAGGCTAATGCAGTCTTATCGAGATTCTACTTTATTTTCTTTTTGACCAACTTTTAACAGTTTTCTGAATTCAGACTATATTCAGACAGTCTTAGTCTGTTGAGTTTTTTAAAAGTTTAGCTTGTGTCATCTTTATGTTTTAGGAAGTTGAGGCTCACACATGCCATAAACAAATTTCTATTACTAGTAATTGTCAGCATCTAATTTACCTTTTAGAGTAATGGCGTTAGACCTCTGAGAATTATCTAATGGCAAAAGGTTTTTCACTCTATTTTCATAAGTGTCTTATTTTTAGTTCTGGGATTTTGTTTAAGAAGCTTTTAGAAACCCTCTTTACACCTAATTAAAAATAAAAATTAACATCTTACCTATTATGGTATGTGTTTTATAAAACTTCATTTAGCTTTGCCTGAAATTATTATTAGTATTGTTATATGGTTAATTTTATGTTTATACTGTCACAGTTTAGGGTTTCAATGTCAAGCATATTAAAATAGTATTGGATTAAAAAAATCTTATTGTAGGACCAGGCACAGTGGCTCGCGCCTATAATCCCAGTGCTTAGGTAGGCTGAGACAGGAGGAACACTGAGGCAAGGAGTTCAAGTACAGCCTGGGCAATAGAGTGAGACCCTGTCTCTACAATAAAAAATAAATAAATAAAAATAAAAACTATTGTATAAGTGATTCTCAGCCTTAATTAAATGTTAAACCACATCATTAATTGAGGTATTATAAAATCATGCAATTTAAGTTTAATTTTTCTTATGTATTTGTTTTGTGAAATCAAAACCAAACTATGATAGTTTTTTGAGTTATGTATTTGAAAATTACTTTAAAATATTGTTTTATATATCAGTGTCAAAATACGATAGATTCAGGATCTTTGTGAAATTAAAATCAGTAATGAAAACTTGATTCTCTTTTACTCTTCATTTACTTTAGCCCATCTTTCGTAAATTTATACTAGCTTATTTTTTTCTTTCTTGGTATCTTTTTTTTCCTCTTGTAATTTTACAGAGTGAGAAATTATTATGTTGCTGAGTTTCATAAATTATTGACTTTGTTACATGGGAAAATATCTGTTGAGTTACAGAATTTAAGTCTGTTTTGATACTGTGTTATTACTCTGGGAAACAAAATTTACATGTTTAAATTCTAGAATATGAAATATCTATGCTGAACCAGATGTCATGGCTTATGAAAACTGCCTCAATAGAGCTAAGGGTAACCTCTCTGAATCGTCAGCGGTCACATACCCAGAGGCTCCTACACCTCTTACTGGATGACATGCCAGTGAAACCATACTCAGGTGAGTATTAGTATTTGTTTTATTGTGCTGGTGACTAGTTGTCGTGAAGACAAGCACAAATCTGAAGCTTGTGCTTAGTATGTGACTATAGACCAAAACTATCTTCTCACTTTTAGAATTTTTTTTTCTTAAAACACAAAAATTTTAACTCATCTTATGATTGTCATTTATTATTATTTTAAGCATCCATATTACACTATAATCATACCGGTATTATATACAAAATTGTCAGTGGAGTTTGTCATACTGAGCCAGCATGACCTAAGCTATTTCAGTATGTATTATTCATGCAAATTAAGCATAAACTTTTAAAATCATCTCATTGGCATGATTGGGTCTTGCCATTTTTGAGAATCTGATTATTCTCTTTACAATTGTGCAGTGGATTCCATAGGGACAGAAATAATTAGATTAATGTTGGTAGTAAATCCTCATCAATCTTTACATTTTAATTATCCATTTGCACAGGGCTCTTTGATGTAGAAACAATGACCTAGAAATAAGATACCTTGTGTTTGTTATTTCCAAATAAATAGTTTTAAGAGTATGTTCTTCTTTTTCTGATTCAATATTATTGATATTCCAACAGATGGTGAAGGAGGAATAGAAGATGAAAACAGGTCTGTTTCTGGGTTCCTTCACTTTGACACTGCTACAAAAGGTAATGCCCTTTGAATTTGTAATAAATTTATTTTATAGACATATATTAAAAAAAAAAAAACTTCAAGGGATTATTATGCCTGTGCCTCCAAACTCTGAACTGGTATAGAAAAGTTATATAAAGGATTAATTGCCACCTGAAAATTTTTTTTATAATAGGATTATACAAAAGGAAAGAAAATATTTTTGTTAATGGATGTATCAGAAATAAAATCAAATTTAGATTCCAATACAGTTTTCAGTTTCTTGACTATTTTATGCTCTTTCTGAAAATAGCACTGTCTTTGAAAATCAACTGAATATGATGGCTTGCCTTTCTTTTCAATGTCCCAAGTAAAATCAAATTACTTTTTATTATTTCTAGTACGTCGAAAAATTCTAAATATTCTTGACTCGATTGACTTCAGTCAGGAGATCCCTGAGCCTTTGCAGTTGGATTTTTTTGATCGGGCCCAGATTGAACAAGTTATTGCTAACTGTGAACACAAGAATTTACGGGGACAGACAGTCTGCAATGTCAAGGTGAGGATTGCTTTAAAGTACATATCTGCAGTGTCAAGTGGCTCAGACTTTAAGTCATCAGAAACAAATAGAACCATATAGGTTTTCTTTCTGATAGAGACATTGGTTTAGTAGTTTATAGGAAGGACTGTGATTTTTGTAAAATATCCCTGAAATAAAACTTAATATATCACCTAACTTCTTGAAAAGGGATACTTAATATTTTGGTCTGGAAATTGGACAGTGCTCCTGTTAGATTATATATAAAGGTATCTGACACCTTTCCCTTTAGGGCAGTTTATGGTAATTGCTAGGTGTTACTGTTCTACCAGTGTCTGAAATGTCTTATTTTTCTTTCTTTTCCTAATTATCCAGCTTCTTCATAGGGTTCTTGTAGCTGAAGTAAATGCCCTTCAGGGTATGGCAGCCATAGGACAGAGACCTCTACTAATGGAGGTAAGCTCTATTGAGTATGTGTTCGTTTCAAACTTCTAACTACTTAGGTTGCTGGTGAAAAGACTAAAATAGTATATTGACATGTAGTTTGCTAATTAGTAAGCTGCCTAAAAATTAAACATTTAGGGAGTCTTTCACTTTTGATTTTATAACTTTTATAAACTGAACTATCTGGTATGCCAAAATAAATAACACCTTTTCTGCTAGGCTAGTTAAGGATTTGCAACCTGACCATATTTCGTATTAGACTTCACTTGGTCCCCATCAGTGAGAGAGGAGGGTCATTTGTCATCACAAGTGGAAAGTTACAGATAAGAGGTCAGGTGGGAAGAACCACATGAATGGAGATACAGCCGGCCAGGCCAAAGCAAGAGGCAAAGAAATAAAAGAGATGTCAGAGAAACATGCCATTGAACTTGGAGTTTAGATAATTCTAGTGCTCTAGAGTAAGCAAGTATAAGTAGACAGGTACAAGGAGAAAGAAGATGGTGTCAAAAAATACATATTTATCTATGCCACTTCTGTCCCCTACCTTTCATGCACATACACACACATACACACCTTATATGTTAATATTTTTTATAGCCCTGGCTACTGAAATAATATGAAAAGATACCTGCTTCCTGGCATGCATGTAGTAGGTTTCCAAATAAATATTTTCTGAGTAACTGACAGATAACTGATCTTATTTGCCTGTTTAACCTTGTGATTCAATTCCTGTGGCTTTAGGAAATCAGCACTGTACTTCAGTATGTGGTAGGAAGAAATAAATTGCTGCAGTGTCTTCATGCAAAACGTCATGCTCTGGAGTCGTGGAGGCAACTAGTAGAAATTATACTGACAGCTTGTCCCCAGGACCTCATTCAGGCAGAGGATCGACAACTGATTATTCGTGATATTTTACAAGATGTGCATGATAAGGTGACGTACTTCCTAAAATACTTTATACTGCTGAACGAATGTATCATTTAAACAAATATATTTTGGCATCCTAATTGTTTTCCATTTTCGATTGGGAGTAAAATAGAATTGTGCAATACCAACGTTAAGACTTTCCTTGAGAAAGGGATTAATTCTGTACAGTAGTGGCTCTCAACCAGAGTGTGTGTCTGAGTTATCTCGGGAGCTTTGTAAAAATTCACATGGACAGAGCCCACCCCAGACCTACTGAATGTAGTGGTGAGACCATTTATGTGAATTTCAAAAAGAAAACCTCCCTAGGGAATTCTGATAGGAATCCCTTCTGGTTAAGAACACCCATTACCTAGCATCATGTTTAAATTTCTCTGTATATATTAGATTCCTTTCTTTCTTTCTTTCTTTCTTGACTAATTTCTGTATTCCATTCTTATATTGTTACCATAGTTGACAAGCTAAATGTATATAAAACTTGTTAATGGGCTGTGTGCAGTGATTCATGCCTGCAATCCCAGAACTTTGAGAGGCCAAGGTGGGAGGATCACTGGAGCCCAGGAGTTTGAGACCAACCTGGGCAACATAGTGAGATTCCATCTCTACGAGCATGATGGTGTGCACCTGTAGTCACAGTTGCGGGAGGCTGAGGTGGGAAGACCTCCTGAGCCCAGGAGGTCAAGGCTGAAGTGAGCTGAGATTATGCTACTGCACTCCAGCCTCGGTGACAGAGCGAGACCCTGTCTTCAAAAAAAAAAAGCTATGAAATTTGTTAATGATTATAGCTGAAAGCAGGATTCTCACTCTAATTTGCCCTTGTCCTTTAAGATACTGGATGATGAAGCTGCGCAAGAGTTAATGCCTGTGGTCGCCGGGGCAGTGTTCACACTGACTGCTCACCTAAGCCAGGCCGTCCTCACTGAACAGAAGGAAACATCAGTCTTGGGACCAGCAGAGGCCCATTACGCTTTTATGCTTGATAGTTGCTTCACCTCACCTCCTCCTGAAGAGAACCCATTAGTGGGTTTTGCTTCTATTGGAGATTCTTCACTTTACATCATATTGAAGAAACTGTTAGACTTCATTTTGAAGACAGGTTTTTTTCATTTAAATTGTCTATAAATTCTATCTTTTGTATTTGTTTTAACTTTAATTGAGAAAAGATTTTCATTTGACATCTTCCTAATCTCCCTAGGTGGTGGATTCCAACGAGTGAGGACTCACTTGTATGGCTCTCTGCTTTATTACTTACAGATTGCCCAGAGACCTGATGAACCAGACACCTTAGAAGCAGGTAGAATGAGATCAATTCCTAATCTTTTCTGGATTGGGAGATGGTTACTTTAAATTGAAAAAAAAAATCACTTCTCCATCTTTTGACTAATCACAACTGTAAAAAATGAGTGTTAGTGTCATTTTTAAAGCATTTACTCAAAAGTTGAGGAAGAATGTTTAGTTTTTAAGAATTATGAAGTAGTACATGAGTACTACTTTTAAGATAACCTTCAAATAATACTTTAGCTTTATATACTTCTGTAACTCCCTCACTTGCCTCAAGTCCGACTGAACAGTGTGCTCTACATAGAATGGTCCAATGTCTTTCTTTCCTTTGTGCTACATCAGAGTACTTATCTAGTTGATTCTTTTAAAATATCTCGGCCTGGCATGGTGGCTCACGCCTGTAATCCTAGCACTTTGGGAGGCCGAGGCCTGTGGATCACCTGAGGTCAGGAGTTCGAGACCAGCTTGGCCAATATGGTGAAACCCCATCTCTACTAAAAATCAGAAAATTAGCAGCCATGGTGGCAGGCATCTGTAATCCCAGCTACTCAGGAGGCTGAAGCAGGAGAATCGCTTGAACCCAGGAGGCAGAGGTTTCCCAGATTGCGCCACTGCCCTCCAGCCTGGGCAACAAGAGTGAAACTCTGTCTCAAAAAGAAACACAAAAGTCTTTGTTATTCCATGATATGGATGAAACACTTATCTGCCATTTTCCTTATTCACAGGCATTTCAATTGTTTCTAAATTTTTATTACAAAAATGCTACATCAACTTTTTTTATATGCCTATATTTCTCAAAAAGGATACTGCTTAATGGTGGAATTTCCATGTGTAAAAGTATGTACTTTTATTTTAAAAAGATTCAAATGAATGACCTTCTCCAGTATAAACTCATCAATAGTATACATGTATCTTTTTGTACTAGTGAGGTTTTGTTTGGATAAATTCCAAGAAGTGGAATTTCTTGGTCAAAAGTTAGGCACATTTAAAATATTGCTAAATGCTGCTTTCTAAAAAGTTAGCATTTTTAATTGAAACTAATCTTAAGACATGAAAATGTTATTAAGTGTTCAACACATCAGTATATAATGCTTTATATACTTTATAGACATTTGATGTTCAATCAAGTTATTCAGAGTTATTCTGCCATTTGTTAAGAAGTTGTCAGAGCACCTTCTGATAATGGATTTTCTTTGGGCTCTTCACCTTTGTGAGTGTTATTTTGTATACACTGTTAAAAACCACTGTGTACGTAAGGTTGACTTGATCTCATTATCCTTATGGTGGTTGTATTTTATGCCATACATAGTACCCTATAAGGTAGTAATAGCCAAATGGTAGATTTATAGGCATGTAGCACCCACATAAATAATGCATGAGAATATTTGTAAGATGAGGAAAAATAACAGAATAGTTTAGAGAAGTTTTTTAAGCAAACATGAGCTTCTTTTAAGAAAAGAGATAGTAATGGGATTTCTCCACTCAGCACCTCCCACATTTTTCTTTTGTGTGTGTGTTTTTCTTAACATTCCATTTAGTTGAATTGGCCAAGTCACCACTTAACCACTAGGTGGGGCTCTACAATAGGCTTTTTATAAGAAGTCATCAAGATGCCAATTTAAAAACTGCTGCTATGTAGCAGTTGGAAAAAATGAGATTAGTTTCCAATACAAGTTATTGCTTTATTTAATGTACTTGTGAAATTTTTAAAGAGTCTCACATAAGAGTATGTTTGTGGGTCTTACATAAAATGTATGATCATACTGTTCCTAATCATTGTATAATGGTTGTGCTTTTATTTTTATAATAGGTGTGCTTTTATTTTTAATAAGTATTTCAACTAAAAAAAAGAATAAAAATATCTGATTTTTTTGGAGGCAAATTTTTGTCTACATTGTACCTGATCCTTTCTAGCTAAATTTTCTTTTCTTTTCTTTTGTTTTTTGAGACAGAGCTTCACTCTGTAGCCCAAGCTGGAGTACAGCGGTGCGATCTCAGCTCACTGCAACCTCCACCTCCTGGGTTCAAGTGATTCTCCTGCCTCAGCCTCCCCAGTAACTGGGATTATAGGTGTGCACCACCACGCCCCACTAATTTTTTGTATTTTTAGTAGAGACGGGGTTTCACCATGTTGGCCAGGCTGGTTTTGAACTCCTGTCCTCAAGTGATCCACCGCCTCGGCCTCCCAAAGTGCTAGGATTACAGGTGTGAGCCACCACGCCTGGCAATTTTAAAAGATCTCAATAAAAGATAAAAGATTGATTAGCGGCTGGGCACGGTGGCTCACACCTGTAATCCCAGCACTTTGGGAGGCCAAGGCAGGCAGATCACGAGGTCAGGAGATCAAGACCATCCTGGCCAACATGATGAAACCCCATCTGTACTAAAAATACAAAAATTAGCTGGGCATGGTGGCATGCACCTGTAGTCCCAGCTACTGGGGAGGCTGAGGCAGGAGAATCGCTTGAACCTGGGAGGTGGAGGCTGCAGTGAGCCAAGATCATGCCACTGCACTCCAGCCTGGAGACAGAGCCAGGCTCTGTCTCAAAAAAAAAAAGAAGGAAAAAAAAAAAGACTGATGAGCAGGATAAATACAGGACGTTGGTTCTCATGGAGTCTTGTAATTCATTTTGATCTCTTTCAGAATGATTTATCCTTTTCCAGGTACAATTATTATCTTAGTGTTATGAAACATGCATGAAATAGGTGCATTGTGTTATTAGAGTTAACCTGCTTGGACCCACCGGTCAGTGGGCCTTTGTGTACAAGCAGTGATGGAAGGATTTTTTTGTTGCGTTTTTTTTTTTTCTTCCTTAGCTCATACCTAGCATGTGAGGTATAATTACTCAGTTATTACACTGCTTTTTACTGGAGTGTTTTTTTCTGTTTTAATCCTTTTAGCCAAGAAAACCATGTGGGAAAGGCTGACAGCCCCTGAAGATGTATTTAGCAAATTACAGCGAGAAAACATAGCCATTATTGAAAGTTATGGCGCCGCCCTCATGGAAGTGGTCTGTCGAGATGCTTGTGATGGTCATGAGATTGGAAGGGTAAAGCAACTCTTATTTAGTATTATAATTGAATAAGTATTTTGACTTATTAAGGTATAAACTGATTCACGGCTGGGTGTGGTGCCTCATGCCTGTAATCTCAGTGCTTTCGAAGGCCAAGGTGGGTGGATTTCTTGAGTATAGGAGTTTGAGACTAGCCTGGGCAACATGGTGAAACCCCGTCTCTACAAAAAATACAAAAAATTAGCCAGCCATGGTGGCATGCACCTGTAGTCCCAGTTACTTGGGAGGCTGAGGTGGGAAAATTGCATGAGCCCAGGAGGCAGAGGTTGCTTGCGGTGAGCTGTGATCGAGGCACTTCACTCCAGCCTGGGCTGCAGAGTGAGACCCTGCTGCAAAAAATAAAATAAAATAAATTGATTCAACTTTTAATAATGTATGGTACATATTAAGAATCATTTTTTATAATATACTGTATTTTCTTATTTGCTATAATTTGAGACTTCTGTTTTATTTATTCATATGTTGTGTTTAATTTTGTTAGAATCTTAATTCAGAATTGCCTTTCAGAATTATCTTCTTGCTAATTTTGAGGTTGACTGGTAGAAACAACAGAAACGCTGCTTAATAAAGATCTTTGGTTAAGAGAATGCTGAATAAATTGCCTTGTACTGAATAGATCTTTGTCTGCCTAATTGCTTTGTGGAGAATTTGTATTTATATTTCTTGTACAGTATGGTGGCACACTGGTAATGATGCAGTGAGAAGATAACTTCTTCTTAATGGAAAATTATGTAGCAAAATTATGTAGCAATTAAATCATGTTTTTGAAGACCATAGGAAATAGGATTTTAAAAAATAAACTGGCATAACCTTTTAGTTACGTTTCTTTGTTTGTTTGTTTGTTTGTTTTTGAGATGGAGTCTCGCTCTGTCGCCCCGGCTAGAGTGTAGTGGCGCAATCTCGGCTCACTGCAAGCTCCGCCTCCCGAGTTCACGCCATTCTCCTGCCTCAGCCTCCCAAGTAGCTGGAACTACAGGCGCCCGCCACTACGCCTGGCTAATTTTTTGTAGTTTTAGTAGAGACGGGGTTTCACCATGTTAGCCAGGATGGTCTCGATCTCCTGACCTCGTGATCCTCCCGCCTCGGCCTCCCAAAGTGCTGGGGTTACAGGCATGAGCCACCACACCCGGCCACCTTTTAAGTTATGTTTTAAAAATTTTAAAATATTTGTATGCATAGAAAAAATACTGGTAGGAGACAGACCAAAATGGATGAACTGTATTTATCAGATTGTGTAGTTATTACTTTTTTTTTCTTTTTTCTTTTTATTGAGACAGAGTCTTGCTCTGTTGCCCAGACTAGAGTGCAGTGGCATGATCTCGGCTCACTGCAACCTCTGCCTCCCAGGTTCAAGCAATTCTCCTGCCTCAGCCTCCCGAGTAGCTGGGATTACAGGCATGCACCACCATGCTGGGGTAATTTTTATTTTTATTTTTATTTTTTTTGAGACAGAGTCTCGCTTTGTCACCCAGGCTGGAGTGCAGTGGCACGATCTCGGCTCACTGCAACCTCTGCCTCCCAGGTTCAAGTGATTCTTTGCCTCAGCCTTCCGAGTAGCTCAGATTACAGGTGCCCACCACCACGCCCAGCTAATTTTTTTTGTATTTGTAGTAGAGATGGAGTTTCACCATCCTGGCCAGGTTGGTCTTGAACTCCTGACCTCGTGATCCACCCGCCTTGGCCTCCCAAAATGCTGGGATTACAGGCGTGAGCCACCGCTCCCGGCCTAATTTTTTTAATGGCCAGGCTTGTCTCGGATTCCTGACAAGTGCTCCACCTGCCTCTGCCTCCCTAAGTGTTGGGATACAGGGGTGAGCCACTGTGCCCAACCTAGTTATTATTTTTCTGTGTTTTCTGTAATGAGCATTATAAAACTTCACAGTGAGAAAAAACAGCTGTTAAAAAAATTTCTTTTCTCTAACAAGCAATGTTAGAGTCTACTAAAATACATCTAATGCCACTAGTTTAACGTGTTAGGTTTTGTTTTGGAAATACATCTTTACCTGAGAGCTTTCCTTTATTGATAAATTGAGGTTCTGGAGCCATAGTTTTTAACTTCTCAAAAAAAAATAAAAAGGAAATTTTGTTGCAAGTAACATTCTCTTTATGAAAAACATTCTTCATATTTCATATCTGATGTCAGATAAATTCAGTTACTGTTGTTGATTTTGGTAGCATCTACATGTTTTGGACTTTAATTTATTCTTCCTTCAGATGCTGGCCCTGGCTCTACTTGATAGAATTGTCTCCGTGGATAAACAGCAGCAGTGGCTTTTGTATCTTTCTAACAGTGGCTACTTGAAGGTCCTCGTAGACAGCTTGGTAGAAGATGACCGTACTTTGCAGAGCTTACTCACCCCACAGCCTCCCCTTTTAAAAGCACTTTATACTTATGAATCTAAAATGGTAAGGCTTTCTAGACATTTGATGTTAGATCAAGAAGTCGTTTTCTCTTGGCTATAGATGTATTAAAGAAAATTAATGTGGCATACATTCTGAATATTTCTATCATAAGCTGGAATCCTTTTTTAAGGAGTTTTAAACTTTGGAATCTTCCTAGTGTGCAAAAGATGAGTGAAATGATCCTCAAAGGGATAGCTGGATAATGGGACTGCTGCTTCCCTCACTCACTCAGGTTGCTCATGATGGCAATATGACAGCCAGTGCTCCGTGAGGACAGAGCAAAATTGTCCTCTCACAATACAATTTAGACTATAGTAGTTGCCTATTGAAAATTTCCATGTAGATATGCTAGTTCTATTCTAAACACAGCATTTTCAATATAGTATATAATTCATTGTTTCTTTGCCTGCAAATCTGTTTTAATTTCTTTTTCCTCCTAGTTAAAAGGATCACAAATGTTACGATAATAGAAGCACTGAAATTTTAGATTCTTCATTTACTCCTTTTTCCTCCTTCATTTATTTAACAGGTATTTATTAAATACCTGCAAAACGGCAGGCATGGCACTAGGTACTAGAGACACAGCTGTTAGCAAAACAGACAAAATTCCTTGCCCTCCATGGGCCCACATGATAATAACAGGACCCACACTGTAAACGAATACTTGAATCATGCAAGCTACTGTCTGTGGGCGCTTTAGATATGTTGAACACTGAGTCCTCATGAAAATCCTAGGAAGAAAGCGGTATAATGTAACCTGTCACTAGCCCAGATTTCTCTTCAGTGATAACTAAGGATGAGAAATTTGCCATCAAAGTGTTGCACTTTTCTCTGAGGCCCTTGGACATGATTTCAGCACTGATGATTTTTCTCTTGTAACTCCTCAGGCATTTCTCACAAGAGTGGCAAAGATACAGCAGGGTGCATTAGAGCTGCTAAGATCAGGGGTGATTGTGAGACTAGCTCAATGCCAAGTCTATGACATGCGCCCAGAAACGGACCCGCAGAGGTAAGTGTCTGTATAGATTAATTTGGTTAAACTCCCAGTAAAGGATTATTAAGGGAAGAAAAAATTCCAAACATAATTTTGCCGCTTAGCAATTCTCTTTCATCTTGGTGTGGGTTTTTTTGGTCATACTGTGCCCCTGTCATTTACTAATAAATGGAAGTTGCTACTAGGGAAAAAGTAGGTAGGAGTGGGAGAGAATTTAGTAAATGTGTACTTGCCCAATGTTATTATTATGTTCAATTGAAATACTTGTTTGCAGTTACACTATCTTTTAAAGAGTTGTAGTAAAATTATAATTTGTTATGGATTTCCTGTTCCGGATGATTTGAATAGAATTTCAGATTATATATATATTTTTTCTGATTTCAATATTTTGCTTACTGCTTGCTAATTCAAAAGCTTCAAATGGAATTGTTTTCAAGTTTCAAGCTTTTCAGCTGATTTCTTAGTTTCACATTCGATTTGAATGTGGAAAATTTGATTTGATTTTCTTTTTTGTTTACATGACTGCAGCATTGTTAGGTAGATAGCATACCTTCCTAGAAGTAAATAATACTTAGTTTGAGTTTAGTAATTGTTTTAAAAGGATCTATTAGCAACTTGAATGTTTGGATTTTTAAGGCTTAACTACAGAACTGTTTTACCTCCAGGGAAAAACATTTATTTTAGTATTGCGGTCTAAAGTTTCAAACATGAGAGTTATTACTTTCACCTTAGGTAAAGTGGGTTGAGTTAAATACTCTTTAGTTCATGGCATGCTATTATCACTTGTCTGTGCAAAGCCTGTCTCTTATTTTCTTATTCTGCTTTCGTTCCCCCTCAATAGGCAGCCATTTTTTTGGTCTAAAAATTTAAATATAAACATTAACAATAAATATTAGCTTATTAATACGATGTTCTGAGACCTACTCTGAAAGGTTAAGTGATTTTACAGCCTCATTTTGACTCTTAAATCTTGTTTTATTTTTATACAGATTGAGCTTCTCTAATCTGAAAATCTGAAATCTGCAGTGCTGCTAAATCTCAAACTTTCTGAGTGCCAATATGATGCTCAAAGGAAATGCCCATTGGAGCAATTTGGATTTTGGATTTTCAGATTAGAGGTGCTCAACCAGTAAGTATGTATAATGCAGATATTTCAAAATCCAAAAAAATCTGCAACACTGCTGGTACCAAGCATTTTGGGTAAGTGGTACTCACCCTATACAATGGGCAGCATAGTGGATTTTTGGCTTGGGTAGAGGAGAGAGAATTTTAGGGAAAGTAGCTTTTTAAATCTGTTTCTTACTTAACAGCCTATATGGCCCAAGGAAGCTTTAGAGAAGAATAAAAATGTTTTGGAAGTTTCAAGCATTATCTTGTCAAATTACATAGGTTTTCCTCGATAAGATTTTTCAGAATTCAAATAACTGTTTTTACTAACTAAGCTATGAGTTTAGGAAGACACATCTTTCTCTGGACCGCGGATGTATATATGGGATGCAGAGTACTCACTAGTTGATTCACATCTTAATCAGCCGGCTCTGATTTATTTGCCATATCAGTGTTAAGGAATTGCCGAGAGTATACCTTAATTCTTGGAATGTTTTCTCCTTGTTTGGTTGAAATAAGCATGTTTGGCATGAGAGACCCTCCAATGTTCATCCCTACCCCAGTGGATCGCTACCGCCAGATTCTCCTCCCAGCTCTCCAGCTGTGCCAGGTCATCCTCACATCTAGTATGGCCCAGCACTTGCAGGCAGCAGGGCAGGTAAGGTGAACCCTTTGTTTAGATATTGTCTAGAGCAAAATCCTCATTTTACAAGTACAGAAACCTTACACACATAGAATGCTTAAGTGAATTTACGTTAGTCCTAATGTTTGTGGCAGAGCAGGGTAGAGAAAAGAGGCCCCTGTACTTTGTTCTTAACTACATTGGTCCATTTTTATACTGTTGTTTGAATGAAACACTGTAGCTAATTAATAGAATCATAAGACAGGAAACAAGAGATTGAAATTTGTTCTTCTATAAAAGAAAGCAGTTATTGTGATAGGAGTAAGCTGGCTTCTAAAGTGTAATTTAACCAGGTATCTATTGAGAGAGGGCTATGCTAGGCCTTGCAGGCTGGGCATGGTGGCTCACGCCTGTAATCCCAGCACTTCGGGAGACTGACAGATGATAATACTGCATTTATATATGATAGAGAATGAAATAATTTAAATGAGTGATTTTGCTGTCAAAATTTTTTTAAATACCAGAAATTAGTTTTATTTTGATTACTTTTCAGTGAAACACTAACATTCCAACACACATTTTTTTAAAAATTAATATTATATGTAATTTAGCCTTTCACTGATTGATTAGGCTTATCATGAATCTACAACCTTGTATTGCTTTATTGTATTTTGGAACTGTGTCCTAAAACACTTTGATTTCTGGTAATTTTTTCTGCTTTCTCTACCATCAGGCCTTAGGCCATCTCACCAAGGTAGATGCTGCTGTTCTAAAGTGGCACCTTATTTTATATCATAGCAATCTGGGTTGACGTCCTACTTCTTTTAGGCCTATGTGGTCTTCAAGTTAGTACTTTTTAAAACTCAGAGACTTTGCCTTTCTTCCCCTAGATTGAGATTAAGATTTTTTAGTAGAAGTGGGACATTATGATATAAGACACTGGTTCCCTAACACCAATCTTGTATTGACTGAAGCAGAATCACCTGAGGAGCCTCTTAGAGAAGCACAGATGACTGAGTTCTGTGACCAGACATTATAAGCTTAGGCTAGGAATCTTTATTAAAAAACAAAAATGATCACAATTCTGAGTGATTCACATCCTTGGCTTGTTTTGGCATATAGTCTGCCTTTAAAATGTTTGTAAGCTAGTTGAGATATTCCTAAGTGAAAATACTGAAAGAGGACTCCATGAGTGTACATTATAAAATGCCAAAGTGGAAGGGTAGAGCTGGGAGGTCAGGATTTATATCTCCTTTTTTTAACCGCATCAAAAGGAGAGTTATGGCCAGGTGTGGTGGCCCATGCCTGTAATCCCAGCACTTTGGGAAGCCAAGGTGGGAGGATCACTTTAGCCAGGAGTTTGAGCCCAGCCTGGGCAACATAGTGAGACCCTATCTCTCTCTCTCTCTCTCTCTCTCTCTCTCTCTCTCTCTCTGTCTCTCTCTCTGTCTCTCTTTTTTTTTTTTTTTGAGACAGAGTCTCACTTCGTCACCCAGGCTGGAGTGCAGTGGCACGATTCCAGCTCACTGCAACCTCCACCTCCCAGGTTCAAGTGATTCTTGTGCCTCAGCCTCCTGAGCAGCTGGAATTACAGGTGTGCACCACTGCATCTGACTAATTTTTGTATTTTTAGTAGAGATGGCATTTCACCATGTTGGCCAGGCTGGTCTCAAACTCCTGACCTCAGGTGATACCCGCCTCAGCCTCCCAAAGTGCTGGGATTACAGGCGTGAGCCACCATGCCTGGTTCCTATCTCTATTATAATAAAAATGAATTTTTTTAAAAAAAGAATTAGACAAAAGCTTTTATGTGATTTCCCCATGTCATGCTAGTTACTGTTTCATAGAACAGCTTCTTGAATTCACTAGTCATTTTTATACCCATTTATATTACATTCTTACTCTAGTTCATTTGGCCAAACAATAAAGAAAATAGGGGTCAGATAATAGTTTTCATACAGTAGTTCTGAGTTATATTCTTCTACAGTAGTCTCCAAATGTATTAACTTATAAGCTTTAAAATAATCCTTTAGTCTTGTGAATTTTAAATGTTTACTTCCTGAAGAGATAAATATGTGAGTGCAGAAAACAATTGCTTATCTGTTACTCATCCTCACTTATTGTGAGGCTGAGTATTGTATTACTGAGTATTATGGTAAAGTTGAAGGTTACTTCCTTCAACATTATTTATAAAATGAATTATGCATTTATATATAATTTTCTACTTCTACCTGTTTTTTCTATTCCTCTTCCTTTTCAATGGCTTAGGTATTGCAGTTTCTTATTTCACATTCTGATACCATACAAGCAATTCTGCGCTGTCAGGATGTTAGTGCTGGGTCTTTGCAGGAATTGGCTCTGCTGACAGGAATTATAAGTAAAGCAGCACTTCCTGGTGAGTTGATTATGTTGAAAGGATTTTTAATAATTCTTTAAAGACTGACATAAATTAATAGAATGAGTTTTTTTGTTACTTTGCAGCTATATATGACTTATTTGAAATTGGTACTGCTAACAGAGCCTTTATTTATGTAATAAGTTTATGTTTATAAAATGATACATGCTTGGCTGGGTGTGGTGGCTCATGCCTGTGATCTCATCACTTTGAAAGGCTGAGGCAGGATGATTGCTTGAGGCCAAGGGTTCAAGACCAGCCTGGGCAACATAGAGACACCCTGTCTCTACCAAAAAATTTTAAAAATTAGCTGGGTGTTGGGGCATTCACCTGTGGTCCTGGCTACTTGGGAGGTTGAGGTAGGAGGATTACTTGAGTTGGGAAGGTTGAGACTGCAGTCAGCCAAGATTATGCCACTGCAATCCAGTCTGGGCAACAGAACAAGACTCCGTCTCTGTTTTGTTTTGTTTTTTTTTTTTAAGATATAGGCTTATTATAAAAATATTCAAAAGGAGATAACTAACACTCAAAATCTCACCACCTAGAAATTACCAAATGTTGACATTTGATAAATTTTCAAACATTGCTTTATGTGTACGTACATATGAGAAAGGGAGGGGGAGAGAGAGAAAGAAAGCAACAGAGACATACAGAGGCAACTAATGAGAATAGGATGACCTTTTACATGCTGTTTTAAAAAACAAATATTTAATTTTACATGAATTTATTTATTTTTTTATTATACTTTAAGCTCTAGGGTACATGTGCACAACATTCAGGTTTGTTACATAGGTATACATGTGAATTTTACATGAACACAGACAAAAATCTAATTGAAGAGAAACGAAAGGAATTGCCAAATTCCAGACAAATGTTTCTTTACTACTAGAGTATGTCACCTTTTAAAAGATCACTGCGAGTAAGGAAAAACATTATGAAACATTATTAAGATACTTTGGTTACTTTCCCCCCTTATAATTTCTTTACTACATGTAAATTTTGAATCAGTTAACTCCCTGATGGGAAAGATGAAATGATGACTTCTTTTACACTTCCTCTTCCACCCTCAGATGATGTTTGCTTATATCATTTTAACCTTGTCAGGTTTTGTAACATTTACATCTGTTATGCAACCATAATATCCTCAGCTACTTAGTTTTAGTTGTATATTTACATGGATTCACTGCAAAACACCAGTTGTGTTCCCCACCATGGCGTCACCATTCACGAGTTCTTTCTTTTGATTTATCTCTTGGTATTTTTTTTTTTCTTTCTTTCTTTCTTTCTTTTTTTTTTTGAGACGGAGTCT